>NC_000017.11:39435980-40060980 GCF_000001405.40 Homo sapiens | reverse complement strand
GCAGGAGTGATGGTGTCCAGAGGGGGAGGAGGAAGGTGCTACGGTTTTGTCTCTCTTCCATTCTGGCTTTCCCCACCATATCTCTCTTTGATGCAAGGCCCTATAATGTTGGGTGGTGACGACTTTCTGAAATCCTAAACCCAGAGCCATAGAAAATGAAGTGCCTCCTGTTCCACTTTTTTTTTTTCCTGAGGGGCAGAGTGGAGCACTCAAAGACAAGGGTTTACCAGTCCCATCTTCTCCTTCTTAAAATTTATTATTATTATTATTATTTGAGACAGGGTCTTGCTCTTTTGCCCAGGCTGGAGTGCAGTGGCACAATCTTGGCTCACTGCAACCTCCGTCTCCTGGGTTCAAGGGATTTTCATGTCCTAGCCTCCCAAGTAGCGGGGATTGTAGGCATGTGCTAGCATGCCCAGCTAATTTTTGTTTTTTTGCTTTGTTTTGTTTTGTTTTTTTGGTAGAGAAGGGGTTTCACCATGTTGGCCAGGCTAGTCTTGAACTCCTGGCCTCAAGTGCTCCTCCTGCCTTGGCCTCCCAAAGTGCTGGGATTACAGGCATGAACCACCGTCCCCGGCCACCCCCATCTTCTTTTTACCTCTCTCTTTTTCTTGGGCTCCCAGTATGGACTGGTGACAGGTCTGGGCAGGGCAAAGTGAAGGGCACACTGCTTTCAAAGCAGGCCTCTCCCCAGGTGCCAGGATCCAGCCCGTGTCTGGGCGTATAGCCACTGTCCCTGTGTTGCCTCATCTGTCCTCCCACCCCACTCACCCTGCCCACCCATTTCTTGAAGCTGCTAGCTCTTCTCAGATTGAGTTCATCCTCAGCTCCTTTTCCGTCCTTGTCATGAAACCCCCCACCACCACCAGGGCTGTCCCCTCCCATTCCCCACCTCTGCTTCAGAGCATTCCCCGAATCTATGAGGAGGGTAGGGGTGGCATGAATAAGGCTGGATAGACCCTCCAAGAGGATATGTCTGATGGCCCCTCCAGCTGAGATTTCCGTTGCTAAGGAGGTAGCAGGAACAGCCTGTTCTCTGGGCTCCCATCAGAACAGCCATGCCTAGGCCCCTCCCTCTCTCCCTCCATCTCTCCCTCCCTTCCTTCCAGACTGTTGCTAGGAAGCACCCTAAGATTTCTTGAGGATACGACCCCTAGGAACCAAGGTATCCAGATATCTTTCTGAAGAGGTTTTTTTCAAAGTCTGGCAGCTAAAACTCCACACAGCATCCTCTACCCCTGCTCAAAAGCCTTACACATCTCTAGCAGTTTGGGGAAACAGGAGATAGGCCCCTCTACCAGCCACCATGGAACAAGCTCTGTGGCCTGGGCCTCAGTAAATCCCTTCCTCTATCTCATCTTGACCTCTTGGACCCTAGGTCAGCAAGTGATGACATGTCCAGCATATACCTCTAGACTCTGCAGACAGAGCTGAACTTATTGGGGGTGCTCTGGAAAGACAGCAGAGGAAACTGAGGTACTACCAGCCAAGAGAACTCAAAGCTCAGATGTTTCTCCCTCCTAGGGGTTTCCCAATCAGAAAGAGTGGTGCAAATGGAGGAAAGAAAGTTGGAGAGCAGGCTGGGCAAGGTGGCTGACTGACATCACCAGTATTTTGGGAGGCTGAGGTGGGAGGATCTCTTCAGGTCATGAGTTCAAGACCATCCTGGGCAACATAGTGAGACCTCCATCTCAAAAAAAAAAAAAACCAAAAACAAAAACCCACAAATTATCTGGGTGTTGTGGTGCAGACCTTCAGTTCTGGCTACTTGGGAGGCTGATGCAGGAGATGAGAGACTGGCAAATTAGCAATTACCTGGTAAGAGAAAGTGGCCACTTAATTCTCCCCTTTGTCCCATCAGGCGCTATTGCTATGGGTCACAAAAGAGGGAGCCAGGGAAGGGACCAGGCCTGGCTGAGTCTTGCTTTTGGTAGCTGAGGTGAGAAATGGAAAAGGAAGCTGACACCTTTTCCAGGCTGTCTTTCAGGGTTTCTCCTAATTTTATTCATTAATCTGACACTGTTTTTTTTTTTTGTTTGTTTGTTTTTTCCTGATGGAGTCTTGCTCTGTCACCCAGGCTGGAGTGCAGTGGTGTGATCTTGGCTCACTGAAAGCTTGCCTCCCGGGTTAACACCATTCTCCTGCCTAAGCCTCCCGAGTAGCGGGGACTACAGGCACCCACCACAATGCCTGGCTAATTTTTGTATTTTTAGTAGAGACGGGCTTTCACTGTGTTAACCAGGATGGTCTCGATCTCCTGACCTCATGATCCGCCTGCCTCGGCCTCCCAAAGTGCTGGAATTACAGGCGTGAGCCACCGCACCCAGCCTGACACTTTTTTTTTTTAAGCATTTAATATGTGCCAAGTATTAGATTCCCCAAATGCTCCCAGCTTCTGGTTTCACTTTCCCTTAGAGTCTTCTCATCCTATCTTTGCCAGCAGGAGAGAGGAGAGGAGGGGGAGCAGGGAAGTCTCCTTTACCATCAGAGTTTGGGGCTTACCTTTCCGCAGTTCTCCCACTCCAGTTAAAGGAGGGGATAGGGTAGTATGATATGGAAGCCAAAAGTATAAAGCAGAGCAGCTCTCAGGGCCTGGAGGGAGGGGCCATACAAAGGAAATGGCAGGCTGCCCTCCCTTCCCAGCCACTGTCGGCCTCAGGATCACAGCACTTCTCTTTGTGCTGGGAGTATGGAGAGGGAAGGCATCCTCCAGGGTGTTAGAGGGGAAGCTATTCCAAGAGTTGATTCAAATTCTGCCTTTCACTCTCCTGGGGCAGTGGGAAGACAGAGACAGGCAACTGTGGGGGATCCAGGGGTAGTCCCTGAGTCCCTGAGGTGCAGCCACCTTGCAGACCTCTTTCCCATCATTCCCTCCCCCAGATAGACAGAAAGCAGGGATTTTGATTTGGTGACTGGTATGAGGAGGAGACTGGTTTGGAGCCAGCTGTGTATAAGTGTTTGGGAGTGACTGTCTTTCTTTTCCCATCCACCTGCTGCCCATAGTGGGGGGACCCAGGCAAGCTTCCAGAGGAAAATGTTCCACTTAGGGAAAAGGAATGACTCAGTTTCCCTATGGAGAGAAGGGAAGCTGACACCCTCTGTGCCTTGTATGCTTTACCAACGATTTCAGTGTTTCTGGGTTTTTGGGTCTGGACTCTTGCCACTTTTCTTTATACTGTTTTCTAGCCTAGATAGATAAGGAATGTTCCCTTCCCTTTGGGTACCCAGAACCCTGTTCCTTGCCACCTCTTACCCCACTCTGGCCTAGCTGCTTTTCTGACACTTCTCCAGGGTTGCCATATCACTCTGACTGGTTGACTTCCACCTTCCCCTCTTCTCTCTCTAGCCAAGGTAGGCAACAAGATGAAGAAAGAGGTTGGGGCTCAGGACTAGGAGGGCAGAGATGGGAGTTCGGCCCCTGTCCCTGTTGAGAGGAAATGAACAGCAAAAGAAAGTGGGGTAAGTAGGACGGGGCTTTGAGATGGGCTGGAGGGCTTTTTTTTTTTTTTTTGAGACGAAGTTTCGCTCTTGTTGCCCAGGCTGGAGTGCAATGGTGCAATCTCAGCTTACCGCAACCTTCGCCTCCTGGGTTCAAGCAATTCTCCTACCTCCATCTCCCGAGCAGCTGGGATTACAGGCATGCGCCACCATGCCCGGCTAATTTTGTTTTTTAGTAGAGATGGGGTTTCTCCATGTTGGTCAGGCTGGTCTCGAACTCCTAACCCCAGGTGATCTGCCTGCCTTGGCTTCCCAAAGTGCAGGGATTAGAGGTGTGAGCCACCGCGCCCGGTTGGGGGGCTGTTTTTTTGTACACCCAAAGGAAATGTTAGCATCTCTCTTCACCCTTTGGAGGATTATCATGGGGTCCCGGTCCTGTGCTTGCAGTGAGCCAGAGAGCCCAAGGGGGTCCCTAGGAAGATATTGTGGTGTGGAAGGAAGAGGTGATATAGGAAAGGCTGCCTCTGATGTTTACAGACTAGAGAGGCAGGGAGGTCAAAGTGGATAAACTAAAAATGGTCCTTGCCCAGAGCTAAGGGAGCCTTTGTACATAGGAGTCCAGCCTTTGGGGAAACCTTGCCAAGCCTAGAGAAAGGGCTGCTGGTGGGAGGTGGGGAGACAGAGAAGGCAGATGGCCTGACTACAAAAGCCGCCTCCCTGTCACTGCGAAGTGGGGAGGAGGCACCTCCCTAGAAATCTGCCAGGCTCCCTGCCAGAGGGAATGGTTTGAGCTCAAAATATCACCATCCTCAGGGCCCAAATAGTCCCCAGTCCTGTGTGGACCGGACACACAGTTGACAGCTTCTCTCCAAGAGAGGCAGTTTGGGCTCTGAGGTATGCGACAGGGGCTCCAGGATGATCCAGGAATGGCTCCAGGTGGAGGGCCTTAGGCTGTGGCTACAGGCACAGAATGACAGCAGGGGAGCAGGCAAAGGTAGAGTGAGGGGCCTGGGAGAACAGGGGAAGTCAGATATGTGAGAGACTGAGGAGAAGCAGGGTTTGTGGCAGTCTCAAGTATGAGTGGAGTGGCCGGGGGTCATCTGGAAGGTGAGGTGAGGAATCCGTATTTCCCTCCTTCCTGCTTTAGAAGCTTTGGCAACATATATTTGGCAGCTGTTTTGTATACACACTATTCCCCAATGGTGTCACTTGGGCAGGCACAAAGGGAGCCTAAGAGAGGGGTGTGGATTGAATGTATGGGGAGGAAGAAAGGCCATAGGCAGTACCAACCGCAGGAGGACATGATCTGACCCTCCTTCAGCCACACTCTCCCCTTTGGAACAGAAGTTCTTGACTCCCTGTTTAGACCATTCTCCAGACACCCAGGGCGCTGTAATTCTCTGCCCAAATGGCCACAGTTTTGCTTCCAGAGCCTTAAGTGGGCTGCTCTCCCAGATTTATCCTCCCGAGGACTGATTTTGCCACTCAAAGGGTGAGCAAAGAATGGTTGTTGGAGGCTAGGCACGGTGGCTCATGCCTACAGTCCTAGCACTCTGGGAGGCCAAGGTGGGTGGCTGAGGTCAGGATTTTGAGACCACCCTGGCCGACATGGCGAAACCCTGTCTCTACTAAAAATACAAAAATTAGTCGGATGTGGTGGCACACGCCTGTAATCCCAGCTACTTGGGAGGCTGAGGCAGGAGAATTGCTTAAACCTGGGAGGCAGAGGTTGCAGTGAGCTGAGACTGCGCCATTGCACTCCAGCCTGGGCAACAGAGCAAGCCTCCATCTCAAAAAAAAAAAAAAAAAGAATCTTTGTTGAGGAATACAGATTGAGCTTGAACTTGTGAACTAGGATATTGGGCCCTGGCTAAAGGCCTCCATGTTTATTTATTTATGTATTTTGGTAGAGCTGAGAGTCTCATTATGTTGCCCAGGCTGGATTTGAACTCCCGAGCTCAAGTGATCCTCCTTTCTCAGCCTCCCGAGTAATTTACTCTTATTCCTGGTTGTAAATGTTAGGGATGACCAGTCCATAGCATGGGGAGGGATGAGGGCTATGCATAAGAAGGCTCAGACATTGGAGCCTCCAGAGGTGGGTAACATTTGCTTTCGGGTTTCTCACTGGGGGAAGGAAAGGCTATGGCCAAAGCCCTGGGCATAATTTATATATGGATCTTTGGGATAAGCAAGATTTAAACAACAACAACAACAACAACAACAAGAAACTTAAAAAAACAAGTTTTTAATTTACAGGAAAAAAATGGAAGGTAATAGAGGGTCCCCACATATTCTGCACCCAATTTCTCTTTTTATTAACATCTTAGCATTAGTATTATGCATTTGTAACAACTAATGAACTAATATTGATACATTATTATTAATTAAAGTCCACCCTTTATTTAGATTTCCTTAGTTTTTACCCAGTATTCTTTTTCTCTTCCATGATCGCATTCAGAAAACCACATTACATTTAGTCATCAGGTCTCCTTAGCCCTCTTAGTTGTGACAGTTTCTCAGAATTCCTTTGATTTTGATCACCTTCACCTTAGTTTCCTCTTTACTTTCCCTTGTATCCAAGCTGTATGGAGGGCCTGGAGATTCTGATAGGACTGTAAGATTCGGGGACGGTGATATGTGTGCAACTAAGGCACCTCGGTGTCGCTTTTAGAATATAGTTGTGGAAATGAGAATAGCTCTGGTAGCTCCAGGGGCTTAGGAGAACAGAAAGAGCCCAGGAAAGGAGAAAGACCTTATTGCTGAACGCCACACCCTTGCCCCCACGCCACACCCTTGCCGCACCTACTAACTAGGGGCTAACGAATGAAAGGGTGTCGGAATATGATGGAGAAGCCCGGTCGACAGTGACGTCGTGGGCGACGCCGGGTTGTGAGCGGCCTTTCGAGCTCCCTCGAGTCCCTGAGTCTCTGTAGTGCCTCAGCTCCTGGATGTCCTCCCTTAAAGGAGAAGAACAATGCGGGCCGACTAGACGAGTCCCTTAGTTTCCTCGCCGGCGCAGACAAATACGGTTTCAGTCCAAGGAACTACCATTCCCAGAAGACAGCGGGGCGTTCCTTGCTGCATTTCTATTGGTTGGCGTTTGTTACTCCCAGCCAATAGAAAGTGAGCTTCTTGACAAGTGCCAAAATGGCGATGCCTACCACCTAGAACTGGATTGTGCGGTAGGCTTAAATTTGGGGAGGTGGTGGATGAAAAGGAAATTGGGAGGTATAGTTACAGGGCTGGAGAAGGTGGAGGAAATGAGGGAGCAAATCTGGACTTGGAATGGTGGTGGCCAAGGGACGCTTTTAGAGCTAAGGGCGTAATTAGGCAACCAGGACTGCCTTAACTCCTTGATGCCCTGTTTAATCTATTAGTCCCTTTGATACTTCTTTATTCATTTATTTGAGAGACGGAGTTTTGCTCTTGTTGCCCAGGCTGGAGTGCAATGGTGCGATCTCGGCTCACCCCAACAACCTCCGCCTCCCGGGTTCAAGCGATTCTACTGCCTCAGCCTCCCGAGTAGCTGGGATTACAGGCATGCACCACCAAGCCCGGCTAATTTTGTATTTTTAGTGGAGACGAGGTTTCTCCATGTTGGTCAGGCTAGTCTCGAACTCCTGACCTCCGGTGATTCGCCCGCCTCTGCCTCCCGAAGTGCTGGGATTACAGGTGCGAGCCACTGCGCTCGGCCGATACTTTCTTAGTGCCCCAGTTTAAGGAAGGGCGGTTCAGGAGGAGAGAGTCTGACAGGATCTTACTTTATCCCTTTAGCTCTTTTTCTTTCAAATTCCTCTGTCTCGCTTAAATCTTCCCGCATCTTCTCCTTTCTATTTAATTCTGCCTTCCCCGGTTCTCCTTAGAACCTCATGTCCTTTTCTTTAGCTCCATTTCTTTCACCTCAAAGCTGGCCGCCACCGCTGCCACCTGCTCAGAGTGAAATAATGAAGGTGGTCAACCTGAAGCAAGCCATTTTGCAAGCCTGGAAGGAGCGCTGGAGTGACTACCAATGGGCAATCAACATGAAGAAATTCTTTCCTAAAGGAGCCACCTGGGATATTCTCAACCTGGCAGGTCTCAAGTGAACTGGGAAAGAAAGATGGGAGGGATAAACCCAGAGAAGTTGTAATCACTCAGTTGTGTTTTGCTATTCCTCTTGCAGATGCGTTACTAGAGCAGGCCATGATTGGACCATCCCCCAATCCTCTCATCTTGTCCTACCTGAAGTATGCCATTAGTTCCCAGGTAAGCTTCCCGCAAACCCCCACCAAGAAGTGAGAGTTCTGGGGGTAAAAAACTTGGAGTGCATTTGGGCCCCGGTGGTTCATGGCTGTAATCCCAGCATTGTGGGAGGCTGAGGCAGGCGGATTGCTTGAGCCCAGGAGTTCAAGACCAGCCTGCGTAACATGGCAAAACCCAGTCTCTACCCAAAAATACAAAGAGTTACCCCTGCGTGGTGGTGCCCCTGTAGTCCCAGCTACTTGGAAGGCTGAGGTGGGAGGATCACCTGAGCCCTGGGAGGTCGAGACTGCAATGAGCCATGATCCTGCCACTGCCCTCCAGCCAGAGCAACAGAGTGAGACCCTGTCTCAGGAAAGAAACAAACAAACACAATTTGGGGTGCAGTTGTACAATTGTCAGCTTACTCTTTCTAGATGAAAGAGTAAGATTCTAGATTGATCTGTTTGAACAGATCATTTCAGTGAGTTTCAGTGTTCTCATAAAAATAATACTTCATTTGTTGTGATGAATATTACATTCACTTATTCTGCTGGGAGTGGTAGCAGGTAGCACAGGCCTGTGGCCCCACCTACTCAGAAGGTGGAGGTAGGAGGCTTGCTTGAGCCCAGGAGTTTGAGGCTACAGTGAGCACTGATTGTGCCACTGCACTCCAGCCTGGGCAACAGAACAACACTCCGTCTATTAAAAACAACAACAAGCAAAAGAAAAAAAGAGGATTACATTCACCTATTCTATCAACAAATACTCATGAATGCTTTTATGTGCCAGACAGTGCTTAGCCCCTGGGGAATATAGCTGTGAACAAAACCCGATGTCAGTACACAGAAAATTTAGTGGGTAATATAGACATGTAAATAAGCAGTCACTAGATGGGTTTATGATAAAGGTTAGGATAGAGTACAGATGCTCCTCAACTTACAATGGGGTGATGTGCTGATATACCACTCATAAGTTGAAAATGTACTTAATACACATAACTTGCCAAAGGTCATCTACCTACCTTTTTTTGAGTCAGAGTCTTGCTCTATCGCCCAGGCTGGAGTGCAGTGGCGTGACCTCGGCTCACTGCAACCTCCGTTTCCCGGGTTCAAGCGATTCTCCTACCTCAGCCTCCCGAGTAGCTGGGACTACAGGTGCCTGCCATCACGCCTGGCTAATTTTTGTATTTTTAGTAGAGACAGGGTTTCACTATATTGGCCAGGCTGGTCTTGAACTCCTGACCTTGTGATCCGCCCGCCTTGGCCTCCCAAAGTGCTAGGATTACAGGTGTGAGCCACCGTGCCTGGCCATCTACCTACCGTAAATGTGCTCAGAACACACTAGCTTACAGTTGGGAAAAATCATCTAACACAAAGCCTGTTTGTTTGTTTATTTATTGAGATGGGATTTCGCTCCTGTTGCCCAGGCTGCAGTGCAATGGCTTGATCTCGGCTCACTGCAACCTCTGCCTCCTGGGTTCAAGTGATTCTCCTGCCTCAGCCTCCTGAGTAGCTAGGATTACAGGCGTCTGCCACCACACCCGGCTAATTTTTGTATTTTTAGTAGAGATGAGGTTTTACCATTTTGGCCAGGCTGGTCTCGAACTCCTGACTTCAGGTGATCCACCCACCTCGGCCTCCCAAAGTGCTGGGATTGCAGGCATGAGCCACCACGCCCAGCCTTATTTTTTATTGATTGATTGATTGATTGAGGCAGAGTTTCGCTCTGTCACTAGGCTAGAGTGCAGTGGCGTGATCTTGGCTTACTGCAACCTCTGCCTCCCAGGTTTAAGTGATTCTCGTGCCTCAGCCTCCTGAGTAGCTGGGACTACAGGCGTGTGCCACTATGCCCAGCTAATTTTTGTATTTTTAGTAGAGATGGGGTTTCACCATGTTGGCCAGTATGGTCTTGATCTCTTGACCTCGTGATCCTTCCGCCTCGGCCTCCCAAAGTGCTGGGTTTACAGGCGTGAGCCACTGTGCCCGGCCGCCCAGCCTTATTTTTATTTTTTGAGAAGGAGTCTTACTCTGTCACCCAGGGTGGAGTACAGTGGCACAATCTTGGCTCACTGCAACCTCTGCCTTTCGGGTTCAAGCAATTGTCCTGCCTCAGCCTCCCAAGTAGCTGGGATTACAGGCGCCCACCACCAATCCTGGCAAAATTTTTTTTTTTTTTTTTTTTTTTTGAGACAGAGTCTAGCTCTTGTTGCCCAGGCTGGAGTGCAATGGCGCGATCTTGGCTCACCGCAACCTCTGCCTCCCAGGTTCAAGCGATTCTCCTGCCTTAGCCTCCCAAGTAGCTGGGAGTACAGGCAAATGCCATTACACCCGGCTAATTTTGTATTTTTAGTAGAGACTGGGTTTCTCCACGTTAGTCATGCTGGTCTCAAACTCCCGACCTCAGGTAATTCGCCTGCCTTGGCCTCCCAAAGTGCTGGGATTATAGGCGTGAGCCACCACGCCCAGCCAGAAGTGCAGATTTCTTATGTGCATACATTGCATCGTGGTGAAATCTGGGCTTTTAGTATACCCATTACCCTAGTAGTGAACACTGTACCCAATACGTAATTTTTCAACCCTCACCCCACTCCCACCTTCCCACCTTTTATATTCTCCAGTGTCTGTTAGTTCACTCTATATGTGCACACGTTGTGTAGCTCCCACTTATCAGTGAGAATATGTGGTATTTGACTTTTTTTTTATTTACTGAGACGGAGTATTGCTCTGTCGCCCAGGCTGGAGTGCAATGGCTGATCTCAGCTCACTGCAACCTCCTTGACTTTCTATTCCTCAGTTATTTCACTGAGGATAATGGCTTACATGTATGAGCACTTGAAGTACAATTTCTACTGAATGTGTATCTCATATTTTTTTTTGAGACAAGGTCTTACTCTGTCACCCAGGGTGGAGTGCAGTGGCGTGATCTCTGCTTACTGTGACCTCCACCTCCTGGGCTCAAGTGATTCTTCTGCCTGTCTCCCGAGTAGCTGGGACCACAAGCATGCACCACCACACCCAGCTAATTTTTGTAGTTTTAGTAGAGACGGGGTTTTACTGTGTTGGCCAGGCTGGTCTCGAACTCCTGACCTCAGGTGATCCGCTCACCTCGGCCTCCAATGAGCCACCGTGCCTGACCTGAATGCGTATCTCTCTTTTTTTTTTTTTTTTTTTGAGACGGAGTTTCACTCTTGTCCCCCAGGCTGGAGTGCAGTGGTGCGATCTCGGCTCACTGCAACCTCCATCTCCTTGGGCTCAAGCAATTCTTCTGCCTCAGCCTCCCGAGTAGCTGGGATTACAGGCGTGCACCACCATGCCCCGCTAATTTTTGTATTTTTAGTAGAGACAGGGTTTCACCATGTTGGCCAGGCTGGTCTCTAACTCCTGACCTCAAGTGATCCATCTGCCTCGGCCTCCCAAAGTGCTGGGATTACAGGCTTGAGCCACCACGCCCAGCCTGAATGTGTATCTCTTTTACACCATCATAAAGTCGAAAAATTAAGGTGGGGTGTGGTGGCTCACGCCTTAATCCCAGCACTTTGCAAGGCCGAGGTGGGCGGATCACGAGGTCAGGCGATCGAGACCCTCCTGGACAACATGGTGAAACCCCGTCTCTACTAAAAATACAAAAATTAGCTGGGCATGGTGGCGAGTGCCTGTAATCCCAGCTACTTGGGAGGCTGAGGCAGGAGAATCGCTTGAACCAGGGAGTCAGAGGTTGCAGTAAGCCAAGATTGTGCCACTGCACTCCAGTCTGGTGACAGAGCGAGACTCCATCTCAAAAAGTAAAATAAATAAAATTAAAAAATAAAGTCAAAAAATTGTAAGGTGAACCATTGTTAAGTTGGGACTGTCCTTGCTATGGGAATACATGGGAAAGGCACCCAGTCCAGTGTGAACAATCAAGGAAGGCTTTGTGGAGGAAGTGATGTTTAAACCAAGACCTGAATGTTGAGTATGAGTTAGCCGGCACATTGAGGAGAGTGTGTGTGCAAAGCAGAGAAAAGCATATGTACACGGTGGGAGGCAAAAATCACATAATGTTGTTCAGGAACTGAAAATAATTTGGTATGGCTAGAGAAAAGGAGTTTGCTCTCAGGACCCCTTTTTCTTTTCTTTTTTCTCCTTTTTCTTTTTTTGTATTTTTTGTGGAAACGGGGTCTCACTATGTTGCCCAGTCTGGTCTTGAACTCCTGGCCTCAAGTAATCCTTCTTCCTTGTCCTCCTAAAGGCTGGGATTATGAGTATGAGCCACTGTGCTCAGTCCCTGGACCCCTTTACAGTCTTCAAAATTTTGAGACTTTTCTTAAATATATTTGATTGTATTTGATCTCATGCCTCCCTAAAATGTATAAAACCAAGCTGCACCCGACCACCTTGGGTACATGTTTTCAGGACCTCCTGAAGGGCCATGGTTACTCATATTTGACTCAGAATAAATTTCTTCAAATATTAAAACATATATATTATTGGCCAGGCATGGTGGCTCCTGCCTGTAATCCCAGCACTTTGGGAGGCTGAGGTGGGTGGATCATCTGAGGTCAGGAATTCAAGACCAGCTTGGTCAACATGGTGAAATTCTGTCTCTACTAAAAATACAAAAAATTAGCCGGGTGTGGTGGTGCGCACCTGTAATCCCAGCTACTCAGGAGGCTGAGGCAGGAGAATCGCTTGAACCCGGGAAGTGGAGCCTGCAGTGAGCCAACATCATGCCACTGAACTCCACCCTGGGTGACAGAGCAAGACTCTGTCTCAATAAAAAATAAAATGAAATAAAATTAACTGGTCTCTTTGTTGCACCTTGAATAGATCTTTTATCTATGCATGATTTTTGTCACATCATGAATTGGTAATTTGGACAATATCCATGACTAAGTTATATAGATATTACAGTTGTTGATGCATTTAATAATATCATATTCTCACATGTTATGGAGCTTCCAGGACAATCCACTGTACAATTGTGAGAGAAAAAGAGCAAAAAGGTAAACAGTATCTTAGTAGTATTTTAAAAATAATTTTGACTTCCTAGACCCCCTGAAAGGTCTTGGGGACCCTGGGGAGTTCCTGAACCGTACCTTTAGAACTGCTAGGCTGGCACTTTAAGGAGGAGAGTGGTTTAGGGAGAGAGAATGATAAGATTGTAACAGACTTTTGAGTGATGCTAAGGAATTTGGACTTTATTTTAGGGTGACAAATAATCATTTAAAGGGTTTTAAGTGGAGGCGTCACATGACAAGACTTCCGTAAAAATATACATATTTTAATTAACATAGCATAACATACAAAGATCTTGCGCTGGGCGCAGTGGCTCAATCCTGTAATCCCAGCACTTTGGGAGGCCGAGGCGAGTGTATCACCTGAGGTCAGAAGTTCAAGACCAGCCTGACCAACATGGTGAAACCCCGTCTCTACTAAATATACAAAAATTAGCCGGGCATGGTGGTGGGCGTCTGTAATCCCAGCTACTCAGGAGGCTGAAGCAGGAGAATTGCTTGAACCTGGGAGGCGGAGGTTGCAGTGAACCGAGATTGCGCCATTGTGCTCCAGCCTGGGCAACGAGCAAAACTTCGTCTCAGAACATACAAACATCTTAAGATCAATTCAGTCAGGGTTTTTTTTTTGTTGTTGTTTTTTGTTTTTTGTTTTTTTGTTTTTTTTTATGAGATGGAGTCTCGCTCTGTTGCCTGGGCTGGAGTGCAGTAGGGCAATCTCAGCTCACTGCAACCTCCGCCTCCCAGGTCCAAGCTATTCTCCTGCCTCAGCCTCCGGAGTAGCTGGGATTACAGGTGTCCTCCACCACGCCTGGCCAGTTTTTTTGTATTTTTAGTAGAGACGGGGTTTCACCATGTTGGTCAGGCTGGTCTCGAACTCCTGACCTCGTGATCCACCTGCCTTAGCCTCCCAAAGTGCTGGGATTACAGGCATGAGCCACCACGCCTGGCCTATTTAGTGAGTTTTAGCAATTGTATGTACCCATGTCACCAGCATCCAAAATAAGATACAGAGCATTTCTGTTCTCTCAGAAAGTTCCCTTTTACCGCTTTCTAGTCCACTCCCCTCTCCCACAATTGCCTTTATTTGGATTTCTTAGTAATGTAGTCAGATGGGATATAGTTCGTATACTGTCTTTTGTTTAACATAAATGTTTTTGAGATTTATTATTTATGTTGTATATGTTAATAGTACATTCTTTTTATTTATTTTTTTAAATTTGAAACAGGGTCTTGCTCTGTTACCCAGGCTGGAGTGTGCAATGGCAGGATCACAGCTTCCTGTAGCCTCATCCTTCTGGGCTCAAGTAATCCTCCTACCTCAGGTTCCCAAGGAGTTGGGACTACAGTCATGCACCACCATGCCTGGCTAATTTTTAAATTTTTTTGTAAAGATGGGATCTTCCTATGTTGCCCAGGCTGATAATTTTTACATTTTTGTAGGGACGGGGTCTCCCTTTGTTGCCCAGGCTGGTATCAAACTCCTGGGCTCAAGCGATCCTCCTGCCTTGGCCTCCCAAAGTGCTGTGATTACAGGTGTGATCCACCCATGCCTGGCCTCATTCTTCTTCTTCTTGTTTTTTTTTGAGACGGAGTCTCGCTCTGTCGCCCAGGCTGGAGTGCAGTGGCGGGATCTCGGCTCACTGCAAGCTCCGCCTCCCGGGTTCACGCCATTCTCCTGCCTCAGCCTCCCAAGTAGCTGGGACTACAGGCGCCCGCCACTACGCCCGGCTAATTTTTTGTATTTTTTAGTAGAGACGGGGTTTCACCGTTTTAGCCGGGATGGTCTCGATCTCCTGACCTCATGATCCGCCCGCCTCGGCCTCCCAAAGTGCTGGGATTACAGGCGTGAGCCACCGCGCCCGGCCTTTTCTTCTTATTTTTTAACTGCTGAATAGTATTTCTCAGTTGACACATATATATTTTTTTTTATTAAAAATTTTTTTAGGCTGGGCGCAGTGGATCATGCCTGTAATCCCAGGAACTTTGGGAGGCCGAGGCGGGCGGATCACGAGGTCAGGAGATCGAGACCATCCTGGCTAACATGGTGAAACCCCGTCTCTACTGAAAATACAAAAAATTAGCCGGGCGTGGTGGCGGGTGCCTATAGTCCCAGCTACTCGGGAGGCTGAGGCAGGAGAATGGCGTGAACCCGGGAGGCGGAGCTTGCAGTGAGCAGAGATCGCGCCACTGCGCTCCAGCCTGGGCAACAGTGAGACTCCGTCTCAAAAAAAAAAAAAAAAATTTTTTTTAGAGGCTGGGCGTGATGGCTCACGCCTGTAATCCCAGCACTTTGGGAGGCCGAGGCGGGTGGATCATGAGGTCAGGAGACCGAGACCATCCTGGCCAACATGGTGAAACCCCATCTCTACTAAAAATACAAAAAATTACCTGGGTGTGGTGGCATGCACGTGTAGTCCCAGCTACTCGGGAGGCTGAGGCAGGAGAATCACTTGAACCCAGGAGGCGGAGGTTGGAGTGAGCCAAGATCGAACCACTGTACTCCAGCCTGGTTGACAGAGCGAGACTCTGTCTCAAAAAAAACAAAATGTGTAGAGTCAGGATCCTTGCTTTGTTGCCCAGGCTGGAGTGCAGTGGCACAATAGTGGCTCACTGCAGCTTTGACCTCCTTGGCTCAAGCCATCCTCCTGCACCTGTAGCTTGGACTACAGGTGCGCACCAAAACACCCGGCCAATTTTTGCATTTTGTGTAGAGACACGGTTTCGCCATGTTGCTCAGGCTCATCTTGAACTCTTGAGCTCAATCTACCCACCTTGGCCTCCCAGAGTGTTGGGATTATAGGCGTGAGCCATGGAGCTCACCCCTAAACCACTGCTACATAATATTCCATATGTACTTTTTTTTTTTTTTTTGAGATGAAGTCTTGCTCTGTCGCCCAGGCTGGAGAGCAGTGGCACGATCTTGGCTCACTGCAACCTCCTCCTGTCCCCGCCGCTGGGTTCAAGTGATTCTCCTGCCTCAGCCTCCCAAGTAGCTGGGATTACAGGCATGTACCACCACACCTGGCCCATTTTTTTATTTTTAGTAGAGACAGGGTTTCATCATGTTGGCCAGGCTGGTCTCAAACTCCTGACCTCAAGTGATCTGCCCGCCTCGGCCTCCCAAAGTGCTGGGATCACAGGCGTGAGCCACTGTGCCTGGCCCAGCCCATATGTACTTTAATTTAGGTTGTTTGTAATTTTTTACTGTTATAATCAATGTTTCACTGAATATCCTTATACCTACCTGTCTGCATATCTGGAAGTATTTCTCTAGGGTGGATACCTCACAATGGAATATCTGATTTGAAGAATATACACATACTAAATTATAGTAGATCCTGCAAATTTCCCCCTGAAAATGATTGGATTAGGTTATACCCCATCCGTAATGTCTGACAGTATTTCCCCATACCTTTGCCAACGCTGGATATAATTTTTTTTTTTTTTTTTGAGATGGAGTCTCGCTGTGTCGCCCAGGCTGGAGTGCAGTGGTGCAATCTTGGCTCACTGCAAGCTGCACCTCCTGGATTCACGCCATTCTCCTGCCTCAGCCTCCCAAGTAGCTGGGACTACAGGTGCCCACGACCACGCCTGGCTAATTTTTGTATTTTTAGTAGAGATGCGTTTCATCTTGTTAGCCAGGATGGTCTCGATCTCCTGACCTCGTGATCCGCCCACCTCGGCCTCCCAAAGTGCTGAGATTATAGGCGTGAGCCACCGCGCCTGGCCAGAATCTTTTAAAACTTTTTCCAGAGGCAAATAATTATATCATATTATAATGTGCATTTTCTTTTCTTTCTTTTTTTTTTGAGATGGAGTCTCCCTCTGTCGCCCAGGCTGGAGTGTAGTGGCATAATCTTGGCTCACTGCAACCTCTGCCTCCCGGGTTCAAGCAATTCTCCTGCCTCAGCCTCCCGAGTAGCTGGGATTACAGGCATGCGCCACCATGCCCAGCTAATTTTTGTATTTTTAGTAGATACGGGGATTCTCCATGTTAGCGAGGCTGTTCTCAAGCTCCTGACCTCATGTGGTCCACCCGCCTTGGACTCCCAAAGTGCTGGGATTACAGGCGTAAGCCACTGCGCCCGGCCTATGTATTTATGAATACATAATTTATGTATTCATAAATACACAAATAAATATATAATTTGCCTATTTTTCTATTTTTTTTTTTTGTTACGGCTTTTTTTTTTTTTTTTGTGAGACAGAGTCTCACTCCTTCATCCAGACTGGAGTGCAGCTGTGTGATCTCGGCTTATTGCAACCTTAGCTTCCCCGGTTCCAGCCATTCTCCTGCCTCAGCCTCCAAGTAGCTGGGACTATGGGCGGGTGCCACCACGCCCGGCTAATCTTTGTATTTTTAGTAGAGACAGGGTTTCTCCATGTTGGCCAGGCGGGTCTCGAACCTAATATTTAAATCTTTGTTTTTTTTTTTTTTGAGATGGAGTCTCGCTCTTCTGCCCAGGCCGGACTGCAGTGGCAGTATCTCGGTTCACTGCAAGCTCCACCTCCCGGGTTCATGCCATTCTCCTGCCTCAGCCTCCTGAGTAGCTGGGATTACAGGCGCCCGCCACTGCGCCTGGCTAATTTTTTGTATTTTTAGTAGAGATGGGGTTTCACGAAAGTGTTAGCCAGGATGGTCTCGATCTCCTGACCTCGTGATCCGCCCGCCTCGGCCTCCCAAAGTGCTGGGATTACAGACGTGAGCCACCGCGCCTGGCTTATTTAAATCTTTGAAGCAGAAAAATCCTTAAGGAAGACAAAAGTCCAGTAAGGGAAAAAAAGGATAAAACTGACAACAAAAACATAAAAAATTTCTGCATACTAAGAAAAAAAATTACAGGCGGTTCTCCTGTCCAGCCCACCACCCCTGGACTGTCCCTGCATATAAGTTCCGCCTAGCAAAACCCTATGTGTCATCTGCTGTCTCCAGGTCCCTTCAGCCTCTTGAACCTGGTGCCATCCCTAGTGAATAGGGGTCCAGCACAACAATTGGTGAGCCAGTCAAGAGGCTGTGGAGAAAATCCCATCAGTCTGAGACAACGGGATCTGGGAAGGGGAAATCTGAAGGGAAAATCTCATTATTAACAACAGGCCGGGTGTGGTGGCTCCCAGCACTTTGGGAGGCCGAGGTGGGTGGATCACCTTAGGTTAGGAGTTCAAGACTAGTCTGGCCAACATGGTGAAACCCTGTCTCTACTAAAAATGTAAAAATTAGCTGATGGTGGCGCACATCTGTAATCCCAGCTACTCGGGAGGCTGAGGCAGCAGAATCCTTTGAACCGCGGAGGCGCACTTGCGGTGAGCTGAGATCACATCACTGCACTTTAGCCTGTGTGACAGAGTGAGATCCTATCTCAAAATAAATAAATACATACATACGTAATAAAATGAAAAATATATTCTCTAATTTCTGCCAACACTGGACTTTTATTTTTTGTATTTACTTTGTTTGATCCATTTAGAATTTATTGTGGTATGAGGATGGGATCCACATTTATTATTTGTTCAAATAGATGGATAATGGCTCAACTGTCTTTATTGAATAGGCCATTCTTTGTCATATCTTAAATTTTAAATTCTCTTGTACACAAGGGTCCATTTTTTGACACCCTAGTATATTTCATTGGTATCTTTCTCTGTTTTTTTTGAGACGGAGTATCACTCTGTCTTCCAGGCTGGAGTGCAGTGGTGCGATCTCGGCTCAGTGCAACCTCCTCCTCCTGGGTTCAAGCATCAAGCAATTCTCTGCCTCAGCCTCCCAAGTAGCTGGGATTATAGATGCCCACCACCACGCACAGCTAATTTTTGTATTTTTAGTAGAGATGGGGTTTCACCATCTTGGCCAGGCTGGTCTTGAACTCCCGACCTCATAATCCATCTGTCTCAGCCTCCGAAAGTGCTGGGATTACAGGCGTGAGCCACTGCGCCCGGCCTCTTTCTCTTTTGTTGCACCAGAACTTTATTAGAGCTTTATAGTATGTTTTGATACCTTGGTGGACAAATCTTCACTTAGTTTCTTTATTTTTCAAAATTTTTTTGGCTGTTTTCAGACATTTCATTTCCAGACAAATTTTAGAATCAATTCGTTAAGTTACCATAAAAATCCTATTATATTTTAATCCAGATTTCCTTGACTTTGTAGATTAATTAGGGACATTTGTGGATTAATTTTAAAAAGATCACTCTGGTTATAGTTTGAAGAACGAGTTGGAGGGAGGTAAGACAGAAGATGGGGATATCATTGAGTCTGGCATATTTTGTCTTTAAAGGACCCAGATAGTAAGTATTTTCAGCTTTGCAGACTGAATGGTCTCTCTCATCACTATTCTGTCATTACAGCTCAAAAATAGGTATAGCCCATCTGTAAACAAATGGGTATAGCTGTGTTCTAATAAAATTTGATTAAGAAAAATAGTGATGAGCCAAATTGGACTTGCAGACTGTAGTTTTCCAACCCCTGATTTAGGCTCTTGCTGTAATTCAGGCGAGAAATGATACTAGCACAAAATTGGGAAGTGGCAGCAGAAAAAAATGATGAATTTAAGAACAGTTTAGGAAGTGGCATTGAAACAATTTGATTAATGGGACGAGCAGAGTGAGAGAGGAGAAGGGGTCAAGGATAACGCTTAGGTTTCTGGTTTGGACATTAGATAGCTGATGGATCATGAGACAGTGGAAGAGCAGAGTAGGGTTGGGATGTGGGTGAGGATACATGTTTGATCTTGGCCTTTTAAATTTAAGAAGACTGTGGGGTATCAAAAAGAGGATACTCGGTAGGCAGTTGAACATACGTGTCTGGTACTCAAAAGGAGAGTTCTAGACTGGAGCTTTTGGTTTAGAAGTCACCAGCTACTGATGGTAATCAAAGCTATGGGCATGGATGAGATTGTGCAGAGACAGCAGGGAGAGTGAGCAAAGAAGTGACTAAACCCAACTTCCTGAGGAACCAATCTCATTTAAGGAACACACTTAGGAGGATAATTCCTCATAGGAGTCTGAAGAGAAGGGGCCAGAGAGTAGGGAAGAAAAGTGAGAGTGTTATCAAGAAAAGCCAAGAGAGGATTGAGGGGTGAGGGAATGTTTCAAGGGGTCAGATGCTGCTGGGAAGTCAGGTAAGATCAGAACAGAGAAGGATCCATTAGGTTTAACATGAAGAGTTTGTCAATGACCTTAATGAGAAGATTCATAGAGTGGTCAGGACAGAAGTGATTGGAGTGCGTTGAATAGTCAATGGAAGGTGTGCAGGTAGAGCCAGGGAGTGTAGAAGACTCTTATGTTGTCCGGGCGTGGTGGCTCACACCTGTAATCCCAGCACTTTTTGAGGCCGAGGTAGGAGGATCACTTGAGGCCAGGAGTTTGAGCCCAGCCTAGACAACATAGACCCTATCTCTACTAAAAAAGTAAAATTAAAAAGGCCGGGTTCAGTGGCTCACACCTGTAATCCCAGCACTTTGGGAGGCCAAGGGAGTGGATCATGAGGTCAGGAGTTCAAGACCAGCCTGGCCAACATGGCGAAACTCTGTCTCTACTAATACAAAAATAAGCTGGATGTGGTGGTGCATGCCTGTAATCCCAGCTACTCAGGTGGCTGAGGCAGGAGAATTGCTTGAACCTGGGAGGTGGAGGTTGCAGTGAGCCGAGATCGCGCTACTGCACTCCAGCCTGGGCAACAGAGTGAGAATCTGTCTCAAAAAAAAAAAAGAAAATAAAATTAAAAAAAAAAACTTTTATATGTGTGAAGAGTAGCAGAGATGGGGTGGTGGTTAAATGGAAGTGTGGGGTCTATAGGAAACTCTTTTAAAAATAGAAGAATCTAGGCCAGGCTCATACCTGTAATCCCAGGAATTTGGGAGGCCAGTGTGGGTGGGCAACTCACTTGACCAGGAATTTGAGACCACCCTTGACAACACGGCAAAACCCCATCTCTGCAAAAAATACGAAAGTCAGGCAGCTGGGCACAGTGGCTCACGCTTGTAATCCCAGCACTTTGGGAGGCCGAGGCAGGTGGATCATGAGGTCAGGAGTTCGAGACCAGCCTGGCCAACAGAGTGAAACTCCATCTCTACTAAAAATACCAAAATTAGCCGGGCATGGTGGCGCGTGCCTGTAGTCCCAGCTACTCGGGAGGCTGAGGCAGAAGAATCGCTTGAACCCAGGAGGCAGAGGTTGCAGTGAGCCGAGATTGTGCCACTGCACTCCAGCCTGGGCAACAGAGTGAGACTCTGTCTCAAAAAAAGAAAATTAGCCTGGCATGGTGGCTCACACCTGTAATCCCAGCACTTTGGGAGGCCGAGGTGGGCAGATCACGAGGTCAGGAGATCGTGACCATCCTGGCTAACATGGTGAAACCCCGCTTCTACTAAGAATACAAAAAATTAGCCGGGCGTGGTGGTGGGTGCCTGTAGTCCCAGCTACTCGGGAGGCTGAGGCAGGAGAATGGTGTGAACTCGGGAGGCAGAGCTTGCAGTGAGCTGAGATCTCGCCGCTGCACTCCAGCCTGGGCGAGAGAGCAAGACTCCATCTCAAAAAAAAAAAAAAAAAAAATTAAGCATGGTGGTGTGCACCTGTAGTCCCAGCTACTTAGGAGGCTGAGGTGGGAGGATTGCTTGAATCCGGGAGCACCACTGCACTCCAGCCTGGGTGACAGAGCGAGACCCTGTCTCAAACAACAAACAGACCAATAGAAGAGTCTTGAGATGTATAAACACTGATGGGAAAGGGAAGAAAGAGAAAGAGGCTGAAGTAACAGAAGTAAATAGATATGAAAGACCTTTGTGCCCTCTCAAGTGCTGTGCAAAATTAGTAATTTATTCTTCCTTCAGAGTCAAGAGGCTCTTTGGCCCAATGTTATGCGAGTAGAGGGCACTTAGGAGTAGTTGGGGTGTTGAATATTCAGAAGAGCAGAGAGGATTTGAGAGCAGCTGCAGGGTCAGGTGGGGCTAGCCACAAGCATGGTGGCCACACAGAGGGTCTCCTGCCCTGGGGGCCTGTGGTGGTTTAGAGCTTCTACTGTGATAGAATGATTAAGACTTGAATAGGCCAGATCCTGCTGTGTAAAACAGTTCGTCATGTAGAAAGCATTTTTGGGTCTCTGAAGTAGCCGTGCTTTATTGATACAGTTAGCAGAAATCTGCTGAACAGAATTCAGAATTTGAAGACCATAAATTCATTTTGACGAATGGCATCCCTCGGAACATGCATAATTGGGGGTTTCTCTCCCGGCATTTGAGGGTCAGTGTTCAGTGGGGACATCCAGCTCCCCCTGCAGGTTGGTATCCAGCAAGGTTCACTTCTTTGCCAAGCACTCGCTATGGGGACATCAGTTATAAATAAACAAAACGCTCGCCGGAACGTTATGGTCATCCTGCCCAGGCAGGCTCCCAGCTTTCTGATGGATATCAGACACTAGCCCTGGCCTCACAGTATGGTGGTTCTGAACACTGATGGTATTTAAGCCCTCTGTGTTTTGCTCCTGTTCACCCAGGAGTACTAGTGAAAGATGGCTGAACAGAGCAGTGTATTTTGGTGAGAGGGAAATTGCACATGGATGGAAAGTTTGCCAAACCCAGGTGATTGAGCAGACGGCTTTCTTCCTCTCCTTTTTTTTTTTTTTTTTGAGATGGAGTCTTGCTCTGTCATCAGGCTGGAGTGCAGTGGTGCGATCTTGGCTCTCTGCAACCACTGCCTCCTGGGTTCAAGCGATTCTCCTGCCTCAGCCTCCTGAGTAGCTGGGATTACAGGCATGCGCCACCACGCCCGGCTAGTTTTTGTATTTTTAGCAGAGACGGGGTTTCACCATGTTGGCCAGGATGGTCTTGATCTCTTGACCCCGTGATCCACCCTCCTTGGCCTCCCAAAGTTCTGGGATTACAGGCGTGAGCGACTGCACCCGGCCGACAGCTTTCTTCTTAAATCTTTGGAGGCTTCCACTCCTCCAGCAGAGACAGCTGAACTAGATATCCAGTCTTATGATGGTGATGAATAGGTTTTACTAACAGAAATTTATTTTAAGGTAAGATTTTTCCAGAAGGCAACTAGTTAGTAGAATTCATCTGTTCAAAGCAATAAAAACTTCCTGAGGACCTATTGTGTATCAGTTCTTGGGCTGGATGCTAGAGAAACAGATATAAATTCAATACCATCTCTGTCCTCTGGGAACTTACTGTTCAGGTAGAATTTCCCAAAATGTATTTTGGAAATACTGGGTACATGAAATTCCTTGGTCAAGTAAGTTTAAAGGATATTGCTTTGTTTTATCGTCAGTCTTCTTAGAGATTCTCATTGTATACGAGTATATCATGGTTCCGAGAAGTTCTGTGGTAAAGTTCTCGTTATATGTTTAATCCAGTGTTTCTCAAATTTATGTCACACACAAGCTCAGGGTATGTGTGTGACATTTCTTTTTTTTTTTTTTTGAGACAGAGTCTAGCTCTGTCGCCCACACTGGAGTGCAGTGGCGCAATCTCGGCTCACTGCAAGCTCTGCCTCCCGGGTTCACGCCATTCTCCTGCCTCAGCCTCCCTAGTAGCTGGGACTATAGGCACCCGCCACCATGCCCGGCTAATTTTTTGTATTATTAGTAGAGACGGGGTTTCACCGTGTCAGCCAGGATGGTCTTGATCTCTTGACCTCATGATCCTCCCGCCTTGGCCTCCCAAAGTGCTGGGATTACAGGCGTGAGCCACCACACCTGGCCAAATTTTATTTAACTTTAATTAATTTAAATTTAAATAACCATATGGGGCTAGTGACTTGTGTATTGGGTAGGGCAGCTTTGGAAGCTACTTTGAGACATGCTGAGCTAAAGGTGTTTTTATTTATTCATTCTACAAACATCAAGTTTGTGGTGGTCACTGAGTAAAAGCATCCTTGTCCTCAAGGAGCTTCTAATTTAGTGGGGACTGCAGGCACCCGCCGTGTAATGATGAGCCTTAGGTGATTACTTGGAGCACAGAGGAAGGGTTTCAGCTTTGTGGGGGAGGTTGGGGTTGATCAGGGAAGGTGTCCTGGATGGGTCCTAGGGAGTAAGTTCTGGAGAACAAATAAGAGTTTGTACAGTAAAACTTACTCTTTCCTTCTTTCCTTCTTTCCTTCCTTCCTTCCTTCCTTCCCTCTTTCTCTCTCTCTCCCTCCCTTTCTTTTCTTTTGACAGAGTCTCACTCTGTCACCCAGGTTAGAGTGCGGTGGCAAGATTTCGTCTCACTGCAACATCCGTCTCCCAGGCTCAAGCAGCTCTCCTGCCTCAGCCTCCCAAGTAGCTGAGATTACAGGCATAGGCCACCAGGCCCAGCTAATTTTTGTATTTTTAGTAGAGACAGGGTTTCACCATGTTGGCCAGGCTAGTCTTGAACTCCTGACCTCAGGTAATCCTGCCTCAGCCTCCCAAAGTACTGGGATTACAAACGTGAGCCACCACGCCCAGCCACTCCCTGTTTCAAGGTGCAGGTACTACCTGCTCAGTGCAGGAAATGTTTGTTTGTCTCTAGTTCTTACCCATTAAAACCTCTGTTCTTGCCGGAAGCTGTAGGAATACAGTGACATGGCTTCACTCTTGCCCATGCTTCTGCCCACTAGCCGTCAGTTAACCCATGCTTATTGAGGACAGTGAGTAGCAGGCGCTTTTTTTTTTTTTTTTTTTTGAGACAGAGTCTCGCTCTGCTCCCAGTCTGGACTGCAGTGGCACAATCTCGGCTCACTGCAACCTCCAACTCCCTGATTCAAGCGATTCTCCTACCTCAGCCTCCTGAGTAGCTGGGATTATAGGCACGCACCACCACACCCAGCTAATTTTTAATTTTTAGTAGAGACGGGGTTTCACCATGTTGGGCGGGATGGTCTCAAACTCCTCACCTCGTGATCCGCCCGCCTCGGCCTCCCAAAGTTTTGGGATTACAGGCATGAGCCACCATGCTCGGCCTGAAACATGGAGCCTTTGAGCATCCCCAGAATCATCTTCTTGATGGGCTTATGCTGATACCATTTGCAGTAAGTCTGACAGAGGCAGGAACAGGGCAGTGCACAGTGACACTGCCTCTCCTTGCTTGGGTTGAAGAGGGCCTGTGGAAGGGGTTGAGGTTCAGGAGAGCTGCAGCAACTTGAAGCATCAGTGTTTGTTCCTCTCAACTGTGGGAGACTAGTTGTCTAAAGATTATCTTTCTTCCTTCTCTCCAGATGGTGTCCTACTCTTCTGTCCTCACAGCCATCAGTAAGGTATGACCATAGACACTCAGGAGCTAGATTGGGGATGACAGACAAGGCCCCGCCTCCTTGACGGCCCTGATGCTGTGACCCGTGAGGCTGGATAGGCAGCACATGATGCCTCTGGCTGGCATTGCTGGACTTCCATGGGAGGGGGATCCTGGCAAGTAGGGGCTGGTGCTTGGGAGCCAATGTCCAGTGTTGAGGATGCTGAGTCTGGAACCCAGGGTTGGAGGAGAGAGGAGCAGGAGTCCTGAATGCACCGTCTGCCTCATGTGAGACCTGGGGGTGGATGGAGGCATTCCGTAGCATCTCCACTGTCCTTTCCACAGTTTGATGACTTTTCTCGGGACCTGTGTGTCCAGGCATTGCTGGACATCATGGACATGTTTTGTGACCGTCTGAGGTAAGGGCAGGGGTAAGGGGGCTCACAATACAATGTTCCAGCCTTGTCTTTGTGCAGAGGTGCAGCTCCTAGCACACAGACCGAGACCAACTCCGGGTTCCAACGTTTTTTCTCCCCACCTGCCCATCTACACTTACCTGTGCCCTCCTTTTCTTACTCCCTTAGGACAGAGTGCCTCCTCTCTGTCTGGAGTAGCTCATTTGAAATCTTGTCCAGTAGGAGCCAAAGGGGCTAAGCATCTTCCCCAGGACTTTGCTAGCTTCTCAGCCCTAGTCCCTAGTAGGGGAGTGCCAGGGACTCTGGGGAACATTGATGTGGGTCGGATTTCAGCCATTGGAAGAACAGAGTCTGATTTTGCATCCTTCCCTGTAGCTGTCACGGCAAAGCAGAGGAATGCATCGGACTGTGCCGAGCCCTTCTTAGCGCCCTCCACTGGCTGCTGCGCTGCACGGCAGCCTCTGCAGAGCGGCTGCGGGAGGGGCTGGAGGCCGGCACTCCAGCCGCTGGGGAGAAGCAGCTTGCCATGTGCCTTCAGCGCCTGGAGAAAACCCTCAGCAGCACCAAGAACCGGGCCCTGCTGCACATCGCCAAACTAGAGGAGGCCTGTATGTCCCTTGATTCCCCTGAGCCCCACCTGCCGCTGCTCCCATAGCCGGTCCTTTAATTGAGAAGGGAGAGGCAGGATGCCATCCCACCTCTTTCCAGGAGGATCTGAAACCATCCCACTTCCTTTTTTTTCTCCCCATAAGCATTGCACACATCCCAGGGACTTGGGCAGGGTGGCACCCGAGCCAATCAACCAACAGGTATTTACTGAGCATTGTTGTATACCCAGCACTGTGCTAGGTGCTGGGGGTGGGGGGTGGGGGGCTACCAAAGGAGCATGTGGCAGGGTCCCTGCCCTCATCAAGCATAGCTGCTAGTGGGTAGCAAGACTAGTACATCACAGACGAGGAAAAAACTAGAGGACAAGACAAGCACAGTGTCCATTATTGTGTTTGTCTCCATGTTACTCATCGCTTGGAAGCAGATGACTCTTGTATTTGAATGTTACCTAAAATGCCCCTTTTAACACAGTGCCTGTCTGCTGTTGGGCCTGTTGTACCATATGCCTCTTGACTCAAGTTCAGATGTTAAGTTTGGGTACTTTCCAGAGCCTGAGAACAGACAGATCACCTGGCGGGAGGGAAGATGCCAGTATTTCCAGCAATGGGGTCCTAAGGCCATAGTCTTGCTCCTTGAAGCCCAAGTGGCTTGGGACCACCTACAGGTCTCTTGTTCTCCAGGAACAAGAATGCTAGAATGGGCTACTCTCGAGGCTTCAGGACCTGGTTGGAGAGCTTGTTTTAGGACTAGTATATTTATTTCTTCCCCAAGTATGTTTTACTGCCTGTGAAAAGTCCAAAAAGACAATCTTTATATAAAAATGGACTGTGTTGACAGCCTCTTCCCTACCTTGGGCCCTTGATAAATGTTTATTGGCTGAAAATCGGATGAATACTGAATTTTAATGGATCTCAGGTCTTGTCTTTTTTTCCCCCTTTTATGCTCCATGGAGGTTAATGGGCTAGTTGGTGCCATTATTCATCATTTGACCCTCTGGAATTGTAACTAGGATAAGTAACTTATAGTTCAGTGCTAACCAATATGGCTTAGACCATGAGTGTGGGCATTAAGGAGAGAACAGTGAGTTAGACCAGTCGGGTGAGTTGCTAAAGGAACTGGGGCTTGAACAGAAGCTTAGAGCATGGTGGGAGTTTGAGAGAGAGTGTGTAAGAGGCCTTCAGCAGGGGAGGGCAGCAAACGCAATGCCTAGATGAGGGAGTGGTTGAGAATGAGAAAGCCATTTAGGGACCCAGTTCCCCCAGAGGAGAGTGACAGCCTCTGCAAGACTGGACTTTGGGATCCGCTCACTCCTCGAGTGATTTGTGGCCGCCCTCCCTGTTCCAGCCACTGGATTCTGGCCTCCCTCTGCCTCTCTCTCCTGAGCCTGTGTGATGCCATACCTTCTGAAGTCAGCTGGCTGTGTCCCCTGGAAATCAGGCTTTTGGGAATGGTCTCTGGGGTTTCCAGCTCTAGGTGCCCACCCCCCTTCTGGAAACAGTGCATGCTGCCCTCAGGCCCCTCCCTCCCTGTTGTCCTCAGGGGAAGCCTTCCTGTGTGGTTTCGTGTGCCGGAGGGAGTGCCAAAATCGAGGAGTTCAGGGCCAGGTGCTCCTTCTCTCCTGTTTCCCATCATGTTTCTGTACTTCCTTCCCTCTGCCAGCTTCTTGGACTGCCATCGAGCATTCTCTCTTGAAACTTGGAGAGATCCTGGCCAATCTCAGCAACCCGCAGCTCCGGAGTCAGGCCGAGCAGTGTGGCACCCTCATTAGGAGGTACCGGCTCCCTGGGGGATGGTGGAGAAGGGAGAGGGAGGACACGCCCTGGGGTAGGAAGATGTGGCACCCGTGCCATCCTCTCCGCCTTCACCTTTGGCCCCCCAAACACCGTCCCCTGTGTTTGTGACCCCTCAGCATCCCCACGATGCTGTCTGTGCATGCGGAGCAGATGCACAAGACCGGCTTCCCCACTGTCCACGCCGTGATCCTGCTCGAGGGCACCATGAACCTGACAGGCGAGACGCAGTCCCTGGTGGAGCAGCTGACGATGGTGAAGCGCATGCAGGTGGGAGGGGCCGAGTGGCTCTCCCTTCTCCAAGGCAGGCCAGCCTGTTGGGGGCAGGAGGGAGGATTCTTCTGGTTCTCCCTGGGAGAAGTGGGGTTTCTCCTGCTCCATGATGGAAAGTGGGTGCCAGTCGTGCACACTTCTGTCATTGGACCTTACTCCCCTGGTTCTCAGCACATAGCTGAGCAGTGACTCTGCCATGCAGTCTCTGACCCAGCCAAATCCTCAGAGTCCACAGAAGGGTGACGGGGTATGGGCACCCTCTTAGGCCTCATCCTTGGCTCTTCCCACAGCATATCCCCACCCCACTTTTTGTCCTGGAGATCTGGAAAGCTTGCTTCGTGGGGCTCATTGAGTCTCCCGAGGGTACGGAGGAGCTCAAGTGGACAGCTTTCACTTTCCTCAAGGTACTGGGGACGTGGGAGGGGCAGAGCCAGTCTAGGAATGGTTCTTAGCAAGACCAGTGGCACCCTGGACCTTTGCCCTGTGTTCCTCCCTGCGGGCACTGGGCCCAGCCTGCCAGGTATTCCAGTGCAAGTTCCCATTGATCATTTTCTCTGAAAGTGCCAGGGCTATATTTAGCCCATTTGGCAGACTCCGTTGTTTCTTACCACAGAGGTGCAGTTTAGCTTGGTCATCAGACAGATAGGTGCAGGGCAGTAAAGGGAGCCAGGGAAAGGGGCCCCAGTCCTCCTTGAAGCTGGGGATCCACTTTTGCTTATGGCATCTTTTTCTGTTGAGCTAGCGGAGGTGCAGGGTGCTTGTGTCCTGTGCCTAGGCCTGGGGGCATCAGGGGCCTGGGCACCTATTGGCTTTCTCATTTAGCACTAAGTGTGCTCTCACTCCCAGGGTAGGAGTGTTCCTGTCTCTCTTCCTGGAGCAGGGGTTCGGGGGGATGCCTTCAGGGGTAGATGAAAGAGAAAAGAAATGGATCTTCCTGTTTTTCCCCCTGCCTCACCCCCTAGATTCCACAGGTTTTGGTGAAGTTGAAGAAGTACTCTCATGGAGACAAGGTGAGTTGGGGATTGAGATGGAGGCATGGGAGCAGAAATAAGGGCAAAGGGGAGGGTCCTTCAGGCCCCAGCTGGGCAGTGTTCTCATGCCTGGAAGAGAGCCGGATGTGAGTGTACACCTCAGCGTGCACGTGCTTCACAATGTGCATGCTTCAGCATGTGCGTGTGCTTCAGCATGTGCGTGTGCTTCAGTGTGTGCGTGCTTCAGTGTGTGTGTTTCAGCGTGTGTGTGCTTCAGCGTGTACGTGTGCTTCAGCCAGTGTGTGTGCTTCAGCGTCTGCGTGCACCCACAACATACACCCAGGCTCCAGGCAGAAAGCAGCCAGGCAACTCAGGCCGATGCCTCCAGCAGACAAGGTTGCCTGAGATGATCAGGGCCTGGTGGCCCTGGAAACCAGATGGACACTTCTGCCTCTTTCTAGGACTTCACTGAGGATGTCAACTGTGCTTTTGAGTTCCTGCTGAAGCTCACCCCCTTGTTGGACAAAGCTGACCAGCGCTGCAAGTATGAGCTCCCCTGGTCACCCCCGCCCTACTGGAAGGCGTTCTGGGCTCTTCCCCTGATCTCTGTGCCAGAGAAGCCTCAGGGGACTCTGTCTCCTTGTTCACTCCCCTTGGCAGGGGCAGGAAATAGGAGCCCACAGTTGCCAAGTCCCCAGAGCCCCTCTACCGTCCCTCAGGCACTCCAGATTTTCCTCATCCTGAAAGAGGGAGGATGCTGCTCAGGGACCTGCCACTCCCACCCCTCACCATCCTATCCAGGTGCCCAGTTCCCTCAGCATCTTTCTCCCTCACAGCTGTGACTGTACAAACTTCCTGCTCCAAGAATGTGGCAAGCAGGGGCTTCTGTCTGAGGCCAGCGTCAACAACCTTATGGCTAAGCGGTAAGTGTGAACGCACCTGTGCTACCCCAAGAGCCCCTTGACCTCTCTCTTGTTACGGTGGGGCTGCTGCGTGCCTTTCAACCTCCTGTCGAAAGTTTGGGCTGCAAGTGACTGGGACCGTGCCTGGGGGTACAGGGAACAGGAAGGAAAAGAAAGCACAGATGTCTTCAGACCAGAGTTTTACACTCTTAGTCACTGCTCTTTAACTCATACCCATCTTTGTGATAAAAGTAAAAATCCTAGGCTGGAGGCGGGTGGATTACTTGGAGGCCAGGAGTTCAAGACCAGCCTGCCCAACATGGCAAAACCCCATGTCTACTAAAAATACAAAAATCAGCTGGGCGTGGTGGTGTGTGCCTGTAATCTCAGCTACTCTGGAGGCTGAGGCACGAGAATTGCTTGAACCCAGGAGGCGGAGATTGTGGTGAGGCGAAATCATGCCACTGCACCCCAGCCTGGGCGATAGAGTGAGACCTTGTCTCAAAAAAAAAATAAATAAATAAATAAAAATCCTGAATCTTCCTTTAATCTTAAATGTGCTTTCAGAGCATTTAAGACTAATGATAGGCCGGCTGCGGTGGCTCACACCTGTAATCCCAGCATTTGGGAGGCCAAGGCGGGTGGATCACGAGGTCAGGAGTTTGAGACCAGCCTGGCCAACGTGGTGAAACCCCATCTCTACTAAAAATACAAAAATTAATCAGGCGCGATGGTATGCACCTGTAATTCCAGCTACTCAGGAGGCTGAGGCAGGAGAATCACTTGAACCCGGAAAGCAGAGGTTGTACTGAGCTGAGATCGCGCCACTGCATTCCAGCCTGGGTGACAGAGCGAGACTCTGTCTCAAAAAAAAAAAAGACTAATGATAAATTGCCAGGTGTGCTGGCTCACCTGTAATCCCAGGACTTTGGGAAGCCAAGGTGGGTGGATCACCTGAGGTCAGGAGTTTGAGACCAGTAGAACATGGTGAAACCCCGTCTCTACTAAAAATACAAAAAAGTAGCCAGGCGTGGTGGTGAGCGCCCAGCTACTCTGGAGGCAGAGGCTGCAGTGAGCCGAGATCGTGCCACTGTACTCCAGCCTGGGCAACAGAGTGAGACCTGTCTCAAAAAAAAAGACTAATGCTAAATCAGTGATTGCAACATTGACTATGCTTCCATAAACTTCACCCCAACCTCGGAGGTTCTTACATGCTTCCCACCTCCTCTGCGCATTTCCTTCCGGGCTTGAACGAGGGAACGTGTCAAGAATTTCTCTTCATTCCTCTTCCCTTCCTTGGCCAACTGGTGATGTCCACAGCAAAGCGGACCGAGAGCACGCACCCCAGCAGAAATCGGGAGAGAATGCCAACATCCAGCCCAACATCCAGCTGATCCTCCGGGCGGAGCCCACTGTCACAAACATCCTCAAGGTGAGTGTGCCCTTCCCTGGCCACCACAGTCTTCTCTTTCTTCTTTCCAGTGCTCCATCTGCTTGCAGATAAATAAACAGAGGCCACAGACCTCTGTCTCCTTTAGCTTTTATACATAGTTGCTTTGGAGGTAGTGAAAGGGGAGGCAAGGGCAGCTACCACTGAATGCTAACCCGTGGGAGCTTCATTTGTACACCAGGCACTGCAGTAGGCGCTTTCACTTAGGCCATCTCACATGGAAACAACAGAGACGTGGGTGCGGTGGCTCACGCCTGTAATCCCAGCATTTTGGGAGGCTGAGGTGGGAAGATCCCTTGAGGTCAGGAGTTTGAGACCAGCTTGGCCAGCGTGGTGAAACCCAGTCTCTACTAAAAACACAAAATTCACTGGGTGTGGTGGTGCATGCCTGTAATCCCAGTTACTTGGGAGGCTGAGGCAGGAGAATCGCTGAACCCTGGGGGGCAGAGGTTGCAGTGAGCCAAGATCGCACCACTGCACTCCAGCCTCAGCGATAGAGCGAGACTCTGTCTAAAAAAGGAAAGGACAGAGAAGATCCTAGCCGTGACCTTGCCCACTCCAACCTTACCACCTGCATGCCAGTGTAGATGAGAGGGATGGATCGGAGAGCAGGGGTGGGTTTTAGGAATGATTTTCCAGATTGAAGTCAGAAAGATGTAGATTACATTCCAGGTTGTGAAGAGAGAAAATGTGGCTAGGCTGTATCTTGGGTGGGGGGTCTTCAGTGTTCTTCAGGACTTGATTTCCTGTCCTGTCCCCAGACGATGGATGCAGACCACTCTAAGTCACCGGAGGGACTGCTGGGAGTCCTGGGCCACATGCTGTCCGGGAAGAGTCTGGACTTGCTGCTGGCTGCCGCCGCCGCCACTGGAAAGCTGAAATCCTTCGCCCGGAAATTCATCAAGTGAGGAAGGCCAAGCCCCTGACCCCAGGGCGTGCAGGGAGGCTGCGCGTTGGGAGGAGGTAGCAGGGTAGGAGTCAGGTGCCTGGGTCTGGGTCTCATCCAGAGACCCACGGGCCTAGGCAGAGCATCCTGGCTGGAGATCTTGGAGGAAGGGCCTGTTCTCACGACCTAAGTGTTCCTTTCTCTTCAGCTGAGGATGGAGTGGACATGTTTGGTAAAGAGATGAGGGTAAGGGTTGAGGTGTTGAACATTGGGCATGGAGGAATTCCAAGTATGCCCAGTTATTAATAAGGGGCTCTCAAATTCTGTTGCCTTTTTTGATTGCCCTGGAATTTGACATATATAGAACATGGTTCCATTCAGTGAGCCATTCTCTAGGCCTTGGAAATCTTCTAACAATAAAAATCCTTCTGGCCGGGTGCGGTGGCTCACGCCTGTAATCCTAGCACTTAGGGAGGCCAAGGTGGGCGGATCACCTGAGGTCAGGAGTTCAAGACCGGCCTGGCCAACTTGGTGAAACCCTGTCTCTACTAAAAATACAAAAAATTAGCCGGGTGTGGTGGCGGGCACCTGTAATCCCAGCTACTTGGGAGACTGAGGCAGAAGAATTGCTTGAACAGAGGCGGAGGTTGCAGTGAGCTGAGATTGTGCCACTGCACTCCAGCCTGGGTGACAGAGCGAGACTCTTTCTCAAAAAAAACAAAAAAAAAACAAAAAACAAAAACCACAAAAACCTTTTTTCTATAGCAATGTGTCTCATTTTAAGTTTAACCAGTAACTCAGACTCTAGCTATCGCTCTCTGAACATGTGTAGCCCCAGCGCCCAGCTACTGCTCAGCTCATGCCCTGGTCAATGCAGCCTGTCTCCATTCCTTTCAGTTTGAATGAATTCACAACCTATGGCAGCGAAGAAAGCAGTAAGTCAGCCCTGTGCATCCGCAGGCCCAGTGGGCCCTGAGGAGGGGTGTGGCGGGAGAGTGTGGGAGGGAGGAGGGCTCCCCAGCTCAACAGGGGGAGGCTGTGCTCCCTCCTCAGAGCCATGACCAATGGAAGCTTCCACAGAGCTTGAAAGTGGATAATGCTGGAAAAGGATTCTTCCCAGACCATCCCTGTGTCTCCTTCCCCCCCTCATCCCTTTACGACTTGGTTAGGTATGCCAGGAGAGGGTGCTGGGGGTCTTTGGTCTCAAGGAAGGGATGATGTTCCAGTTGAGACTCAAGAAAAGGATTCTGAGCCTCAGAGCTTTGAAGGAGCCACTTGGTCCCTGACCTTCCTAGAGGCAAATCCCGATCCCTGTCAACCCAGACACGGGCTCCCCCCTGCCCTCGTCTGGGAGCTCAGCCTTCCCGTCCTTCCACAGCCAAACCGGCCTCCGTCCGGGCCCTGCTGTTTGACATCTCCTTCCTCATGCTGTGCCATGTGGCCCAGACCTATGGTTCAGAGGTGAGAGAGGGGAGCGACCGGGACGGGGGCTCAAGGGAAGGAGGTAACCCGGAACTCTCCCCACCTCACTGCCTGCGCCCCCGCAGCCTCTCAGCCAGTTAGTTCTGTGGGCCTCAGAAACCAGGTGCCCACCCGGGCTGGAGTCCGTAGAGGCACCTTCAGCCCTATGTTCACATTGACCACTAGGTGGCAGCATTGCCCCCGTCTGGCTCCCTTAGACCAGTTCGTCCCCAGTCTTTGGGCTGGGCTGGAGCAGCAGCCTGGCGGGAAACAGTGCAGCCCCAGGTCCAGCGCTGGCAGGCGCCGCGCCCTCCCCACTCGGCTGGTGCCCCCCTTCCCCTTTCCCAGGTGATTCTGTCCGAGTCGCGCACAGGAGCTGAGGTGCCCTTCTTCGAGACCTGGATGCAGACCTGCATGCCTGAGGAGGGCAAGATCCTGAACCCTGACCACCCCTGCTTCCGCCCCGACTCCACCAAAGTGGAGTCCCTGGTGGCCCTGCTCAACAACTCCTCGGAGATGAAGCTAGTGTCAGTGGCCCGGGCGCCCACTCCAAGGGTGGCGGTGGGGGCAGGGTCAAGACCCGCTCCCTGAGCCCGTTCCTTGCTCCCCTGTGCTGACTTCTCTGCACACCCGCAGGCAGATGAAGTGGCATGAGGCCTGTCTCAGCATCTCAGCCGCCATCTTGGAAATCCTCAATGCCTGGGAGAATGGGGTCCTGGCCTTCGAGTCCATCCAGGTAGCCCCGCCTTCCCAGCAGCGTTTGCTCCCCTGAGACACAGAGCCAGCCAGTGATGACTTGTTATATTTCGTAAGGGCAAGAAGACCTTTAATCCAGGAGCTCATGTTTTGATATTGATATTTTGTGTAATCGTTGTCTTAGCTACTCCCTCTGGCCCAGGTAGCTCTGGGAAGATCAAACTTGTGGAGAGAGGTGTGGAATGTGGCCCGGGACTCCACCCGCTGCACTTAGCTGCCCGCAGAGGCTGAGAAGGTGATGTTGGCTCAAGAAAGGGAGATAGATGGTAGCCCATCACCTTTCCGTCTCCCCTAGAAAATCACTGATAACATCAAAGGGAAGGTATGCAGTCTGGCGGTGTGTGCTGTGGCTTGGCTTGTGGCCCACGTCCGGATGCTGGGGCTGGATGAGCGTGAGAAGTCGCTGCAGATGATCCGCCAGCTGGCAGGGCCACTGTTTAGTGAGAACACCCTGCAGTTCTACAATGAGAGGTCGGTAACCTGCCTTCCCTTCTCAGACCCTTCAAGTGTGTTGTGAGAAGTCAGCACATCCAATAACAAGCACCCCTCTCTTTTCTGACCTTCGCAAACACGCTACTTGATCACTCACTCACTTTCCTATTCATGCATTCACTCATCTGACTCAGCAAACATGTACTGTGTCTCTGTGGCAGAAGCGTTTATATGCCAGCACCTGCTGTGTTGTCAGAAATGCAGACCCTAAACAGGGTCTGCCCGCAGAGACTCAAGTTCTAGACAACTAGCTCCCAAAAGAACAAAGCTGTGTGACTGTCTAGGAGCTAGGAACCTGTCTGTAGATTTTACAGGCCATGCCCCACCCTCAGTTACCTCTTAGGACAGTTTCCTGCCCTGGCTCTTCAGGGGCTTGGAGGACTTCCCTGGTGACCAGTTACGTTGAGTTCATTCACCCAACCAATAAGTTGTTTGCTTTTTTTAATTGTAAAAAACACATAAGATTTGCCATCTTAGCCATGTTTAAGTGTACTGTTCAGTAGTGTTAAGTATATTCACACTGTTGTGTAACAGGTCTCCAGAACTTTCTTGCATCTCTGAAACTCCATACCCACTGAACAACAGCTTCCTATTTTCCCCTCCCTCCAGCTCCTGGTAACTACCATTTTACTTTGTGTGTCTAGGAATTTGACTACTTTATACTTTTTGTTGTTGTTGTTGTTGAGACAAGGTCTTACCCTTGCCCAGATCAGAGTGAGTCTCACTGCAACCTCAAATTCCTGGGCTCAAGTGATCCTCTCGCCTCAGCCTCCCGAGTAGCTGGGACTGCAGGCCCACAGCCGGCTAATTTTTCTAGTCTTTGTAGAGACAGGGTCTCACTATATTGCCAGGTCTTGAACTCCTGGCCTTGAGTGATCCTCTCACCGTGGTCTCCCAAAGTGCTGGGATTACAGGCGTGACCCACCGTGCCCTGCTGAATTTGACTACTTTTTAGATGCCTCATTTAACTGGAATCATACAGTCCTTGCCTTTTCGTGACTCACTGACTTCACTCAGCATGGTGTCCTCAAAGCTCATCCATGTAGTAGCACGTGACAGGAATTCCTTCCTTTTTAAGGCTGAATAATACTCTGTTGTGGGCCGGGCGTGGTGGCTCACGCCTGCAATCCTAGCACTTTGGGAGGCTGAGGTGAGTGGCTCACTTGAGGTCAGGAGTTTAAGGCCAGCCTGACCAACATGGTGAAACCTTGGCCTTACTAAAAATATAAAAATGAGCAGGGAGTGGTGGCAGGCGCCTGCAATCCCAGCTACTTGGGAGGCTGAGACAGGAGAATTGCTTGAACCCAGGAAGCGGAGGTTGCAGTGAGCCGAGATCACGCCACTGCACTCCAGCCTGGGTGAAAGAGTGAGACTCTGTCTCAAAAAACAAAACAAAAACAAAAGAAACCTCTATTGTGTGGCTATACCACATCTTGATCCCTCCTCTGTCAGTGGACACTTCAGTTGCTTCCACCTTTGGGCTATAGTGAATAGTGCTGCTGTGAACATGGGTGTTTACCAGCTAATACGTTTTGGGTGTTGCCATGTCTTTATGGCAACGTTGAGGATGTCTTTATTTATTTATTTATGTACTTATTTTTGAGACGGCGTTTCGCTCTGTCACCCAGGCTGGAGTGCTGTGGCACTATCTAGGCTCACTGCAATCTCCGCCTCCTGGGTTCAAGAGATTCTCCTGCCTCAGCCTCCCGAGTAGCCGGGATTACAGGCATGTGCCACCACACCCGGCTAATTTTTGTATTTTTGGTAGAGATGGGGTTTCACCATGTTGGCCAGGCTGGTCTCGAACTCCTGATTTCAGGTGATCTTCCCGCCTCAGCCTCCTGAAGTGCTGGGATTATAGGCATGAGCCACCGCACCGGGCCTGAGGATGTCTTAATAGGGAGAAGGGGAAGCATTGAGCTGAATGAGGTTTGGACGGTCTGGAAAAGCACATCTCGTTTTCCCCTTGCCTCCTCCTTTTTTCCTTTCTTCTCTCATTTCTCCACCACCTTCCCCCCCGCCCTACCAAGTAGGGAGCTTTTGCTCTGGTGTAACCCATTCTAAGCACCCTAAATCCTATCTGGGTAAGGGGTAGTGAGAAGTCTGTGGCTCCATTGTGCAGGTGGGAAAAGTGGCTCTAAAGGTCATAGCAACTTTCCCAGAGCCACCCTGCATTCCAGGAACAGTCAGCACTCGGCCCGGGTCTGTATTCACTTCCGAAGCCTCTTTCCATGAGAAAATTCCTGGATATACACTTCTATCTGCCCAGCTACCAGGGGCCGGGAAGAGTCCTGTGGGGCAGCCCTTGGGCCTCTCCTGGAAGGAACAGTTTACTTTGGGAGGAGGCCAGGGCTGGGCGGGGACCCCCAAGCACTCAGCCTAGGGGGAAGTGATTGTGTTTATTTATGTGGCAGGTTGGCAGGGCCCAGGCCTGGGGGATGGGGGAAGTTGGAGAATAAAAGAAAATGTGAATATCTGGCTGGAATGGCCAGGGGGAGGAAAGTCCCTCCCCAGTCCCTATTTATAGGCTTTGTGTCCTGCAGGTGAGAGACCTGCCAGGAGCAGAGCAGGGGCCAGGTCACCCCGGGGTATACCGTCCCCCAGCGCAAAACTGGGTTAATGCCTCAGGGAGATTTCCGTAACCTAAGTCCAAGGGAAAGTCTGGCATGGGTGTTCCCTCCTCTCCCTCCCCACCCTACAGTGGCACCTGAGCCTCAGGTTCTCTCGGCCCTCCCCCAGGGTGGTGATCATGAACTCGATCCTGGAGCGCATGTGTGCCGACGTGCTGCAGCAGACAGCCACGCAGATCAAGTTTCCCTCCACCGGGGTGGACACAATGCCCTACTGGAACCTGCTGCCCCCCAAGCGGCCCATCAAAGAGGTGCTGACGGACATTTTTGCCAAGGTGCTGGAGAAGGGCTGGGTGGACAGCCGCTCCATCCACATCTTTGACACCCTGCTGCACATGGGCGGCGTCTACTGGTTCTGCAACAACCTGATTAAGGTACTTGGGCTGGAGTGGCTGTGGGCCGACATGGGTCCTGTCCCCTGGCTCCCCACACCTGGCCTGGTCTGCCAGGCTTCCCTGAGAGGCTGCCGTGAGCCAGGTGGCCTCCCCGGAATGCCTCGCCTCAGAGTTGCCTCCTTGGGGAGCTCTGGCCAGAGACTGGGATTCAGCCTGAGGGGCGGAGCAACATCTGGGGCCCCCTCTGCGGGCCTTACTGGACAGCCATGCTGGGGTGGCAGGGTGTAGGAGCCCCAGATCCCGGGCCCCTGGCTCCTGAACTGCCCCCTTTCCTGCGCACTAGGAGCTGCTGAAGGAGACGCGGAAGGAGCACACGCTGCGGGCAGTGGAGCTGCTCTACTCCATCTTCTGCCTGGACATGCAGCAAGTGACCCTGGTCCTGCTGGGCCACATCCTACCTGGCCTGCTCACTGACTCCTCCAAGTGGCACAGCCTCATGGACCCCCCGGGCACTGCTCTTGCCAAGTAAGATTCTCTTCAGAGCTTGCCCTGCTCCGGCCACCCAGGGTCAAGCACCCCTCGCCTGGTGCCACCCTGGGAGACTGGGCTTTGGGGAGCCCAGTCAGACACAGAAAGCTCCTGGGGCACCTCTCACTGTCCCCCTTTTTCTGGAACCCTTTGCCAGGCTGGCCGTGTGGTGTGCCCTCAGTTCCTACTCCTCCCACAAGGGACAGGCGTCCACCCGCCAGAAGAAGAGACACCGCGAAGACATTGAGGTAGGCCCCCCAGCTGCCCTCGCCGGCTTCACTTGTTCACCGGTTTGTTACAGCATTTCCTAAGGATTCCCCAGGCAAAGGGAAGCAGTTGTGGCCCCTGCCCTTGGGGCAGCTGTGCCTGGGCATGATTGGTCAGGAATCTGCATGGGTGATTTGTGTGGCCCCAGCTTGCCCATGGGCACAAGGGGCCTGTCAGATTGTGGGAGGGGTTGAGCAGAGAGGGGCTGAGGCCCTGCTAGCCATGCTGACCTCGCTCAAATCGGAGCTCAAGCTCTTTTCCCTGACAGCTGGAAACTGGGGGGTTTAGGGGTGTATAACAGTGACTTTCACTCCCTCTAGGATTATATCAGCCTCTTCCCCCTGGACGATGTGCAGCCTTCGAAGTTGATGCGACTGCTGAGCTCTAATGAGGACGATGCCAACATCCTTTCGAGCCCCAGTGAGTGTGTGGGCTGGCCGCGCGCCGCTCCTTTTCCTGGGAATTCACTCCCCGATGCTGCCACTCTGCCGCTGCCCCAGCTGCAGGCATCTTTGCAGCTGGTCAGAGAGGGTGTGGCAGGGACCTGCTGTTCTAGCCCCCAAGGGGGTGCTCTGTGTCCTGCCCCTGGAGAAGAGGTTGCTGTTCTCACTCCCTGAGGGTTGAAGCTCCTCTGCCCAGGTCCAGCCCAGCCCACAGTTGTTCCCCCACAGCCCTCCTGCCCCTCCCTTACCCCAGGGTTGAGGGGATGACAAGCTACCCAAGTGAGTGAGTTCACTGCCTCAGGCACAGCCTGTGCCATTGACTCACCAGCTCTGACCTTCCTTCCTTCCTTCCCCCAAAACATGCCCGGAGAGGCCCGGGCTGGGGCATGGGGCTACTCCCCACCTTCCTGCCTAAAGAGCACACCCCCCACCAACCACTTCCCTGGAGGTCATCCTTTTCACTGTCCCCTCCTCCCTGCCAGGCTTACTGCCAAGGGTTCCTTCTGTGGCATTTTTCCTGTTTCCAGAGATTTCTCCTGAGCCTGAACTTTTCTCTGAAGCCTTTTAGGAACTAGGGGACCAACTATACACTTGATCAGAAGAAAGATGCTAGGTTTGCCAGCTACAAGTGCTGTGACCTTTAGCTAGCGACTGAGCCAGCCCCCGTCTGGGTCTCCTCATCTGTAAATGGGGTGTTGTGAGGAGTAAGCAGCTTAGGAAGTACCAAGATCGGCCCCTGGCCCTGTGTGCTCACCACATGTTAGTTTTTCTCTCTCATTCCATTGGGATCTCTGTATCTGAGGTCCCTCTGTGCCCTTTTTTTGTTTTGTTTTTTGTTTGTTTGTTTGTTTGTTTGTTTGAGTTGGAGTCTCCCTCTGTTGCCCAGGCTGGAGTGCAGTCGCACGATCTCAGCTTACTGCAACCTCCGCCTCCTGGGTTTAAGCAATTTTCCTGTCTCAGCCTCCTGAGTCTCTGGGACTACAGGCGCCTGCCACAACGCCTGGCTAATTTTTGTATTTTTAGTAGAGACGGGGTTTCACCATATTGGTCAGGCTGGTCTCGAACTCCTGAACTCAGATGATCCACCCGCCTTGGCCTCCCAAAGTGCTGGGATTACAGGCGTGAGCCACCACGCCCAGCCTGTTTTTCTGAGACACGGTTTTGCTCTGTTGCTCAGGCTGGAGTGCAGTGGCACCATCTCGGCTCACTGCAGCCTTGTTCTCCTAGGCTCAAGCAGTCTGCCTCAGCCTCCCGAGGAGCTGGGACTACAGGCGTTGGCACCACACCCAGCTAATTTTTGTATTTTTTGTAGAGATGAGGTCTCGCTAGTTGCCAAGGCTGGTCTCAAACTCCTGGACTCAAGCGATCCTCCTGCCTCGGCCTCCCAAAATGCTGGGATTACAGGTGTGAGCCACTGTACCTGGCCTCCCTTTGTGCTCTTGATCTCAGGGTCTTCTCTGGGCTCTCCATGTACCAGTTACCTCCGATGGGTGAAGGTCGGGTTGGGGCATCCCCGGGGAGCACCACTTTTGCACTCGGCAGGCTGTTTCCCAGCGCTCCATCTGCTCCGTCCCACAGCAGACCGATCCATGAGCAGCTCCCTCTCAGCCTCTCAGCTCCACACGGTCAACATGCGGGACCCTCTGAACCGAGTCCTGGGTGAGTTCCCCACCCCTGCTGCCGAACCTGGGGCTAAGCTGGACGAGTCTCTCTTCTCATGGAGGCTGGGAGACCTTGTCAGCTGGAAGGGGCCTTGCGGTGCCCCTCCCTTCCCTCTCCATGCCCCTCATTGTTGGCTGTCCTGGCCCCCAGGCTCCTGTCTAGTTCCCCCTCCTCCCCTCCCCAATTGCCTTTTATATTTTCTCTCTCTGACACCCCATTTTGGGGACATGCTCAGCATGTGTTTCTTTTCCCTTTTCAGTCCCACCTTCTCCCAGAGTGTGACCTCACCCACTCTCATGGAACTCCCTCCTGTCACTCTCCCCCCACTCTCTACAGCCAACCTGTTCCTGCTCATCTCCTCCATCCTGGGGTCTCGCACCGCTGGCCCCCACACCCAGTTCGTGCAGTGGTTCATGGAGGAGTGTGTGGACTGCCTGGAGCAGGGTGGCCGTGGCAGCGTCCTGCAGTTCATGCCCTTCACCACCGTGAGTACCACCTTCCCGGCTCTCCTGCTGGTGCTGGGGCCTCGGGGCAGCCCTTAGAGCAGGGAGGGGCCTCCTTCCCCCTGGGACAGCACACCCACCACCAGCCGTCCCGCAAGCAGCATCTGTCTGTCCGTGGCAGGTGTCGGAACTGGTGAAGGTGTCAGCCATGTCCAGCCCCAAGGTGGTTCTGGCCATCACGGACCTCAGCCTGCCCCTGGGCCGCCAGGTGGCTGCTAAAGCCATTGCTGCACTCTGAGGGGCTTGGCATGGCCGCAGTGGGGGCTGGGGACTGGCGCAGCCCCAGGCGCCTCCAAGGGAAGCAGTGAGGAAAGATGAGGCATCGTGCCTCACATCCGCTCCACATGGTGCAAGAGCCTCTAGCGGCTTCCAGTTCCCCGCTCCTGACTCCTGACCTCCAGGATGTCTCCCGGTTTCTTCTTTCAAAATTTCCTCTCCATCTGCTGGCACCTGAGGAGAGTGAGCAGCCTGGACCACAAGCCCAGTGGTCACCCCTGTGTGCGCCCGCCCCAGCCCAGGAGTAGTCTTACCTCTGAGGAACTTTCTAGATGCAAAGTGTGTATGTGTGTGTGTGTGTGTGTGTGTGTGTGTTTGTGTGTATTTTGTAATATGTGAGGGAAATCTACCTTCGTTCATGTATAAATAAAGCTCCTCGTGGCTCCCTTTGTGACTGTGTGTGCTGTTGGTATTGGTGCCACCCGGGGCAGGGCATAGTGTCCTCTCCCTGGACTCCTGTGCTGTGGCCAGGGAACGGCTCACTCCTGTGGTGAGGAGGAGGAGGAAGAGGAGCAGAGGCGGCAGGGCTCAGGGTCCTATGTGGGCTTGCTCAGCTGGGGAAGGGCCAGGGGAAAGCAGCTTCCCTTCCTTGGAGCCAAGTTGGCTGGCCTGCTGCCCCCTCCCCCAAAGCCAGCTGTACCCTGAAAGGGGAGAGGCTTTGGCTCAGGGCCCCACAGTGCTGGGGCAGGGTGGCCTGCTCTGCTGTCTCCCGAACCTGGTCCAACACCACCCACACTCTGACTAGCCTGGGATTTGATCTGTTGCCTCCAAAAAAGGACTGGGGGATGGGAGGCGGGGGGATGAGGGGCCGGACCTTTCTTTAACCCTTCCTTGCCTGCCTCACACATCTCTGAGCCCCTAGATGGATGACTCCGAGCTGGCAGTGGGAACTTCTGACCCTGCTTTCCGAGGAGCCACGGGCAGGGGAGGTGGGAGGGACTGAGGAGCTGAGGAGGAGAAGGTTTGGGCAGATAGTGGACTGGGGACTGGTGGGGGTACCCCAAAGCCACACAGGAGTCTTTGGCTGCAGGCAGGCCTCACACCTGTGGTGCGGTCGCTGCCCCCCCTGCTTGCCACAGCTCCCCACCCTCCTGGGCTGTGAGCTTAGCGCTCTTCAGCCCAAGGCTGCCACAAGCAGGAAGTGACCAGCTGGGGCGAGTGCAGAGACCGAGTCTGAGGAGAGAAGCTCTGACCCCAGTGGTCACCTTGAACTTGGCTTCCACTTTGTGGGCAACTTGATGGATGGGCTCAAGTTTATGGAAGATGGTAAATGACAAGCCTGGTGCAGATGCTCAGCACTCCCTGGCTTCATCTTGTCTGGCTGTGTCTGGCCTGTTAAGCCCACCCAGACCCCATGCCCTCTCCTTTCCGGGTTCCCATGGTCCCTGTGCCTCTGTCTTCCCTGCCAGGCTTTGGCTGCTCGAGTGCAGATTCCATGTCTGCCTTGTTCCCTGCTGTGTCCCCAGCACTTAGCCCAGCGTCTGCACAGAGTAGGTGCTCAGATAAATATGTGCTAACGGAATGAATGTCAGACGAACTTGAGAACTTTCCTCCTCCTCCCTGGACCTCCTCCCCAGACCTCCTCCCCGACCTCCCTCTGGCCTCTCCCACCCTTCAGCCACCTCCCCAGCCCCTGGCCAGGCACCAGCTGGACTCAAGAAGGAGGAAGGACGTGACTGGAGGCAAACACTTTATTATCCTGAAGTTCAGTTACAATGTGACAGTGGAGGGGACACTGGTGAGTGGGGGGTGAAGAGGTGGAGGGTGACAGTGGAGCTTCCTTTCACACACAGGCCTGACATGATTCCTCCTGTCTGCTCCCTCCCACATCCCCAGTCCCCGTCCAGCAAGGCAAATGTCCAGGCACCTGCCTGGCCCTAAAAAGAGTCACAGTCCTGACCCTCGTGGGGGCAGGGCAGGTGTCCCGAGGCCACCCAGAAAAACAGGAGACGCGTCGGTGATGTTCGGGAGTCAAACCATGTCCCAAAAGTCTTAAGAAGAAAAACGAGATTCCCCAGCAAATTCGTGGGACCCCAGGGCCATGCCTCCCAGCTCTGGCCACCTCTGCTTGTCCAGGGGCCTCACAGCCAAGGGGATGCAGGGGCCGCTGTGCAGTCGGCTGAGGCCAGAGTGAGGGGTGCAAGGACCCAGATGGGGAACACTGCTGTTTAAATATTAAACAGGGATTTCTTGTCTCCCACGTGGGAGACCTGATACTCTCAAGGGTCCCAGGTGGGGACCCTCAGGACCAGGGGCTCACAGCGGCTCATCCCAGTGCCCATTGCAGAGCCAGGGCTGGGGAGCAGTCATAGTAATAAATACTTGGTATTTACCTATCTACCTCCCAGTCCAGGGGATGGGAGGACAGGAGCTTTTTCTCACTGCTACAGGCAGGAGAATGAAACTCAGAAATGCAGGGAAGGACACAGAGGCCTGGGGCTCCGTTCTGCTCTTCCCTGTCTTTAAATATGAGGCTTAAATAGACATAAATATTAAATAGAGATAAATACATGGGATGGGGAGGGCTTGGCTCAGGGCTGGGCAAGGTGGCGTAGAACGCGGTACGACACCTCCAGGAAGCTCTGCAGATGGGAGGCAACCAGGACCCCTCCTGCCCGGCGCTGGAAAGCAGAGGCGAAGGCCGGCATGGCACCCTGGGTGGGCTGCAGGGCAGGGGCCATTCCCAGTTCTTCCATCTGTGGGGGAAAGCTGTGATCAGTGGTTGGGCCCTTCTGAGTGGGCGTTATTACAAATGAGGAAATGCTGGGGGTGACAGCATGGACAGGGCCCATACACAGGCCTGGCTGTGGTGCCCAGAATGCCAGCACGACCTTGGCCACCCTGCCCAACAAGGCTCACCTGCTGCCAGATGGTGGTGGCAAAGTCGGCGACGTCCAGCTGCAGTGTGTCCAAGGTGGGACCCAACTCGGGGGAGATCCCTTCCAGGGCCTGCAGGAGCCCCTGGTAGAGGAAAAGGCCGCTATGGAGTTGGCTCAAGCAGCCTGCCTGTGAGACAGAGCGGAAGAGTTAGGGGGTGCTGCCTGAGATACGTCAGGCCCCCAGCTTGGAACCTGGAGACATGGGGGAGCCCATGGGTGTTCCTCCTCTCCTTCCCCCTCCTCATTAGCCTTATCCTTTCCTGACACTCACCAGCTGCAGGGCCTGGCTGGGGCAGCTGCTCAGGGGAGCCCAGGGGATGCCCAGAGAGTGTCCGAGCAGCACCAGCTCCTCGGGGTGGCACAGCTTGTAGGTGGCACACTGGGGATGGAAGGATGCTGAGTGAGACTCGCCATGGCCGGGTCGCCGCTCCTTCCCGGGTCCTCCCCGACTCTCTGGTCTTTCCCCTCCCTCCATGTCCTGCCAGGCTGTTCAGTTCCTCTCTGCCCTGCACCCCCACTCTCTGATCTCACAGGGGCCCTTGCCCTTTCTCCTGAATGTAATGCCTCCACTCCCATCCCAGCCAGCCCTCCCGAGCACTGTCCCCACCAAGGTCCTCCTCCCCAAGTCCCTTCCCAGCCTTCCCCAGCTCCACTGCTCCTAATATTCTCCCACGTCCCTTCCAGAGGATGTTGGCCCTGCAGTTCCATCCCCCTTAGCTCTCCCCACCGGGCTTCCCTCCACAGCCCTCTCACCCACCTCACTCACCAGCTTCTCCTGGAGCGCTGCGCCATCGCCCTGGATCTTCCTCACTTGCTCTAAGCACTTGAGCAGGAAGCTCTGGGGCAGGGAGCTGGCAGGGCCCAGGGGGGTGGCTTCCTGCACTGTCCAGAGTGCACTGTGCCACAGCAGCAGCTGCAGGGCTGGGGACAGAGCGGGCTCAGGAGACATGCTGTTCCCTACCACCTGAGGCCCTCTCGGGGACACTGGGTGCCTTTAATCCCCATTCCCAGAACGGGGATCCCCAGCCCCTCTGTCACACCAGCCTCCCTCCCATGCCAGGGCAGGCGGCTCTCCCATCCTGGGCCAAGACACTCACCCATCAGCTTCATGGGGCTCTGGGTGGCAGGTCCAGCCATGGGTCTGGGTGGGGCTGGGCTGCAGGCTCCGGGCTGTTTTGGGGCCCAGCTCTAGGGGGGCCTTTATACATAACCCCATGGAGGCCTGGGAGGAAATTACCTGGGGCCACGACTAAGGCTTAGTAATAACTTCCCAGGATTTATGCAAATTTGGTGTCCAAGACAATGCAGGGGGGTTGGAACAAAAAGCTGTTTGCGAAAGTTTTGTGAAATTGTGGAATCTCTGATCCTCCTTTGACGTCGCCTTGCCCCCCTCAAACTCCCTTCCTCCCGCTGCCCCACCCAGGCCTGAATGGCCCCAGAGTGTTTGAACAGAACAGCTGAACAAAGGCTGAGCCGCTGATAGACGCCTGGAAGCGGCAGCAGCCTGTGGGGAAGTGGCAGCTGAGTCGGGGTCTCCCTCTCTGCTCTGGCAGACTTGCGGGGGCAGTGTCCTTTGCCCCTCTCCTTTGGGATTCTCAAGCCTGTCCCCCAAGCCCCCAAATTCTAAGAGAGAAAAAAAGAAGCTGGTTGCTCCCATTCCTACCCCCAAACTCTCCGGAGGCTGCCTGTCTGGGAGACCTCCTGAGCCCCTACCTGAGATAAGGACATTGGGTCTTGGCTGCTGTGCCCACCCCACACTTGGATAGGCACCATCGAAAGTTCCAGGCTGTCCTGTCCCAAGTTGATTAGCTGGGAACTCCCCCAGAAACCCCCCCGCCCCCCATGACTCATTCGGCTAAAGCCCCTAGAATCCCGGTAGAGCCAGAGGAAACCGGATGTCTGTCCCGAATGAGGCAAGACCCTTCGAGGCGATTGGCTCACCTGACCTTCACCTCCTCGTGCACGACCCTGACAGTAGGGTCCCCAAGGGCTTTGGAACTGCGGGATTGGGACACGTGACTTCCCTGGTCATTCACCTTGAAGTGGACACGGGCTGGGGTGAGAGAGGGGAAACTGCCCCATCTTCTCATCTTAGAACCATGCAGCGTTAATGCTGGAAGGGACCTTGGAGTCGATTCCAACCCCGTGAACTGGGCCAGGGAAGGAAGTGCCTTGCCCAAGGTCATGGTAAGTGACAGAATTACAGCCTGGGCCTCTGGCTCAGACCTGAACGTTTTCTTTTTCTTTTCCAGATGGAGTCTTGCTCTGTCGCCCAGGCTGGAGTGCAGTGGCGCGATCTCGGCTCACTGCAAACTCTGCCTCTCGGGTTCACGCCATTCTCCTGCCTCAGCCTCCCGAGTAGCTGGAACTACAGGTGCCCGCCACCATGCCCGGCCAATTTTTTGTATTTTTAGTAGAGACGGGGTTTCACCGTGTTAGCCAGGATGGTCACGATCTCCTGACCTCGTGATCCACCCGCCTCGGCCTCCCAAAGTGCTGGGATTACAGGCGTGAGCCACCGTGCCCGGCCTAGGCCTGAACGTTTTCTACAGGCCACAAGGCCTGCCTGGGGCAGTCTGACTGACCACACCCAAGACTGTCACCTTCTGTCCTAATTTACCCCAGCGTGCCAAGAAACAGACATCTCTGGATGAGAAGTGGATGTGGTGACTGGATGGGGCCATCTCTGGTGCTTGGGGGCCCCCTGGTGGTCACCAATGGCAGGGACGTCTGATCTCACACACTGATCTCACACACTGTTATCTGGTCCGCGGTCCTGCAGCTCCGCCTTAGCTCTGTGGCTCAGCACCTTGCACTGATGTGGCCCAGCTCTGTACCCAGCTCCCTGGGAGTAGAGGGTGGGTTTTTGTTGTTGTTTTTTTGAGATGGAGTTTCGCTCATTGCTCAGGCTGGAGTGCAATGGCACGATCTCGGCTCACTACAACCTCCGCCTCCCTGGTTCTAGTGATTTTCCTGCCTCAGCCTCCCAAGTAGGTGGGATTACAGGCATGCACCACCATGCTCATCTAATTTTGTATTTTTAGTAGAGGTGGGATTTCACCATGTTGGTGGTCAGGCTGGTCTCGAACTCCTGACCTCAGGTGATCCACCCGCCTCGGCCTCCCAAAGTGCTGGGATTATAGGCATGAGCCACTGCACCTGGCCTTGAGGGTGGGTTTTTAACAGGACCATGGAAGGCAGGAGCTCCACATTCTTAAACATGTTGCCTGGCAACTATTGCATTGCACACCTCTTATATGTCAGGCACTTTTTTTTTTTTTTTTTAAGACAGAGTTTGGCTCTTGTTGCCCAGGCTGGAGTGGGTGGAGTGCAATGGCACGATCTCGGCTCACTGCAACCGCCGCCTCCTGGGTTCAAGTGATTCTCCTGCCTCAGCCTCCTGAGTAGCTGGGATTACAGGCATGCTCCACCACTGCCCCCACAGCCGGCTAATTTTGTATTTTTAGAAGAGATGGGCTTTCTCCATGTTGGCCAGGCTGGTCTCACACTCCTGACCTTAGGTGACCCGCCCGCCTCGGCTTCCCAAAGTGCTGGGATTACAGGCATGAGCCACTGCGCCTAGCCATATCAGGCACCTCTTATTACACTTTTGTCAATTTTTTTGCGGAGGGGAAACAGGGTCTCAGTCTGTCCCCCAGCCTAGAGGGCTGTGGTACAATCACAGCTCACTGCAGTCTTCACCTCCCAGGCTCAAGCGATCCTCCCACTTTAGCCTCCCGCGTAGCTGGGACCACAGGCACGGACCACCATGCTCCGCCAATTTTTGTAATTTTTTTTTTTTTGCAGAGAGGGCATTTCATCATGTTGCCCAGGCTGATCTCAAACTCCTGGGCTTGTGTCCGAAACTGGTGAGTGCTTGGTCTCACTGACTTCAAGAAGGAAGCCGCGGACCCTCGCAGTGAGTGTTACAGCTCTTAAGGTGGTGCATCTGGAGTTTGTTCCTTCTGATGTTCAGATGTGTTCGCAGTTTCTTCCTTCTGGTGGGTTCGTGGTCTCGCTGGCTGAGGAGTGAAGCTGCAGACCTTCGCGGTGAGTGTTATAGCTCTTAAGGCAGCGCGGCCGGAGTTGTTCATTCCTCCCGGTGGGCTCGTGGTCTTAGTGGCTTCAGGAGTGAAGCTGCAGACCTTCGTGGTGAGTGTTACAGCTCATAAAAGCAGTGTGGACCCAAAAAGCGAGCAGTAGCAAGATTTATCGCAAACAGCAAAAGAACAAAGCTGCCATATTGTGGATGGGGACCTGTGCCCGTTGCCACTGCTGGCTCGGGCAGCCTGCTTTTATTCTCTTATCTGGCCCCACCCACATCCTGCTGATTGGTAGAGCCGAGTGGTCTGTTTTGACAGGGCGCTGATTGGTGCGTTTACAATCCCTGAGCTAGACACAAAGGTTCTCCACGTCCCCACTAGATTAACTAGATACAGAGTGTCGACACAAACATTCTCCAAGGCCCCACCAGAGTAGCTGTCAAGCCTCTGAGCCCAAGCCAAGCCATCGCATCCCCTGTAACTTGCACATATACGCCCAGATGGCCTGAAGTAACTGAAGAATCACAAAAGAAGTGAATATGCCCTGCCCCAACTTAACTGATGACATTCCACCACAAAAGAGGTGTAAATGGCGGGTCCTTGCCTTAATTGATGACATTACCTTGTGAAAGTCCTTTTCCTGGCTCATCCTGGCTCAAAAAGCACCCCCACTGAGCACCTTGCGACCCCCCACTCCTGCCCGCCAGAGAACAAACCCCCTTTGACTGTAATTTTCCTTTACCTACCCAAATCCTATAAAACGGCCCCACCCTTATCTCCCTTCGCTGACTCTCTTTTCGGACTCAGCCCACCTGCACCCAGGTGATAAAAGCTTTATTGCTCACACAAAGCCTGTTTGGTGGTCTCTTCACACGGATGCCCATGAAAGTAGCCAGATACAGACTGTCGATTGGTGCATTCACATACCCTGAGCTAGACACAGGGTGCTGATTGGTGTGTTTACAAACCTTGAGCTAGATACAGAGTGCCGATTGGTGTATTTACAATCCCTGAGCTAGACATAAAGGTTCTCCAAGGCCCCATCAGAGTAGCTAGATACAGAGTGTGGATTGGTGCATTCACAGAACCTGAGCTAGACACAGGGTGCTGATTGGTGTATTTACGATCCCTGAGCTAGACATAAAGGTTCTCCAAGTCTCCACCAGACTCAGGAGCCCAGCTGGCTTCACCCAGTGGATTCCGCACCAGGGCTGCAGGGGTAGCTGCCTGCCAGTCCCGGTGCCGTGCGCCCGCACTTCTCAGCCCTTGCGTGGTCGATGGGACTGGGCGCTGTGGAGCAGGGGGTGGTGCTCGTCGGGGAGGCTCGGGCCGCACAGGAGCCCATGGAGGGGAGGCTCAGGCATGGCGGGCTGCAGGTCCCGAGCCCTGCCCCGCGGGAAGGCTGCTAAGGCCCAGTGAGAAATCGAGCGAGCACAGCGCCGGCGGGCTGGCACTGCTGGGGCACCCAGTACACCCTCCGCAGCCGCTGGCCCGGGTGCTAAGCCTCTCATTGCCCGGGGCCTGGCAGGGCTGGCCCGCTGCTCCGAGTGCGGGGCCCGCCAAGCCCACGCCCACCCGGAACTCCAGCTGGCCCGCAAGCGCCGCGCGCAGCCCCGGTTCCTGCTTGAGCCTCTCCCTCCACACCTCCCTGCAAGCTGAGGGAGCCGGCTCTGGCCTTGGCCAGCCCAGAAAGGGGCTCCCACAGTGCAGCGGTGGGCTGAAGGGCTCCTCAAGTGCCACCGAAGTGGGAGCCCAGGCAGAGGAGGCGCCGAGAGCGAACGAGGGCTGTGAGGACTGCCGGCATGCTGTCACCTCTCAGGCTCAAGCCATCCACCCGCCTTGGCCTCCCAAAGTGCTGGGATTACAGGTGTAAGGCACTTTCGTCATTTCATCCTGTCAACCAACTGGTGTGTTGTAGCCAAGGGATGGCCTCAGAGAAGTGAAAAAACTTGTTCAAGATCACAGAACTAGCTGGTGGCTGAGCCAGGTAGGATTTGCAGTTAGATCATCTTGCCAAGCCCCTGCTGTTTCTGTGACACTACTTTCCTGTCAAGAAAGCTGTACATCTTGAATAACGGCTCAATCCAGACTTCAGCCCCACATGGGGGAGAATAAAGACCAAACAGAGAGTGAGGGCTCATTATCACTGGCCATGACACATGGGGCTGAGCTGGACTGGAGGCTCAGAAGTCACAGTGATCTGACAGGGGGCAGGCTCCAGAGACCCCCGTTATTCATCCTTCCAGCATCCAGAAGGCTCTACCAGGTATTTCTTCATGGTTAGAAGGGGCTGGCAGCTTCCCCTCCCACTTCCTGTTTTCATCTGGTACTGGGCTTAGAGCATCTTTGTAAAGGATCTGGAGTAACTCTCATTTGTTGCTGGGGGGAGTGTAGATTGTAAAAAAAAAACCTCCTTGGATGGCAACTTGGTAGTGTCTAGTTAATGTGGAAATGTGTATGTCCTGTGACCAAGCAACTCTACTTCTCAGGTATGCCTCAGAGCAGGAGTACGCAGACCTGAGTATGTACACTGATGTACACTGAATTAGGAATGGCTTTTACACTTTTTTTTTTTCGTTGAGACGAAGTCTCACTCTGTCACCCAGGCTGGAGTGCAGTGGCATGATGTTGGCTCACTGCAACCTCCGCTTCCCAGGTTCAAGCGATTCTCCTGCCTCAGCCTCCCAAGTAGCTGGGATCACAGGTGTGCACCACTATGCCCAGCTAATTTTTTTATTTTTAGTAGAAATGGGGTTTTGCTATGTTGGCCAGGCTGGTCTCGAACTGTTGATCTCAAGTGATCTGCCCACCTCAGCCTCCCAAAGTGCTGGAATTACAGGCGTGAGCCATGGCGGCGCCTGGCCGGCTTTTACACTTTTAAATGGTTAGGGGAAAATTTTTAAAAAGATTATTTTATAAAATGTAAAAATCATATGAAATTCAAATCTCGATGTCTATAAAAAATTCATGTATGTATTGTTTATAGCTGCTTTTGTGCTAGAAAGACAGGGCAGAGTGATTGTGACAGAGACCATACGGCCCACAAGCCTAAAAAATTGACTATCTGGATCTTTGAGTTTGCAAACTATATACATAGTATGTATGTACCAGGAGACATAAACAGAGCTGTTTTTTTCTTTATTATTATTATTTTTTTAGAGACAGGGTCTCTCTCTGTTGCCCAGGCTGGAGTGCAGTGGCATGATCTTGGCTCACTGCAGCCTTGACTGCCCAGGTTCAAGTGATCCTCCCACCTCAGCCTCCTGAGTAGCTGAGACTAAAGGTGTGCACTACCATGCCTGGCTAATTTTTTGATTTTTTTTTTTTTTTTGAGATAGAGTCTTGCTCTGTCACCCAGGCTGGAGTGCAGTGGTGTGATCTCAGCTCACTGCAACCTCCGCCTCCTGGGTTCAAGTGATTCTCCTGCCTCAGCCTCCTGAGTAGCCGGGATTACAGGTGCCTGCCACCATGCCTGGCTAATTTTTGTATTTTTAGTAGAGATAGGGTTTCACCATGTTGGCCAGGCTAGTCTCGAACTCCTGACCTCAAGTGATCCACTTGCCTTGATGTCCCAAAGTTCAGGGATTACAGACGTGAGCCACCATGCCCGGCCATAATTTTTTGATTTTTCGTAGAGACAGTCTCCCTATGCTGCCCAGGCTGGTCTTGAACTACTGTCCTCAAGTGATCCTCCTGCCTTGGCCTCCTAAAAAGTGTTAGGATTACAGCCGTGAGCCACTGCACCTGGCCAGAGATGTTCTTTGGAACACTGTTATAGTAAACCAATGGAAATGCATTTGCAATGCCCATCAACATGGGAATAGCTAGATAGATACTGGTCCCTTCATACTATGTATGCCTCCCAACCTGTCCAGAGTGAAGACTCTGAGAGGAAAGACTCTGAGAGGAAAGCTGTCCAGAGTGAAGACTCTGAGAATTTGTATTCTCAGTGCCCAGAACAGTGCTTGGCATGGGCATCAATGTGATTAGGTCTAAAAACAATATTGAGCGAAAACAGAGCAAATTACATTCCTGTAATATACCAGTTACAAGAATTTTAAGACTCAATACTGGCCGGGCATGGTGGTTCATGCCTGTAATCCCAGCACGTAGGGAGCCTGAGATAGGAGGATTGCTTGTGAGTCCAGGAGTTTAAGATAAGCCTGGGCGACATAAGGAGGCCCCATCTCTACAAAAAAAATCAAAAAATTTGCCGGGCATGGTTGTGCAAGCCTGTAGTTCTAGCTACCTGGGAGGCTGAGGTGGGAGGATCGCTTGGGCCAGGGAGGTTGAGGCTGCAGTGAGCTGTAATCACCCCACTGCAGTCCAGCCTGGATGACAGAGTGAGACCCTGTCCTCGAAAAATAAATAAATAAATAAATAAATAAAATTGATATGGTTTGGCTCTGTCTGCCCACCCAAATCTCATGTTGAATTGTGATTCTGAGTGTTGGAGGTGGGGCCTGGTGGGAGGTAAGTGTGTTGCACCTTCCCTTTTGCCTTTTGTCTTTCTCCTGCTCCCACCATGGAAACGTGATTACTTCCCCTTCGTCTTCCACCCCTTCCTCTTATGATTATAAGTTTCCTGAGGCCTCCTGAGAAGCAAGAAGCCTGTACAGCCCGCAGAACCATGAGCCAGTGAAGCCTCTTTTCTTTATAAATTACCCTGTCTCAGGTATCTTTATAGCAGTGTGAGAACAGACTAATTCAATAATAAAATGAATAAAAGCTCAATATTATTCTTGTTTTTTTTTGAGACAGGGTCCCACTCTGTCACTTAGGCTGGAGTGCAGTGGAGCAATCTTGGCTCACTGAAACCTCTGCCCCCCAGGGCTCAAGGGATCCTTCCACCTTAGCCTCCCTAAGTAGCTGGGACTGCAGGTGCGCACCACTGTGCCTGCCTAATTTTTTTTTTTTTTGAGATGGAGTCTCTCTCTGTCGCCAGGCTGGAGTGCTATGGCAAGATCTTTGCTCACTGCAACCTCTGACTCTTGGGTTCAAGCAATTCTCCTGTCTCAGCCTCCCGAGTAGCTAGTATACAGGCAGGCACGCGCCACCAGGCACAGCTAATTTTTGTATTTTTAGTAGAGACGGGGTTTCACCATGTTGGTCAAGGATGGTCTCGATCTCCTGACCATGTGATCTGCCCACCTCGGCCTCCCAAAGAGCTGAGATTACAGGCATGACCCACTGCACCAGGCCCTTTTTTTTTGAGTAGGAGTCTCACTCTGTTGCCCAGGCTGGAATGCAGTGGCGTGATCTCGGCTCACTGCAAGCTCCGCTTTCCAGGTTCACGCCATTCTCCTGCCTCAGCTTCCTGAGTAGCTGGGACTATAGGCGCCTGCCACCACGCCCAGCTAATTTTTAATATTTTTAGTAGAGATGGGGTTTCACCATGTTAGCCAGGATGGTCTCGATCTCCTGACCTTGTGATCCACCCGCCTCGGCCTCCCAAAGTGATGGGATTACAGGCGTGAGCCACTGCTCCTGGCCTTTTTTGTGTTTTTTATAGAGAGGGGGTTTGCCATGTTGCCCAGGCTGGTCTCAAACTCCTGGGCTCGAGCAATCTTCCCGCCTCAGCCTTCCAAAGTGCTGGGATTACAGGCGTGAGCCATTGCACCTGGCAGCTCAATACTATTATGTAGTAGAAGTATAAAAACAAACTAGAAGCCTGCCAGCTGAATTCATTAAAGTGGCTGGCTTTGCCAGGGGAACAAGATGGACTTCCAGCTTAGCCATAATGTTTTATTTATTTATTTATTTTGTAGAGATGGGATCTTACTGTGTTGCCCAGGCTGGTCTCAAACTTCTAGGCTCAAGCGATCCTCCTGCATTGGCCTCTCAAAGGGCTGAGATTATAGGCATGAACCATGGTGTCCAATTTATTTCTTTTTTGATTAAAAAACTTCACAGACTAATGAAATGTTAACATGATTAAACTTGGGTGGAGAATATATGGGTACATATTTGTTATGTTATTCTTTGTACTTCTATGTAGTTTTCAAATTAAAAAACAAAACAAAACTGGAAGGTAGCCGGGCAGGGTGGCTCATGTTTGTAATCCCAGCACTTTGGGAGGCCAAGGCGGGCGGATCACTTGAGGTCAGGAGTTCGAGACCAACCTGGCCCACATGGTGAAACCCCATCTCTACTAAAATACAAAAATCAGCTGGGTGTGGTGGTGTATGCCTGTAATCCCAGCTACTGGAAAGGCTGAGGCAGGAGGATCGCTTGAACCCTGGCAGCAGAGGTTGCGGTGAGCCGAAATCGCAACACTGCACTCCAGCCTGGGTGACAGAGTGAGATTCCGTCCCAAAACAAACAAACAAACAAACAAAGCTGGAAGGTAAAATAATACAGTGAACTTTCTAAGCATGAAAGTGACACTTGGCTGGGCGCGGTGGCTCATGCCTGTAATCCCAGTACTTTGTGAGACCGAGGCAGGTGGATCACCTGAGGTCAGAAGTTCAAGACCAGCCTGGCCAACATGGCGAAACGCCATCTCTTCTAAAAATACAAAAAAATTAGCCAGGCATGGTGGCGTGTGCCTGTAATCCCAGCTACTTGGGAAGCTGAGGCAGGATAATTGCTTGAACCTGGGAGGCGGAGGTTGTAGTGAGCCAAGATTGTGCCACTGCACTCCAGCCTGAGCGACAGAATGAGACTCTGTCTTTAAAAAAAAAAAAAAAAGTGACACTGAGTTTCTTCAGGAAATTAGAAGCCACGCCAACAAGGTTCATCCAGACAGTGGATGAAGAAGCCTCTAGACAGTGAGCAGACGGAAAAATGGCCCATAGACCTTATGTGGGCAAGAACCAGGGAATCATGGCGAATGACCTCAGCTCTCTGGAAGAGGGTGATAAACTCTCTCCGGTCACTTACAACCAAGGCTGAAGATTTATAACCTCTTGTGAGGCTGGGCTCCTCAGGAAGAATGCTCATTACAGCTACAAACATTGAACAGGCTGGAAAGGGCTTCAGGCAGCTGTGCCTGCCATATGTATGTCTTCGGATCACACACTCAAGAAAAGTTGGCTTTTGAAGTCATGGAAAGCTGTCAAGGGCCAGAAGGACTGCTACATGGAGACCCAAAGACAAATGAAGACTGACTGGATAACAGAACCCCAGAGTGATGGTTAATATTGAGTGTCAACTTGATTGGATTGAAGGATACAAAGTATTGATCCTGGGTGTGTCTGTGAGGGTGTTGCCAAAGGAGATTAATATTTGAGTCAGAGGACTGGGAAAGGTAGACCTCAATTGGGGTGAGCACAATCTAATCAGCTGCCAGAGCAGGCAGAATAAAAAGCAGGCAGAAGAGCATGGAAAGACCAGACTGGCTGAGTCTTCTGGCCTCCATCTTTCTCCCGTGCTGGATGCTTCCTGCCCTTGAACGCTGGACTCTAAGTTCTTCAGCTTTGGGACGTTTGGACCTTTGACCACAGACTGAAGGCTGCACTGTTACCTTCCCTACTTTTGAGGTTTTGGGATGCGGACTGGCTTCCTTGCTCCTCAGCTTGCAGACGGCCTGTTGCGTGAGTCAATACTCCTTAAACTCCCCTTTATATATACAACTATTGTATTAGTTCTGTCCCTCTAGAGGACCCTGACTAATACATCCAAGCTGAGGCCGGAAGAAGGCAGCACAGCCTGAGAGAAGGCGCATTGAACTTGGTATCAGGTCAGCCTGGGTTCAACTGCAGGACTCATTTAACCCACCTGAACCTGTCCTCACATCCTAAAAGGACACGGAGGAGGTGCTTAACCGTAGTCCTCCCACCACACCCTTCCTGGAAGGGAATCAAAGATCTATGAGAAGGTTTTGGGATTGGTTTGCAAAATCAAAGGTTAAAATGGGGCAAGGATTGGAGCCCTAAAAATAGATGAAGAATCCGGACGCTAGGATCAAAACATCTGCCACAGAGATTGAAGGGCGGGTTTGGGAAACACAGGAGAAGTGTTGTTTTGCAAAGTCAACTTTAGGAGTTTCATTTTACCGAAAGGCAGCTGAAGATTAAAGGAAGGTAGTGATGCCAAATATTGTGACCAGGGCTGGAGTATGATCAGGAGCCAGAGCAAGGCCAGGCCAAAACCTGTATTTAATGGAAATTATGAATACAGGCAGACCTCGGAGATATTGCAGGTTCGGTTCCAGACCACCACGATAAAGGGTGTCACAGAGGTGCTGGTTTCCCACTGCATAGAAAAGTTATGTTTACACAATATGGTCCGGGCACGGTGGCTCATGCCTGTAATCCCAGCACTTAGGGAGGCCGAGGCGGACGGATCACTTGAGCCCAGAAGTTCAAGTCCAGCCTGGGCAACATTGCAAGACCCCATCTCTACAAAAAAATAAAAAATTAGCTGGGTGTGGTGGCACTCACCTATAGTCCCAGTTACTTGGGAGGCTGAGGTGAGAGGATCATCTACCTGAGCCCGAAGAGGTCAAGGCTACAGTGAGCTGTGATAGTGCCACTGATTTCAGCCTGGATGACAGAGTGAGACCCTGTCTCAAAAAAAAAAAGTTAGGTTTACACTATACCGTAGTCTATTAAGTGTGCAATAGCATTATATTTAAAAACATATATATGTACATACTTTAATTTAAAAATAATTGGCCGGGCGCAGTGGCTCGTGCCTGTAATCCCAGCACTTTGGGAGGCCGAGACGGGTGGATCACCTGAGGTCAGGAGTTCGAGACCAGCCTGGACAACATAGTTAAACCCCGTCTCTACTAAAAGTACAAAAATTAGCCGGGTGTGGTAGCTGGCGCCTATAGTCCCAGCTACTCAGGAGGCTGAGGCAGGAGAATCGCTTGAATCCGGAGGCAGAGGTTGCAGTGAGCCAAGAATGCACCATTGCACTCCAGCCTAGGTGACAGAGCAAGACTCTGCCTCAAAAAACAAAACAAAACAAAACAAAAAACCTTTATTGCTAAAAATGCTAACAATCATCTGTGCCTTCAGCAAGTCCTAATCTTTTTGCTAGTGAAGGGTCTTGCCTCATGTTGATGACCACTCACTGATCAGGGTGGTGGCTGGTGAAGTTTGGGGTGACTGTAGCAATTTCTTTTTTTTTTCCTTATTTTTGTTTTTATTTTTCCTAGTGCCTTCAGGTGAAAACAATTTCTTAAAATAAGAAAATAATGAAATTTTCTGCATCAATTGACTTTTCTTTTTTCATTTTTGTGTTTTTGTTTGTTTTGTTTTGTTTTGAGATGGGGTCTCCCTCTGTTGCCCAGGCTGGAGTGCAGTGGCACGATCCCGGCTCACTGCAAGCTCCGCCTCCCAGATTCAAGCAATTTTCCTGCCTCAGCCTCCCAAGAAGCTGGGATTACAGGCTCCCACCACCATGCCCGTCTCATTTTTGTATTTTTAGTAGGGACGAGATTTCACCATGTTGGCCAGGTTGGTCTCGAACTCCTGACCTCAGGTGATCTGCCCGCCTCGGCCTCCCAAAGTGCTGGCATTACAGGTGTGAGCCACCATGCCCGGCCGACTCTCCATTTCTAGAAAGGTTTCTCTATAGCATATGATGCTGTTTGACATCGTTCTACCCACAGTAGAACTTCTTTCAAAATTGAAGTCAATGCTGGCCTGGAGCGGTGGCTCACGCCTGTAATCACAGCACTTTGGGAGGCTGAGGCGGGTGGATCACCTGAGGTCAGGAGTTCGAGACCAGCCTGGCCAACATGGTGAAACCCCATCTCTTCCAAAAATAGAAAAAAATTAACTGGGCGTGGTGGCGTGCACCTGTAGTCCCAGCTACTGGGGAGGCTGAGGTGGGAGAACCTCTTGGACCCAGGAGGTGGAGGTTGCAGTGAGCCAAGATCATGCCACTGCACTGCACTCCAGCCTGGGCGACAGAGCAAGACTCCATCTCAAAAAAAAAAAAAAAGAAAGAAAGAAATGGAGTCAATCCTCTCAAACTGCTGCTGCTTTATCAACTAAGTATATGTAATATCCTAAATCTTTGTTGCCATTTCAGCAATGTTCACAGCCTCTTCACCGGGAGTAGATTCCATCTCAAGAAACCACTTTCCTTGCTCATCCATAGAAGCAACTCATCTGTTCAAATGTTATCATGAGATGGCAGCAATTCAGTCCCATCTTCAGGCTCCACTTTTTTTTTTTTTTTTTTTTTTTTTGTAGAGACGAGGTCTTGCTATGTTACCCAGGTTGGTTTGGAACTTCTGAGCTCAAGTTATCCTCCTGCCCTGGCCTCCCAAATTGCTGGGATTGCAGGTGTGAGCCAGTGGGCCTGGCCTCAGGGTCCACTTCTAATTCTAGTTCTTTTGCTATTTCTACATCTGCAGTTTTTTCCTCCACTGAAGTGTGTCTTCAGCCCCTCAAAGTCACCCATGAAGGTTGTAATCAACTTCTTTCAAACTCCTGCTAATGTTAATTTTTTGAGATGGAGCCTTGCTTTTGTCACCCAGGCTGGAGTGCAATGGCATGATCTCGGCTCACTGCAACCTCCGCCTCCCGGGTTCAAGCGATTCTCCTGCCTCAGCCTCCCAAATAGCTGGGGTTACAGGAAAGCGCCACCATGCCCGGCTAATTTTGTATTTTTAGTAGAGATGTGGTTTCACCATGTTGGTCAGGCTGGTCTCGAACTCCTGTCCTCAAGTGATCCACCCGCTTCATCCTCCCAAAGTGCTGGAGTTACAGGTGTGAGCCGCTGCACTCGGCCTAATTTTTAAATTTTTTTAATACAGATGGGTTCTCACTTTGTTATTCAGGCTGCTCTTGGCCTCCTGGGCTCAAGCGATCTTCTTGCCTCAGCCTCCCAAAGTGCTGGAATTATAGGTGTCAGCCACCACTCCCGGCCTAATCATGAATATTCTTTTTTTGTTTTTTGAGAGAGTCTCACTCTGTCACCCAGGCTGAAGTGCATTGGCACGATCTCGGCTCACTGCAACCTCTGCCTCCCGGATTCAAGCGATTCTCATGTCTCAGCCTCCCGAGTAGCTGGGACTACAGGTGCGTGCCACCATACCTGACTAAGTTTTGTATTTATTTATTTATTTATTTATTTATTTATTTATTTATTTATTTTTAGTGGAGATGGAGTTTCACCATGTTGGCCAGCTTGGTCTCAAACTCCTGACCTCAGTTTATCCACCTGCCTCAGCCTCCCAAAGTGCTGGGATTATAGGCATGAGCCACCACGTCCGGCCCTAATCATGAATATTCTTAATGGCATCTAGAATGATGAATGCTTTCTAAGTTTTCAGTTTACCCAGATCCATCAGCGGAATCACTATGGCAGCTCTAGCCTTACAAAATGTATTTCTTAAAAAAGACTTGAAAGTTGAAATTACTTCTTCATCCATGGGCTGCAGAATGGATGTGTTAGCAGGAATGAAAACAATATTATTTCCCTGGTATCCCTCCATCAGAGCCCTTGGGTAATCAGGTGCATCGTCAATCAGCAGTAATAACTTTAAAAAATATTTTTTTTGGCTGAGTGCGGTGGCTCATGCCTGTAATCCCAGCTACTCAGGAGGCTGAGGCAGGAGAATCGCTTGAACCTAGAAGCAGAGGTTGCAGTGAGCTGAGATCATGCCACGGCACTCCAGCCTGGCCGACAGAGCCGACGAAGGAGTTGGTCTCAACAGTGGCTTAAAATGTTCGGTAAACCATGCTGGGAACAGATGGGCTGTCATCCAGGCTTTGTTGTTCCATCCACAGAGCACAGGCAGAATAGATTTAGCATCATTCTTAAGAGCCCTGGGATTTTCGGAATGGTAAATGAGCATTGGCTTCAACTTAAAGTCGCCAGCTGCATTAGCCCTAACGAGAGTCAGCCTGTCCTTCGAAGCTTTGAAGCCAGGGATTGACTTCTCTTCTGTAGCTATGAAAGTCCCAGGTGGCATCTTCTTCCAATAGAAGGCTGTTTGTCTACATTGAAAGTCTGTTTTTGAGTGTAGCCACCTTCGTCAGTGAGATCAGCTAGATCTGATGGATAACTTACTGCAGCTTCTCCATCAGCACTTGCTGCTTCACTTTGCACTTTTATGTTACAGAGACGGCTTCTTTCTTTCAACCTCACAAAACAACCTCTGTTAGCTTCTGACTTTTCTTCTGCAACTTTCTCACCTCTCTCTGCCTTCAAAGGATTGAAGAGAGTGAGGGCCTTTCTCCGGACTAGGCTTTGGCTTAAAGGAATGTTGTGGCTGATTTGATCTTCTTTCCAGACTCAAACTTTCTCCGTATCAGCAATAATGCTATTCTGCTTTCATATCATTTGTGTGTCCACTAGAGCAGCACTTTTAATTTAATTTATCATTTTTATTTTTTATTGTTTTGAGACAGAATTTCGCTCTGTCACCCAGGTTGGAGTGCAGTGGTGCGATCTTGACTCATGGTAACCTCCGCCTCCCCACTTCAAGCGATTCTCCTGCCTCAGCGTCCTAAGTAGTTCGGAGTACAGGCATGCACCACCACGCCCAGCTAATTTTTTGTATTTTTAGTAGAGATGGGGTCTTGCCATGTTGGCCAGGCTGGTCTCGAACTCTTTTTAAAACATTTTTTTTGAGACAGAGTTTCGCTTTTGTTACCCAGGCTGAAGTGCAGTGGTGTGATCTCGGCTCACTGCAACCTCTGCCTTCCGGTTTCAAGGATTCTCCTATCTCAGCCTCCCGAGTAGCTGGGATTACAGGCGCCCACTGCCATGCCTGGCTAGTTTTTGTATTTGTAGTAGAGACGGGGTTTCACCATGCTGGCCAGGCTGGTCTCGAACTCCTGACCTTGTGATCTGCCCGCCTCAGCCTCCCAAAGTGCTGGGATTACAGTTGTGAGCCACCGTGCCCAACCTGGAGCAGCACTTTTAATTTCCTTAAAGAACTCCCCCTTCACAACTTGGCTACCTGTTTGGTGCAGGAGACCTGACTTTTGGCCTCTCTCAGCTTTCAACATGCCTTCCTCACTAAGCATAATCATTTTGACCTTTTGATTGAAAGTGAGAGATGTGTGATTCTTTCTCCCTTTTTCTGTTTTCTTGTTTTGAGACAGGGTCTCACTGTCGCCCAGGTGGGAGTGCAGTGGCAGGATCTCAGGTCACTGCAGCCTCTGCCTTCACCTCCCAGGCTCAAGGGCTCCTTCCACCTCAGGCTTCCTAGTAGCTGGGACTACAGGTGCGTGCCACATGCCCAGCTAATTTTTATATTTTTTGTAGCGATAAGGTTTCATTGTGTTGCCCAGGCTGATCTCCAACTCCTGAGCTCAAGGGGTCCACCAGCCTTGGCCTCCCAAAGTGCTGGGATAACAGGCGTGAGTCACCAGGCCTGGCCAATGACTCTTTCTCTCACTGGAACACTTAAGAGGCCATTGTAGGGTTACTAACAGGCCTAATTTCAATATTATTTTGTGTCTCAGGGCATGGAGAGACTCAAGAAGAGGGAGAGAGACAGGGAATGGAGTGAGCAGTGTGAGCAGTGAGAACACACTCGACATTTATTAAGTTCACCATCTTTTTTTTTTTTTTGACAATGTCTCACTGTGTCACCCAGGCTGGAGTGCAATGGCACGATCTTGGCTCACTGGAACCTCCGCCTCCTGGGTTCAAGCAATTCTCCTGCCTCAGTCTCCCAAGTAGCTGGGATTACAGGCGCCTGCCACCACACCCGGCTGTTTTTTGTATTTTTAGTAGAGACGGGGTTTCCCCATGTTGTCCAAGCTGGTCCTGAACTCCTGACCTCAGGTGATCCACCTGCCTCGGCCTGCCAAAGTGCTGGGATTACAAGCGCGAGCCACCGTGCCCGGCTAAGTTCACCATCCTATATGGGTGCAATTTGTGGTGCCCCAACAATGACAATAGTAACATCAAAGATCACCGATCACACATCACCATAACAGATATAATGAAAAAGTTTGAGATATCGAGAGGATTTACCAAAATGTGACCCAGAGACGCTAAGTGAGCACATGCTGTTGGGAAAATGGCACCGACAGATTTGCTTGATGCAGTGTTGCCAGAAACCTTCAATTTGTCCTTTTCTTTTTCTTTTGAGACACAGTCTCACTCTGTTGCCCAGGCTGGAGTGCAGTGGCGAGATCTTGGCTCACTGCATGCTCCACCTCCCGGGTTCAAGCAATTCTCCTGCTTCAGCCTCCCAAGTAGCTGGGATTACAGGCGCCTGCCTCCATGCCCAGCTGATTTTTTTATTTTTAGTAGAGACGGGGTTTTGCCATGTTGGCCAGGCTGGTCTCAAACTCCTGACCTTTAGTGATCCGCCCACCTTAGCCTCCCAAAGTGTTGGGATTACAGGCATGAGCCACCATGCCTGGCCAAACCTTCAATTTGTAAAAACTGCAATAACCGTGAAGCACCATGAGGTGTATTGGGAGATGAAGGTCTGCAGCTGGTGATGGACACATGGTACACCTTTCCTAACAAGACCTTACCAAAGCCACACAAGTACGAAAAGAGAGTAAACCTAGGCCCCCGACCCCAGGTCAGGGTCCCTTCATCCTCCCCTGGGCACCTCCCCATCTGCAGACCCATCGCCCTCAGATTACACACCTGGGGCTAGTACTCTAAGGCCAAAAAACCCAAAATCTGAGCCTGCCAATACTGCAGTGAAGTATAGTAACTGATGCACAAAGCACTGTGGAGAACTTTTTATTGTTTAAAAATCATAATCGAAGCTTCAAAAAACATACAAGCCAAGACATCCCAGTTCTAGTCCCCCACTCCCTAAAGGAGTACACAGAACTATCCTTCCCCTCCTGCTCCCACACTGCTGGCCAGGACCCTGCCCGGGGAGGTTGCCTGCCCACCCTCCTGCCTGCTGTACAGTAAGTCACCGGCTGGGGAGGAGCCCTGGGGGAGGTCAGGGTGGCTGGCTCCCAGCACCCCCACCCCCTGCACGAATGCAGCATATGAGCTGTGTGTGGGAAAATGGGGACAGTGCCCTGGGCAGGGGACCCCCAAGGGGGAAAGAGCCTGTCCCCATTCCCCCTACCCCTCCCCAGCCCCCCAGCTCAAGGGAAGCTGTCATCATCATCTTCTGCCATCTCCTTGGCAAACTCCAAGTCCTGCTGTTCTCGCTCACGCCGTTCCTGGGGAGAGAGGCAAGTGAGGCCAAAGCTTCAGAGCAGCTCAGCCCTTCCAGACACTCGCCCGACTCCCCTTCTGTGTGGAAGTTTGACCTTTCGGTCTCACCCAGAAAGCAGAGAGCTTACCTCTGCAGACTCCAAGTCCTTGTTGTACGATTTGGGAGGAAACCTCATGGCCTGGGGCACAGCAAAGAGAGGAGATGAGCGAGGGAAGGAAGCAGGTGAGGCACTCACGCAACCTGCACTCCCTGCGTCCCCTCTGTGAGCTAGACACCAGGCAGGAAGCGGCGGGCCCCTCTCCAGTTAGTCTAGTGGGGGGCTAGGCATCAAAGGAATTATTACAGTGCCCTGTGGGAAATGCTGAAAAAAGAGGAATAAACGACCAACTCTCTTGACTGGGCAGGGAGGAGGAAAAGGAGGAACACAGTGGATGTGGCAACGGGGAGAGGCCTTCCCGGTGGAGGATTCCATGTGGGAGGGGCCTGGCCTGCACCCAGTGGGCTGGCTGCTGGGTGGTGGGGCAGGAGTGGGAGGGGAGGCTTGACCTAAGGGACCAGGTCACAAAGGGCCTTGCATGTCACGTGGAGTAGGGCTTAGCCAGATTTTAAGCAAGGCAGCAATATCCTAGTTTCCTCGGAGGAGACCAGAAAAAAACATGGCAAGCAAATAGTAACAGCGCCAAACTCAGTGCTTAACTGAGGATAAGGGCTCACCCTTTTGTGGAGCTAGATACCAGCGCCATCTTTTTTACAATTTAGACTTCGCTAAGTGCCTCAATACAGGGACTTCTTTTAATCTTACCAACCCTGTGAAGCAAGCAAGACAGGTAACACCTCCCTATCAGCTTCAGAGATGGAGAAACAGAGCTTTGAGAAGTTAAATGCCTCAAATTTGGAACCAAATGTAGAACCCCGCCCTCTGAATCCCTGCCTGGTCCTCCCTGGTGACCACATCATCCCTTAAACGCAATAGGAGAGGGCAACTGGCTATGGAACTATGGCCAAGTCCCCTCCCCATTCTGGGCCCCCTGTGCTGCAGCTCAGTGATTTTACAGAGATTGGCTGGGACGTGGGCCACAAATTAAGCCAGTCTTCTCTGAGGAATCCATGAGTGTGGAGGGAGGGGTGTGCTGCTGCCAGGCGTGACTCTGCAGCCACGGGCTTCTCACCTTGACAGACATGTTGTGGATATCTAGGCAGAAGGAGATGCGCTGGTGGAAGGCTAGCTGGGGCTCTCGGGTGGAATAGATGTCAATCATCTCCTTGGATTGGACATAGCCCTTCTCGTGGTTGATGCTGGCCTCAATGACACCATCCCGGATGGCCTGCAGGCCCCCAAAGAGGAAAGTTCACCAGCACACCCAGCTTCTTCTTTTTTTTTTTTTTTGAGATGGAGTCTCGCTCTGTCACCCAGGCAGGAGAGTGCGGTGGTGCGATCTCAGCTCACTGCAACCTTTACCTCCCGGGTTCAAGCGATTCTCCTGCCTCAGCCTCCCAAGTAGCTGGGATTACAGGAACCTGCCACCAGGCCTGGCTAATTTTTGTATTTTCAGTAGAGATGGGGTTTCGCCAAGTTGGCCAGGCTTGTCTCAAACTCCTGACCTCAGGTGATCTGCCCATGTCAGCCTCCCAAAGTGCTGGGATTACAGGCATGAGCCACTGCGCCTGGCCCAGCACGCCCATCTTCTAAGTCAGAGAACATCTTGTTCCATCCCATTCCTCTGCCCTCCTTATATTCTCACACTCACAGGCACTATCATAAACTCAACATGTGCACACACCTACACTCACACACTCACATGCACATCCATGCTCTCTCTGGCAACTTCTTGGCTTCACTGCAAATGACGGGCACGCCCTGAAATGACTATGCCATTGCTTTACCTATTCCCCTCCTTGGCCAAACTCCTCCCACTCCTGCCTCCTGAGATTGGCAGGAAAGTGACAACCTGGTCACTGTGGTTCCTGAACCAGCCCCACCTTGGCAACAATGAACTCTGCATCTTCGGGGCTATCCAACTGCAGCTTCTGGGCGATGTCAGCCAAGGAGATTCGGGAATAGGAGAGGCTGATCATGCGTACACCTGGGAGAGGAAGGAGCGATGGGGTGGGCAGAGTGGACACAGACCCTTCACTTGCCCAAGGATACCCACTAGGTTTGCCCTGGCCTGGCTTCTGCTCCTCCAACAGCCCCTCAGATCCTGATCCACACCTGTCTTAATCACGTTGTGCCGCAGCCGGATAATTAGGGTGTAGGTCCCATCTGCTTGAAACTTCTCCCCAAACTGATCCAGGACCTGGTTGAACTTGGCTAGGTTTCCTGTCCTGACAGCTGCAGGCAGAACAGGAGTAGATTGGATGATGCAAATAGGCACAGGCATGTAAGAGGCCCCACTGAAGGGGGCCTAGTGGGCTCTGGGGTGGGGAAGCCAGCCTTACCTTGAGTCAGAAGGAAATAGGGCATGAGTGAGCGCTTGAGGGAGGGCTGGCGGAACTGCAGCCGGTCAGGGATCTCCCCCAGCAACAGCTCCACCACGATGAGAAGCTTGTGCACCTGGACAGAGTGACAGGGGAACACAGTGGGCAGGGAGCCCCATGGGCGGAAGAAGAAAATGAAATGTGGCCTAAATTCTGCCAGATGTAGTGGGAAACAGGGAAAGGGATCACTGTTTAGGCCCAGAGAGAGGAGGAAGCCCTGAAAACCTGTGCTGGGCATAGAATCCAAGCTCTGCCTTTGGAGCCGGGTGCTGGGAATGTGGCCCTTTGGTCACATTTGGTCGCAGAGCCGTCAGCTGCATTTCACCTGGCCACCCCGCGCGTAGTCTGCTCTGAAATGACAGTGCTCTAAAGTGAGGCCAGAAGGGCGGGTGCTGTGGCTCAGCAACAGCGAGGGACCAGGGCTCACAGGCCTGGAGAACGGAACGTGTGTCAGCCAGAGATGCTCATTAGGGAGGCGGACTGTTACTAGAGGAGAGGAGGTCATCAGTGGGTAGAACTCATTATCTGGGTAGAGGCATAAGTGCAGGAAGGGGCCTGGCTTCAGTGAATGAGCAGAGTATCCAGACATAGAAGGGTAACTGGAAACCTGGACCTGTCTTCCTCTACAGGACTGTGAAGTATTTCCGAGTGGTGCTGACCGTGGGTGGAGTCAGCATCGCGGAAGAACTACAGTGGAGGGAATGACGCCCCCCAACTCAGGAGTTCACCAGCAAACAGGAGGCACGGAACACAAAGCAGCTAAATCGTGGGGCAGCAAGTGTCACAGGAGACAGGGGTTACAACGGGAGTGTGTGATCACACCTACGGCCAGGCAGACCCTTCACCCTCCACAGGCACCCATGAGGCTGCCCTGTCCACTGGAATAACTCATGTGTGAGGGGAAATCCCTGGAAATGGTTAATTTATGAAGTGCCTTAAGGAGTCTGACAAAGCAGAAAAAGGAGGAGGGTCAAGGGTACAGATTGAAAAAGAGGCAGAAAAGTGTGGGTGCCTGGGGAGCTGTTAGGAAAGAGACAGTTGGGACCGCAGTCTGGGGACTATGCCATTGCCATTTTGTGTGCCAGGCTGAGCAGTATAAAGTCTGCACGTAGAACACTTGGTGTCTAGTCTCTATTCACTAGCTAGGAAACACTGAGCAACTGGGTCCTTAGTTCCTCATCTCTAAAACTACCAAATAACAATAACAATACCTAGCCTGTCTACCTCACAAGACCGTTATGATACCCTACAGCAGTGGGGAGCAATGGAAGCTTCCCAGGCAAGGGAAGGACAGAGCTGGAGCTCTGCTTAGTAAGGCAAGTGAATGTAAGCTGGGCTGCTGGAGAGGAAGATGACCAGGCAGAAGTGTCTGGGAATGTTAGTGGCTCAAACCATGGCACTGGCAATATGAAGGAACAGGCAAACACAGAAGATGTGCAGACAATTCAACAGACGACCAAGTGATGGGAAGGAGGATGGGGGAGAGTCAGAGATGATCCCAAGGCCCTGATCTGGATCGGGAAAGCAGGAGGAAGGAATGGTAAGGGGGCCAGGAGGGATCTCTTTGGGACACGCTGTAGAGAGAGACATGGGGAGTGGGAGGGGGAGCTGGATCTGCAGGCCTGATGCTCGTGAGAGGGGTCAGAGTTAGTGTTATGGGCTAAACTGCATCCCCCTCAAGTTCATGTTAGAGACCTAAACCCCAGTACCTCAGAATGGGACTCTATTTGGACACAGGGCCTTTAAAGAGGTAATTATGGTAAAGTGAGGTCATATGGGTGGACCCTAATCCTACATGACTATTGTCCTTCTAAGACAAAAGCAGGACACAGACACGCACAGAGGGAAGACCATGTGAAAACACCAGGAGACGGCCATCGACAAGCAGACGAGAGAGGCCCTCAGAAGAAACCAATCGTGTCACACTTTGCTGTTGGACTTAGAGCCTCCAGAATTGTGATGAAATCAATTTCGGTTGTTTAAGCCGCCAAGTCTGTGGGACCTTGCGGTGGCAGTGCCAGCAGAGTAACGGAGTTAGTAATGTACAGGCTGAAGAGCATCATGCAGGCGAGCGCTGAAGCTGGGAAAGCAAACAAGGTCACTCAAGGAGAGAATGAGGGTTTTACTATCGACAGAGAAGCTCTCAGAGTGCTCTGCTGAGGCCCAGGTGGTGAGAAGGAGCAGAGAGAACACTGGAGGGAAGGGGCTGGCCAGTGCACTGTTGGGGAGGGAGCCAGGGGAGACAGGAACGGCCGCCTGAGAGAGGAAGCAGCAGGGCTGGGGGTTTTCTTCCCGGAGACTGAAGCAAACAGGTGATGGGCCAAGGCTAGAAGAGAGAGGAAGGAGTGTGATGGAAAACACAGGTAGTGAAGCTGGTGTTAAGTAAAGACAGGGAGGGTGAAAATGGGCGGAGAGAGACATTCAAGTTTACAAGAGACAAGGTGGCTGCAGGAATGAATGCTAGCTGACCTCCGCTTTGAACAGGATGAGCCAGCACCGCCCTCCTCAGAGCGCTCTGTGCCACCAGCAGCACTGGCATCACCCAAGGCCTGTTAGGAACACAGACTCTCTGAATCGGAATCTACAGCTTCATCAGAGCCCCAGGTGATTCTGTAAGCTGGGTGGTGACAGGGGTACGGCAAAGGTGTGTGAGGGCAGAGGGCAGAGGGCTGGTTGCAGGCCTTCTCCCAAACATGCCTTCACTCCCGCCCTCTCTCTCCCTGCGCTCCCTCACCAACAGCCCGAGACCTCTCTTCCAGCTCTCTACGCCTTCCTGCCACTGAGATTTAAATGCCTGAAAGCCTCTCTCATGGTACATGACACATTTTATATATGTTAATTACTAGTATTTTTAGTGATTTTCAAAAGAAACTTTAGTGTCTCTCATATTGTAAGCAATCTAACATTTTGCTCACGCACCCTGTGTGTCTGAAAAGCCTTTACTCCTTGTGAAAATCCTACCCATCTTTCAAAGACCAGTTCAATTTTAATGTTTGTTTTTTTTTGAGACAGAGTCTTGCTCTGTCGCCCAGGCTGCAGTGCAGTGGCACGATCATGGCTCACTGCAGCCTCGACTTCCTGGGCCCAAGTGATCCTTGCACCTCAGCCTCCCAAGTAGCTGGGACTACAGGTGCATGCCATCACGCCCAGCTAGGTTTTTAATTTTTGCAGAGGCGGTGTCTCCATATGTTGCTCAGGTTGGTCTCAAGCAATCCTCTTGCCACAGCCTCCCAAAGTGCTAGGATTACAGGTGTGAGCCCTGTACCTAGCCAACTTTTTCTTTAAGACCCTTTCTCTTTCATTATTTGATCAAAAACAAATCTGACTTTCTCTGAACTTCTGAACAGAAATAAAATGAATCTCCTACTACATTGACCTAATCAACACACGTCTCCCGTTCCCTGTCAAGACACCATGGAGGTGGATGTTGTGTGAAGGTAGGAGCAGAGGTTTGAATTTGGGAAGACTGGGTCTACATCCTGGCTACTGGGCTCTGTGACTTCACATACACCCTCAAGCTTTCTGACACAACATTCTTTATCTCTTTGAAATACTCTAATAATAAGAAATACCTGGCCTGGAGCGGTGGCTCACGCCTGTAATCCCAGGACTTTGGGAGGCTGAGGTGGGTGGATCACTTGAGGTCAGGAGTTCGAGACCAGCCTGGCCAACATGGTGAAACCCCATCTCTACTAAAAATACAAAAAATTAGCTGGGCGTGGTGGCAGGCGCCTGTAATCCCAGTTACTCGGGAGGCTGAGGCAGGAGAATCCCTTGAACCCCAAAGACAGGGGTTGCAGTGAGCCAAGATGGCACCTCTGTCTCCAGCCTGGGAGACAGAGCAAGACTCCGTTTCAAAAAAAAGAACCAAAAAAACAAACAAAAAAATTAGTTGGATGTGGTGGCAGGCGCCTGCCCAGCTACTGAGGAAGCTGAGGCAGGAGAATCACTTGAACTCGGGAGGCAGAGGTTGCAGTGAGAAAAGATCGTGCCATTGCACTCCAGCCTGAGTGACAGAGGGAGACTCTGTCTCAGAAAACAAAAAACGAAAGAAAAGAAAGAAAGATCACTTATTATCCTCCCTTCCTATCCCTTACAGTGCCTAATACCAAGGTTGATGCTTAAATACTTGCTGACTGACAGCTCTTAAGTGGCCAAGTTTTATGTTTACTTGAGCCACTCAGCCTTGCAGAGATTTTCTGGGTTCCTTGGCCACAGACAATACAGTTTCCAAATGTGAACATGAAGGACTAGATAAAAACCTGGGGTTTGTATCAACACAATCTAGGTCCAAGCCTGGAATGACTGTCAGGAGCGCTGGGGAATCAGGAATATTCTAAACCTATCTGCCAGAAACACTCTGAATATCCACTGCCAGAGGTGCAGGTAGTGTCTGCTTCATTGACACCCACAAATAGATGTGAAGCAACCTTTTGCAGACATGGCAGCTCGCACCTGCAATCTCAGCACTTAGGGAGGCAGAGGCCGAAGGATTGCTTGAGCCCAGGAGTTCTCACCTGAGCAACAGTGATATGCCTGTCTCCACACACACAAAAAATAATAATAAAAGTTGAAGTCCTTCTGGATAGGAAGGTTAAGGATGCCTTTCCTAGCCCCTAGCATAGAGAAGAGAACTGAAGTGGTAGGGAATGAGTAACAGGCAAAGGGGCCAGGCATGGTGGCTCATACCTGTGATCCCAGCACTTTGGGAAGCTGAGGTGGGAGGACTTCTTGAACCCAGGAGTTCAAGACCAGCCCAGGTAACATAGCAAGACACCATTTAAAAAAAAAAAAAAAAAAGAGGCAAAGGGATGATGGTAGTTGTGGCTCACCGTCTGTTTGAAGCCGACAGCTGTGTGCTGAGGGGCCTTGCGAAGGGCGTTGGTCATCGTTCTCCGGGCCTCTGAGTACTCCAGCTGGATGGCTTTGATTCGCCCTGGGAGTGGAGGAGAGGAGAGTTGGTCAACAGAGTAGGGTCATCCAACTCCCCACCGACAAGCCAGGGTGCCAAATGGGCCTCTTATGCACCACCCCTTGGAAAATTTGCACCAGGCAGGCCTGAGACACCTTCTGATTTATGGGTTGGGCCCCTCTGCTCACCTGTGTAGTAGAGGTACCTGGCCCACTCATTGTTGTTGGCCTGCTCTGGGAACACAGACTTGGACACCAGCTTCTCAGCCTGGTCGTACAAGCTGTAGTGTAGGTAATTCCGCAGCAGGAGGTTCAACAGGGTGGCCTGCCCGTCTGCGTCATGCCGAAGCGTAGCTGTCCGGAGCCGAGCATGCAAGAAGCTTCAAGAAGGAAAGAAAGATGTCAAAGCCTTCAAATCACAACTCTCTGAACTGCCTTTAACTCTTCGCTCTTTCTCAATTCCTTAAAAAAGTTATACAAATTGCTTTTCTGGTTATTTGCTGAATACTGTTAACTATCGAGTGCCTAAGGTGTACAGCACTATTCTGGGTGCGACAAAGGGACAAAACCCTGCCCTTAGGGAATGCAGTGCAGTGGGGGAGGCAATGGTCATGAGAAAGAAGCACAGCCTGCAGTGTGACAGAAGATGGGAGGCCTGTGAGGCCAGGGGAACTGCAATGGGGAATGCAGGACGTGAGAAAGATGAGTTGAACTTTTCAATAGCTTGGCCAAGGCAGGACTCACTGAGAAGGGATCAGTTAAGGGAAGGCTTGAAGGAGGCGGAGAGAAGAGTGTTCTGGACAGAGGGGCAGCCAGTGCAAAGGCTCTGAAGAAGAGTGTGCCGGGCACACCAGAGGAAAGGCAGGCCAGTGGGGCTGAGGAGCAGGAGGAGGTGAAGTCTGGGAGGTCAAAATGGAGCAGATCACGTCAGGCCTTATGAGGTATTGTAAGGACTTTGTCTTTCCTTGAGACGGGAAGCCACTGCAGGTTTTGAGCAAAGAAGTAAAATGTTTTCTAGCCTGTCCCTCCACCCCTAACCCACCCTCAGTCCTACCTTGATGTGGGGTGAAGGGAAGAACCTGGGGACAGTTCTTTACAGCCCAGCAGTGACCCACTTCTTCATCTAGCACCAGTCTCTCTCCCACACCCCTCACGTGGCGCAGGGCATGGGAACCACTGCCCCTCTTCCCTGCTTACATCTACAGGTTCTTCGCCCTCTGCAGATCCACAGCTGTGTGCTTGTGACTGACCAAGTCTCTGACCCCACGGACCCCAAGTGAGATGCTTGGCTGCCTGTACCTGCGCACCACATCCAGCTTGTCCAGGAACTCATAGACCCGGGCGTGATAATAGTAACACTTTGCGGCTACAAGGTCTAGGGCCCGGCGGTTCTGAGTACTGATCTTCTGCATCAGATCATCAGAGATCTTCTGTGCCTGGGGAGGAAGCCAAAAGAGAATCAAGTGGCAGTTCCTCAAAAGGATAAACATGGAGTTGTCATTTGAGCCAGCAATTCCTATCCTAGGTATGCAAGCCAAGAGAACTGGAAACTTAGGCTCACATAAAAGCATGTACACGAATGTTCACAGAAGCATTATTCATAACCAAAGAGTAGAAACAACCCAGGTGCCCGTCAGCTGATGAACAGATAAACAAAATGTGGCACATCCACACGAGGGAATATTACTCAGCCTTAAAAAGGAAGGAAGTACTGACACACACTACAACATGGGTCAACCTTGAAAACATGATGCTAAGTGAAAAAAGCCAGAAACCAAGGGCACACGGTGTGTAATTCCATTTACATGAAATGTCCAGAGTAAGTAAATCCTCAATAGAGACAGGGCAGATTAGTAGCGGCCAGGGGCTGGGTAAGGGGAAAATGAAAAGTGACTACTAATACGTATGGTGTTTCTTTGTGGGGTGATGAAAATGTTCTGGAATTAGGGGTGGATATACAACTTTGGGAATATACTAAAACCCACTCAATTGTAGTATACTTTATTTATTTGTTTGACGGAGTCTCGCTCTGTCACCAGGCTGGAGTGCAGTGGCACAATCCCGGCTCACCACAACCTCCGCCTCCCTGGTTCAAGCAATTCCCCTGCCTCAGCCTTCTGAGTAGCTGGGTCTACAGGCACACACCACCACGCCCGGCTAATTTTTTGTATTTTTAGTAAAGACAGGGTTTCACCATGTTGGCCAGGATGGTCTTGATTGTCTGACCTCATGATCTGCCTGCCTTGGCCTCCCAAGGTGCTGGGATTACAGGCGTGAGCCACCATACCTGGCCTGTAGTACACTTTAAAGGGGTGAATTATATCTCAAAAACAAACAGCCAAGTACAGTGGCACGTGCCTGTAATCCCAGCTACATGAGAGGCTGAGGCGGGAGGACTACCTGAGCCCAGGAGTTCAAGACCAGCTTGGTTAACATAGCAAGACCCCATCTCCAGTAAAAACAAAACAGTGGGCCAGGCGCAGTGGCTCATGCCTGTAACCCTAACACTTTGGGAGGCTGAGCCCAGGAAATCACTTGAGCCCAGGGGTTGGAGACCAGCTTGGCAAGAAGGTGAAATCCTGTCTCTACAAAAAAAATGCAAAGATTAGCTGGGCGTGGTGGCACATGCCTGTAGTCCCAGCTACCCAAGAAGCTGAGGTGGAAGGATCACTTAAGCCGGGGAGGTCAAGTGAACTGTGATCACACCACTGCCCTCCAGCATGGGCAACAAAGCAAGACCCAATCTCAAAAAAACCCCCAACCAAACAACAACCAAAAATAGTGTGGTAAGGAAAGGAAACAAACCAGGGAATTAAGGAGTGCGACTTACTTCCTGAGTGTGCTCCTGTGACAGTGGCTATGATGAACAAAGAAGCTGGCCCTAGCTGGGGGAGTGGTAGAAGTGCAGTTTGCAAATGGAGCTATTAGTCCATAATAACAGCTACCATTTATGAAAATATCACGAAAGCTTACTATATGCAGATCATTGCGCTAAGTATTTCTAAACAAATTATTTTATGTAACGCTAACCATCTTGTAAGGTAGGCACTATTATCCCCATCTTACATATAGCTGGGAGAAATTAATTTGCCTAGGGTATGGCTGGGATTGGAACCCAGGTCTTTCTGTCTCCAAATGCCCCTACTTTTCCCCAAGAATGTACTACGCTGGTATCCCCCACAGACCGGTACAGCATGACCACTGCAAGCCCTGTCCCACAGTGCCCAGAGCAAGAGTGGGTTCTCCTGGGATGTGGGATCAAACGCATACCTCTATGGGGAAAGAGTGTGGGGGACAGTTCTTAAGAATCAATGATTATTTCCATTTCTTCACCAGGGACCATCTCCCCGCCAAACCCCTTGCATCACTTGGGGCTTATGAATCGCTCTCACTGCATCCTGGATACCTCTTTGTAGCGCTTGCTGTTCATCATGAAGATGACCACGAGGAGTTGGAGATAGGCTTCCACTTCAGGCAGGAGGGGTGTCGACGCAGCTTTTCCCGTGCGGGGACGGAACTGTAAATCAGCCTCTGTGTCCATGGGCTAGGAGAGGACAGAAGTTACCATGGAAAAGCTCAGTCTGATCAAGTAACCAAGAATTTATTGAGCATCCACTATGTATTTCAACATATTTATTGAGTGTCTACCATGTGCCAAGATTTTGTTAGGTGCTAGGGATAAAAAAATAAAGATTACAGTCTTTCCCAAAGAAATCAAGGAGGAGCTGGGTGTGGTGGCTCACGCCGGTAGTGCCAGCTACCTGGAAGGCTGAGGCAGGAGAATGCTTGAGGCCAGGAATTTGAGACCAGTCTGGGCAACACAGTGAGACCCCATCTCTCAAAAAATAAAAAAGAACTAGCCAGGCATGGTGGCATGCACCTGTATTCCCAGCTACTCAGGAGGCTGAGGCAGGAGGACTGCTTGATACCAGGAGTCTGAGCCTGCACTGGGCCATAAGTGTGCCACCGTGCTTCAGCCTGGGTGACAGAGCAAGACCCCATCTCAAAAAAACAAAACAAGTCAAGGAGGCTGGCAATATAATATTAATAAACACAATAAAGTGTTACAGGAGAACAAAAAATTTCTTTACACAACATAATGGAGACAAAGGACGATGTAAGGAACCTTCAAAGAGGCTACAACCTAAGTGGAGACATTAAACCACCACACCTGGATCCACTGCAAATACTACTGGACAGGGCTGAACGAAATAATTCTAGAGATGAAATCAGAATAATGAGACCAAAAAATGGTTTCTTGTGGGAACAAAGAAAATTTAGGGAAAGTCAACATATAAACAAAACATATTTTCCTATGTTGTCACTGACACTGGAAAAAATAATGTGTTACAGTCACCCCCAAAATAATCACGTTTCGTGAGTTTAGCGATGTGAAGGTCAGAAAATATTCAAGGTGGAGTTGGGGGAACAGTACGCTTTTCCCCTTTCCCAGACAAGAAACTCTTCACTGCCCTGCCTCCAGGGATGTTCTGAGTTTCCCCATCCACGGAGCTGACTGAGTATACAGGATTTTAAGGAAATGCAGGTGCTGGAAGGTCAGTGGAATTGGAGAAGGCTGAGACCTGGCCCATGCCATGAATCATGAGGGAGAGTTTACAGCTACAGAGGATAAGGAGAGGTCTCTCCTGGCACGGAGGCGCCACCACCACCACCAAACTGACTTCGTCTGCATTCACTACGTACCAGGCACTGCTCTAGGAGCTTTATACTGCCCGCTTCCCAATCCGTTCATCACGTTTAACAAATGAAGAAAACGAGGCACAGCAAAATGAAGTCACTCGCCCAAGTCCCACAGGTACTAACTGTCAGGGTTTGGATTCAAATTCAACTCTACCTCTAAAATCTGTGGGGTTTTTTTTGTTTTGTTTTGAGGTAGGGGGGTCACCCTGTCACCTAGGCTAGAGTGCAGTGGTGCAATCTTGGTTCACTGCAATCTCCACCTCCTGCATTCAAGTGATCCTCCTGCCTCAGCCTCCCGAGTAGCTGGGACTACAGGCAGGTGCCACCATGCCTGGCTAATTTTTGTACTTTTTGCAGAGACAGGGTCTCACCATGTCGCCCAGGCTGGTCTCAAACTCCTGGGCGGGCAGATTGTTTGAATCCAGGCTGGACTCAAACGATCTGCTCGCCTCAGCCTCCCAAAGTGCTGGGATGACGATGTTAGCCACTGTGCCCGCCTCAGCCTCCCAAAGTGCTGGGAAGACAGGTGTGAGCCACTGTGCCTGGCCCTGACAGCTGTGCTCCTCCTAACCACTGTTCTCTACCTCCTCCATGGTGAAGCTTCAGAAGAAAGAGGCAGCAGCACCTTCTCTCTCCTAGAACAACAGAGAGGTCACCCAACGCAACCTCAACTGGAGTAGGGGGTACAGGTTGCAGGGTAGTGGGAAATGAGTTTGGCTGGGAGGGTCCTGATCCCCTGACTTTGAAGAATGACACTACAGGGCAGTGGACGGTTCCCTTGTCACTGTGCAGATGAGTATTCAAATGGACTGCTTTGGCTTCTCTCCTCATGCTACCACAGGTAATAAGATGGGACTTTAGGATGGAAAACAATGCTGTTCCTGGGGATCTGAGGCCAGGCCTGCACCCTTTAAGTTGGCCTGACTCACTCACCTCTTCCAGGAAGGGGAGCAAAAAGTCTCGAGTGGCATTATTTGAAGTGAAGAAGCCCTGCACAGCCTTATACAGAACATAGTGGTTGAGGCGGCGTGATGTGGAAGGCAGCATCCGCAGGGCCCGCAGCACGAATCTCGGCTCCTTGCCTGAAACCGCTTTCTCTAGCTGTTTCACGTGCTCCTTGATGTCTGAAGAAGAGCAGAGAAGAAAATGATGTCACTTTCACTCCTAGTCCCCCACCACTCCAGGCAAGGAGTTCTTTTTTTTTTTTTTTTTTTTTTTGAGACGGAGTCTCACTCTGTCGCCCAGGCCGGAGTGCAGTGGTGTGATCTCGGCTCACTGCAAGCTCTGCCTGCTGGGTTCACACCATTCTCCTGCCTCAGCCTCCCGAGTAGCTGGGACTACAGGCACCCGCCACCACGCCTGGCTAAATTTTTTGTATTTTTAGTAGAGACGGGGTTTCACCGTGTTAGCCAGGATGGTCTCGATCTCCTGACCTCGTGATCTGCCCGCCTTGGCCTCCCAAAGTGCTGGGATTATAGGCGTGAGCCACCGTGCCGGCCAGGCAAGGAGTTCTAAGGAGCCTCTCACAGAGGGGCAAAATGCGACCACTCACCTTTTCTGCCCTAATGGGGTCCATAATATTTACAGATTCCACACACTGATTTTAAGACATAACCAAGTGGCAAGAAAAACATACAGTGGGGGTGCAGGATGGGGTAGAGGATGACAGAGGAAGAAAAGAAAAACCAATTAACTACAGAAACCTGGAGTCCAGATTTATCAGATCTTAATGGAAAAGACTTTCTAAATGTGAACAATGGGAGAAATCACATACGCACAAAAGATTAATGGGCTTGACTTCATTTAAAAAAACCCTTTTAGATAACTGTGTATACAAAAGAAAAATATTTTCAACAAATGTGATCAAAGATTCATATTTTTATTCTATAAAGAGCTTGTATAAATGGTTAAGAGATATAATGGTATAATGATTATATTGCCACAATTTCAAAACAAAAATGGAGACGAACTAACATACAAAGAGGAAAAATAGCTAACAGACAAAAATTATATTCCATTAGTATTTGAGTAATTGCAAATGGAAACATTTTTAAACTACCAAATTTGTAACATTAAAAAAATTATAGGTGGGGCACAGTGGCTCACGCCTGTAATCCCAGTACTTTGGGAGGCTGAGGAGGGCGGATCATTAAGGGTAGCAGTTGGAGACCAGCCTGGCCAACATGGTGAAACCCAGTCTCTACTAAAAATAAAAAAATTAGCCGGGCGTGGTGGTGGGTGACCGTAATCCCAGCTACTCGGGAAGCTGAGGCAGGAGAATCGCTTGAACTTGGGAGGCAGAGGTTGCAGTGAGCCGAGATCGCGCCATTGCACTCCAGCCTGGGCAACAGAGCGAGACTCCGTCTCAAAAAAAAAAAAAAATTATAGAGTACAGTGAAAACTACATTTCTCCTGGTATAATGTAAATCAGCACAGTTTTTCTGGACAATAACTATCAAAAACCTTTAAAATGTTCAGCCTTTTAAACTCAGGCATATAGGTTTTGGTGGGAATCTGTACTGAAGAAATAATTAGAAAAGTAGATTTTTTAAGTTGGGCACAAAGATGATTGCTTCAAAGCTATTTATGATAGCAAGAAACTAGAAACAGTTTAAATGCAAAGCAATAAGGGAATGCAATCAATGAGTAGTTTCTTAGGCACTTCTGTATATTCACCGATTAGCACAGGGTATCTGGGCCACACTAATGATATAAATAATAACAGCTGATATTTATGTGCTAGGCACAGTTTTAAGCATTTTAATGTTCACAACAACCCAATAAAGTACTGTACTATTACTTGTATTTATACAGATGAGGGAACTAATTCCAGAACTTGTACTCTTAACCATTATATTGGGTATTCAATAAATGTTTCTGGAATAAATTGAATGCTGATTATGTTTACGAATGTTAATGAAAACACATAAAATTCAAAATTTATATTTAGTTATGCCTTGATACAAACTGTATACATAACTTGCTCTCAATTATAGGAGAACAGCTCAAAAATTCACAAGAAAAAATGTTAACCATGTTTTTTATCCCCTGCTTTTAACTTCTCATACATTCCACAATTTCTGCAATGAATATGAATTACTTTACAAGAAGAAAATGAAGTGCCTGTAATAAACACACCCAGTAGGCAATGCTGAGTGGCACCTTTGACATTGCTGCCACTACTTTAGGTAAAAGGATCTCTATTAAATATCGATCCTGTTGCTCAACTTTACAGTAAGAGCTGATGTAGTCAACACCATCACATCCTCAAAAGCACCACCTAGGAGGATAACTTTGCTTATCTCAATGTTTTTGAGCTAGTTTCTCACGCATTTTAGTGAAAAGAAAACCTAGTAAGTAGTCTGGTCCCACTTGATCCAGAACCAGGAAAATGGCACCAGGATCACAGTGGGAAGCTCTCACTTTGCCCACTTCAAATGGAAACAGGACGCTGTAAGTGGGAAAAGTAAAACATGAACTTGGAGGAACAAGAGGACTACAGACACTCGAAACAGGAACCTCGGAGAAAAGAAATAGGAGACACCGGTATATAGGAGTTTAGGCCAAAGGTTGAGTATTACAAAACCAAACAAAGATGACACCCGAAAAGTTTTAAGTGTGTATGTACTTAAACCCTTTAGAAACAGAGGGGCAGTAAGGACCTGAAGGGAGGAGACAGCAAGGGGACTGTTGGGACACTTCAGTTAGAGAAGTAGGAAACAAGATACTAGGTCGAAATGGTTCATTCGGGGGAGTGTGCTAAAGGCAGCTAGGACAACAAAAATCTGCTGTACAGTTTTAAAACTCAGGAGTCAATATTCTAGGTCATCCTGGCCCTGTTTACACACAGACACAAACACTGGTTTCCAGCGGGAACAATCAGTCATATATTGGAGGCGCTAAAATCAGTCGGGTGGGATATAAACGGAATAGGTCAGAGGGGAGGACTTAAAAGAGGGAGTCCCCAGGCCCACTGGGACCTAGATATAGATGCAACCCCAGATATGGGGATGGAGGGGATGGGAGGGGAGTGGTTCCCAGCCTGGAGAGAAGGTTCAGTCATTGGGCCTGGAGTCGGGAGTGTCGGGGCAGTGGGAGCAGGTATCTGGGGGTGATCCCAAAGAACTGAGGGTGGTGGAGGCTGCTGTGGCTTCCCAGCAAGAAGCCAAATCACAGGGGTCGCTGTCACCCGCGATCGCGGCACGTTCCCGGCCTGGGCTGCCGTACCCTCCAAGGTGACTGTGTCCAGCTCTCGCTGGGAGTGCTCAGCCGCTGCCGCCGCCGTCTTGCCGTCTGCCTCCCCCGTCGACCCGCCACCCGTCGCTGCCTCCTCTTTCATCTCCACATCCTGGGGGGCCGGCGGCGGTGGGGGTTCTTGTTCTCCTCCGCCGGGCGGCGGTTTCGCCTTGTCCGCGCCGCGGCGCCGCGCCGAGCCCTCCTGCTTCATGGCACCCGGGGTCACGGCCTAGTCCGGGGACCGAGGCCGGGGCCTCGCGTTAACCCTCGCACCGGGGACCAGGAGCCGAGCCGGGCCTGCACACGAGCGCGAGATAGCGTCGGGCCGCACGATGACGGAGCAGCTGCAAACCCCTTCCCGGCGCTGGGCCTTCTGGGAAACGCCAGGCCCGGCAGGCCGATGGCCGAGTCAACAAAGGGGAAATAAATCCACAGCCGAGGTGCAGGATGAAGGAGGAGCTTCGAGGAAGGAGCGGGGAGGAGCCTTTATGGGTTCGTGGGGCTTTCTTTCGAGCGCTTAAGTGTGATGCTTTTATGTTCCTCTCGAGTGCATTTCTGTGGGCGTCCACGAGAGGTCCCCTCAGGCTCCAATCTGGGTTACAAAGGACTTTAAGAGCGCCTCAACCAGCGTGGAGTGGGTACAGCCTATCCGAGCGCGGGACGAGATGACGTCACGAGTTGCCGGGCGGGTTTTGCGCCCAAGTTCGCTCAATTTTCCCCGGTCGCGGCGGGGTCTCCTTCCAGATCCGCTGGGCTTGTGCTCAACGGCTGCCGGGCGCATCCGGCAGGAGGGAAGGAAAGAAGGCTGTGAAGGAGGGACGTGAAGCTAGGGCTGTTGGCCTTAAAATAAACCGAACTGGAGAGTAGGAAGAACCCTATGGGATCCGGACTTCCTTGGTTAGATTTGAGTTTAGTGCTGAACATAAGGCATACAATTTCTGCAGGCTGGGAGTGCCGATAGGTAGGAGCGTGCATTTGCGTAGAATCACTCCAGTTTAACAAAATATAGGGGTCCACCCTATGTACGGCCCACGGTTAGCAAATAGGGGGGTGAAAAACAGCTCAAGAATGTAGTATACGGGGGAGTCAGATGGTTAGATAAGCAGACACTGTGCTCTGGGCTGCGGTGGATTGGGAGTGTTGAGGAAAGAGGGTGGGAGCCCCTACTGGCAGACGCTTTAGGGAGCCCATTGAGAGGGCTTTTATACATCCAGACAGACATTGTGAAATGGGGAACAGAATAATGGTGTGCCTAAGGAGAGAATGATGGTTTACTTAGTGGTGTACCTAAGGGGAAGCAAATTGGACAAGAAACCCTACCCACTTATTTTTCAAAGGACTGCCCCACTGGTTCTGCAGGGAAGGTGAAACAAGGTGAAGGATATAGCTCCCAATTTCTTAGAACACACAACAAAAACTCTCTCCCTACCTTGAAACTTTTCTCTCTCCCATAAGTGGAAGTCCTGAGTTTTAGACCTTTCACGGACCCTACAAGACAATCTAGCCCTGTTGTAAGGACCTAGAAGGCAGGAAATATGTTTTGACCTCCTCCTTTGCATATATAAAGGGTATCCTGCATATCTTTTGCATCCTCTTTCATAGGATTGCAGGATGTTCCTTGCGTTAAACAGCCACTCGCTAACTGGAAAGATATGTGCTCTAGTTTTAGGGAACATGCCTTGACCAGTTCCTCCTCAACTGTCCTCTCACCCTCCAGGGCTGGGGGGTGGATAACAGGACTTTTGAATCATCATTGGAATAAACTCATTAGAACCTCTTCATAACACCATATCTGCAACTGAAGGTGGGCGAGAATGGTAAGGAAGAAAACAGATGAGTTATGTTCATCCTTAACAATCAAAGGAGTTACTCTTCTAGATAGTTAGGGTGTTAGCTCATCTCTCTATTAAGTTTACATCACAAGGAGAAAACAACCAAGTCAGCAGATAACAACCCAGTATATCCATGAGCAATAGAGTGAGGCTTTGGAAGGTGCTCAGGATCAGGGAGGCTGGCGGCATAACACAAAGCTTCTGGCAGTTGGTCATGAATTCTTGGTGGATGAGGGAACCAGGCTGGGCAGGGGGTGACTAAGACACTGGGGGAGAGTCTGACTCCACGGACCAAAATCCTTAGAGAAATTCTTCCACTCATAAAACTTTTTTTTTTTTTTAAACGGAATCTCGTTCTGTTGGCCAGGCTAGGGAGTACAGTGTCGTGATCTTGGCTCACTGCAACCTCCCCCTCTGGGGTTCAAGCGATTCTCCTGCCTCCTTCTCCTGAGTAGCTGGGACTACAGGTGCGAGCCACCATGTCCAGCTAATTTTTAATTTTTTTTTTTTTAATTTTTAGTAGAGACAGGGCTTCACTATGTTGATTAGGCTGGTCTTGAACTCCTGACCTCAGGTGATCCTCCTGCCTCGGCCTTGCAAAGTGCTGGGATTACAGACATGTACTGCACTCATAGAACTACTTTTTTAAAAATTATTTTTATTTTTTGAGACAGGATCTCGCTCCATCACCCAAGCTGGAGTGCAGTGGTGCTATCTTGGCTAACTGCAGCCTCAGCCTCCCAGGCTCAAGTGATCCTCTAACCTCAGCCTCCCGAGTAGCTGGGACCACAGACACATGCCACCATGCCTGGCTAATTTTTGGTATATTTTGTAGAGATAGGGTTTCGCCCTGTTGCCCAGGCTGGTCTTGAACTCCTGGATTCAAGCGATCTGCCCACATTAGCCTCCCAAAGTGCTGGGATTACAGGCGTGAGCTACGGTGTCCGGTCCTGATACTGCTTTAAAAGAGGTTGGTGAAAGATGTTCAAACCCAGCTTTTAGGCAGAGGAGGATGATATAAACCCAGCGGTTTGATGAGATTGTAATATCCATATTAGTAGTAATATGCCAAGCCTACCCACACTACTTCCTCCTACAAGAACCCTAAATTTCAGGGCAGAACAGAGAAAGGTGAAATAATATCACAATTTAGTTTTTAAAGTTTTGGGTTAGTCTTATTCTTGGGTCCCCCTTTTTTTTAAAGGCCCATCTGCATTTTCTGTTCAATAAATTTGAAATCTGTCTTATTTTTGTTTCGGGCTTCTACTATATATCTCTCGGTCTTTCCCTCAACCCAGAGCTAGGGGACTCCCAAATGCTCTTCTTTGAAGACAAACTGCTTTGATATCTTCTCACTTGAGACTCTAGATTCCATTAAAGAAAACTAATTGAACAGAAAAAAAAATCTGGATTCCACATTCTATACCCTCTGAGCATTTTCCAGTTTGCCTGAGGACAGTACAGCATCATATTCATGTACATATGATTTATATGCAGTATGATAACAATTTCTTTTTCTGGCACAAATTAAGAATTTCTGTATGATAAATTCTTTAAAGAAAAACACCAAAAGACATATCATTCCTAAGATTGACATAATATTTTCCATTAATTCCAGTAAAGCTTGTTTTTTGGGGAAGTATAAGTAGGAGGGATTAGGATAGGAAATTAATTAATCTTCTTTTTTTCTCAGTTTTGCTGAAACGGCTCATAGTTTTAAAAGTCTGAGTGCTTCTACTCCTAGAATATTTAAGCACAGGCCGGGCACGGTGGCTCACGCCTGTAATCCCAGCACTTTGGGAGGCCGAGGCGGGCAGATCACTTGAGGCCAGGAGTTCGAGACCAACCTGGGCAACATGGTGAAACCCCGTCTCTACTAAAAATACAAAAATTAGCTGGGTGTCGTGGCACGTGCCTGTAATTCCAGCTGCTCGAGAGGCTGAGGCAGGAGAATTGCTTGAACCTGGGAGGCGGAGGTTGCAGTGAGCCAAGATCAAGCCACTGCACTCCAGCCTGGGTGACAGAGTGAGCCTCCATCTCAAAAAAAAAAAAAAAAAGAAAAGAAAAGTAAAGAAAATTTAAGCATCAGCAGATGGGCTTAGTGGGTTGCGGAGCTGGAGGGGTAGGGGGTGATATATGGTTGGGCAGGTGGAAGTTGGTTATCATGGGTGACCAGCTGAGATTTCAGATGTCTTCAGCTGATGGCTCTGAAATGCCCTTAGGTGGTAAGGACACAGCACCACGAGGTTGGGAAGGCATTAGGGAGTCATGAAGCAGACGTAAAAGGCAAATTAGGAGGCCTTGGTAAGCTGCTGAAGGAGAGAGAGGCCTGCATAAAGAGCACAGAGGCGAGGGAGGGTGTCTGGGTCCCACATATATTGGGGGCCCGATCTCTGCACTTCCAGGCCACTCAGCCCGACTAGAGCCTCCGTGAGGGTCAGCTCCTCGTCCCCAAGGGAGGAGAGCAGCTCAGGTTGCAGGGGGAAAACACCCTCTTTATCCAGCAGGAAGTTCTGTTCCATCGTGCTCTCCACCTGGAGGGAATCAAAACAGCATGAAAAGAAAGAACTGGAAACCTCTCTCCTCTCCTAACTCACAAAAATCACAAGAAGGTTACATTCCCCTTATTAGAATTCCTTACTTTACCTTACATTACAACCCCATCTGGGTCTTTGAACAGCCCTATACAGTGGGCAGCACATTGATTTTTAGCCCCATTTTACAGAGGAATAAATTGAGACAGACTCAGACACAGTAAAAAATTTGCTCACAGGCCAGGCGAGGTGGCTCACACCTGTAATCCCAGCACTTTGGGAGGCTGAGGTGGGCAGATCACCTGAGGTCAGGAGTTTGAGACCAGCCTGGCCAACATGGTGAAACCCTGTCTCTACTAAAAATACAAAATTAGCAGGGTGTGGTGGTGGGCGCCTGTAATCCCAGCTACTCGGGAGGCTGAGGCAGGAGAATCGCTTGAACCCGGGAGGCGGAGGTTGTGGTGAGCCAAGATCGCACCATTGCACTCCAGCCTGGGCAAAAAGAGTGAAACTCTATCTCAAAAAAAAAAAAAAAAAAATTTGCTTACAATATTTGGCTAGGAATAAGCAAAGCCACAGTTTCTGTCTCTTCTCCCAAGATCAGGCTAATAAACCCAGATTATTGCCCAGAAATTCAGTCTTCTACCTCTTGTGAAATAACAAAAAATGAGAAATAGAGAGAGAAAGGAGGAGTGGGCATAAGCCCCTGGGATAAGACAGGGATCCTCCAGAATGGCTCCATCCTTAGGCGAAATCTGCATCTCCACTGGCTGCAGCTACTCCCAGACTCTCCCCAGCATCTGCTGTTTTTCCCTCACCAGCTTTAGCTGCACGGGTAGGATCTTTTTCTCCATGGATTTCACCAGCAGCTTCTGTTGGGCTTCACTTAGCTCTGGAGAAAAAAAGCAGAGAAAGATGTGTGTTGCTGGTGCAGAGGGGACTACAGCCTCCAAATAGCGCACTTCCAGAATTTCAGCCTTCATTCATTGGATGTAATTACAACGCAGGTGTTAAGGGAGCCATAGCTGAGGGGTCCACTTTGGTCTTGGAGTCGGAGGGCAGGCTTCCTAAGGGAACAAACGTTTTGGCTTACACCTGAAGGACCACAGAGTTTTTCTAAGTGGAAAACTAGAAAATGTGGAGGGAAGAAGAGCTCTTAGGGGCAAGATAAGAAAATGTTACTCCCTGAAGTTAAAGCTAACAGGTATCAGGATAGAAGTGATGAGCTTAGCTATATGCAGAAATTTTAAATATGTTGCTGATAAAACTAGGGTTATTCAACCTCTATTAGCAAGACTAGGCTGTCTTCTCAGACTACCCAATGTGACCAAGCAAATCCTTAGGAATGAAACCAATTTTTTTTTTTTTTGATGGAGTCTCGCTCTGTTGCCCAGGCTGGAGTGCAATGGAGTGATCTCGGCTCACTGCACCCTCCCCCTCCTGGGTTCAAGCGATTCTCCTGCCTTAGCCTTCAGAGTAGCTGGGATTACAGGCACCTGCCACCACGCCCGGCTAATTTTTCTATTTTTGGAAGAGGCGGGGTTTCACCATGTTGGCCAGGCTGATCTCGAACTCTTGATCACGGGTGATCCATCCACCTTGGCCTCCCAAAGTGCTGGGATTACAGGCATGAGCCACTGCAGCCAGCCATGAAACCAATTTATAAAAATGTAGATATAAACTACTTAACTGTGGTATAATTTGTCATTCATTCATTTATTCATCCATTTGGGAATTGATTCAAGTGATTCATTCCTATTACTGAAAAGGTCTATAAATGAAGACCTTATTCCCCACTTACCTGTTAGGGCTCCAACGAAATAGAGGATGGCGCCCACGGCCTCCTTTGATAGCAGGACATCTTTTGGGAGTGCCTCCAGGGTCACTTCATGTCCCTTGTCTAGAGCCCCTTCAAGCTGTGGGGGAAGGTGGGCGACTATTGAAGATAACATAGGAAAGGGCCCAACCCAGGGCCCAGCACATAATAACCCCTTGACATGCGGAAACTCTCTCCATTTCCTGATTTCTTTTTCGAGGCCTCATGTCCTGAAGAGTACTGGACTCCTGGGTTCCTTGTTTCCTGAGTTTTGGACTCTGGAAAGAGAAGGTTCCAGCCCCTCCAGCAGAAGTCCCTTCTGGCCATCAGAGGGAGCATGTGCCTTGGGGGAACCCACTGTTTGCCCTTTTCCAGGGGACAAAGGGAGGAGCAGTGGCCTGGCAGCCTTGGGGCACGTGGCCAGCCTTGGGGAAGGTATCTAAGGTGGACTCCCCTGGCCACCCACCTCCTGCCCCCGTCAGATCTCCCTACCTGCTGCAATACCCGCCCCCACCAAATCTTCACCAAAACATGCCTTCTCCCACCCTTCCCCACTTCCACTAGGTCCTCACTGCGAGCTCAAGGTCTTGTAGCTCCTTTTTCTTCCCTAGAAGTTTGCTGAGGGAGCTGAGCAGGGAGCTTTGCCCTACTCGGCTCAGCTTCTCCACTTGTTGGGTCTCTCTCTGAACTTCTTCTTTTAGTGTCCTGAAGCCTTCGTGTACGTCCCCTATGGGGACAATAATGGGACACACAGCCCTCCATCGGGCACCTTCCTCTCCAGTCAGCATTCCCCCTGCAGGGCTCCTACACTCAGCCCCCTTTAGGTACCCATGCTCTACCCCCCAGTTTGAGCCTGGCCCCATTTTTCTTTACCAAGGAATGCGGTGACAGAACTATCCACCAACCCTAACCTGAGGGTTGGGGCGAGAAGGTGGGCCAGGATGCATGTATCATCTAACCCAACAGTTAATCTTCCTGAGATCCCAGGCCTTATCCCATATCAGTACACACTTGACTTTTCTTTGAGACTCCAGCAAAAAGTGGAGAAAGAAAGTCTGTTTTCCCTTCCCATGAGTTAGCTGACAAAGAATGACTTCGCCTTCTCCTCTCTCTGCCCCTAATGCTACCTCCATGCCAAAGTCTTGGGAGAAACTCACAAAGTTCCTTACCAACATCAGATGCCTGGATAACTGAGAAAAAAAGGAAAAAAAAAAGATAAGAATGCAATCCTTCAGAATGGCAGCCATACCCAGGGGTTGAGACACTAAGGAAGATGAGGAAATACATCCTGCCTGTCTCCTGGGAGAGCCCAGCTACCTTGTTCCTGGCATTACTGTGACTCAGTGGCTCTGGCCCCAGTTGCTGGGCGGCCGAGTTGCAGATGTGTGTGTAGCAGGTTATAGCTACTAAGACTCTTAATTTTTTTTTTTTTTTTCTAGGCCAGGCTCAGTGGCTCACACCTGTGATCCCAGCACTTTGGGAGGCCAAGGTGGGAGGATCACCTGAGGTCAGGAGTTTGAGACCAGCCTGGCCAACATGGTGAAACCCCATCTATACTAAAAATTCGCCGAGTGTGGTGGCCCGCGCCTGTTATCCTAGCTACTCAGGAGGCTGAGGCACAAGAATTGCTTGAACCTGGGAGGCAGAGTTTGCAGTGAGTGGAGATCTCACCTTTGCACTCCAGTCTGGGCAACAGAATGAGACTCTGTCTCAAGAAAAAAAAAAAAGGCCAGGCGCCGTGGCTCACGCCTGTAATCCCAATACTTTGGGAGGCTGAGGTGGGTGGATCACCTGAGGTCAGGAGTTCAAGACCTGCCTGACCAACATGGTGAAACCCCATCTCTACTAAAAATACAAAAAATTAGCAGGGCATGGTGGCGGGTGCCTGTAATCCCAGCTACTCCGGAGGCTGAGGCAGGAGAATCACTTGAACCGGGGAGGTGGAGGTTGCAGTGGACTGAGATTGCGCCACTACACTCCAGCCTGGGCAACAAGAGTGAAACTCCATCCAAAAAAAAATTTTTTTTTTTAAATAGAGACATTGTCTCACTATGTTGCCCAGGCTGGTCTTGAACTCCTGAGCTCAAGGGATCCTCCTGCCTCAGCCTCCCAAAGTGCTGGGATTATAGGTGTGAATCACTGTGCCTGGCTGCTAGTAAGGCTGTTGAGGACAAAGGTCTCAGGCGTCAGACCACCTGGGCAAAGACTCCCCCCTTTCCACTGCTTTTTCCCAAGCTATTGGAATTTCTGCCATGTTTCGGGGACAATTATTTGCTGAGATTCGCTCTGCTATTTCCCTGTCAGTCCTGTCAGAAGGAAAGAAAAAGACTGGAGTTTTAAAATTTGGAGTCAAGAAAGTTTCAGTGGAATGAAAGGAAACACTTACGGATGACCTTCTCCTCTCCTGACTTTTCTGAAGACAGAAAAAATGCACATCTGTCAGCACAAAACCCATTTTTGCCTTTTCATCTAAAACAGTCTTCAAGGCAGTTTCATCAGTGATCATTATAAAAACACAGGGAGATTATGCTAGCTCATCCACCCCCATGATTCGGGAACACACTCAGTCTCCAAGTCTTACTTCTGCTTCTGACTGTGCCTTCCGGTCTCTGTCTGTCAGTTTCTATATCTCTCTGGGACAGTATTTATATGCCTCTATCTGTCTTTCTAAAGTTGAGGCTAGGTATTCTTAGGGACTTGGGAAACAAAAGCAGAGGCTCCTTGGGGGATTATAGTATAAGCTAGGAGAGGGTGGAGGATTTTGGCAGATAATGTCAGGGGTAGGGCGGAAGATGTGGGAAGCCCGTAAGCAATTTCACTTACCTCCAGGAGGGAAGGTTTGCATGTTATCATTGCAGATATGTGGAATATCTGTGAAGGGCAAGGGAGGGAGGGTGGGAGGACACTTAGCAGCTGCCCCACATTCCCTTCTTCAGTCTCAAGCCAAAGGGCTCTGCTAAGGGCTAGGACCTTGCACCCCAAATGCTTCATTTAATTCCCAGCTTCAACCTCCATTGCTGGAAGCAATCTTTTCTTCCTTGATAAATTCTCTACTATGAGAACACTACTTTCTATCATCCATTCCAGTCTCTGTCTGTTTCCTCCTTTGGCCACAGACTTCTTGAGAGCAGAGGCAGTGCATGTTCATATTTGTACCCCCTCCCCCAATAACCACAGTGCCCAGCACCCAGAAGATGCTCAGAATCCAGGAGCCTCTTCACCCTTCTCTCCAGAGCAGGCTCCATGGCTGCAGTCGGATCACAGTACAATACACCCCCCTACTCATTCTCTGACATTTCCGCAAGAGGGGACCAGGGTGCCTCAGTACTGGTGCAGGTAATTCTCATCTTGTGGGGAGAACATGCGGGTCTCTGCTCACCCCACTCATCTTTGCCTTTGACCATCAGCTGTCTCACTCGAAAGGCCAGGACGCAGCCCTTGGGGATGGTTACAGCCTCCTTGTGATTTATGGATCCCTAGAATTAGACAATGAGAATTTGTGAATCTCTGGACATCTTAAGTATGAGATATTGGGAGCGTGAGTTGGGGGAGGTGCAGGGTCAGGGCTGAGAGCCTTCAGGGAGATAAGAAGCTGGAAGCCTTCAGTGGTGTCCCTGGTCTGGACTCTGAGGAAGGACTTCAAAGTCCTTGTGCTCATTTCTGCTGATTTTCCCTCTAGTGACCTGGTTCAGGTCAGTAGAGTCTAGTCAGGTCAGTTCTAGTTCCTGGTTCAGATGCATGAAGGGAACTGGGCAGACCTGCTCCATCTCCTGCCTGTACATCACCCTAGAGCTTCCATCCAAGCCCTGGCTCCTTCTTCCTCTTCACCATCTGTCCCATGCTTACCTCTTTCAGGACGCCTTCCATGACTAACCCCTACTCCTGGCTCCAAATCCCAAATCATCCCTTGAATATTTAGATGCAATAGATAGAGGTATGGAGACCATTCCTTATTTCCATTGGCTTTTCCAAGCCTGTGTTCTCTGGGCTTTAGCCTCTGTGTCTCCTCTATGAACCTGATGACTTTCCGAGAGTAAAGATGTCTCCTCTTTGGAATGGGAGCACCACGAGGGAAAACCCAGGAATGTGACTTTCCCCTTCCCCAGTAGTTCCCTGTGGCATCTGGCGCAGGGATCTGCCCTCACTGGGTGCCACTGACCAGGGAGGGGGCATATGTCTGGGGTTTGGATCTTTAAGAGCCGGGGGAAGGAGTGGCCCTTTTCAGCATCCTCGGTGGGCGCTGATCAGGCAAAGCTAATGAAGCCTCCAAGGAGGGGCTGAATGTAAATGTGTATGTGTGAGTGTGAGTGTGAGAGTGTGTGTGTGTGTGTGTGTGTGTGTTTGAATCAAACCTGTAGCCCCAATGGGGCGAAGAAGGGGAGGGAGAAGCAGGCCTCTGCCTTGCCGGCTCGCTCCAGTGTGACCTCCTGCACCGTCTCCACCACCTCCATCACCACATACAGGTTCTCCCCTTGATCTTGCATCTCCTTCAGGAATGGGTGGTCTGCTGCCAGCTTCCTGTTGCAGGAGAAACATAAGGGAACCGTTCAGAGCTCCTTCCTGCCTGTACCACACCCTCCTCTTTCCTTCTGTCATTCCCAGGAACTAGACATTGTGGTGGCAGGGAAGGAGTGAGGACTCTGGACTAGGGCTGAGGTTGAAACCCAGATCTCATGCTTACTGGCAGGGCAGCTTCTCTGAGTCTTAATTGCCTCATCTATGAAATGAGTATAATGATGCTGACCTCCTGGGTTGCTCAGAGATAAACTCGGTAATTGGGCCAGCACCTGGCCAGGAACAGGGCCTCTTGGGTGCTTCTTACCCCCTTTTCCTCCAGTTCGGGGGTAGATGCTCCCCCCCTCTTTCCTCCCCATTCATCTCTCTGGGATCCCGGGGGTAGATGCTCCCCCCCTCTTTCCTCCCCATTCATCTCTCTGGGATCCTTTCTCTCCACATCTTATGCTCTCTCTTGCTGTTAACACCAGTTCCTCCTCTCCACTTGCTCCTTCTGTCTGCTTCCATATATAAACTCCCTAATCCTAACAAATTTGTTTGCTTTGATCATGCCACTCCCTCAAATTACTACCCTATTTTTTCCTTCATTTCATTGGCAAATATATCAAAAAAATTCTTTTTTTTTTTGAGACGGAGTCTCACTCACTCTGTCACCCAGGCTGGAGTGCAGTGGCACGATCTTGGCTCACTACAACCTCTGCCTCCCGGGTTCAAGCGATTCTTCTCCCTCAGCCTCCTGAATAGCTGGGATTACAGATGTGAGCCACCATGCCCGGTCCACCTAAATTCTTTATAATTTGCCTTGTATTTCCACTACTCAGCTGAAATTACAATGATCTCTTACCTGTCAGTCTCAATGACCTCGCCTAACTCTGTGCAATACTCGATCCTGCTGTGGAAACCCTCCGTGCAACGCTGGCTTCTCTTGGCTTCCAGTCACAGTGTACCACCCTGGCTCAACTCCAGTACTTCTAGTTCCTAAATCTTATCCATTCTGTCTGCACCTCATTTTCCAGTTTCTTTGGTTCTCTAAAATTTTATGTTCTGTAAGATTCTGTTCTCAGTCCTGTTTTCTCAACTCCCTCTAAAAGCTCCCCACACCCAACTCACTCCTATAGTTTTTTCTTTTTTTTTTTTTTTAAGGTCCCACTCTGTTGCCCAGGCTGAAGTGCAGTGGCTCGATCATAACTCACTGCAGACTTGAGCTCTTGGGCTTAAGTGATCCCCTTGCCTCAACCTCCTGAGTAGCTGGGACTCTAGGCGCACCACCATGCCCGGCTAATATTGCGTTTTTTGTGGAGATGGGGGTTTCACTCTCTTGCCCAGGCTGGTTTGAACTCCTGGGCTCAAGCAATCCTGCCTTGGCTTCCCAAAGTGCTGGGCTTACGGGAGTGAGACTCCTCCCCTGGCTCCTACAGTTTTAATCTTTATAGTGCTGATTACCTTGTGTGTATCTTCACTTTGACCTCTTTCCTGAGCTCCAGGCCCTTATTTCCAATCACCTGTTCAACATGCTCAGCTGATGTCTCAGCAGAACCAGAAACTCAAAACATCCAAAAGGAACTCACAATCTCCAAATCTACCTCTAACCTGTGTCTTCCTGTTTGTCACCTGTAATGGTAGCTTTAATGTCCTATAATGTCACAACCTGGGTAAAATCTCGCAGTCACCTTTGACAAAACCCTTTCCCTCATCCTGCAATCAGCTACCAAGCCCAGGCCATTCTATCACCGTTGGCAATGGGCATTGCATCCATTCCTCCCTCTTCACTCCTCTTGCCCTTCCCCAGCTCGGGTCCTCAGTTTTCGTTGCTCATGGGATAGAAGAACAGTGTCTTGGCTGGGGGTGGTGGCTCACGCCTGTAATCCCAGCACTTTGGGAGGCCGAGGTAGGCGGATCACCTGAGGTCAGGAGTTCGAGACCAGCCTGGCCAACATGGTAAAACCCCATCTCTTCCAAAAATACAAAAATTAGCTGGATGTAGTGGCGTGCGCCTGCAATCCCAGCTACTCAGGAGGCTGAGGCAGGAGGACTGCTTGAACCTGGGAAGCGGAGGTTGCAGTGACCTGGTATCGTGTCACTGCACTCCAGCCTGTGCAACAGAGAGAGACTCCGTCTCAAAAAAAAAAAAAAAAAAAAAAAAAAGACCGGGCTCAGTGGCTCACGCCTGTAATCCCAGCACTTTTGGGGGCTGAGGCAGGCGGATCACCTCAGGTCAGGAGTACAAGACCAGCCTGACTAACATGGTGAAACCCCATCTCTACTAATAATACAAAAATTAGCCGGGTGTGGTGGCTCACGAGCCACCTTACCTCCTTCTTTCAACCACTACTTAACTGGGATTACTTCCCTGTAATCCCAGAACTTTGGGAGGCCGAGGCGGACAGATCACAAAGTCAGGAGTTCGAGATCAGCCTAGCCAATATGGTGAAACTCCGTCTCTACTAAAAATATAAAAAATTAGCTGGGTGTGGTGACAGACACCTGTAGTCCCAGCTACTTGAGAGGCTGAGGCTGGATAATTGCTTGAACCCAGGAGGCGGAGTTTGCAGTGAGCTGAGATCGTGCCACTGCACTCCAGCCTGGGCGACAGAGCGAGACTCCATCTCAAAATAAATAAATAAATAAAATAAATAAATAAAAAATTATCCGGGCGTAGTGGCGGGCACCTGTAAACCCAGCTACTCGTGAGGCTGAGGCAGGAGAATTGCTTGAACCTGGGAGGCGGAGGTTGCGGTGAGCCAAGATTGCACCACTGCACTCCAGCCTGGGCAACAAGAGCGAAAAACTGTTTCAAACAAAAAAAGAAGAAAAGTGTCTTGCCTTGTCTGACTGCTTCAAACCCCTGTTCCTCTTCCCCTATCTGACACACTTCCTCCATCTGGCTGGATTAGTCATGGGACACATCAGAACATTTTCAGGATCTTCCTGGTGCCTACAATTCAGTCTCCTGGAGCTGCCACTTGCCTCTTCCATGGTTTGGGTTCACCTGCATTTCCTGCTCGTTCTACTCGCACCTCTTCCGCCCCTGCTATGCTGGCTGTTCCTGGCCCTTGGTGGTTTTGAGATTGCTCACCTGTGTGCCTTCATAATACCCTTCTCCCAGCCCTGCATGCCCAATTTCTGCTCATCTTTCAAGGCCCAAAACAGAGGCTGCCATGTCTGTGAGATCTTCCCTTATTTCCCCAGCCAGAAGTCCCTTTGACCTGCCACAAGACTCAGTCAAACCATCCCTACAGCACTTAGCACTTCTTGGCTTTGATTATAATTACTGTTGCACAGGTTTTTAAAATTTTCACCTTCCTAGACTGCAAGGTTCTTGGACAAAGATGTTCTAGGCGCACCCCAGCCCGTAGTAGAGTGCTTTACTATATACATGCTTGCTGGATGACTACCCCAGCCTTTCCTTCTGGCCTTCACAGTCCTTACCTCCTTCTTTCAACCACTACTTAACTACTTAAAAGTCAGTTCCCGTGTCAAGCCAAACATCCGGTGGTGCCCAGCATCAATGTGGCACCTGCCACACCCTTTGTGCTGTGGGGCAGCATTCCCGAGGGCGTGCTTAGTGTGTATTGGGGTCAGGCAGGAGGCTTCATTTATGGGAGCAGAACACAGTGCTCAGGTCTCAGCTGGGGGCAGTTAAGACACATCCCTCCTTTTTCTAGTGTATTGCATAGTCTTAGAGTTAGAAGGAGCCTTAGAGATGATCATTCAATCCTGTCATTTTGCAGAAAAGAAAACTGAGGTCCCAAGAGAAGTGACTTTTCCAAGATCACACAGCAAGCTAGTGTGGACATCATCTTCCCTGTGCATGCGTGACAGTGGGGAGGTGGTCCTGGAGACGGTGGCAGCAGCGGGAGGTGTGACTAGGAAATGGCCTGGATGCAGCCATGGGCCAGAAGGGTTGCCTCCAAGAGCTCCCCTGTCATGACCACATTGGCAAAGGTCAGTGCAAGGGTCCTACCTTTCAGCTCAAGGCCCCAAGCACCATTTCCATGCACTGCCCCACCCACATCCCGGGAGACCCTCAGTCCCGCCCACTCTCACCTCTCCTGCACGGTCTCCAGGGCCTTGGGAGCCACACTGAGTGTCTGGACCTCCAGAGTGCTGTTCTGCGAGAGCCCTGCCGTTCCCTTCACCTTCACCGTCTTTGGTACATCCACATCTCCCTCCACTCGGGTGTCCAGCATATTCTTAAAGCCAAAATTCCCAGTGTCTGTTGGGTCTGCAGGAGGGAAAAGACAAAAGGGGCTGGGCTGGCTGGGTGCAGTAACTCATGCCTGTAATCCCAGCATTTTGGGAGGCCAAGGTGGAAGGATTGCTTGAGCCCAGGAGTTTGAAACCAGCCTGGGCAACAAAGCAAGAACCCATCTCTACAAAAACAAACAAGTAAATAAATAAAAGAGGCTGAGCTGAGAGGTATCCCCCCGACCACCAGCCTCCTCAGCTCCTGATGATGACTTTGGGCTAGATGACATCTAATCACCTCTGGCCAGAGGGAGCTTTGAGGTCCTCCTTGCAGGCCAGGTGCCCAGCCCCTGTCCCTCAGTATCCCTCAGTTCCCAGCCCCGCTTGAGGCTGACCTGAAGGTGAGCTGCCGGGCTCAAGCACATCCAGCAGCGTGTAGTCGGTGCGGACGTACCGGGCCCCCCAGAAGAGCGTGCTCTTCCTCTTCCTCAGCACCAGGCAGAAGGGATGGAAGCGCTTGAAGTCGATGAGGCTGTCAAGTGGTGTCAGGTCCCCTCGAGGGTTTAGCTGTCTGGCCAGGGCCCGGGTGACATTTTCAAACATGGTCATTGTCTCTGTGGAGGTGGGGAGACAGGAGAGTGTCAAGGTGGCTGCCAAGGCTGCCAAGGAGCCCGGGATATAGGCTGGGCCCCTGCAGAGAGAGTTTACCCGGCTCTGAGGCAGGAGGAGCTCTTAGAGATGCCTGGATTGTCTCATGTCACAGCTGGAAAGAATCAAGGGAGTCTGCATTTTATGATGAGGAACCTAGGGCTGGAGAGTTGAAAGAGTTGCCCCAAAGTCCCACAGATGGCCAGCAAAGCCACACCTCCCTTTTCTTTGTCAAGGGCATTTTTCTCACTCCACGCTCATTTTCTTCACTGCCACGGAGCCCAGCTGGAGCACTTCTTTTCTTTCTTTTCTTTTTCTTTCTTTCTTTCTTTCTTTATTTATTTCTCTTTCTTTCTTTCTTTCCTTCCTTCCTTCCTTCTTTCTTTCTCTCCCTCCCTCCCTTTCTTCCTTCCTTCCTTCTTTCTTTCTTTCCTCTTTCTTTCTTCCCCCTCTCCCTTCCTTCCTTCCTTCCCTTCCTTCCTTCCCTCCACCTCGCCTTTCCTTGCTTTGCTTTCTTCTCTTTTCTTCCGAGACAGGGTCTTACTCTGTTGCCCAGGTTGGAGTGCAGTGGCGTGATCACAGCTCACTGCAGCCTTGACCGCCAAGGCTTAATTGATCCTCCCACTTCAGCCTCCTGAGTAGCTGGGACTGCAGTCATGCACTTGGCTAATTTTTAAATTTTTTTTGTAGAGACAGAGTCTCACTATGTTTCCCAGGCTGGTCTCAAACTCCTGGCTCAAGTGATCCTCCCACCTCAGCCTCCCGAAGTGCTGGGATTACAGGTGTGAGCCACTGCGCCTGGTCTAGAGCATTTATTTAGCAATGGAAGTAAAGCTTTCTCTCACACCAGAGACTAGCAATAGCCAGAGTCGGAGGACACCAGGGGAGGGAAGGAGATGCTGCTGGCAACAAGAGCCTGGGTGGCCAAGCTGTTCACCTGCCCCAGTTGCCCTTTCCATGTGTGGGTTACACTTCCCTGCACCCTGTCCTTCCCTCATGCGTGCCACAGGTATGAGTACACCCACTCCCCTCTCACAGCCCCTGGGGGATGCCTGGATCCAGACTTTTTTTTTTCTTTTTGAGATGGAGTCTTACTCTGTTGCCCAGGGTGGAGTGCAGTGGTGCCATCTCGGCTCCCTGCAGTCTCCACCTCTCAGATTCAAGCGATTCTCCTGCCTCAGCCTCCCGAGTAGCTGGGACTGCAGGTGTGTGCCACCACGCCTGGCTAATTTTTGTATTTTTAATGGAGACAGGGTTTCACCATGTTGGTCAGGCTGGTCTCGAACTCCTGACCTCAAATGATCCGCCCTCCTTGACCTCCCAAAGTACTGTGATTACAGGTGTGAGCCTCTGTGCCCAGCCAGGATCCAGGCATTTTGATGCTCTTCACCTTTGCCCCCTCTGCTTACAATACCCGCTTCCGGATCTGAAGACTCCCTAGTCCTCCGCTAATGCTCAATTCAGGTCACCTCCTGGAACCTCTTCCCTCAGTCCTCCAGGCAGCTGGTGACTGTATCTGTGTTTCCAAAGCGCTCTTCTGATGCACCTTCCTTTGTTATGATCTGTTCACCTGACCCTATCAGCAACTCGTCTGTGACTTCCCAGAGGGCAGGAAATGGGTCTTAGTCACCTCTGCAGCAGCAAGTACCACACCTGGCACAGAGTTCGAGCTTGGCAAATGTGTGTGGAAAGAACCAATGAATGTGGCCCTGAGAGATGTGCGCTAGGATGAGAGGGCCCTGGAGAATGTGGGGCCCATGGGAACCTGAGAGGCAACATTTTTTTTTTCTTTTTGAGATGGAGTTTCATTCTTGTTGCCCAGGCTGGAGTGCAATGGCATGATCTCGGCTCACTGCAACCTCCATCTCCTGGGTTCAAGTGATTCTCCTGCCTCAGTCTCCCAGGTAGCTGGGATTACAGGCGCCTGCCACCATGCCCAGCTAATTTTTGTGTTTTTAGTAGAGACGGTGTTTCACCATGTTGGCCAGGCTGGTCTTGAACTCCTGACCTCAGGTGATCCGCCCATCTCACCCTCCCAAAGTGCTGGGATTACAGGTGTGAGCCACCGCACCTGACCTGAGGGTCAACATCTTAAGTCTCTGTCTTTGAAGTTTGAGTCCAGGTGCTCTGGCTGGGTGGCCGATCGGCACACCCCAGTTATCCCCGTGGGTGGAAGAGGCCACACCAGCTGGCTTGGAAGCATCCCACATCCACCACAGGCACTTCACAGCAGCAGGGGGGGCAGGAAGCACGGCACAGATGCGTGGGGCTGTTCTGCCAGCTTCAAGGTGCTTTTTTTTTTTCACCCTCATTCCTGGGAGGGCCAGGATGGGGCAGGACAACCTCCTGGTGCTACCTGGGTGCACCTGGGAAGGGCTTGGGCAACAGCAGCCTCCTCTTCACCAGAGAGATGTCCACAGGCCTGCCTCTCCCTTCCCTCCCCAAGGCCTATCGGGATACTTATCCCACTGGACTCTAGGGGAGTTCCATTCCCTTCTTGGTCCACCCATCTTCCTGTGTCCTCAGAGCACCCCTGCCTTCCCTGCTGTCATCAAGTTCTTACCTGGGAGCGGGGCTGGGTCCTATCCAGCAGCTGGGTCTGGGGTGAGGGCCTAGGGCTCACTGGGTCTGTAGGTTGAGAGGATGACCATCCCTTGCCAGGACAGGCTGCTTTATGCAGGGACAGAGGCTTCCGGGGACCCCGCCTGCCCTAGTGACCCCACCCCCCTCCCACTCCACTTCCTGGAGAACAACATCAACCTGTTCCACGTGTGCCCTGGCCTCCTGAGGGCTGAGGGGGTGGATAGGGAGCTGCCAGGCAGGTGCCAGCGTGGGTGGGGGTAGCCAAGGCTGATAGAGAGGTGGCAGCTGGAGGTTGGCTTGTGGATTGAGAGGAGAGGAAGGCAGGTGCCTTTGGGAGGGGTGCAGAGGGAGGCAGTGGGAGTGTGTGTGTGTGTGTGTGTGTGTGTGTGACCAGGGATGGCATCTCTGTTCTGTCATCATCACCGTCATTGGGGAGCATCTCGGATTCATGGTGGGGGTCTGCGGGTGTCCTGGGATAGGGATTCCTGTATGTCCACACATTCCAGTAGAGAGCAGAGCATCTGCAGTGCCGCCCTCCATCCTGGGCTTGTCAGCCTGTGTGTATTGCTGCCTTACTCCATTTGTTTTAGCTACATAGACATAACTCTGATACCGCTAGAAGCAGATGTCTGAGTAGGCAGAGATGGAGTTAGACCAAATGGGTTTGTGTTGTTTAGTGTTCAGCGTCTCTGCTTCTCACAGAATATTGTATACACACATCAGCATATCCGTAGGCAGGGGCACGGCGATATTCATGGAAAAGCCCAGGAGGCTTGTCGTGGGCTTTCAGATGTTGCACCAGAGGTCACTCAGGTCCTCCTCTTAGCTTAAATCTCTGCCTAGAAGGAATTTTAAAGGAATTTCAAATGTTGCCTACATGGTCACATTGCTAGAGGACAGAATAAGGGACTTACAAGCAAGGCCCTTACAGTGTTGGGCCATGTGGCCATGCATATGTGCAGGTATAACCTGACACAGCAGAGCCTTCCTGCTCCCACCTTGAGGCTCTTCTTAGTACCACTCATGGAAAAAGAAACGCAACCCTGAATGCTGTGAAGAGTAAATTCCATCTTTTTTTTTTTTGAGAAGGAGTCTCGCTCTGTCCTCCAGGCTGGAGTGCAGCGGTGCAATCTCAGCTCACTGCAACTTCCACCTCCCGGGTTCAAACAGTTCTCTGCCTCAGCCTCCCGAGTAGCTGGGATTACAGGCATGCACCACCATGCCTGGCTAGTTTTGTATTTTTATTAGAGACGGGGTTTCGCCATGTTGGCCAGGAGGGTCTTGATCTCCTGACCTCATGATCCGCCCGCCTCGGCCTCCCAAAGTGCTGGGATTACAGGATGAGCCACTGCGCCCGGCCAATTCCATCTTTACTGAACGTTTCCTTGAGGGGCTGATGGTGAATGAGACTAGACCATTCCACACTTAGGAAAACTCCCTAAAATAGTCATTACTCCACTTGTGTCCCCAAAGTCTCATTCAATATGACAGATGCTCCCAAATATCTCTTCTCTATGTCTTGAAACAGAACAAAGCCAAGCCTTGCCTCTGCCTCTCTGGTCCCTGCTCACTCTCTTTTTCTTTACATACTTTCCCATCCACCCTACACCTTTTTGAGACGGGGCCTCGCTCTGTCACCCAGGCTGGAGCGCAGTGGCTTGATCATGGCTCACTGCAGCCACCCAATACTTCATCCTCCTTCCACAGCTCCAGCCATTCCAGCAATCAAATGTCCCTTCTCCTTAGGAGAGGCAGAGGTGGGGGCTTGAGTGTGTGGGAAGGTTGTCGTTAGGCTGGGTGCGGTGGTTCACGGCTGTAATTCCAGCACTTTGGGAGGCAGAAGTGGGTGGATCACCTGAGGTCAGGAGTTCGAGACCAGCCTGGCCAACATGAGGGAAACACCATCTCTACCAAAACTGCAAAAATTAGCTGGGCGTGGTGGCAGGTGCCTGTAATCCCAGCTACTTGGGAGGCTGAGGCAGGAGAATCACTTGAACCCGGGAGGTGGAGGTTGCAGTGAGCCGAGATCGTGCCACTGCATGCCAGGCTGGGCGACAGAGCAAGACTCCGATTCAAAAAAAAAAAAAAGAAAAAGAAAAAAAAGGTTGTCGTTAGTCATCTGGTCCCTATCACAAGCACATATTTACATAGAAACCTGCTGTGTGTGTTATAGTCCTTTCATCTCTGTCTGTTTTCCTGGATTTCCACCTCTTCCTCCTTGTATCTCTCAGCCACTACACTGACGTGATGCCTGCATTTCAGCATATAGTCCTGAGGCTGTGCAGTCTCCTTATGCCTTAATCAGCTCCAGGGAAGATAGTCCCACTCCCACCCTCTCACCAGCCTAGCATTGCCTCGGTCAGACTTTTGGGAGTTTCTTCCCAGTGACTACCCTTCTCCCACTGGCTGCAGGCCAAGGTTCCTAGTTTAGTGGATTCTGCAAAGATCTGGAGAACAGTGGCATCTAAAAGCCACACGTGGCTCTGCTCTCCCCAAGGACCTGCAAAGCCCATCTAGTCAGCTTTCTCTCCTCTGACCGGGAAGTCTTGCTTCTCTCATTTCTCCCGCCTTCAGTCTGATCTCAGAGCACTCTGCCGGGCCTGTCCTCACACTCCTGGTGTCGTCCCGACCCTGCCTGCACCACATTGTCCCATTCCCTCAGACTGCCTACTGGTATTCCAAGCAGGGGGCTTGGTGAGTTCAAGGCAGGGAGGAGATATATGGGCTTGTGGGGTCAGCCAGGTTGAAGTTCTTGTGCTTTTGGAATGAAAATATCCACATTTAGGCTTGTCTTGGTGGTGCTCCTTCCTCCCATCCAGGGTGCCCTGCCTCTTTTTCTTTCTTTTCTTTTTTTTTTTTTTGAGATGGAGCCTCACTCTGTCTCCCAGGCTGGAGGGCAGTGGTGTAATCTCGGCTCACTGCAACCTCCGCCTCCTGGGTTCAAGCAATTCTCCTACCTCAGCCTCCCGAGTAGCTGGGTTACAAGCACATGCCACCGCTCCCAACTAATTTTTGTATTTTTAGTAAAGACGGGGTTTCAACCCTGTTCGCCAGGCTGGTCTCGAACTCCTGACCTCAGGTGATCCACCCACCTCGGCCTCTGAAGGTGCTGGGATTACAAGCGTGAGCTACCGTGCCCAGCTGCGTCTTTTTCTTTTCTTTCTTTCTTTCTGTTTTTTTTTTTTTTTGAGACAGGTTCTCACTCTGTTGCCCAGGCTGGAGTGCAGTGGTGCAGTCATGGCTCACTGCAGCCTTGACTTCCTGGGCTAAAGGGATTCTCTCATCTCAGTGCCCGCTCCCTGCTCCCAGTACCTGGAACTATAGGCATGTGTCACCACACCTGGCTTTTTTTTTTTTTTTTTTGAGATGGAGTCTTGCTCTTATCGCCCAGGCTGGAGTGCAATGGCACAATATTGGCTCACTGCAACCTCCGCCTCCCGGGTTCAAGCGATTCTCCTACCTCAGCCTCCAAAATAGCTGGGATTACAGGCACGCACCACCACGCTTGGCTAATTTTTTGTATTTTTAGTAAAGACGGGGTTTCACCATGTTAGCCAGGATGGTCTCGATCTCCTGACCTCGTGATCTGCCCGCCTCGGCCTCCCAAAGTGCTAGGATTACAGGCTTGAGCCACTGCGCCCGGCCATGCCTGGCTCACTTTTTAATTTTTTGTAGAGAAGGGAGTCTCCCTATGTTGCTCAGGCTGATCTTGAACTCCTAGGCTCAAGCAGTCCTCCTGCCTCGGTCTCCCAAAGTGCTGGGGTTACAGGCGTGAGCCACTGCGCCCGGCCTGGGGCAGAATTTAAATTGTACTGGCGGATATTTAAGTTAGACTGCCTTGTAAGGACGCTTCAGGTCAATTAAAAGAGACAATAAGGAAGCAGGACCTGGTCATGCGGTGAGTGCTGCTCAGGCAGGCGGTAAACTTTGCTCTCTACCTCCCTCTGGTGGTCAATTAAGGTAGTGATGGACAATGATCACCTCTGATTTAGAGACCAAGCTTGTGACTATGTAGGGTTGTTAGGAGACAGGGATCAGGAGAGAGAATTGATTTAGGAGAGGAAGCCCCAGGCACCTGCCCCGTGGGACCATTGCTGTCTCTCTGACCCATAGAGTGCACTGCAGACAGACACAGTCATTGGGACAGGGCATTATTTCCTTACTCATTTTCCCTTTTGTTATTGTTTTTGTTGTTGTTTTTTGAGACCGAGCCTCACACTATTGCTGGCTGGAGTGCAGTGGCACAATCTCGGTTCACTGCAACCTCCGCCTCCCAGGTTCAAGTGATTCTCCTGCCTCAGCCTCCCGAGTACCTGGGACTACAGGTGCGCACCACCACACCGGGCTATTTTTTGTGTTTTTAGTAGAGGCAAAGTTTCACCACATTGGCCAGGCTGGTCTCGAACTCCTGGCCTCAAGTGATACACCCACCTTGGCCTCCCAAATTGCTGGGATTACAGGTGTGATCCACTGTGCCTGGCCTCCTTTTTATTATTGTTGATTTCCCCCTCAGCATGGGGTCAGAGAAAACAGAGAAAAGTAGATTATGGGCGTTCATGGAAGTCACAAACTCTGGCCAGAATGGGAAGAAGCTGGCACCCTGCGAGTTGGGAGGGCAAGGAGAATGTTGTAGGATTTGGAGCCTACTTGAAGGGTGCAGGATAACTGGAGCATTTGCAAGAAGTGATCCCTCACATGAACATATTCCCAGACCTGCCCTGAACAAAAGGAGGTGGAATGGTAATGGTTAGGGATGAAGACAGGCTGGGCTGGGGCATGACTGCCTGGTGGAGGCGCAGGAATAATGCTTCCTAGGGATGCTGTGTTTTATCTCTCATATGGGAGGTTGGATGTTTGGGGGTGCAGATCATAGATTGTGAGCTATACTTCCATAAATTCTCCTTTCTGAACAGAGTAAAGCTCCCATACTCTTTCCTTATTCTCTAAAAAGCTTTAATGTTTCTTCCCAAATTCCCAAATCAGCTTTGGAGTCCAAGACCTCCCCAGACTCTGGCTGAACAGACATCAGTGTTCAGCTCTAAGTGTGTCAAACTCAGCATCCAGCTTCAAGGTGTCAGCCCTCACTGCCCCCACCCCTCCACTGCCAATCCCCCTACCCATCAGCCCTGTCTGGGCAAGGAGGCCACTGCCAGCCTCCAGCCCAAACCCAGAGAACTCTCTTCTGTCAGGTGATCCTCCCAGCAACCCACCTCTTCCTGAGCCCCTGCTGATGCACGGGAGCATGTGTTGGAGCTTTTCTGTATTTTTTTTTCTTTTTCTTTCTTTTTTTTTTGAGATTGAGTTTCGCTCTTGTTGTTCAGGCTGGAGTGCCAATCTTGGCTCACTGCAAACTCCGCCCCCCGGGTTCAAGCGATTCTCCTGCCTCAGCCTCCCGAGTAGCTGGGATTGCAGATGCGCGACACCACACCCGAATAATTGTTGCATTTTCAGTATAGATGGGGTTTCACCATGTTGGCCAGGCTGGTCTCGAACTCCTGACCTCAGGTGATCCACCCACCTCGGCCTTCCAAAGTGCTGGGATTATAGGCATGAGCCACCGCGCCCGGCCACTATTCTGTATTTTCACCAGCTCCCCTAGGCTTGTCCTCAAGCCCCATCCTGCCTTCCCTAGCCATGGGCGGGCAGGGCTGGGGATCCCTGATGAATAAAATATCTGGAGAGCCAAGTGTTGTTGGCCAGCACCCGAAAGATGGAGAGGCTGGCTTACAGGACACAGAGCAGTGTCAAGGCATTTGGCTCCCAGGTGTAAGGAGGATCTGTCTCCTTGGTCTCCTTATATGTCAAGGCCACAGAGTCCCATCAGGGCCTGACCACTTTCAGCTCCTCACCTCAGAACCCCCTGAGCAGCTCAAAGTAAAGACAGAAGGGCTCCATCTCTCCCTGAAAGAAATTCTAGTCCAGGATGGTTTCCATCTGCACAGTGGAGAAAAAGCATCACAGGATGCTTTGCATTTAGGGAGCCACCAACTTCAGAAGTGGTCTGCAGTAAAATTGTATTTTATTATCTGTCTGTCTGTCTGTCTGTCTGTCTGTCTATTTTTGAGACAGAGTCTTCCTCTATCGCCCAGGCTGGAGTGCAGTGGCACGATCTCGGCTCACTGCAGCCTCTGCCTCCCAGGTTCAAGCAAGTCTCCTGACTCAGCCCCACAAGTAGCTGTATGTACAGGAACATACCACCATGCCCAGCTAATTTTTGTATTTTTAGTAGAGATGGGGTTTCACCAGGTTGGCCAGATGGGTCTCGAACTCCTGACCTCAGGTGATCTGTCTGCCTTGGCCTCCCTAAGTGCTGGGATTACAGGTGTGAGCCACCATGCCTGGCCTGCAGTAAAATTTTAAATTTTAATTTTCAGTAAAAATTTAAATTTCAGCCCCTGTCGCTGTTCTGCAGTGAGCAGATATCTGCAAACCTACCCCCAAAGGCCAAGGGAATCGAAAGGCCAAAGAAGGAGACTGACAGGCCAGACGTGGTAGCTCACGCCTGTAATTCCAGCACTTTGGGAGGCCGAGGCGGGCGGATTATTTGAGGTCAGGAGTTTGAGACCAGCCTGGCCAGCATAGTGAACTCCCATCTCTACTAAAAATACAAAAATTAGCTGGGCGTGGTGGCAGACGCCTGTAATCCCAGCTATTTGGGAGGCTGAGGTAGGAGAATCGCTTGAACCCAGGAGGCGGAGTTGCAGTGAGCCGAGATCACGCCATTGTACTCCAGCCTGGGGGACAACAGCGAGACTTCGTCTCAGAAAAAGAAAGAAGAAAGAAAGAAAGAAAGAAAGGAAAGAAAGGAAAGAAAAGAAAGAAAGAAAGAAAGAGGCTGACAAATCCAGCTTCTTAGAAAGAAACATTTAATAGGGACTTATGAACAAAAGTGGTTCCCCACACCTGCTGTCCAGAAAATATCTTTTCTATAACAAGCCTTTAGAGTGAAACAGGTGCAGCCAGTCATGGCTCAGACTGTCTTGCAAAAGTCATGGCCACTGGGGAGGTTAGATACACATCTATATGAGGGATTATCTGTGTTACAGGCATTGTTGCTTTATGACGGGTTGGTATGGTTTCGCTGTGTCCCCCACCCAAAATCTTATCTTGAATTATAATCACCATAATCCCCATGTGTTGGGGGTGGGACCGGGTGGAGGTAATTGAGTGATGGGGGTGGTTACCCCTATGCTGTTTTCATGATCATGAGTGAGTCTCATGAGATCTGATGGTTTTATAAGTATCTGGCATTTCCCCTGCTTGCATTCACTCTGTCCTGCTGCTCTGTGAAGGTGTCTTCTTCTCTTTTCCTTTCCGCCATAATTTTAAGTTTCCTGAGGCCTCCCCAGCAATGTGGAACTGTGAGTCAATTAAATGTCTTTCCCTTATAAATTACCCAGTCTCAGGTATTTCTTCACAGCAGTGTGAGAATGGACTAATACAGGGGTTATCTATGCTACAGGCATTGTTTAAGGACTTTGCTGCCAGAATCAGGAATCCAATACCAGTCACCATGGCAGTTTTGCTTCAAGGTGGCATCACACTGCCATTCTTTTACTTTTTATTTTTTATTATTTCCTATATTAAATAGAGATGGGGTCTGGCTATGTTGCCCAAGCTGGTGTGGAACTCTTGGCCTCAAGCAATCCTCCTGCCTCGGCCTCCCAAAGTTCTGGGATTGTAGGTGTGAGCCACCGCACCCAGCCTCTCTTGCTATTCAACAAGCTATTTTATTACAGTCCCCATCCTTGATCCCCCCTCTGTCTGTTAATGCTAGAGTGAAGCAGAGATGGGCAAGGATTAAGAATCCGGAGACCTAAGTTCTGTAGAGAGTTCTGCTAAGAGCCTGCTGTGTGGCCCTAAAGTCTTGTGTGCTCTCTGGGCCTCAGACTGCCCATCCACAAGTGTGGGGGTGGAGCTGGATGAGCTCAAACTCAATTTTCTCCTCGTTGTCATCCCCCAGGTCCCTCTCCAGCTCCACCTATTGGGAAAGGATCCCCTTCTCCCTGGACATGGCCAGCAGCTGCTGTTGCACCTCACTCAGCTCTGCAGAGGGTAAAGGAGAGGAAAGGGCATGAGGGACACGGCATGCTCTCCCTCCTTCTGTGGGCAGGGCATTGTAAAGTGGCTCTGGGGGCCGGGTGTGGTGGTTCACACCTGTAATCCCAGCACTTTGGGAAGCTGAGGGGAGCGGATCACTTGAGGTCAGGAGTTTGAGACCAACCTGGCCGTGATGGGGAAATCCCATCTACTAAAAATACACAAATTAGCTGGGTGTGGTGGTACATGCCTGTAATCCCAGCTACTCGGGAGGCTGAGGCAGGAGAATTGCTTGAACCTGGGAGGCAGAGGTTGCAGTGAGCTGAGATCCCACTGCTGTACTCCAGCCTGGGCAACAGAGAGAGACTCCGTCTCCAAAAAAAAAAAAAAAAAAAAAAAGTGGCTCTGGGAACTGGGGTTAGCTCCCATGTGTGTCCGTGGAGGGGAAGTGGGCGGCAGATTCATTTTTTCTCCTCCAGGAGAGGATGAGAGGAGATTCCTGGAATGGTATGTTCCCTTTTCCCCTTTTGGGAAAAATGAGCTGGCGTAGGGATGGTAGGTGGGCTTGCCCCTCTTGCCTTTTCCTTGGAGGAAGGGACAATAGGGTCTGCACCCTGCCCACTCTGCTTGTAGCTTGGTATCAGGGCTGGCTTCATGGGCATGCAACCTGTGCAGTTGCACACAGCCCCATGCTTCGTTTAATGCTCTGCTGCTACTGTCTTGAATATAATTTTTTTTTTTTTTGAGTTTTGCTCTTGTTGCCCAGGCTGGAGTGCAATGGCGAGGTCTCAGCTCACTGCAAACTCCGCCTCCCATGTTCGAGCGATTCTCCTGCCTCAGCCTCCCAAGTAGCTGGGATTATAGGCATGTGCCACAACACCTGGCTAAATTTGTATCTTTAGTAGAGACGGGGGTTTCACCATGTTGGCCAGGCTGGTCTCGAACCCCTGACCTCAGGTGATTGGCCCCCACCTTGGCCTCCCAAAGTGCTGGGATTACAGGCGTGAGCCACCACGTCTGGCCAAATATAATTCTTAATAACTTTTGTAGCAAGGAGTCCTGCATTTTCATTTTGCACTGGGACCCTTAACTTTTGTGGTAGGTCTTGCTTGGTACCATTGGGCCTAACCTAGTAGGCCTGGTACATCAGGGATGGCCCTCACCCTCATCCCTGACCCTCACCACACAGAGCACCCAGCAGGTACAGAATGTTCCTCCAACATGGAGCTGAGGTTGCTGGAAGTCTCCTGCAGTCCCGCAGCCATTCAAAGACCCCGTTCCTACCCCCAGTCCTCCCTCTCAGAACTGGCTCCTGTAGATCCAGAACTCGATCAACCTGGCAGAGAGATGGGAAGTGATGATCCCCCTGAAATTTGAGAGACAGGGAGCTTCCTGAAGGGAGGGGGACGCAGGTCTTCACGCTCAGAATGGCCATTCCATCAGGGCCAGGCCCCAGTCTCTCTTGCGGCCGGAAGAAGCCTACTCAGGTGGGCTGAGATCTCCCAGGAGGAGGCCGATCACGCCCCATCCAGCCCATCTCTGGCCCTACCACCTTGTATCCCCGCCCTCAGCCATCTTAAGCCTAGCCTATCATCCCCCACCATCCACCCTCCTACTCGCTAGCCGGGCTTGGGCTTCCGGCGCATGTCTGGTCCTCAGCACTTGAGCCTTGTCCCCGATCCCGCCCCGCCCCTGGGCAATCCGCTCTGCCCCCTGCTACCTTAAGCCCAGCCTCTCGTCCCTTGTAGTCCGGCCGTCCACCCAGCCCCGCCCCCCGGACGCCATCACCATCTCTGCCCCGCAGCCCGCAATTCCGCCCACCCCGCCCCAGCCCCGCCTCTACCCCAGCCCCGCCTCCACCCAGCCCCGCCCTCACCGCACCAGCCCAGCCTCCGCACCAGCCCCGCCCTTACTGCCCAAACTCCGTCTCGGCCCCAGCCCCACCCACACCTCCCCCGCACCGCCTCCGCACCAGCCCCGCCCTCACCACCCCAGCCCCGCCTTCACTCCGCCAGCCCCGCCTCTGCCCCAGCCCCGCCCTCACCGCCCCAACCCCGCCTCCGCACCAGCCTCGCCCCAGCCCCAGCCACCTCCTCAAAGCCCCAGCCCCGCCCTCAGCGCCCAAACCCCGCCTCTGCCCCAGTCCCGCCCTCACTGCTTAAGCCTACCACACCAGCCACGCCTCCCCAGCCACGCCCACACCACCCCAGCCCCGCCTCCACCCCAGCCGGTCATTCTCTCCGCAGGCGATCTGCCGCCCGGGTCAGGCCTTTCCGCACCGCAGCTGGTCCTTCACCTCCACCTGCAGCGCCCGAAACCCCCTGTGCTCCTGTGGGGCCATCTTGGGCCCGGACTGAACTGTGGGTTCAGGACAGTGGTGACTGGGACCCTACCCCTCTCCACCCTCTTCGACCTCACTTTACTCAGCGAGTCCCTCACTCCCAGGCACAGAGGTTTCTTTCTGGGGTATGGCGCCCTGCTCCCCCGTGCAGACTCTCCTCACCAGGAAAAGATGGTCACAGCAGGGTCTTGTGGTGAGGGGGCGTTGGGGGCTCAACGCCTTACAACGTTTTCCGATGGGCATTGAGGATCCTGTTTAGGGGAAAGGGACACACCCTGTCACCATGGATGACTGTCAGATGGAGAGCGAAATCACGAGGACGGAAAGCCCAAACGGAAGAGGTGTCCTGCGCCAAGGTGCCGCCCTGAGTGGGCCTAACCTCAGCCTACCTGGAACAGCGTGGTGGAGGCTTGCGGGGAGGATGCACCGAAAAGGCCCAAGAAACCCGTGGCTGCCATCACAGTCAGCACTACGTCCCGCCAATGTCCAGGGGACCCCTCTGCATCCCACCCACCATCACCCCAAAGTCTTTCCCTTGCGAAGGGGCTCTGGGCTTCAGCTGCTGACTTGACAGATTTCTTTCCTTTGCTTAGGAAAGGGGTCTCTGTGTCCCTCTCACCTTCTAAGGTTTTGTCCACCTTTGGGTTGGGGATGGGGAGAAGAGCCCTCTGCTTCTCTGACCTTCTGAGGGCATTTTCAGCTTCTTGTTCTTGGATGGGGGATGTCTGTGAAGGTCAGAAATGGGGCACTGTGGCCAGGTGTGGTGGCTCACGCCTGTAATCCCAACACTTTGGGAGGCTGAGGCAGGTGGATCACATGAGAACAGGAGTTTGAGACCAGCCTGGCCAACATGGTGAAACTGTCTCTCCCTATCTCTCCTATTTCATTCCACTGGAAGGGGAGTGTGTGTGTGTCCCAGAGGGACAGGGCCCCGTGGATTCTCTCCCATCTCTACTAAAAACACAAAATTAGCTAGGTGTGGTGGTGTGCGCCTGTAGTCCCAGCTACTCAGGAGGCTGAGGCAGGAGAATTGCTTGAACCCAGGAGGCGGAGATTGCAGTGAGCCAAGATCGCACCATTGCACTCCAGTCTGGGCAACAAGGGCGAGACTCTGTCTCAAAAAAAAGAAGAAATGGGGCACTGGGCACTGGCTGTCTCTGACTTCTCTGTCCCTTCCCACCCCCACCCGCCCCTGCACCCAATATATATAGTGTTGCCTCCAGGAGGGGACACGTAGGTGCAGGCATTAGGGAGCCACACAGCAGGGGATGTGGAATAGGGATTGGGAGGGACCCAGGAGGGGGTGGAGTCGCCAGCTGGTTTGGGGGGCAGAGCCCAAACAGAAATGGAAGACTCCAAACTTCCAGACTTCAGCTCAGCTCTGAGGGCTTGGCTCAGAGTAGGAACCGTCCCTTGGGAGGCCGCCTCCCCTCCCCTTCCCTCCCTCACACTGTACTCTGTGACTCCAGCTCTCCTCCCCAGTGACCCACTGCTTGGGGAGAAAGGCCATGATGATGCTCCCGTGTGGAAACAGAGAGCCCTGGGAAATGCAGCTGTCCACAGGGCAGGGAGGGGAGGGGAGGGGAGGAGATGGGAGAGAATGAAAGAAGGGAACCCTGGCAGATGGTGGGAGAACCCTGGCTGCAGTGGAGCTGCCTGGCGAAAGAGCCAGCTGGGAATCTCAAAACCTGGGCTTTGCTCACAGATTGACCTTGGGTCAGTCCCTGGACTTTTCCAAAGTCCAGTTTCCTAAACTGTACGAAATGGTGATTGCAATAGCAATTTTGCCTTCCTCAGGGGATTCCTGTGAGATGATAGATGAAAAAGTCCTTAGAAAAGATAAAAGTGTGAAGGGAAATGGCATAGAATGCAGAGGAGAGTAGGGGCTGCGTGGGGGAAGGAGAGGGGCAAGTGTGCATGGAAGGGATGGGGCAGAGAAGGCATCTCAGAGATTCCCAACCTTGAGCCCCACAGCAGTGAGGTCGGGGATGGAACTGCCCCTCTGGCCTTACCCCCCTTCTTCAGCATCTCCATGGTCTTGGTCACCACGTATAGATTCTCCCCATCCTCCGGAAGCTTCTGGAGGAAGGACTGCTCTGCCTACTTCAGCTTTGTGGAAGGGGTGGGGCTAGACTCAGAGGCTGTCAGAGGTTGCGAGTGGGTAGACCCTCTGCCCATTTCAGCTGCACCCTGGGCTCATGGTTGTCTCTCCCTATCTCTCCCTTATTTCATTCCCCTGGAAGGGGAGTATGTGTATGTCCCAGAGGGACAGGGCCCTGTGGATTCTAGTCCTGGTTCTTTCCTTCCCTCCCTATGTGACCTTGGATAACTCGCTGCCTCTCTTTGGGCCCTTTTGTAAAATAGAGATCCCTGCCAACTTGAGCAGTCCGTGCTATTCTGGGTGGGTGCTATTCCTCTGTACCAGCCTCTAGCATCTGGCCTGGAATCCTCAACCTGCCTCCTCACCCCACCCTGCAAGCTCGCCTCTTCCTCAGGTTTTCCAGATCATTCACGATGATGGCTGAGGTTTTGGATGTCCAGGGAGTTTTGACATTTGCCTTCGACAGTGACAGAGGCATTCACCAGGACCCCTGTGACTGCAGTCTTGGTGATCTTGAGTCTTTTCTTAGTTCTACAGGACAGATGTGCCCTGTGCTCGTTCCCATACACCCTCTGCTGGAAACATTCCCTGATAAATTGCCTTGGCCCCAAAAGTGAATGAGAAGTGAGGGCTGACCTTAGACATTAGTATTAGTGTGGGGGCTTAAGTTTTGTTTGGTGTTCTAAAAGAGGAAGATGGCAGTTGTCATAAGTGTAGAAACATATATATATATATATTTTTTTTTTGAGACGGATTCTCACTCTGTCACTCAGGCTGGAGTGCAACGGCGTGATCTCAGCTCACTGCAACCTCTGCCTCCCGGGTTCAAGTGATTCTTCTGCCTCAGCCTCCTGAGTAGCTGGGATTACAGGCGCCCGCCACCATGCCCAGCTAATTTTTGTATTTTTAGTGGAGACGGGTTTTTGCCAGGTTGGCCAGGCTGGTCTTGAACTCCCAACCTCAGGTGATCCACCAGCCTCGGCCTCCCGAAGTGCTGGGATTACAGGCGTGAGCCACTGTGCCCGGCTGAAATATATATTATGATTGGGGAAGATCAACTGCATTACAGGGGCCCGAGGCAGATACGTGTGTGTGTGCTCACATATGCGTGTGTGGTGGTAGTGGGACATAAAAGCTGTGATCACGCCACTGCACTCCAGCCTGGGAGAAAGAGTGAGACCCTGTCTCTAAATAAAAAAAAAAAGAAAAAAGAAAAAAAAAGACTAGGCTTTTAGGCTGGTTTGTTTTGCATGGCCCCAGGGGCAGATCTTCGACCAGTGGGAAGAAGGAACAAGGAAGTAGTTGAGGTTGAAGTAGCATTTTCCAATAGTCATTCTGCCTTATTTACTTCAGTCCTTGATGGAAATTCTTTCTCAAGTGCATCACCAGCTCCCTGCTTCTGAGAATGGACACTCCAAGATTTGAACTTTTCTGCAGGTAACCCGAAGTCAATGTACTGATCTCATGCATTTTGCCAATGCCCATAGGCCCCTGTGAGGCAGGGGGAGTCAGTTTTCCACACAGGGCCATTTAAGAGACACTAAAATGCCCTGTGACAATGCCTTTTGAGTTCTTAGACTTTTAATCATGTCCCTCCCCGTCGTTAGGGTGTACTTTCTCACTGCTGTTATTCTGACCCTCTGTAATATAATTTTTGCTACTTCAGAAATACTGTTTCTAACTTGATATAAGCAGGAAGCCACAGTTCTGAAATTATTAGAACTCTTGTAAACTAAGAATAAATGAGTTCTGAGCGAGGGTTCCTGTGAGCAAAGTACATGACCCTTTGTCGGTGTTTGATTGAGATGCTCCTTATGGGTTCACAGGGCCCCTGTGCACAGCCCTGTCTTCCTGGACTGTCATCACTGATACACTAGCCTGTCAGGTCCCCAGGGTCAGGCACAACTTCCTGATCTTTGTAGTTGCAGCGCCTGCCATGCACAGGAACTCAACGGATGGTGTTTGTTTGTTTGTTTTGAGACAGAGTCTCATTCTGTCACCCAGGCTGGAGTGTAGTGGCACGGTCTTGGCTCACTGCAACCTCTGCCTCCTGGGTTCAAGCGATCCTCCTGCCTCAGCCTCTTGAGTAGCTAGGATTACAGGCCCGCACCACCACACCCGGCTAATTTTTGTATTTTTAGTAGAGACGGGGTTTCACCATCTTGGCCAGGCTGGTCTCGAACTCCTGAGCTCAGGGCCCACCTTGGTCTCCCAAAGTGCTGGGATTACTGGCTGGAGCCACCGCGCCCGACCAACAGATTCTTGTCGAATGAAGGGGTGGGCTTGTGGTGGCATCCATTTGGCAGCTTGGGGGCCTTGTTCTGCTTTCCCTTTGCCTTCCTGGTTTGGGGTGACTGTTCCTTGGAGGTAAGAGAGGTTGATGATGGCAGATTCTCAGAGAGCTAAGGCGAAACCATTTCTAGCAGTTCGAACTCCCTTTAGTCCAATGGGGGAGGCAGTCCCTCCCTTTGGAATAAGCTCCCCGGGTTCCTCTGGCTTTGATGCCCCTCACTCTGTAGGAGACCTCAGTCTTAGGGTTGTGCTCTCGAAGCCTCTGTTTGTGAGCCCAATTCAGGAAGGGGTGGAGCTTCACTCCCCCTCAGCTGGGTGCTCCCTCAGGGTACCCTTGGCTTTCTCTGCCACTCCAGGCCTCAGCTCTGTAGGGCAGGAAGAAGCTGGTGGCGGAAGGGCTGTGTGGGCCTGTAATCGTCCAAGGGGTTCAGGTTGCGTGCTGCCTAGACAGAGCCGATTTATCAAGACGGGGGAATTGCAATAGAGAAAGAGTAATTCATGCAGAGCCGGCTGTGTGGAGACCAGAGCTTTATTATTACTCAAATCAGTCTCTATGAGCACGTCGGGGGCAGAGTTTTTAAGGATAACTTGGTGGGTTGCGGGGAAGCCAGTGAACCAGGTGTGCTGATTGGTCAGAGATGAAATCACAGGGAGTCAAAGCTGTCTTCTTGTGCTCAGTCAGTTCCTGGGTGGGGGCCACAAGATCAGAGGAGCCAGTTTATTGATCTGGGTGGGGCCAGCTGATCCATCAAGTGCAGGGTCTGCAAAATATCTCAAGCCCTGATCTTCGGAGCAGTTTAGGGAGCCTCCAGCGGCACGACTCCTAAACCATAATTTCTGATCTTGTGGCTAATGTTAGTTCTACAAAGGCAATCTAGTCCCCAGGCAAGAAGGAGGTCTGCTTTGGGAAAGGGCTGTTACTGTCTTTGTTTAAACTATAAACTAAGTTTTTCCCAAAGTTAGTTCAGCCTATGCCTAGGAATGAGCGGGGACAGCTTGGAGGTTAAAAGCAAGATGGAATCAGTTAAGTTAAATCTCTTTCACTGTCTCAGTCATCATTTTGCAAAGGCAGTTTTAGGCCTCTCCCTCTCCTCTCATCACAGCCCACTGGCTCCCTGATGCTGCATGTGGTGACAAGTTGGGACCTGGGCCCAGGCCGCGGGAACTCTTGCCTCAGGCCTGGGTTAGCTGTAGGCTGGGCTGTCTTGGTTCCTGAGCCAGGTTCCAGCATTTCCTGGTGGGAGAGTTTGGGACTGACACAGTGTGTCTCCCAGAAGAGCGTGCCTTTTCTCTCCCTCTGTCCCAGGCAGAAGGGCAGATGCGGGCAACATCACCGAGGCTGTCCAGCTGCCTCACCAGGCTTCCGTGGTTTCTCAAAACCCAGGGTCCTGTGATCCCTGGTCCATGGCAGAGGTGAGGATGGGAGTGAAGCCAGTTACGTCACCCCCTCCTGCCTGCCCAGTGGACAAGCACAAGCCCGGGGTCAGGATGCAGAGGGAGCAGTCCGGGATTCTGGGGCAGTCGTTCCATGCAGGAGCCGCTCTGAGTGTGTCGGCACAGTCCTGGCCAGTCCAGCAGATGGACTCTGGTGGCAGGGGCTGGGGAGCAGAAGGGGAGATGGGAAGCTGGCCTCCAGCCCAGCAGGAGCACCCCCGACCAAAGGGGTGGTGGAGGGGCTGAAGACAAGCTCAGCACCCGTTCTCTTCACCAACAGGCCACAGGTGCCCAGGAAAATGAGCAATACGAGATCGGAGCATTGATAAAAGTGACTTTATTGAGTTGTCCAGGGTCTCCTTACTTCCCCCAGCTCTGCAGTCACCCATCCCCAGCTCAGTCATAGAGGAGACCACCTTCCCCCCAGAAGAAGGAGCTCAGGAAACTAATCAGTGTATAAAGGAGAGGACGGAGAGAAATAGGGAGTCTCTGGTTAGGGACCTTGAGTCGGAGGAGGGGATCCTCAGTAGAGGGCACAGGAGGAAGAGGAGCCTGGGGACAAGAGAAGCAAGAAGCCAGGGGAGGCTCTCAGTAGAGGCGGAGGGAGAAGACAGGAGGAGCCCACAGTGTCCTTTTAAATCTGGCCACAGCCTGGCTTTTGACCTCGCCTCCAGCTTGGTTCCACCCACCTTCCCCTTGCCCCTCTTTGCACCCTCTCTTCCAGCCCCAGGGTGAGTCTTGCTGCTGCCCAGACATTCTGAGTTGTTGCACATCTTCCTTGCCTTGTCCACACCTTTCATCTAGGGGCCTTCTCTGCTCTTGCTTTTCTGTCCAAAGCTCTCCCTGTTCTTTTTTTTTTTTTTTTTAGAGAAGGTCTCGATCTGTGGCCCAGGCTGGAGTGCAGTGGTGTGATCTCAGCTCACTGCAACCTCAACCTCCTGGGATCAAGTGATTCTCCTGCCTCAGCCTCATGAGTAGCTGGGATTACAGGTGCCTGCCACCACGCCCGGCTGATTTTTTGTATTTTTAGTAGAGATGGGTTCCTTGGAGGTAAGAGAGGTTGATGATGGCAGATTCTCAGAGACCTAAGGCAAAATCATTTCTAGCAGTTTGAACTCCCTTTAGTCCAATGGGGGAGGCAGTCCCTCCCTTTGGAATAAGCTCCCCGGGTTGCCTCTCGCTTTGATGCCCCTCACTCTGTAGGAGACCTCAGTCTTAGAGTTGCGCTCTCGAAGCCTCTGTTTGTGAGCCCAATTCAGGAAAGGGTGGGGCTTCACTCCCCCTCAGCTGGGGGCTCCCTCAGGGTACCCTTGGCTTTCTCTGCCACTCCAGGCCTCAGCTCTGTAGGGCAGGAAGAAGCTGGTGGTGGACGGGCTGTGTGGGCCTGTAATCGCCCAAGGGGTTCACGTTGCGTGCTGCCTTGGGTGATCCACCCACCTGAGTCAGTTCGGGCCTGGCGCGCTCACGCCTGTAATCCTAGCACTTTGGGAGGCCAAGGCGGGCAGATCACGAGGTCAAGAGATCAAGACCATCCTGGCCAACATGGTGAAACCCCAACTCTACTAAAAAATACAAAAATTAGCTGGGCGTGGTGGCGCGCGCCTGTAGTCCCAGCTACTCAGGAGGCTGAGGCAGGAGAATCACTTGAACCTGGGAGGCAGAGGTTGCAGTGAGCGGAGATCCTGCCACTGCACTCCAGTCTGCTGACACAGTGAGACTCCATCTCAAAAAAAAAAGAATCAGTTCAAACATCCTACAGCGAAGCCTTTGAAATCGCCCTGGGCCAGGTGCAGGCTCCCTCCTCAACCTGCCCCCCCACAGCCCCTCCTCCCTTGCTCCCACCCCACCTGCTGTCATTCTCTGTTATGGGTTTTCTGAGTCTAGCACAATCCAGGCACAGAGTAGGCACCAAAAAACTCCAGGCACCAAAGATGGTGTTGGTTAAGACGACACAGAGAGAGAGAGAGAGAACCAGCACAGGTATTTAGGGGGAATAAAGGAGGGAGGGGTGGGATGGGCTTGGGGGCAGGGGTGAAGCTGCACAGGAGGCAGAGGGGGTCAGAGCAAAGGAGAGGGCATAGGGGCAGGAGTGTGGGGTGTGGCTGGAGGAGCATCCTGGGTCATCAGACCACTGTGCTGAGGATGGAGGAGTCCTCGGAACGCACGGGCAGCACTGGGGCCCGCTTGAGGGAGCGCCTGGTCTCATCTCGGTTCTGCCACACATAATGCACCAGATAAGCCACCATGAGTGTCAGCCAGCCCCCCATGGTGACCAGCAGGGCCACATCGGTGCTCCTCCGGGCCCCACCCCACCCCGACCCACACAGCTCTTCCTCCCCTGCCAGCAGCAGGAACTCCTGCCCCACGAGGTCCGGTCGGGCTCCTGAGCCACACACGATGCCTGTCCCAGTGCCCGGCACCAGCCTCACCTGCCGGAGCACTTCCTGGAGGGCGCAGTCACAGTGCCATGGGTTTGCGGATAGGTTCACTTGGATCTGTAGCCCCACAAAGGCCTCCACGGGCACTGAGGCCAGCTGGTTGGCAGAGAGGTCGAGGTGGCGCAATGTGCCCTCCAGGCCCTGGAAAGCCGCCCCTGAGAGGTGGGCAAGGGCATTATGGGACAGATCCAACTCCTCCAGGACAGGCAGGTGCTGGAAGGCACCAGCAGGCACCGATGCCAGCTGGTTGGCATCCAGGTAGAGCTTGCGGGTGTCATTGGGGATGCCGGAGGGCACAGCACTGAGGCCTGCCTGGCTGCAGCGGAACGTCCGTTCACCTGCTTCCTTTGCCACATAACAGCCCCGGGGAGGCACCTGGGGGCTGGGCACAGTACCCCCTGTGCCTATCACCAGCAGGAGGGGCAGGAGGTGACCTGCTGTTGGGAGCATGGCCATAAATTGGCATAGTCCTGGAGTGCAGTAGGATCTGGGGAAGGAAAGGCCACATAAAGGAGGAGTGAGTCAAGAGAATCGCATGCCCCACTGCCAGCTTTCTCCTCCCGAGGTCCCTCTGGGGAGTCTTTTTGGGCTGGGGCCTCTTCTCTGGGGGCTTCTCTCAAGCCTGGGTGACTTTTTCACTTCCTTATTGGGGTCTCTCTTGATTTAAGTCTCCTCAATAGGGTCTTTTGGGTAAAGGGTCTCTTGCACTTGAAACTCTTTTAGGGTCTGTTGATTCTAGAAGGTTAATCTGTGAGGCCTTGTTGGTCATTCTGGGTCTGGGGGTTTCTAAGTTTCTGCCTCTGTCCATGTGTTGATTTCTCTCATTGGAATAAAGTCTTCTTCCCCTACCTACCTGGGTGGCTGCCAAGTGGGCTAGGTAGGCACCAGAGGGTCTGGTTGGCACTCGCGTGATGGAGACAAGGGGACGGATGAGCGACAGGGTGTCAGGGCATCCAGCTAGGCCAGGTGACTAGGTAAAATAGACCTCTGGCCCCACCTTCTATGCCCATCTACCCCTTTTCCGGGAGCATCCACCCCTCTGCCTGCCCCAGCTCTGTCCTCTCTGCTCTGTACTTCCTCCCTCCTCCTCCCCGTCCTCCTCCATTCCTCTCACCCCTGTTGGTGGCAGAGCCTTCTCCAGTGCAGATGCCCTGTCCCTGGACGTAGGCTCCCTGCTGCTGGGCTCTGGAGACCCGCTTCCTCCTCCAGAAGCCCTGTTTGCTCGTAGCTGCTGGAAGTTGGGGGCTGGGACCCAAGAGTGTTGGGTTTCCTGGCATGTGACTCTGGGCCCAGGTGTCGGATACCTGAGCCATGGTGTGGCCAGGCAATGCCAAGAGAGGGCAGATCCTGGACCCTGATGAACTCTGTTGTGGGGAGACCAGGACCCAATTCCATTCCCTGCACCAGGCTCCCCTCCCAAGGCCTTGATGCTGCCATCTTCCCTCACTCCCCAAGGCTGAAACTGCTTCCCAGAACTCCTCTTCCTTACCCAGAACCTGGCTGGGCAGAAGGATCCCTGCTTGGCAGGCCTGGCGGGCAGAACTGGGTGGGCCCCATCTCACATCCAGTGTCTCCAGCAACCTGTATTCCCCCAACTCCATTCCTCTCCCTACTCCCTTCTGCCATTCTTTCACGCCATGGCACATTCTTCCATGCTCGGTGGCCCCTTCTTCCACGGTGAGCAAACTTCCCCTAGTCTTTCCTTGGAAAACATGTCTGTCCAGGGTTCCTCATTTCCTGGCTCCTCGCAGTGCCCAGACCTCCTGCCTGCCAGGGGTGCTGTGGTTCAATTTCAGTTTGTTCTCTGCGTGGTAGATTGATTGCTTCTCTAGGAGTTGGAAGGAGTTCTTTAAGGCACCTGAAGCCTGATGTGGTCATCTCTGAGTTTTCCTGCTGATTTTATGATCTGGATGAGAACTGACTCAGGTTCTCTCAGTTTGCTAGAGCCCTGGACTCTCAGGTTGGCACTTTGAACTCTCCCTCAGGCCTGGGCACCAAAGATGGCTTGGATGACTTGTTCCCCCAGGGTGTCCCTATCCCAGGCATCATTTGCAGGCCACGCCACTCCGTGATACCACCCTCTCCTAATGTTCACTGGGTAGTGGGAAGGAAGGATTTCAAGGCAGAAGATGAGATTAGTGTGTGACCTGGGCATGTCACCTGACACTGCTGCAGGGTTGGGAGGACCCGCCAGGGTTGAGTGGATGTGAAGGTACTTTGTGAAGTGCTGTGCAAAGGCTAGTTGTTAGGATTACTGACTTCCAGAACACATCATGGTCTTCCTCCATGATTTCATTACCCACGCCAGGCTTTTCCCCTTCACCTCCTCTCGTATGCTGTGCAGGGGCAGAGGTGACAAAGGGTCATAGATGTGATCCATGTGGATGACCCATCTCATTCCTTAGCCCATGGTGGCTTATCCCCTGCAACTCCCTTGACCCTCAAGTCCAACCACATGGTGCCTCCTATGGCACCATCCTACCCACACTATCTCCAGTTCGGTGCTGGGATTCAGAGCCTCAATGATTGATAGAGCTCAAAGGAAGGGACCAGCCAGTTGATCCCTCCTTAGTTTGCAGACCGGTAAACTGAGGCCCAGAATGTGACCAGAGTTACACAATGAGTCAGTGGCCAAAGACCAGAGCCCAGTTTTCTAACTCCTTGTCCAACCACTTTCCATTGCCTGCTAGCAGCTCTTACCTCTGTGCCTCTCTGCCACACATACCAATACCCTACATCCTTGCACGTTGAGCCTGATGGTACCCACGGTATTGTATTGTACGGAACCTGGAAGCCCTCCTGCCAGGTCAGAGAGGTGGAAGAGAACAGGAGAGTGGGGTGTCACAGAGACTAGGGGTGGATATACTTACACGAAGGAAGATGAGGTCATACGCATTGGAGACCTTTCTGAGAAGGATTTTTCTTGCTGGATTTTGGAAGACTATGGGTGACCAGGACTGGACACGGAATTGTAGAGCTGAGTGCAAAATAAAAATGGGGTGTGTGTGGGGGGGTCCCTTGTTTCAAAAACCTGTTAAGAATTTCTTCCTTTTTTTTTTTTTTTTTTTTTAGATAAAGTCTCACTCTGTGGCCCAGGCTGGAGTGCAGTGCCACAACCTTGGCTCACTGCAACCTCTGCCTCCCAGGTTAAAACGACTCTCCTGCCTTAGTCTCCCGAGTAGCTGAGACTACAGGTGCCTGCCGACCAAACCCGGCTAATTTTTGTATTTTTAGTAGAGACAGGGTTTCACCATATTGGCCAGGCTGGTCTTGAACTCCCGACCTCTAGTGATCCACCCACTTCGGCCTCCCAAAGTGCTGGGATTACAGATGTGAGCCACCACACCCAGGTGAAAACTTAAGAATTTCAAGGCCTTGCCAGGTATGGTGGCTCACGCCTGTAATCCTAGCTCTTCGGGAGGCCGAGGTGGGTGGATCACTTGAGGCCAGGAATTTGAGACCAGCCTGGCCAATGTGGCGAAACACCATCTCTACTAAAAATACAAAAAATTAACTGGGCTGAGGTGGCACACACCTGTAATCCCAGCTATTTGGGAGGCTGAGGCACGAGAATCACTTGAACCCAGGAAGCAGAGGTTTCACCGAGCCTGGGTCGTGCCACTTGACTCCAGCCTAGGTGACGCATTAAGACCCTGTCTCAAAAAAAAGAATTTCAAGGCTGGGTGCAGTGGCTCATGCCTATAATCTCAGCACTTTCGGAGGCCAAGGACCAAGGAGCCTCATGAGTTTGAGACTGGCCTGTGCAACATAGTGAAACCTCGTCTCTCCAGAAAAAAAAAAAAAATTGTCCAAATGCACTTTCTACAAAAAGAAAAATAAATTAGCAGACCATGGTGGTGCATACTTTAGTCCTAGCTACTCGGGAGGCTGAGGTAGGAGGATGGCTTGAGCCTGGGAAGTGGAGGCTGCAGTGAGCTGTGATTGCACCACTGCACTCTAGCCTGGGTGACAGAGTGCGACTCTGTCTCTAAAAAATAAAAATAAAAAAGAATTTTAAGATGACGACAGCAGCAGAGTGTAAAACCAAGTGCAGAGCTCTTGTGAGCACAGGGCATGAGGTCTTGTGGGACCTCGTCAGCCGCATGCCTGTGAGGCTGGCCCTGTAGGTTACCTTTGAACAAGCAGTTTCAGAAGCATGATGGGGACCAGACCAGATGGTAGGATGCCAGATGATATCATCTCTGAGGATGTACTCACCACAGACTTATTCCTGTGATGTCAACAGGGGAATTTTGCAGACTCACATTTGTCTAAGGAATCAGATAACTTTCTACACTTAGGCAGGAGAAGCAACAAGCAAACCTTTTCTCTGAGGGCCGGACACTCTGCTGCTGGCTACTTGGTGTCCATTTCGGGACTGTAGCTGAATGTGGGACAGAAAGCTGAGCAATCCTCCCTTTCCCCCTGTTCCTCTCTCACACTGGGCAGGGGCTTTAACTGAGGCACAAGAATTGAGCCTGGCTGTTGATGGAGGGTTATTTCCTTCTAAGACTAGGGCAGCTTCCAGGAAAAGAGTGGAACTAGGGTGTCCAGCACAGCAGCTGTGGGAGAAGCAGGAGCCCAGCTGGAGCTGCAGATGTGGTTAATTAAGGGAGTCTGAGTGCAAACTCGGTGAAGGAGGGAGATCTGGGGGGAAGGAGGAACCACACTTAGGACAGTGCACACTGCCCACTAGGGGCTGCAGAATTGGAGCAGAAATTCTCTGCCATCCATTTATTTGTTTATTCATTCAGTGAGGATTTCCTGTGAGCCTTATGTGCTAGTTGAAGGGGACATAGACAGGGTTCTTAAGGTGCTGGGTCTATGGCAGGGTTCTCAAAACACCCTGCACATTCAAATCACTTGGGGAGCTTTTACAGATTAGTTATGCTGGGGCTTCATCTGGACCAATTACATTAAAATCTCTGTGCATGGGGTCTAGGCACTGGTTTCTTTCGAAAGCTCCTCAGGTATGTCTAACGAGCAGCCTGAGTTGAGAATTGATGGTCTGGAGGGAGGCACAGACATGTCTCCACAATGCTTTGATGTGCTGCCTGCATTAATTGATGTTTGTACAGGGAGCTGTGAAGCACAGAGAGAGAATAAGTATTAATAACATGGCAGAATCATCCCTTCCCTCCTACTACCAGATTAACACACATGGCTTTGGGAGTGGCAATGCACTCAGTCCTTGATGATTCAACCTGATTGATCTCAGCCCATCAGAAATCCTGTTGCCTACTTCTTCAATCTCCTTTGCAGCTGAGGGTGGCCCAATTCTGGTCAATGACATCTAAGCAGAAGTCCGCAGAATAGGTTTGTGGGACAGTCTTTGATTTGCTGGTAAGAGAGGATAGGGCTGGGCTCTGCTCCTCTCCCTACCTTTTTTTTTTTTTTTTTCTTTGAGATGGAGTCTCTCTCTGGAGTGCAGAGTCTGGAGTCTCTCTCTGAGTGCACCCAGGCTGGAGTGCAATTGCATGATCTCGCTTCACTACAACCTTCACTTCCCAGATTCAAGTGATTCTCCTGCCTCAGCCTCCTGAGTAGCTGGGATTACAGGCCTGCATCACCACACCCAGGTAATTTTTGTATTTTTAGCAGAGATGAGGTTTCGCCATGTTGGCCAGGCTGGTCTTGAACGCCTGACCTCAGGTGATCCACCTTCCTTGGCCTCTGAAAGTGCTGGGATTACAGGTGTGAGCCAGTGCACCAGCCTTTTTTTTTGAGAGAGGGTCTCACTGTGTTGCCCGGGCTGGAATGCAAACACAGCTCACTGCAGCCTTGACCCCCTACCAAACTCAAGCAATCTTCCTGCCTCAGCCTTCTATGTAGCTGGGACCACAGACATGTGCCACCACAACCAGCCAATTTTTTTTTTTTTTTTTGTAGAGATGAGGGTCTCACTTTGTTGCCTAGGCTGGTCTCAAACTCCTAAGGCTCCTGCCTTGGCCCCCTGCAAAAAGTGCTGGGGATTACATGCGTGAGCCACCGTGCCTGGCCCCTACTTTGAACATGAAAGGGTCAACTCAGGCCATCTCGTGGCCATGAGACAACAAAGCATAAAGGGAGGGTTGAGTATTACTGAGATGTTGGCCTGGAAATCGCTGAGCTACTCAACCAACACCAGCAACTGCCACCTCTAGACTCAATACGTGAGAAAGAAAACCCCCTAACTTCAGTGCTTCTCAACTTGGCTGCACACTGGTATATAGGCAGTTTTGAAAACTGCTGATGCCTGGGTACACCCATGTGGCATGTGTCTGGTAATGGAGATTTTTTTTTCTTGTTGAGACAGAGTCTCACTCTGTCGCCCAGGCTGGAGTGCAGTGGCACCATCTCGGCTCACAGTAGCCTCTGCCTCCTGGGTTCAAGAGATTCTCCTGCCTCAGCCTCCCAAGAAGCTGGGATTACAGGCACACGCCACTATGCCCAGCTAATTTTTGTATTTTTAGTAGAGACGGGTTTTCTCCATGTTGGCCAGGCCAGTCTCGAACTCTTGACCTCAGGTGATCCACTTGCCTCAGCCTCCCAAAGTGCTGGGATCACAGGAGTGAGCCACCGTGCCTGGCCAGGTGATGGGAATTTTCAAAAGCTCCTCAGGTGATTCTAATGGCAACCTAGGGTAAGAATCATTATTTGGGTTTTCTGTTGATTTCTGCTGAGAGCATCCTTAACTGTACACTAGCTTTTCCAGGGTATAATCAAGGAAGGCTTCACCAAGGAGTGACATTTGATCTGGGCTTTCAAGGCTGGGTTAATCAGGTGGAGAAGCAGAATGTGCAAGAGCAAGGGAGCATGAAATGGCTTGGCTTCCAGATCACTGCGTGGATGGAGGGGGTGGTGGCAAAGGCCAGGGGTAAAGAAGTAAAAAGGGAGCAGATCCTTGTGGCTTGCACGCCATGGATGCATTGGGACTTGATTCCGTGGCTTATGGATTAAAAAGGTTTTATTTAGTTTTTATTATTTTATTTATTTATTTTTTTGAGACGGAGTTTCACTCTTGTTGCCCAGGCTGGAGTGCAATGGCATGATCTCAGCTCACTGAAACCTCTGCCTCCCAGGTTCAGGCGATTCTCCTGCCTCAGCCTCCGGAGTAGCTGGGATTACAGGCACCCGTCACCACACCCGGATAATTTTTGTATTTTCAGTAGATACGGGGTTTCACCATGTTGACCAAGCTGGGCTTGAACTTCTGACCTCAGGTTATCTGCCTGCCTTGGCCTCCCAAGGTGCTGGGATTACAGGCGTGAGCCACTGCGCCCGGCCTATTTATTTATTTTTTTTAGACAGAGTCTCACTCTGTCACCCAGGCTGGAGTGCAGTGGCTTGATCTCGGCTCACTGCAATCTCTGCCTCCTGGGTTCAAGCAATTCTCCTACCTCAGCCTCCTGAGTAGCTGGGATTACAGGCGTGCACCACCATGCCCAGCCAATTTTTTTTATTAATGTTATTATTTTTTTAATAGAGACGGGGTTTTACCATGTTGTCCAGGCTAGTCTTGAACTCCTGACCGCAAGTGATCCTCCAACCTCAGCCTCCCAAAGCGCTGGGATTACAGGTGTGAGCCGCTGTGCCAGGCCAAATTTTTATTTTTATTTTTTTCGAGACGGGGTCCCACTCTGTCTCCCAGCCTGGAGTGCAGTGGTGGCATCACAGCTCACGGTAACTTCAACCTCCCCAGGCTCAGGAGATCCTTCCACCTCAGCCTCCCAAGGGATTACAACCAGAGGTGCATGCCACCATGCCCAGATATTTTTTTTTTTTTTTTTTGTATTTTTGTGTAGAGATGAGGTTTGGTCATATTGAGCAGGCTGGTTTCAAACTCCTGGGTTCAAGTGATCCACCCTCCTCGACTTCCCAAAGTGTTGGGATTACAAGCGTGAGCCACCGCATCTGGTCGGATTGAAAGGTTTTAAAATTAGATTTGATGTCTGGATCACTCTGTTGGTTGTGTCGGGGATGTATTGGTGGCAGGAAAACCAGTTATGGCAAAGGTCTAGGTGTGAGATGATAAAGACCTGAGGGACACATGGCATGGGTCTGGAAAAGCCATCACCGGGGAGTCTCACGCTCTGTCTTGGCCTGTGAAGTGCCTGGGAAAATTCTCGGGCTAGGCCCAAGACCAGCAGATGTTTATGCCACGGGGCACATCCTTTCTGTTTTCTGGACCCTCACAGTCTCTGAGATCCCTTCTAGCCTGATGCTCCACGTGTCTAGAATGGCAGGCAGGGAAGAGACTGAGGCATGGCAGGGCCCTGGCTCCCAAGTTCAGGGCTCAGGAAAGTGAGCCTCTTAGCCTCCCACCCTCGGCAGTCTGAGTCACAGCTCCTCCCTCCAAGGGTGGTAACTCTATATCCCCAATATGTGACCACAGGGGAAAGAAGTTCAGCAGGCCTCCATCCCCTTCCCTCCCTGATGTTGGAGACCTCCAGGTCCAGCCTGGATGGGGGGATAACTGAAAGGAAAAAGATAGATAGATAGGTAGGTAGATAGATAGATAGAGAAGATAGATAAGGAAGGGCTACCTTCTTTATCAGGTCAGCCAGGGACCCGTCTAATGCCAGGTTACTGGGCAGTTTCGCGGAGAGGGCAACAAAGGCCTCTGCTATTGTTGTTCCCTGTAGAAAAGAGCAAGGGGTGTATACATACACTTCATGCTGCCATGCTTGGAGATACTGTCTCATTTACTTAACACATATCTGAGCATGTACTGTGTACCAGGGCCTCTTAGGCATTGGGGATTCAGAGTTGTTTTTTTCTTTTGTTTGAGACAGGTCTCGTTCTGTCATCCAGGCTGGACCACAGTGGCATGATCACAGCTCACTTGCAGCCTCAACCTCCTGGGTTCAAGCCGTCTTCCCACCTCACCCTCCCAAGTAGCTGGGACTACAGGCGCACACCACCACACCCAGCTAACTTTTGTATTTTTGTGTAGAGCCACCGCGCCTGGCTGAGAACTAAATGTCCCCCAGCCAATGAGGGAAGACTGGTGTGTGCACAAATATAGCCCTCCGATCACCTAAGGGAAGGCTTGGGTTGAGGGATCCGCCAGGGTCACAGCAGCCTGGAGGATGAAGCAGTGGACTCTGCTTGGACACTGGGGAAGGCTGCACCGAGAAGGTGACAGGTGAGGTAGGCCTTGAGGGGTGTATAGGAGTCCATCAGATGGAAAAGGGTACGAGGCTGAGGCAAGAACAAGGGAGAGCTGTGTGGCTGTGGTCTGGGACGTGCAGTTCTGTCAGAGGCGTGTGAACCAGAGCAACTCCGTCTTAAATAGAAGCTGGGTAAAATGAGGCTGAACCCTACAGTTAAGGCATTCTAAGTCACAGGATGAGATAGGAGGTCGGCATAAAATACAGGTCATAAAGACCTTGCTGATAAACCAGGTTGCAGTAAAGGAGCTGGCCAAAACCCATCAAAACCAAAATGGCAATGAGAGTGACCGCTGGTGGTCCTCACTGCTACACTTTCAGCCGCGCCATGACAGTTTACAAATATCATGGCAACGTCAGGAAGTTACCTTAAATGGTCTAAAAAGGGGAGCACGAATAACCCACCCCGTGTTTAGCACATCATCAAGAAATAACCATAAAAATGGGCAACCAGCAGCCCTCGGGGCTGCTCTGTCTGTTGAGTAGCCATTATTTTATTCCTTTACTTAATAAACTTGCTTTTACTTTGCACTGTGGACTCACCCTGAATTCTTTCTTGCGTGAGATCCAAGAACCCTCTCTTGGTGTCTGGATCGGGACCCCTTTCTGGTAACAGTTCCGTTACATAGTTCAGTTAACATTTATTGAGAATTCACTCTGTTCGGGAAATGCAAATGTGAGACAGGGAGCAAGTCTAGCAGCCCAGGGGGAGGTGGTTCTGTAACAGACAAATAAAGCCCTTTGCCCAGTGCCTGGAACATAGCAAACAATAATGTTTGCTGTGATTGTTACTGAGGGAGGAGCTGGCCTTAGGCAGAAGAAGGTGATCTGGGAACGGTGGCCACCCAGATTTCTAGACAGGTGAGGCTAGGAGTAGGAACTCAGTTGGTAGGGAGCTAGGGGGTCTTGTCTTGAACTTACTGTTTTTATATCCATTGCCCTTTTGATCTGAAATATTTTCAGTTTTCTAACTGCTTTTGTTCATGGGAGAGTGTCAATTGTCCATATCAAAGAATATGCAGGTTGAAGGGTTCCTAAGGTACCTCCCTGCACTTGGTTCCCCAGGGAGGTTCTTGTTCCCAGGCACAGGCTGGGGGATGGGGACCCAGTGGCCCTGACCAGTTCAGCCCTTTCTCTCCACAGCCCAAAATAGCCAACTACAGGACTGGGCGAGGGAGGCAGAACAGAGTGCCCGCTGGCGATGCTGCCAGTCCCGCACCCACTCCTGGCTTCTGACTGGCTCAGTAGTTCTCAGGAGGGTCATTCGCTGCTCCTTTGTCTGCTTAACATCTGCCTTCCCCTCCCCCTCCTTCTTCCCACCACATGCCTGGGGTATCCCCCACCCAAACAAAAATAAAAACACAACTGTCAATGAAATAAGCAGTTCTTTCCTTCCTTGCACTTGCTCTGGACAGGACCTCACCACCCTCCCTTCAGGAAGCAGGTGGGGGAGGAGGGGAGGAGTAGGAGTGGAGAGGTGGTATTCTTTCCCCCAGGGGAAGGGGCTCTGTTTCTTTTTTCTTTTCTTTTTTTTTGAGACGGAGTCTTGCTCTGTCGCCCAGGCTGGAGTGCTGTGGCGCCATCTCGGCTCACTGCAAGCTCCGCCTCCCGGGTTCACGCCATTCTCCTGCCTCAGCCTCCTGAGTAGCTGGGATTACAGGCGCCCGCCACCACGCCCGGCTAATTTTTGTATTTTTAGTGGAGATGGGGTTTCACTGTGTTAGCCAGGATGGTCTCGATCTCCTGACCTCGTGATCTGCCCGCCTCGGCCTCCCAAAGTGCTGGGATTACAGGCGTGAGCCATCGCACCCAGCTCGAGGCACTGTTTCTTGACATCCCTTCTCCCAGCTTCTGAACACGGCCAGCAGCATCCCAGGAACATGTTCCTTGTTTATCAACCTATCTCAGCCCACAAGACGGTGTATGTCTCACAAGCAGAGGCCCGATCACCACTCCCAGATCACCAGATGAAAGCACACTGAGGCTGGGGAATGTGTCTACCTCAGCAGCCTAAGGAACTCCCAGAGGGCAGAAAGAGCCTGTGGCAGACTCATTTTGTTTTTAAACAATTTTAATAAAAAATTTAAAAGTAATACCACATTACGTGAAGTTTGAAACTAGAGAATGAAAAAGATCACCCTAAATCCCTTCATCCTGATTCAAGGTTTTTTTGTTGTTGTCTTTCTTCCTTCCTTCCTTCCTTTCTTTATTTTTTGAGACAAAGTTCCACTCTTGTTGCCCAGGCTGGAGTAAAATGGCGCCATCTCTGCTCTCTGCAGCCTCCGCCTCCCGGGTTCAAGCAATTCTCCCACCTCAGTCTTCCTAGTAACTGGGATTACAGGGGCGCGCCACCATGCCTGGCTAATTTTTGCATTTTTAGTAGAGACGGGGTTTCACCATGTTGGCCAGGCTGGTCTCGAACTCCTGACCTCAGATGATCCACCTGCCTCGGCCTCCCAAAGTGCTGGGATTACAGGCGCTAGCCACCATGCCCGGTTGTTGTTGTTTTAAGAGACAGGGCTTGCTTTATTGCCCAGGCTGGAGTGAAATAGCGAGATCATAACTCACTGCAGCCTCGAATTCCTAGCGAGATCATAACTCACTGCAGCCTCGAATTCCTTGGGCTCAAGCGATCCTCCCGCCTTAGCCTCCTGAGTAGCTGGGACTACGGGAACATGCCACCATGCCCGGCTAATTTATTTTTGTTTTTTATAGAGATGGTGGTTGGGTGGGGGGGGGGTCTCATTACGTTGCCAGGCTGGTCTTGAACTCCTGGCCTCAAGCAATCCTCCCGCCTCAGCTTCCCAAAGTGCTGGGATTACAGGCTTGAGCCACAGTGCCCGGCCCAAGGTCTGTTTTTATTTTGTTGAATTTCCATAACCTAGTAAAGTAGATGCTCAAATATCATTCAAATGTGGAATGAATTAATAAAAGGCAACACATACTGAGCACTTAATTATGTGCCAGGAATTGTTTTGAGTGTTTCATTTCACATTTACTGACCCATTTAATATCCACAACATGAGGAGGGTATTATCATGATCATCGCCATCTTCATTTACTTTATTTTTTCCGAACACCAGTGTCACTTGCCAATTCTTTTAGCAACGAGGTAACTGAAGCACAGAGAGGTTCAGTAACTTGCTTAAGGTTACACAGCTGGTAACTAGAGGAGCTGCGAGTTGAACCCTGGCAGTCTGGTGCCAGAGGATGTTACCAGTGCTGCTCTATTTTGGCTTATCTTAATCATTAACGTATATGCAGGTTTAGACTTTTTATTATGAACAGTTTTAAACATTAAAAAAGTAGAGAAAATAGCCCAGGCGTGGTGGCTCATGCCTGTAATCCCAGCACTTTGGGAGGCCAAGGTGGGCAGATCACTTGAAGTCAGGAGTTCAAAACCAGCCTGGCCAACATGGTGAAACCCTGTCTCAACTAAAAATACAAAAATTACCTGGATGTGGTGGCGTGCACCTGTAATCCCAGCCCACTCGGGAGGCTGAGGCAGGAAAATCTCTTGAACTAGGGAGGCGGAGGTTGCAGTGAGCCGAAACTGCACCACTGTGCTCCAGCCTGGGTGACAGAGTGAGACTCTGTCTCAAAAAAAAAAAAAAAAAAAAAGTATAGAAAATAATATAAGGAACTTCATGTCCTCATCACACAGCTTCCATAATTATCACCTCATGGCTCATCTTATTATTTCCCTATGGTTCCCAGTCCAGATTATTTCGAAGCAAATGCAATCACTGTATCATTTCATCCACAGATATTTTAGTATGTATGTATGTCTGAAAGGAGGACTTTTTTTTTTTTTTTTTTTTTGAGACGAAGTCTCTCTCTGTCACCCGGGGTGGAGTACAGTGGTATGATCTCGGCTCACTGCAACCTCTGCCTCCCAGTTTCAAGTAATTCTCCTGCCTCAGCCTCCCGAGTAGCTGGGATTACAGGCACGTGCCACCATGCCTGGCTAATTTTTTTCTATTTTTAGTAGAGACGGGATTTCACCATGCTGGCCAGGCTGGTCTCAAACTCCTGACCTTGTGATCTGCCTGCCTCACCTCCCAAAGTGCTGGGATTACAGGTGTGATCCAACGCACCCAGCCAAGGAAGACTTTTTTTTTTTTTGAGATGAAGTTTCACTCTTGTCTCCCAGGCTGGAGTGCAATGGCACGATCTCGGCTCACTGCATCCTCCACCTCCTGGGTTCAAGCGATTCTCCTGCCTCAGCCTCTCAAGTAGCTGGGATTATAGGCGCCTGTCACCACGCCTGGCTAATTTTTGTATTTTTAGTAGAGGCGGGGTTTCACCATGTTGGCCAGGCTGGTCTCGAACTCCTGACCTCAGGTGATCTGTCTGCCTGAGCCTCCCAAAGTGCTGGGATTACAGGCATGAGCTACCACGCCCAGCCATGGAGGACTTTTTAAATTAAAAAAACAACCTTACCACAATTCCATATCACGCCTAAACATTTAGAATTCCTTAATATCGTTGAATACCTTGTCAGTATTCAAATTTGCCTGATAACTTAATAAAATCTTTTTTTTTTTTTTTTTTTTTTTGAGACAGAGCCTTGCTCAGTCACCCAGGCTGGAGTGCCAATGGTGCAATCTTGGCTCACTACAACCTCTGCCTCCTGGGTTCAAGCAATTCTCTTGCTTCAGCCTCCTGAGTAGCTGGGATTACAGGCGCCCATCACCACACCCAGCTAGTTTTTGTAGTTTTAGTAGAGACGGAGTTTCACCACGTTGGCCAGGCTGGTGTCAAACTCCTGACCTCAGGTGATCCGCCTACCTTGGCCTCCCAAAGTACTGGGGTTACAGGCATGCGTGACCATGCCCGGCCTTTTTTTTTTTTTTTTTTTTTTTTTTTTTAAAGTCAGTTTGCTTGAATCAGGATCCAAATAAGACTTTTAGTTGATATATCATTTAATTTATTTTAATCTGTAAGTCTCTCCCCCTCTTTTTTTTCCTTTTTTTTTTTTTTTTTTTTTGAGACAGGATCTCACTCTGCTGCCCAGACTGGAATGCACTGGCACGATCACAGCTCACTGCAGCCTTGACCTCCCGGGCTCAATTGATCCTCCCACCTCAGCCTCCTGAGTAGCTGGGACTATAGACACACCACCATGCCCAACTAATTTTTGTATTTTTTGTAGACCACGGGGTTTTACCATGTTGTCCAGGTTGGTCTCGAACTCCTGGACACAAGCCTTGGCCTCTCAAAGTGCTGGGATTACAGGCGTGAGTCACCATACCTGGCCCCAGTTTTATTTGTTAAGGGAATTGGGTGTTTGTCCTAATTTTCTTCATTCTAGACTTTGCTGACTATATCCCTGGGGAATGTATGTTATGCTATTTTGTGTCCTCATCTTTTCATATAACTTAGCAAACATTCCCCATACTGCCACAGGGTTTTCACAATCTGTCCTAAATGGCTTCATACTATTCCATCCAGTGGATATACTGTAATTTTTTTCTTGGGCATTTGGTTGCTTTCAGTTTTTCACTACTATAAATATTGCTGGAATGAACATCCTGACACATTGCAGCTTTTCCTGTACATGGGATGACTTCCTTAGAATATGCTACCAAAAGTGTAATTATGGCTCTGAGGCAAGAAGAATTTTTCAGCTTCTTGGCACACAGTGACAAGTGTTTGTCCAAGGGTTTGTATGTCCCCCAGCACGAAATAAGAGAGCTGTCACTCACTCTGAATAGTGCTTAGGGCTATTCACAGCTGAAGAACGTTTGGGGAAGATATGATAATTATGAGGGCCAAGAGAGAAGGAGAAAGATGACAACAGGGACTCCCGCTAAATAAAGCAGAAAGTGATCTGCAATTTACCACAAACCTAGAGTGAGTCAGAACTCTGTTCATTCCTATTGTGAAAAAAAAATCCTCGATAACAGGAGTTATTAATAGTGCATGACATGTTCAGTAATCTTTCTGTTAGACTCTGCATTAGTCAGAACCTTATTTGAGACGTGGACTCAGTCTGGGTCACTGAACTTCATAGAGATGTCAGGAAACTGACCAAGATCCAGAGGGATCGATCAACTTGATGGAGGATGAAGAATCCCAGAGAAAAATCAAAGGAGTCAAGCAGGCACACTTCGGAAAAAACAGAGACACCTTTCTTGCCTTAATGCTGGGGAGGTTTCTGTGAAAAGAACAACACTGGGTTTGCTTATGTCTGCAGAAAGATGACTATAAGGAAAGGCACCTCCACAAACCAGGAGAAACTTCCACAGGACATAGGCAGAGCTATTTCAGACTCAGATGATTATTTCGATCTTGGAATGAGCCCTTTTGGGGCCATTGGCCCTGGAAATATTGAAGAAGCTGCCTGTTCTGCTCTGGGTGGTTCAAATACCCACCTGCCTGGTGACCACTAAGTGCCTCTGGGGGTCCCACTCCAGCTGTGTGACAACTGTTTCCTGGCAGCCCCCTGGGGAAGGAAAGGTAGGTGTAGTCCGAGTAAAGTGCTCCGCAGTTTCCCTGGGCTAGCCTTTTCCTTCCTGTTCCCTCACTTTCAGTTCAGGGTGCCATGAACTGCCATTCAGAGTCAGGTTGGCATGCCATGACATCATCTGACCTTGCTATTCCAGCCCTGCCCTGCATAGAGTGGACTTAGAAAGAAGCTGGGTAAGGAGTTGAAACTACCCAGACAAGACCTCTTGGTGACATGGAGAATGGGAGTAACCGAGGAGACCTCAAGAGCCATTTAGTTCAACCTCCTACAGTAATATTAAGTAGATTCCTACAATGCAACAGGTGCTTTACATACATTCTTTTGGGTTCCCACAACCTTGGAGGTGGGGTTTCACAGGTGTGGAATTGGAGATTAAGACAAGTAATTTGCCCAGGGTCACACTGCCAATAAAGGAGGGCCTACCCCATGTCTACCAGGCAGTAAAGTCTGTGCCCTTGCCTTTAGACGATGCAGATGTGAAAACTGCAGACCAGAGCCTCTCATTCAAAGCCACACAAGCTGACCTGAGACAGAAACTCAGGCTCCTTACTACTGATGGAGGAATCTATGATACGTAGCCTCTTCTCACGTCAGGTGCGGGGCGGCCAAGGATGTGGCCCGGTCCGGGGCAGCCTGGGCCAAGCGTGACTGAGAAGGAGAAGGCAGGCTCCGTTCCGGGCCCTCCAGACCCTCATCCCAGCCAATGTTGTGAAAAGCGCTCTCCCAGGAGGGCCCAGCAGGGCAAAGGGCCGGGCTAGTCTGTTTCTGGAGGAGCCAATCTGGGGCCAGGGCGGAGGCAGCCAGGTGCAGTGGAAAAATCCTGCAGTTGGGGTCAGAATATTTGGGTTTCGATCCAGTCTAGGACCCAGCAAAGACCTACAGAAAGTTACTTACAAGTCCGAGTCTCCTCATCTGCAAAACTGGGGCACGGATAAAATACACTTGAAGGGCACAGAAGCAAAAGTTGGAATTGTTACGCACCAAAATTCTATCATCCGATCTGACCATCACGTCACGGTACAACTTCCAACCGTGCGTCCCCGAAGAGGCCGGGAACGGAGCCCAGGAAAAACTACAACTCCCAGGAGGCGTCGGGAGGGCCGGCCCGGAGCCAGCGGAAGAAACTACAACTCCCAGAAGGCGTCGGGCGTGCCGGCGCGGGGCGGTGACGTACGGGGACCGGCGCGGAGCGCTGATTCGGCCGGAGCTGCCAGCGGGGAGGCTGCAGCCGCGGGTTGTTACAGCTGCTGGAGCAGCAGCGGCCCCCGCTCCCGGGAACCGTTCCCGGGCCGTTGATCTTCGGCCCCACACGGTGAGCCCGGAAGGAACCAAGAGGCCCCAGGGCTACGGGAGGGGCGGGAGAGAAGGTGGGGGCTGCTGGGGAGGCGCCCCGGGCTGGAGAGACGGGGGCAGAGGGAGTGGGGGGTGGAGGGAGTGCATCAGCCGAGGGGGTGCATCGGCTGGGGAGGTGGCCAAGGAATAAAGTGCGAGCGGGAGGCCGGGGGTGGAACGTCGGGAGGAGCGCCTCGGCTAGGGGTGGGAGGCGGGGAGCGGCTCGGCTTCGGGGATAAACGTTTGGCTGCCTCCAGGGCTGGGTGAACGCGTGGAGATGGCTGTGGGGTCCCGGACCGGACCGGGTTCCGAGTGCGAAGACCCAGGCTGGGGAACAGAGCGGGACCCCTCCCCCCGGCCCCGCACCCGAGGTCTCACTCAGAAAACCCCAACAACAGTGAGGACTCCGCCTCTTCGCTCCTCCTCTCCTGTGCTTAGTGCGGGTTCGCCTGGGCACTCGCTTTCCGCTCCTACCGCCCTCCCCCAGTCGGGGTGGCTGGGCCAAAGTTGAGAGGTTATCAGCTGTGGTCCTGCAGCTTGGGGGGTGGGCGGAATGGACATGGCATTGTGACGTGCTGCCCCGGACTCCCCGTTGGGGTCCCCATCCAGGCCTGGATGTTTTGTGCTCCTCTTCCAGAAGACAGGAGGTTTGCTGTTGTGAGGGCTGCTCTTTCCTGGGGGAGGGAATGGGAAGGGCTCACCTGGTGGCTGCCCTGGTGGTGCTCAGCCTTGGCTTGAGTGTCTGGCATACTGGCTGGGCCCGGATATTTGTATGTGGAGCCAAGAGGGTGGGGCGGGAAGGAGGGGGAAAGAGCTACCAGCAAAAAAGTGGTTAACACAACAGAGTTGCTGCAGGCTCTGGTTTGAGGCAGGTTATGAAACCACATCAGGGCCCAGCACTAAGCAGCCACCTGCCAGCTATGGCAGCAGAAGTTTTCGGCTCAACTCCTGTAGACCTAGTCGACCTCTGCCAGCCTCTTCTCTCTGTTTCTCCCCATCTAGGGTAGGGGCCAGTTGGTTGTTTTACTAATGGAAGTGATATGTATCCATAGTCACACGAAAGTCTCAAGAGTGTTTCCTCATTGCCAGTCTTTTTGTTAGTTTATTGATCTCTTCTTTTTCAGGGGTCTCTGGTGGTTTCCTGCTCTCAGGGCACCTAGTGTTTAGGCTTCAGGAAGAAGCTTCTGAGGGTGTTGGCTAGGACCTAGGTCTAGGCTTTTCCTAGGCTCATCAAGTTTTGTTGGCTGCCCTGTGAAAGCCAGAAAGGCGTATGGGGTCCTGTGATCTGGGATTCCCCAAGGCTTTTGGCACTCCTGGACAAATACTAGGAAGGGTTAGTGGACTTTCTATACCAGCACCCCTGTAGGTGCGGGTTACAGAGAGGTGATGGGGTGGCAGTTTCAGGTCAGACTTGGGAAGCTCTTTCCCTCTCCTTAGTCAGAGTTAAGTCCTTCAGAGCCCTCACTTGTCAGCCACATGCCGCCCTCCCCTCTCAGGTGGAGGCTTTTGCGTAGCAGCTGTCCCAGGGGCTGCTAGAGTAACTGAAGCCCCAAGGCCCTGGGAAGATAAACAATCTGAGCCAGCTCTGGCTTTCTAGATACTTGAATTTCTGTTAGGCTCAATTATCCAGCCTAGTGGGCTGCGCTGATGGGTCCCAGGAGCATCTCTTCAATCAGAATGCGCCCCAGGCTGGCGCACGGGTGTTTGCTTGTTGGGATGGCGTGTTGTGGGTCACATTTTCTCTGAGGTCTCTAAGCTTGGAGCTGTCTGAGAAGAGGAAACTTGCTCCTGTTATCCTGGAAGTAAATAACTGGCCCCTGAGGACTCAGTCTCCTGTGCAGGTTTGGCTAGGATCCTAGTCAGAGATAGATAGCATCTGGGTCTGACGGGGTTGCTGCAGGGGCGTGAGGGAGGTGGCCTTCTGGGTACTTCTAGAATATCTCCATCTGGGACTCTTTTCTGCATTCCCAGGAAAGATGGGGCTGTTACCATGGTGATGACCTTACGGTCTTTAGCAAGCAGGACCCTATCTCAGATAGGGAGGTGAGCCAGTACACAGGTGCCATCTGTCTCCACTTTCTCCTGGTCACAGGGCCCTCAGGGATCTGGGGACAGCCAAACTCTGGATAAGGGGCAGATCATTCCACCCCTTCCTTCTCTACTTCCCTCTGCTCACTGTGGGTTGCGGCCACCTCCTGGTTCCTCCTGCTGCAGGACTCCTACCGTTGGTGCTGGGCAGGGGAAGGCATGGTGCTAATATACACCTGGAAACAGGTGCTGAGAGGGGAGACTGAGGTGAGGATGGGCAGGACAGAGAAGAACGGGGGCAGGAGGGAGGCCACAGGTTCGAGTCTGTGCCCTTAGGAGACATATGTTGAGGTGGATTCCAGCTCTCTATGGGAGTTACAGGTGTTGGCCACGTTCTCTATCCTCGCCTCTCTTGTGGGGAAAAGGGCCCTGGTGGTTTGGCAGTGGAGTGGGTAGCATCACAAGGGTTGGCCTGAGTGGCTGCCAAATGGAGAAAACATCCGGATGGGTTGTTTTGTGTCACCCAGGAGGGGTGCCTTCTAGGTCTGGGCAAAGGTTGTCCCTAGTCTGTTGTTTTCTCCTTTCTTCCTCCCTTCCTCCCTCCCCACTTCCCTCTTTCTACCTGATCAGTCCTCCTAAGTTGGGGTTTGGGGAGATCCAGAATTGAAAAAATCAGAGGAGGTGAGTGGATGCAGTGACCTCAAAATAGTTCATCCACTGCTGCCTGTACCCACAGGCCTCACTTCCTTTCCCTCCTGATGGGAAGAGCTTAAGAGCAGATGTCCCACATTAGGCCTTCAGTGAGACACAGTCCAGCAGGGGTTGTGCTGAGTGAGAATTCTCTCCCTGGGGCTTTGTCGGCAGAGGGTCCTCATGGGAGTGCCATAGGGGGTGAGGCTGGGGGATGGGCCTTGACTTCTCTGCCCTGGGGCTGCGTGCCTCTTGATGACCTGTCCTCCGATGCCCTGCCAGGGCCCTGTCCCAATGGGATGATGCATGGGGCAGCCTGTTGTTTATCCCAGCCCAGCAGCAGGAAATGAGTAGAGCTAAGTCCACATGGACTTTCTCCACTTTCCATGCTTCAGAATCAAAAGAGTGGAACTGCCTGGAGTTCTCAGGGAAACAAGGGCCTGCCTCCCAGCGGGATCCGAGGGTGAGAGGGGGCAGGGAAAGCAGTGTGACCTGTCTGACCTGTGCTGCTTGTTTGCAGAACAGCAGAGAGGGGCAGCAGGATGAATGTGGGCACAGCGCACAGCGAGGTGAACCCCAACACGCGGGTGATGAACAGCCGTGGCATCTGGCTCTCCTACGTGCTGGCCATCGGTCTCCTCCACATCGTGCTGCTGAGCATCCCGTTTGTGAGTGTCCCTGTCGTCTGGACCCTCACCAACCTCATTCACAACATGGTGAGAGCCTGTCTGCTGCCTGCCCCTGCCCCTGCCCCTGCCCTGTGGGCTGCCCTTTGGCAGGGCTGAGGGATAGGAGGAGCCTGTCGGGCCTGGCCCAGGTGTCAGGGTGATGTACTGACGACATCTGCCTCCAGAGCCCAGGCCTAGCCCTTACCTCTCTGCCTTGCTCCCCCTTCTGGGTTCCTGCCCTGTGTACCATGACAGGAATCAAATCTGCAGATTTTTCCACATCTCTAGGGTGGGGTGGCTGTTGGCCTGGAAGATGTGCTCCTGAGAGCTGAACAAAGGGCTCCAGAGAGTTCCCAGGACCCGAGAGTCCTGGTGCCTAGGCTGATACAGAAATGCCCCTTTCTCAAGTTAGCTTCTCGAACCGTCTTCCACTTTTGCCCTTCTCTGCTCCCTCACCACTTGCTACCTTGCACTCTTTGTCGGGTAAGCAGGGCTTAGTCCCATCGCTTGCCTCCTCCCAACAGGCACAGGGGGCTATGAGTGGCCTGGAGGGGGGCAGCATCTCGGTGCCTATCTTGTGGCCAACTTCCACCGTGCATTCTCATGCCAGGCCTAGCCCGTCCCCCAGGGAGTCCCCTTGTTCTTCTCCTGCCATACTCCCAGCTGCTCCATCCTGACCTCCAGCCCATATCCCCCTGCCCAGCAGAGGGAGGCTCCAGATCACTGGGAGTTACTTGTGTCTGTGACTGGGTGGAGGAGCTGGGCAGGGGGGCCTTTCCCTTTTGTATCCTCTAACAAAGACTTCTTCCTCCAGGGCATGTATATCTTCCTGCACACGGTGAAGGGGACACCCTTTGAGACCCCGGACCAGGGCAAGGCGAGGCTGCTAACCCACTGGGAGCAGATGGATTATGGGGTCCAGTTCACGGCCTCTCGGAAGTTCTTGACCATCACACCCATCGTGCTGTGAGTGCCTGGGCTACAGGAAGACACCAGCAGGCAGGGCAAGGCCTGGAGGACCCCAGGGCCCAGCCATGCTTATTAACCCTGCCGTGGCTCCTGGTGTAGGGATGAACAGAGGAAGTTGGAATATTCCTGGGTCTTACACTGGACTCAGGCTTTGGGCCTCCCTGGCCCCATCTTTCCTCCATTGGAGCTTCCTTCCTGCTAGTGAGATAGGCCTACAGGCTTGGGGTGAAGCTGGGAGGTGGGGGCGGTACTGGGCCAGGAGGGGCCCCTTTAGCCTGAGAGCTCTTGCTTCTTACGCTGGTCTGGGAACCTCTTCTGTAACTCCTTAGCTGTTGGGATTCTGCCTTTCCCCTCCCAGGAAGTGAGGGAGGAAGGGGTCCTCCCAACAGTCTTTTATATCTCTCCCCACCCTTCCCCTCCCAGGTACTTCCTCACCAGCTTCTACACTAAGTACGACCAGATCCATTTTGTGCTCAACACCGTGTCCCTGATGAGCGTGCTTATCCCCAAGCTGCCCCAGCTCCACGGAGTCCGGATTTTTGGAATCAATAAGTACTGAGAGTGCAGCCCCTTCCCCTGCCCAGGGTGGCAGGGGAGGGGTAGGGTAAAAGGCATGTGCTGCAACACTGAAGACAGAAAGAAGAAGCCTCTGGACACTGCCAGAGATGGGGGTTGAGCCTCTGGCCTAATTTCCCCCCTCGCTTCCCCCAGTAGCCAACTTGGAGTAGCTTGTAGTGGGGTTGGGGTAGGCCCCCTGGGCTCTGACCTTTTCTGAATTTTTTGATCTTTTCCTTTTGCTTTTTGAATAGAGACTCCATGGAGTTGGTCATGGAATGGGCTGGGCTCCTGGGCTGAACATGGACCACGCAGTTGCGACAGGAGGCCAGGGGAAAAACCCCTGCTCACTTGTTTGCCCTCAGGCAGCCAAAGCACTTTAACCCCTGCATAGGGAGCAGAGGGCGGTACGGCTTCTGGATTGTTTCACTGTGATTCCTAGGTTTTTTCGATGCCACGCAGTGTGTGCTTTTGTGTATGGAAGCAAGTGTGGGATGGGTCTTTGCCTTTCTGGGTAGGGAGCTGTCTAATCCAAGTCCCAGGCTTTTGGCAGCTTCTCTGCAACCCACCGTGGGTCCTGGTTGGGAGTGGGGAGGGTCAGGTTGGGGAAAGATGGGGTAGAGTGTAGATGGCTTGGTTCCAGAGGTGAGGGGGCCAGGGCTGCTGCCATCCTGGCCTGGTGGAGGTTGGGGAGCTGTAGGAGAGCTAGTGAGTCGAGACTTAGAAGAATGGGGCCACATAGCAGCAGAGGACTGGTGTAAGGGAGGGAGGGGTAGGGACAGAAGCTAGACCCAATCTCCTTTGGGATGTGGGCAGGGAGGGAAGCAGGCTTGGAGGGTTAATTTACCCACAGAATGTGATAGTAATAGGGGAGGGAGGCTGCTGTGGGTTTAACTCCTGGGTTGGCTGTTGGGTAGACAGGTGGGGAAAAGGCCCGTGAGTCATTGTAAGCACAGGTCCAACTTGGCCCTGACTCCTGCGGGGGTATGGGGAAGCTGTGACAGAAACGATGGGTGCTGTGGTCCTCTGCAGGCCCTCACCCCTTAACTTCCTCATACAGACTGGCACTGGGCAGGGCCTCTCATGTGGCAGCCACATGTGGCGTTGTGAGGCCACCCCATGTGGGGTCTGTGGTGAGAGTCCTGTAGGATCCCTGCTCAAGCAGCACAGAGGAAGGGGCAAGACGTGGCCTGTAGGCACTGTCTCAGCCTGCAGAGAAGAAAGTGAGGCCGGGAGCCTGAGCCTGGGCTGGAGCCTTCTCCCCTCCCCAGTTGGACTAGGGGCAGTGTTAATTTTGAAAAGGTGTGGGTCCCTGTGTCCTCTTCCAGGGGTCCAAGGGAACGGGAGAGGTCACTGGGCCTGTTTTCTCCCTCCTGACCCTGCATCTCCCACCCCGTGTATCATAGGGAACTTTCACCTTAAAATCTTTCTAAGCAAAGTGTGAATAGGATTTTTACTCCCTTTGTACAGTATTCTGAGAAACGCAAATAAAAGGGCAACATGTTTCTGTTTCCCTGTGTCTGGCCTTCGCTTCCTGGAAGGCTGAGGGGAGGGGGCAGGGGTGTGGGCAGCGGCTCCCGCTGAGGTGCTGGTGGGGCATCAGTGCAGCTCTGACGGTGGCAGGAGGGGCGCTGGGACTGCTGGGCTTTCTGCTGGCTTCAGCAGGGAAATCCCCCAAGGGGGCTGTGAGGGAACTGGCGGCGGCAGCGGTAGTCAGAGAGCAAAATTCTCTGTGCTTTTGCCTGGCTGTTCTCCGACAGGTCTTGCGCCTTGGCCCCAGAGGCTGGGGTGACCTGTGCCATGGCCAAGGAGGGGGACACTCCAGCAATGGTTTACACGTGGAGCCAGGGTCCCAAGTGGTGCTCAGTCCTTCCCAGTGAATCCCCAGCCCTTCTCCAGTTTCTCACTTCTCTCCCCAAGGCCTTTCCCCAGTCACCTCTCCCTTGGGAGCGCTGCGTTTCCTTCTGGCCTTTCAGTGGAGGGGACTTTTCATACTTCCTCCTCCCACCATAAGCCTGAGTGGCAGGGGAAGAGGTTCTGGGGACTTTCTGAGGCCAACATGGCTAGGAGAGAGAGGAGTCCTATAGCAAGGAATCCTTATCTCACGAGGGCACTGACCTTCCAGCGTGTTCTGGGGAGTATCAGCTGCTATTCCCAGGAGAGGCACAAAGTCCCAGGTAGAAGGGAGGAGCTGTCCCCAGCAGCCTGGGGTCTCTAGCCCCGGTCCACCATCACAGCACCCTTGGAGTGAGTGTCAGGGAGTGTGGGATATTTGCCCAAGTCCAGCCACCACCCCTGTCCGAGTAGAGCCCACACAGTATTGGAAAGAGAAATATAGCCACTGCTTTCACTCCTGGGAGTAGGGGTGCCCTGGTTGCTTTCACCAGCCTGCAAGAGTATAGTCAGGGTGAGGTGCTGGAGAACATCAACAACGATCTGGGTTCAAATCCCAGCTTTGCCACTTATTAGCCATGTTGCTGTGTCAACTTCTCTGAGCTTCAGTTTATTCCACTGTTGTGTAAAGATAATGCCTCTTAGGGCTGTTGTGAGCATTAGCACAGTGCCTGGCATATAGTAAATACTCAATATATGGTAGCCATATTATTATAATTGTAATTGTTACTACCACCACTGTCGTCTATTTATTTATTTATTTATTTATTTTTTTGAGACTGAGTCTTGCTCTGTTGCCCAGGCTGGAGTGCAGTGGCACCATCTTGGCTCACTGCAACCTCCGCCTCCCAGGTTCAAGCAATTCTCATGCCTCAGCCTCCTGAGTAGCTGGGATTACAGGTGTGTGCCAAAACATCTGGCTAATTTTTTTTTTTTTTTTTTTTTTGGTAGAGACGGGGTTTCGCCATGTTGGCCAGGCTGGTCTTGAACTCCTGGCCTCAAGTGATCTGCCTGCTTCGGCCTCTGAAAGTGTTGGGATTACAGGCATGAACCACCACGCCTGGCCTGTCATCCCTTCAAATGTTCTTTCAGAACTGAGGCATGCAGAGGCTGGAAGACAGGCTGGGCTCACCGGGGTGGTTATCTCTGAGAGAGGACATGGGTGAGGTCAGAGGCCTCTCCCTGGAGAAGGAGGTAGGTGGAGAAGCCAGATGGCATCCAGATAAGGAAGACCAGCATCTCCTTGAGAGTGTACACGGGAGCACGAGATGGGGAGGGAGGCTGAGTGCTCCTTACAGGCCCACCCTGTTGCCTCCAGGTGTTAGCTGCTGTTGTCCTGGGTCTTCAGTGTTGACCGTCGCATGGCATTTGGGCAGCTGGTTCTGCTGGGTTATGGTCCTCATGTCCCTGGCACAGACACAGCCATTGCCTGCTGGCACTTGATACCTACTCATATTCCATTTCTCTATTCCAAACACACTGGATTGCATGGCCCAGGGCGCCACGGTGTGCACCATTGTCTGGCCCACACTCACCTAGAATACATACCAGGATCTCCTACCCACTCCTTAGGTACAAGAAGAAGAAGGGGTTCTGGCCGGGCATGGTGGCTCACACCTGTAATCCCAGCACTTTGAGAGGCCGAGGTGGGTGGGTCACAAGGTCAGGAGATTGAGACCATCCTGGCTAACACGGTGAAACCCCGTCTCTACTAAAAAACACACACAAAAAAATTAGCTGGGCGTGGTGGCAGGCACCTGTAGTCCCAGCTACTCGGGAGGCTGAGGCAGGAGAATGGCGTGAACTTGGGAGGCGGAGCTTGCAGTGAGCCGAGATTGCGCCATTGCACTCCAGCCTCGGCGATAGAGCAAGACTCCGTCTCAAAAAAAAAAAAAAAAGGGGGGTTCTGGCCTTAATCTGCCTCCAGCTCAGTTATAAGGTGGCTTATCTAAAGGCTTGGGAGGTGGGGCACCCAGCCCTACCCACCCGTCCAGGAAGTTCCACACCTGGACAACTTTCAGTTTCATTATTTTAGCTTCCTGAGATTCAGAGGCCAGGAACTGTGCAGAGATCTGTGGGGATTCTCACAACTTCCATTTCTGGTGAACAGCTGAGGTCAGAGAGGAGGTGGGTACCACTTGAGATGGGCCTGTGGTTCCCGGGTACTGTCTTTCCAGACACCTAGAATTCCCAGGTTGGTAGTGAACTGAGAGTCAACCACCATGATGGGGCCAGAGACAGAGGAGGAAGCAGTGAGTGGATAAGTGCCTGTGCTGGGCAGAAGGGATATAGGGGAAGGTGGCCAAAGGTAGGATGGGGAAGTGGATCCCAGGAAGCTTTTGTTTCTTCTGAGGCCAATTTACCACCACCTCATTGGGAAATTGTTGGTAGGGAGGCACCCATCCAATTGCCTTGCAGAATACAGCAAGGCAGGGAGCCCAAGAATCAGAGCCAAGGGAAGAAACGACCAGTTGAGGTTAGTAATGTGAAGTCTGGCAACCGTGCCCGTCATTCCTCCCTGGTTCCTCTGTTCATCAACGTTGGGGCTAGTCTGGCTGGGGCATGGTGGGCCTGCCTTTCCATCCCTTGGGCCCCTTGGAACAAGGGGGCAACTCTGCTGTGGGAGATGTAGAAAATGGGTCTCACTTTCTCTATTTGGGGCAATAGCTGCTACTTTTTTCCTCCAGATGGGTACCATGAGGGGCAGAGGAGAATCTGGGATCTGTGATGTTTAGCCCTCTTTACTGAGTCATGGCTGCCTCACGTTCTAGAAGTAAGGCAGGCAAATCATTCCAGGTACTGATTGTCCTGGAACCTTTGGCTCTTCCTTGACCTCATGTCACGTGCGTCCATGTGAAGAGAGTCCACGAAACGGGCTTTATATGAGCAACAAGGCTGGGTGCAGGCAAGCTGAGTCCAAAAAAGGGGTCAGCAAAGGGTGGTGGCATTATCATTAGTTCTTATATGTTTGGGATAGGCTTACAAAGTACATTCTCAAGGGTGGAGAAATATTACAAAGTACCTTCTTAAGGGCAGGGGAGAATATTACAAAGTACCTTCTTAAGGGCGGCGGCGGGGAGACTATATTGTATCAGGGTGGGGCAGGAACAAATCACAATGGTGGAATGTCATCAGTTAAGGCTATTTTCATTTCTTTTGTGGATCTTCAGTTGCTTCAGGCCATCTGGATGTATACATGCAGGTCACAGGGAATATGATGGCTTAGCTTGGGTTCAGAGGCCTGACACCTCAGGCTGCCAAATGTGGAAGATTTAAATACTTGAACCAATACCCTCCTCCCAAAAACTGAAATTGGCTTCTGTTTCTGAGTTGGTCCAGGCGCAATGTTCAGCGTATTTGAGGAAATCACAAGAATTGTAGTTAAGGAGATGGATGCTGGAGGGGATATGATTGCCGTTAGAAGCCTTGTTGATGCTGATAGATTCCGCTGCTTCCATCTGGTGGGGGAGAAGAGAACTTTCTTTGGATGCCGGCACTACACAACAGGCCTCACCCTGATGGACATTCTGGACACAGATGGGGACAAGTGGTTAGATGAACTGGATTCTGGGCTCCAAGGTCAGTATAAGGTAGATGACAGGTGGCCAGCCAGGAGGCCTTGACCGTTTGTACTCCATCTCCTTCTCAATTCCCCATTGTTATCAACCAATCAACAACGAAACTGTGGGATTTGTACACATCCACACACCTTAATTTAAGAAATGCACGGAAGAGCTGCATGGTGGGAGGAGAGTGGGAGAAGTGGAGATTTATTTCCACTGGAAACCGTTCCTAAATGGTCTTCCTTTTCCATTTTTTCCCTTGTAAAATAATCTGCTTTTAATTTAGCGAGCTCTTCTCATGTGTTTATCATTTAAATGAATAAGTAAATGAGGGCAGTTTGCTTACTGGTTAAGAAAGGATGCAGGCTTTAGGGCTGGAAGCACCTGGTTTCAAAGCCTGGCTCTGCCTCTTATCAGCTGCGTAACCTTTGGACAAGTTGTTTTATTGCTCTAAGTTTCAGTTTCCTCCTGTGTCAACTCTAGAGGACTGTTGTAAGAATCAAGTGAGGGATGGGTGCGGTGGCTCACTCCTGTAATCCCAGCACTTTGGGAGGCCGAGGTGGGCGGATCACGAGGTCAGGAGATCGAGACCATCCTGGCTAACACAGTGAAACCCCGTCTCTGCTTAAAAAAAAAAAATACAAAAAATTAGCCAGGCGTGGTGGCATGCGCCTGTAGTCCTGGCTACTCAGGAGGCTGAGGCAAGAGAATTGCTTGAACCCGGGAGGTGCAGGTTGCCGTGAGCTGAGATCACGCCACTGCACTCCAGCCTGGGAGACAAAGCAAGCCTCTGTCTCAAAAAAAAAAAAAAAAAAAATCAAATGAGAACAAATTACGTGAATCATTTATCACAGTGCCTGCCACAAAAGGAGCACCCAATAAAAGTTATCTCCCAGGTCGGTGGTGATTCTTATTATCCTTTCATGTTCCTTGGCTATCAAGACTGAAGGGGAAGTTTCTGATGAGCAGAAATCCCTAAGGTATTGAGGGAATTTATGGAAGAGTCAATTATTCCAACCCCCTGCCTCTGATCTCAGTTATTCCTGGGGTACTTGGGTTTCAGAAGCCCCAGGGTTAAGTGTTGAACTCTCACTTGGAGCCCAAAGTGGAATATGGTGAGGAGTTCATTATATTTCATAATGTGAAAAAATATTTCATAATATGAACAATAGCAAGGCGCTCATAGCTCAGACCTCTCTGATACAGTCCATTTCTTTTTATGAGGTCTCATGCCAAGAGACGGAAAAGAGCTCTAACAGCCCTGAGCAGCTTTAGAGTATTACAGTGTGCCAGGAACTGCTTTAAGTGACCAAGAGCAGTACCCAGATTACTTGGAGGTGGTGGACCTTTCCACAAGCAGAGTTTCGTTAAGCAAGCAAGGGGCTTTTGGAGAAATTTCAGATTCGCATCTTTCAAAGACTGAGTCAATTCTCTGAAAAGTAAATTGCTAAGAGCCAATTTGCTAAAAGTCAGCTCTCAAAAAAAAAAAAAAAAATCAGTTTGCCAAATGATCAATTCACTGAAAATGGAAAAATACTTTAACCCAGAACTAGGATGTTTTGCCACAATAATATTACTCCCCAGGGACAGGGCAAAGTTTAAGTCTGGGAAAAAAAAATTGACTAAGTCAGTCAACTTCCTTTAAGGAAAAGCTCATCTGTGTGCATACAAAATTCGGAGGCAGAGGTGAAACCAAACTTAAAAAGAAAATCCTTACAATGATGGGAATTGGTAATTTGAATTGATTTTTAGCTTGGTCTGCTCCCTATTTAAATGGGTTATTTTGTAACTGTATAATGCTGATGGTGCAGTTAAAGTGTGCATAGGGCTGGGCACAGTGGCTCGCGCCTGTAATCCCAGCACTTTGGGAGACTGAGGCGGGTGGATCACTTGAGGTCAGGAGTTCAAGTCTGGCCTGGCCAACATGGCGAAACCCTGTCTCTACTAAAAATACAAAAATTAGCTGGGCATGATGGCGCATGCCTGTAATCCCAGCACTTTGGGAGGCTGAGGCGGGCGGATCACTTGAGGCCAGGAGTTCGAGACCAGCCTGGCCAACATGGCAAAACCCTGTCTTTACTAAAAATACAAAAATTAGCTGGGCGTGGTGTCGCATGCCTGTAATCCCAGCTACTCGGGAGGCTGAGGCAGGAGAATTGCTTGAACCTGGGAGGTGGAGGTTGCACAGTGAGCCATGATTATACCACTGCACTCCAGCCTGGCGACAAAGCAAGACTCCGTCTCAAAAAAAAACAAAAAAAAAAGTGTGCATAGGATTTTGTGTTTGTTATTAAAGTCCATACTTTATTCACATTAACTTTTTTTTTTTTTTTTTTGAGATGGAGTGTCGCTCTATTGCCCAGGCTGGAGAGCAGTGGCGCGATCTCGGCTCACTGCAACCTTCACCTCTAGGTTCAAGTGGTTCTCCTGCCTCAGCCTCCCGAGTAGCTGGGATTATAGGTGCCTGCCACCACACCTGGCAAATTTTTTGTATTTTTAGTAGAGACAAGGTTTCACCATGTTGGCCAGGCTGGTCTTGAACTCCTGACCTCAGGTGATCCGCCCGCCTTGGCCTCCCAAAGTGCTGGGATTACAGGTGTGAGCCGCTGCACCCAGCCCATGTTATCTTAGTTTTGACCTAGTGTCCTTTTTCTATTCCAGAATCCCATCCAGGATCCTACATTACATTTCGTTGTCATGTCTCCTTAGGCTCCTCTTGGCTGTGACAGTTTCTCAGACTTTACCTGTTTGGGATAATCTTAGCAGTTTTGAGCAGTACTGGTCAGGGATACTGTAGAACGTCCCTCTGTTGGAATTTGGCTGATGTTTTTTCTCATGGTTAGACTGGGTTCTGGGTCTCGGGGAGGAAGACCACAGAGGTAAAGGACCATTCCTATTACATCACATCAGGGGTACGTACTGTCAACATGACCTATCACTGTTGATGTTGACCTTGATCACTTGGCTGAGGTAATGTTTGTCAGGTTTCTCTACCAGAAGTTACTCTTTTTCCTCTTCTTCATATAGTACTCTTTGTGCACATAGTTTTTATTTTTCTTTTTCTCTCTGATATTTTTCTTTTCTTTTACACTGCTCAAGAAGCAAATGGTCCCTAAGACATTAGTGTCTCATGTACACACAAATAGTGATTTCAGTCACTGTTTCTAATTCTGTCACATTTCCACCAGTTCCAAAATGGATTTGTCTTTGGAAATCCAGCCCTGCCTCCAAAACCTAGCAGTGGGAGCTCTCCCTCCCCTGTAGGTTCCCATCTGGGAGGTTGGAGACAAAGGCACGCAGCCCCTTCGGCATGCCCACACATCCTCCACGAACCTGGGGTGGCAACTGACTCAGAACCAAGGCCCTTATTAGTGCCTGATCAATCAGGGCCGAGTCCATGCGTGTTTGTGACTTTCCAGGGTTGCCTCACTTCATACTTGTGTGGTTCATACAAACAACAGCGACAGAACTGCTTTTATTGGAGATGGAGTCTCGCTGTCGCCCAGGCTGGAGTGCAGTGGCTTGATCTTGGCTCACTGCAGTCTTTGCTTCTGCCTCCCAGGTTCAAGCGATTCTCCTGCCTCGGCCTCCCAAGTAGCTGGAATTACAGGCATGTGCCACCACCCCCGACTAATTTGGTAGAGATGGGGTTTCACCATGTTGGCCAGGTTGGTCTCCAACTCCTGACCTCAAGTGATCTACCCACCTCAGCCTCCCAAAGTGCTGGGATTACAGGCGTGAGCCACCCCACCGTGCCCACCCAGAACTGCTTAATTTTTATTTCCCAATTGGCTGGGGCTCCTACTTCTTTAGCTTTACTTTTCTTTGTCTTGTTTCAGCCTACAAGACTGGCTTACAATTATTAAGCAGTTAGAATGTATGCCAGGCACTTGGTTAAGTGCTTAACTACATCATTATATTTAATTTCTTCATTTCTTTTCTTTTCCTTTCCTTTTCTTTTTCTTGTTTTGTTTTGTTTTGTTTTGAGGCAGAGAGGCAGAGTGTCACTCTCCTCCAGGCTGGAGTGCAGTGGTGTGATCTCAGCTCACTGCAACCTCCGCCTCCTGGGTTCAAGCGATTCTCATGCCTCAGCCTCTCAAGTAGCTGTGATTACAGGCACACACCACCAGGCCTGGCTACTTTTTGTATTTTTTAGTAGAGACGGGGTTTCACCATATTGGCCAGGCTGGTCTCGAACTCCTGACCTCAAGTGATCTGCCTGCCACAGCCTCCCAAAGTTCTGGGATTACAGGCGTGAGCCACTGTGCCCAGCCCTAATTTCCCTAAATATAGGAAGTAGACATTAGTAATATTCTCCTACTATAGATGAAGAAACAGATTCAAAGAGGTTAAGTGACTTACCCAAGGTCATGTGGTAAGAAGGTGGAGGAGTGGGCTCAAATCTGGGATCCTGTGACCCCAAGGTAACTGTGCTTCTGGTGAGAACAGCATTTCCTGGACAGCCACAGCTGTGGCGCTCCCTCAGAAGGGAGGGGGATGGTGGCACGGAACCCAGGATGGGGCTGCCCCAGGGAGGGTGTTTTGGAGAGAGATCTTTTGGGGGTCTGCTCCAGAGTGACCTTTATCATTCTCTTTCCAGGTCAAAAGGCTGAGTTTCAAATTCTGGATAATGTAGACTCAACGGGAGAGTTGATAGTGAGATTACCCAAAGAAATAACAATTTCAGGCAGTTTCCAGGGCTTCCACCATCAGAAAATCAAGATATCGGAGAACCGGATATCCCAGCAGTATCTGGCTACCCTTGAAAACAGGTGAGGTTGGAGTTGGGCAGCAGGGAAGGAGGGGAAGAAGCCCATCTTGGGCACCAAGGGATTCAAGGGTGGCAGACCGGCTCTTTTTAAAATTTATTTATTTTTATTTTTCTTTTCCCTGCTTTTCATGAGCTTTGTGGGGGACTGGCTCTCTAGGGCAGCCTCTCGCTCTCTACTTCCAGGATTCCCTCAGCCCTCCCCTTTACGCAAGCACGCCTTCCTCTTCTCTGCCTCCAGAAGCCTTCTCATTCACCCAGGAGCAGTCTCCAGGAAGCCTTCTGATGCCCCCAATTCACTCATATCCCTGCTGTCCCCCAGGATGGTTAATTCCTCTGACTTGGACAAACCTGGTTGTTTTTTTTTTGTTTGGTTTTTGTTTTGTTTTTTTTTGAGACGGAGTCTCGCTCTGTCGGCCAGGCTAGAGTGCAATGGCATGATCTCGGCTCACTGCAACCTCCACCTCCAAACCTGGTGGTTTAAGAGGCACTCTCCTTTGCTCTCCTCTGCTCTCCTGCACTGAGCTGCCCACATCAGTATTTTGTGCTTGTTTCCCTCTGCCTTGTGGGCAAGCCAGTGGCTTCCATGTTCGTCTTTCCCACTGGACTGGAAGCAACTTGTGACAAGGGACTGACTTTACTAACCTCTCTGTATTGACCCCAAGCACACAGTAGGTACTGAGTGAAAGAGAGCTGAAGTGAAGCACGAGGAAAGCAAAGAACCCCTTGGAGGATGTTTCCTGCATGGAGTACAGCCACCCCACCCCAGCAGGGTGGCACCGATCCAGTGCCACAGAGGTTCTGGTAGCTGGTGGGCAGGTGCTTCCAATTCAAGAGGACATCACTAGCCATCCCCTCAGCAATAGTTCTGTTGTTGTTTTCTTCAGCTGGGATTGTTGGAGATTGAGGAGTAGCTCAGGGGAAGGTGACCCACAGTTTTCCTGGCCTTGCTCTCCTTGAGTGGAGCGGGTACCTTTTTTCTTTTCCTTTTCCTTTTTTTTTTTTTGAGATGGAGTTTCACTTTTGTTGCCCAGGCTGGAGTGCAATGGTACATTCTTGGCTCACTGCAACCTCTGCCTCCTGGATTCAAGAGATTCTTCTGCCTCAACCTCCCGAGGAGCTGGGACTACAGGTGCCCGCCACCACGCCTAGCTAATTTTTGTATTTTTGGTAGAGACAGGGTTTCATTCACCCTATTGGCCAGGGTTTTTTGGAGAGAGATCTGGTCTCGAACTCCTGACCTCAGGTGATCCACCTGCCTTGGCCTCCCAAAGTGCTGGGATTACAGGTGTGAGCCACCATGCCCATGCCACCCTTTTTTATTAATAAATTAAAAACAAAGGCTTACAATAAAATTTTACTGGTCCTTTGAATTACCCCTCCCTACCACAGTATTGCTGGGGAGAGGCCTTCAGAATTGTTCTAAGAGAGCTCGGTGTTTTCTATTATAGAATGCTTGTTTGTCAGGTGAGGGTATTGGTATCTGTATGTGGGGTGGGGCACTGGATAGGTAGGGGAAAGTCATCGGAGGCAGGGACCCATGTCTTGAGGGCCTTTTGATTGCAAATAGAAACTCCATCAGACTGTTTTAGGTCTCAACATGAGTTTCCCCCAGCGGGAATGGAATCTGATGCTTCATGAGCCTAAGGGCAGATGATGCAGCTGGCTCCAGGGACCAGCGCAAGGAGCTGGAGCCCCTTGTCAGAGAAGAGGGTGTCTTGGGCTTCACAGATGCCTATCTCAGTGTCACGGGAAGGGCACTCTCTTTGGACTTACACTGACCAGGGTTTGAATCCCAGCTCTACACTTACTAGCTGTGTGACCTTGGACCACTCACAACCTGTCACTAAGCCTCAGTATCTTTACATGGAAAGTGGACGTAATTCTGCCTACCATCATAGGATTGTGAAGGTTAAGTGGAAAAGCGTGGCTCACAGCTGGCACATTGTAATCTTCCATAAATGCTGGTGAATTCTTGCCCCACTTTGTTTTTATTTATTTGTTTTGAGGTGGAGTCTTGCTCTGTTGCCCAGGCTGGAGTGCAATGGTGCAGTCTTGGCTCACTGCAACCTCCGCCTCCCGGGTTCAAGTGATTCTCCTGTCTCAGCCTCCTGAGTAGCTGGGATTACAGATGTGTGCCTGGTGATCCACTCACCTCAGCCTCCCAAAATGCTGGGATTACAGGCGATAGCCACCGTACCTGGCCTCTCACCCTACTTTGTACCCCACCCCTACCTCCACCCCGAGGTGGGTAAAGTGAACTGCGATGGGGTGCTGTGTTCCTTGGTTTTCCAGTCTCAGAAGCGATTAATCTTCAATAGGAGCTGGCTCACAGAGAGGGAAAAGAGTCAGTGGGAGGTAAGGCCCTGAGATCCTTAACTCTCATCTCTCTCCACTCTCTCCAGGAAGCTGAAGAGGGAACTACCCTTTTCATTCCGATCAATTAATACGAGAGAAAACCTGTATCTGGTGACAGAAACTCTGGAGACGGTAAAGGAGGAAACCCTGAAAAGCGACCGGCAATATAAATTTTGGAGCCAGATCTCTCAGGGCCATCTCAGCTATAAACACAAGGTTAGGATCCTGGGAGGCAGGGACTGTGGAGGCCAGTGTTGGCCCACACCCCGCAGGTCAAGGCGATGCCAGCCTTAGACTCTTCCTTCACTCCTCTCCGAGCAGCCCTGCTGCTCTTGGCCACCTTGCCCCAAGAAAGGGTGGGTGGCATTGCCCAGTCCTTCCCTTGTTACTCTCTAGCGGTGCCCTCTTTTCATTTGCATTTTCTTTCTTTCTTTTTTAAATAGAGATGAGGTCTTGCATGTTGTCCAGGCTGGTCTCAAACTCCTGGGCTCAAGCAATCCACCCACCTCGGCCTCCCAAAGTGCTGGGATTACAGGTGTGAGCCACGCACCCAGCCTTCATTTTCTTTGTACATTTCCCATGGTTCATCATTACACAGGTGTATTTTTGCTTGTTTATTGTCTGTCTCCTTTCTAGGAGGTAGGAGGACAGGAGCCATGGTGCCTAGAACAAAGCAGCTCCTCAGTAAACATTTGTTGAATGAACAGTGGCAACAAGATGAGTTTTGGCATCAGACGTGGGTTCAAATTTCAGCTCTGCCACTGTTTTTAGCTGTGAGACTGTCTCACCTGCTGACCTCTGAGAGCCTCAGTTTTCTCGTCTATAAAATGGGGATACAAATGACTGCCTCACAGGATTGTTTGGGAGATCAGGCAAGATAATGATGTAGAAACACCTGGGGATCCGTCAATGTGAGCTCCTTTTTCTAGGGCCAAAGGGAAGTGACCATCCCCCCAAATCGGGTCCTGAGCTATCGAGTAAAGCAGCTTGTCTTCCCCAACAAGGAGACGATGAGTAAGCAAAGGCAGATGGAGAACAGGATGGGGGGCCCTAAACACACCAGTGAGGTGGGGGGTGGGATTCAACCAGGCTCTGTCAGCCTAGGGTGGGTGGCTGGTGAGCTTGGAGGTTGGGGAGGGGTCCAGGGAAAAGGGTGGGTTCAGCACTAGGAAGGACTGAGGCTCCATGCTCTGACCTGGGGACCTGGACCCGCTGACCCAGGATTTGCCTGAACATGACATAAGAGTCATTAACTCCTCTCCCAGTCTCCAAATAGAATAATTGTCTTTTTTGGCTGGACGTGGTGGCTCACGCCTGTAATCCCAGCACTTTGGGAGGCCAAGGTGGGCGGATCACCTGAGATCAGGAGTTCGAGACCAGCCTAGCCAACATGGTGAAACCCTGTCTCTACTAAAAATATAAATATTAGCTGGGTGTGGTGGTATGCGCCTGTAATCCCAGCTACTTGGGAGGCTGAGGCAGGAGAATTGCTTGAACCTGGGAAGTGGAGGTTGCAGTGAGCCGAGATCTCACCATTGCACTCCAGCCTAGGCAACAAGAGCAAAACTCCATCTCAAAAACAAAAAACAAAAAACAAAAAACAAAAACAAAAACAAAAAACAGTTGTCTTTTTTTTTTTTTTTTTTTGATTGGAGGCTGGTATAGGGATTGAGAGGGACTGGAGAAAGGGAACTTACAGAGTGATAACTGGTCTCTCCAATAACTTGTTTTTTCCTCCCTTTTTGGTGCTGGTTTAGATATTCATTTCAGGGGCAAAACAAAATCCTTTCCAGAAGGTGAGTGAGCTGCTGGGCTTCCCGTTCGTCATTTCAGAATGGGCAAAGACACTATTTTTAAAAATGGAATTACAGAGTGGTTAGGTCCGAGGATGTGGTAAGACGCACCCACAGGTGGGAACCATGGCAAGCGCAGGGGAAAAATTAGCCTGTTGAAGAGTCTGGATTGCACATCGGACTAGGGTTTCCAGGCTGCTCCTAGGACAACTTCGTGCTGGCAGTCAGCTGGATCCTGAGCTTACAGCCCTCCCTGAAGTCTTGTTGGCCTAGGAAGCACAATTAAATGACTTGGCCAGTTCCAGCAGGACAGCACTGGCTGTGAAAAGGGTCCTGGACTGGAGTCAGGCAGTCTCAGGGTCTAGTCCCACCCTGCCACTCACTAGCTCTACAGCCTCCCAAGTCACAGTTTTCCTGACTTTATTTTAATTTAATTTAATTTAATTTTTTTGAGACAGAGTCTTGCTCTGTCGCCCAGGCTGGAGTGCAGTGGTGTGATCTCAGCTCACTGCAACCTCTACCTCCTGGGTTCAAGCGATTCTCCTGCCTCAGCCTCCCAAGTAGCTGGGAATACAGGTGCCCTCCACCACGCCAAGTTAAGTTTGGTTTTTTTTGTTTTTCTTTTTTTTGTATTTTTAGTAGAGACAGGGTTTCACTATATGTTGGCAGGCTGCTCTCAAACTCCTGAACTCAGGTGATCCACCCACTGCAGCCTCCCAAAGTGCTGGGATTACAGGCGTGAGCCACCATGCCCAGCCTTTCCTGACTTTAAACTAAAGGAGTGAGACTAGAAGGTCCCTGTGATTCTGAATTATGTGGCTTCCTCTGGAATTTCTAGGTTTTCCCCTTGATCCCAGCAGGGTTGTACTGCCTAAGAGAGCTTGGAAAGGGATAGAGAAGTCTGACCCAAATTTGCGGAGCGACTGAGTGTATGCTGCCCCCTTTCTGGGCCTTGGCTTCTTCCTCAATCATCTAGGCACAGTCCTATGACTGCCTGTTTTTGAGGATGTGGGAAGGGTCTGCAAATACAGTGCTTTCCCATTGACACACGCTGGTGAGGATGCAGGCTCCCTGGCACCAGCAGTGAGGGCTCAGATTGCAAGAGTAAAAACTTCCATCACTGGGAAGAGAAGTCTGCAGGGGACTGGAGGTGATCTGAAGATTCTGAAATAACTCTTCCTCTCTCTGCAGAGAAGGATGGTGCTTCATCCTGTTTAGGTAAGGGTGATAGCCAAGTGTGTTCAGGGTGGCTGCACCAACCCACCCTGAGTCCATGTGGCTCAAGACTGCTGCTCAGGTGGGGTCAGCTGAGTGGGTAGGAAGTCGGGAGGCACTGCCTAGCAGGTTTCAACTTTAGTCTGGAGGCTGCATCTGTCTCCTCTAAACACAGTGGTTCTCATTGGTTATACCCCAAAATCACACCAGGAAACTTTAAAACTAGTGACGACTGAGTCCCGTCTCCAGAAACTCTGACTTAATTGTGGGGGTGTGGCCTGGACATCAGGATTTGTAATAACTCCTCAGGTGATTCTCATGTAGTCAAGGTTGAGAACCACTGCTTTAACTTTCTCCAAATCCTAATTACTTCTAGTGTGGCCTGAGGACTGCACTTTGAATGGCAAGGGCCAAATAACCAAGTTTTTGTTTTTTTCCAGGAAGTGGAGAAGAATTTGGGGTTGGGACTAGACTGGGGGTGAGCTGGGGAGATGGAAGATGGAAGTGGGGTCAGTGGGAGGCAATGATGGTAGGTATCTTGGAAGAAGGATGCTTAATTTTAACACGGAAAGACTGGAAGAAGGGAAGATACAAAGAGGTGGTCTCCAGAAGACAGTCAGACAAATAACAGAGCCTTAGAAATAAAACCTTTTGGGCTGGGTGGCCCAGGTTCTCAATTGCTGCCTCTACAGGAAAGTCTTTGGGTTCGGAGGATTCCAGAAACATGAAGGAGAAGTTGGAGGACATGGAGAGTGTCCTCAAGGACCTGACAGAGGAGAAGAGAAAAGATGTGCTAAACTCCCTCGCTAAGTGCCTCGGCAAGGAGGATATTCGGCAGGATCTAGAGCAAAGAGTAAGGGACCCTAAGAAAGCCTTGGGGCAGAGAGAGATAGGAGCCAGAGGGGATGGCAGTTGGCACAGTGAGGATAATCTGCTATGGTGAGACTGCTGCTCATCTCCCACACTTCCTGGCCCTAGGTATCTGAGGTCCTGATTTCCGGGGAGCTACACATGGAGGACCCAGACAAGCCTCTCCTAAGCAGCCTTTTTAATGCTGCTGGGGTCTTGGTAGAAGCGCGTGCAAAAGCCATTCTGGACTTCCTGGATGCCCTGCTAGGTGAGGAAGGGTCTCGCTGTAGGCTGGGGTGGAGGAAGTGTGAGCAGAGAGGCCTGTGGGGAGTCACATCTTGGGAGGAGGGGCTGCATGTTGCTCTTCACAGTTTATGGGGGGCACTCCTTCATGTCTTCCTCAGGCCAGGCATTGAGGGGCTGGTTCCTCGTCTGTGACTCCTGCAGGCCAAGAGGGAAGCAGGAGTCACAGCAGAGGCCTGTTTGGAGTAAGTCTCATCTAGCACTCCCAGGGGCTCTCTGGAACCTTTTGATGATACATGTTCTGGGTGTGATCAGCCACTGAGGCCCTGTCCCACCATATATCTCTCCTTTTTACCACTCTTTCTTTGCCCCCAGAGCTGTCTGAAGAGCAGCAGTTTGTGGCTGAGGCCCTGGAGAAGGGGACCCTTCCTCTGTTGAAGGACCAGGTGAGACAGCCTGGGCTGAGGGCCATGGTCATAGTGGAAGGGAATGCCCATATTCTCAAGGGACCCAGAAGTCCCAGGGTACAGCCCCTTCTTATTCCATAGTTTTCTGCCGGCTCACATCCATGCAGCTGGTTTGTGACAATTCCCTGGACAGAGAGTTGCCAGAACAATTTGTGGTGGGTTCTTTAGGCTCTGTTTTTTATCTGTGGGCAAGAGAGGGCTGCAAATTGGTTAGTCCCAGGACAGCAGCTGGTATGATCTTGAGTTCCCATGCAGACTGACTAGCAGAGCCTGCCACTATGTTGAGAGAGTATGAAGCTCTCCGGGCTCTGCAGGAAAGAGTGCCATGATGGATTATTACGTCTGCCTATCAGCTCAGCAGCAAGGAGTGTGGCCAAATATTTGCCATTTCTGGTATATCGTTGTTCCTAGCTGTTACAATCTGGGGGGTTTCCTTCCAGGTGAAATCTGTCATGGAGCAGAACTGGGATGAGCTGGCCAGCAGTCCTCCTGACATGGACTATGACCCTGAGGCACGAATTCTCTGTGCGCTGTATGTTGTTGTCTCTATCCTGCTGGAGCTGGCTGAGGGGCCTACCTCTGTCTCTTCCTAACTACAAAAGCCCTTTCTCCCCACAAGCCTCTGGGTTTTCCCTTTACCAGTCTGTCCTCACTGCCATCGCCACTACCATCCTGTCACCAGTGGGACCTCTTTAAAACAAGCAGCCAACCATTCTTTGATGTATCCCATTCGCTCCATGTTAACATCCAAAACCAGCCTGGATTTCATACATGGACTTCTGATTAAAAGTGGCAGGTTGTGCATGTTAATTTTGTCTTTTGAAGCCTCACTAAATGACAGTAAAGCAATAGAAAAACTTTGTATAAACCTACAAGGATAGAAAGAATGCAGCAGCAGATAAGAAACTTTAACACATCTTTGGAAGCTAGAAAGCAATGAAAGGAGTGCAGGCTGGCAGGTGTGGGACTGAGGGGTAGACAGGAGATTGCTGTTTTTATCATCAGGCTTTTATTTATTTATTTATTTATTTACTTATTTATTTATTTATTTATTTATTTTTGAGACAGCTTGTTGCCTAGGCTGGAGTGCAATGGCGTGATCTCGGCTCACTGCAACCTCTGCCTCCTGGGTTCAAGCGATTCTCCTGCCTCAGTCTCCAGAATACCTGGGATTACAGGTGCCCACAATGATGCCCAGCTAATTTTTGTATTTTTAGTAGAGATGGGGTTTAACCCTTGTTGGCCAGGCTGGTCTCGAACTCCTGAGCTCCAGTGATCCACCCCCCTCGGCCTCCCAAAGTACTGGGATTACAGCGGTGAGCCACCGCGCCTGGCCAGCTTTTTAGTTCTATTTGATATTTTTAAAGAAACTGTAATTAAAAGTTAAAGAAATGTATGCTTGTTATAAAACATTCAAACATTTCCCAAATATAAATTAGCAGGTGAAGTTACTCTGTGACCTACCCTTTCTTTCTAGAGACCCAGAGAGGTAAGTGAAATATCAGAACATTAAAGTAATTTTGCCTCAGGTAAGGGGGATTGATATTTGCAAATCCAGGCAAACTAAGTTTGGGTTTGGCTAGCCTCCTGGACTGATGGCTCCAGAAGCCAAGGCCAAGGGCCTATCCAAGTTTGGGAGTCTAGTACAAGGAAACCTGCCCTACCATATTAGACTAATCTCAAAGGCTACACTGTAAGTGTTAGGGTGAATCAGCAGTAAACTTACTGTTCTTACTCCACCCCCAGGGGACTGCAGGGAAGACTCTCTTGGTACTGAGTGAGGAAGAGGTTAGCGAAAGGAAAGGAAAAAAAATTCTGAGAAAACCACAGCCCAGTCTTTTCTCAGAACTTAGCCTGCATTTGTATCCTCTTGAGAATTCCAGAGAATCTGAAATTGTGAACTTGGTTTTTGGGGGTCTTGGACTGAATGTACCCCCAGATGCCTGTCAGAACCAAACACAAATTATCTCTGGAGGAAGTAATCTTCCACAAATATATATATTTGAGACAGAGTCATGCTCTGTCACCCAGGTTGGAGTGCAGTGGAGCAATCACAGCTCACTACAGCCTCCACTTCCCAGGCTCAAGCGATCCTCCCACCTCAGCCTCTTGAGTAGCTGGGACTACAGGTGTGCACCATCATGCCTGGCTAATTTAAAAAATTTTTTTTGTAGAGATGGCGTCTCCCTGTATTGCCCAGGCTGGTCTTGAATTTCTGGGTTCAAGCGATCCTTCTGCCTTGGCCTCCCAAAGTGTTGGGATTACAGGTGTGAGTCACTGTGCTTGGCTGGCTAAGGCACATATGTTTTCCTTTTGAGAGATGTGGTATTGCTCTGTTGCCCAGGCTAGAGTGCAGTGGTGCAATCATGGCTCACTGCAGCCTCTACCTCCTGGGCTCAAGTGATCCTCCCATTTCAGCCCCCTGAGTAGCTGGGACCACAGGTACGCACCACCATGCCCCATCTAATTTTTTATTTTTATTTTTTGTAGAGATGGGGTCTCACTATGTTGCCAGGGCCTCACTATGTTGCCAGGGCTGGTGTTGAACTCTTAGGCTCAAGTGGTCCTCCCTCCTCAGCCTCCTGAAGTGTTGGAATTATAGGAGTGAGCCACTATGCCGGCCTAAGGCACATACTGTCAAGTAACTCAAAAGTCAAGGGAGAAATCCTAATGGAAGTTATAAGATTTTTTTTTCTACTTAGTGATAATAAAAATATACATATCAAACTTGTGGAATTAAGCTAAAGTCTTTTGTTTTTAGAGAAAATATATGTTTCACCTTGTTTGTTTTAGAAAAGAAAAAAAGCTAAAAAAATCAAAAAGCTAAGTATTCATGTCAAAAAGCTAACAAAGAAAACTCCAAAACAAACCCAACAACAAGCCGCTCCCTTCCCCTCCAAAAAAGCCCAGCAAAATAAATCCAGGAAAAAGAGGAGAAAAAGCACACAAATTGACAAAATAAGAAACAAAAACATTAAGAGGATCAATAAAGACAGACATTGGACCTTTAAAATGACTCACAGATCTCTGACAAGAGTGATATTTAATTTAATTTATTTATTTGTTTTTGTTTTTGAGATGGAGTCTCACTCTGTCTCCCAGGCTGGAGTGCAGTGGTGCAATCTTGGCGCACTGCAACCTTCACTGCCTGGATTCAAACAATTCTCTTGCCTCAGCCTCTTGAGTAGCTGGGACTACAGGTGCACACCACCACACCTGTTTAATTTTTGTATTTTTTAGTAAAGACAAGAGTTTTGCCATGTTGGCCAGGCTGATCTTGAACTCCTGACTTCAGGTAATCCACCCACCTCAGCCTCCCAAAGTGCTGGGATTATAGGTGTGAGCCACCGTGCCCAGCTTGACAAGAGTGATAAAAAGAGAGAGGGAGCAAATATCATCAGTTTTAAGAGTGAAAAGGGAACAGTTCTAAAGATGTTACAGGCATTTAAAAGACAGGAGGATATTAGAAACGACTTTATGCCAATAAATTTGAAATTTTAGGTGAAATGGGTGTTATCCTAAAAAAATACAATTTCCCAAAGTTGTCCCAGAAAAAAATAGAAAACATGGGCCTGGCGCGGTGGCTCACGCCTGTAATCCCAGCACTTCGGGAGGCCAAGGTGGGCAGATCACGAGGTCAGGAGATCGAGTCCATCCTGGCTGACACGGTGAAACCCCATCTCTACTAAAAATACAAAAAATTAGCCGGGCATGGTGGCAGGCACCTGTAGTCCCAGCTACTCAGGAGGCTGAGGCAGGAGAATGGTGTGAACCAGGGAAGCAGAGCTTGCAGTGAGCAGAGATTGTGCCACTGCACTCCACCCTGAGCGACAGAGCGAGACTCTGTCTCAAAAAACAACAACAACAACAACAACAAGAAAAACCAGAAAACATGAATAATCCTCTAAGAACAAAGGATACTCTATCAAGAACAAAATATTGGCCAAGCACGGTGGCTCACACCTGTAATCCTAGCACTTTGGGAGACTGAGGTGGGTGGATCACTTGAGGTCAAGAATTCGAGACCAATCTGGGCAACATGGTGAAGCCCGTGTCTACTAAAAATACAAAAATTAGCTGGGCATGATGGCGCATGCCTGTAATCCCAGCTACTTAGGAGGCTGAGGCATGAAAATTGCTTGAATCTGGGAGACAGAGGTTGCAGTGAGCCGAGATCACGACACTGCACTCCAGCCTGGGTGACAGAGTGAGACTCTTTCTCAAAAACAAACAAACAAAATATTCCCACAAAGAAAATTCCAAGCCCAGATGGTTTCTTCAGTTATACAATTAAGCATTTAAGAATAAGTAACTCTAATTTCACACAAACTTTTTCAGAGACACTTTCCAATTCATCCACAACACTAGCAAAACTTAACAAGAACAATAAGAGAAAGGAAAATGCAGGCCAGTCTCATTCGTGAGCTTAGATGAAAAAACAGAAAAACAAATCAGCAAACCAAATCACCGTAGAAAAATAATAATATAAACTGGATTTATCTGGGATTTCAAGGCTGGCTTAACATTGAAAAATTAATGTAATTTACCACACTAGCAATTTAAGAAGAAAAATGATGGGATCATTTCAATAAAGACAAAAATGCATCTGATAAAATTCAATGTCCATTCATGATTAAAATTCCAAGAAAACTAGGAACAGGGCCAGGTGTGGTGGCTTACACCTGTAATCCCAGCACTTTGGGAGGCCGAGGTGGGCGCATCACTTGACGTCAGGGGTTCAAGACCAGCCTGGCCAACATGGTGAAACCCCATCTCTACAAAAATACAAAAATTAGCCAGGCTTGGTAGTGGGTTCCTGTAACCCCAGCTACTTGGGAGGCTGAGGTGGGAGAGTCGTTTGAACCCGGGAGGTGTAGGTTGCAATGAACCAAGATCACGCCATTGCACTCCAGCCTGGGGGACAGAGCCAGACTCCGTCTCAAAAAAAAAAAAAGAAAAAAAAGAAAAGAAAACTAGGAACAGGAGGAAACTTCTTTAATCTGATAAGAGTATATACAAAATATTTATAGTAAATATCATATTTATGGTAAAATGTTGTAAGCTTTCTCTCTGAAATCAGTAATAAGACAAGGATATTCACTATCACTGTCTATTTGACATTGTACAGAAGATCTAGCAAATGCAGTTAAACAAGAAAAAGCAACAAAATATGTAAGAATTATAAAATATTGCATTACTTACAGATGATCTAATGTGTACATTGAAAATCCAGAAGATTTACAGATAAATTATGAAATTAATAATTTAACAATTTTGTAAAATCAATATATGGACCAGTTGTAATCCTATATATACCACTAACAAGTACAAAATGAAATTTGAAAAATACAATGATAATGGCACCAAAAATATGAAATATTTAGGAAAATGTTGAACTGAAGGTCCGAAAGAGCTGAAATACATTGTTATAAAATCTTACTGAAGCCAGGTGTGGTGGCTCACACCTGCAATCCCAACACTTTGGGAGGCTGAGGTGGGCGGATCACCTGAGGCTGGGAGTTCAAGTCCAGCCTGACCAACATGGAGAAACCCCATCTCTACTAAAAATACAGAATTAGCTGGGCGTGGTGGCGCACACCTGTAATCTCAGCTACTTGGGAGGCTGAGGCAGGAGAATCGCTTGAACCCGAGAGGCAGAGGTTGTGGTGAGCCGAGATCGCGCCATTGCACTCCAGCCTGGTGACAGATCGAGACTCTGTTCAAAAAAAAAAAAAATCTTACTGAGAGACCTTAGAAAAGACTTAAACAAAAGAAGAGATACTACATTGAAGGATTAGGAGACACAATATTGTAAAAATGTTAATTCTTCTCAGATTGATTTATGGATTCAGTACAATCCCAATAAAAATCCTAACAGTTGAGTGAATGAGTGAGTGTGTGTGTTTGTGTGTGTGTGTTTATGTAGGTGTGTAATTTAAAAAGCTGATTCTAAAATGCAAAGGGCAAAAACAGCTATGAGGCTCTTGAAGAAGAACAAGGTGGAAAGACTTGTTCTACCAGATCCAAGACTGATTTTGAAAGCTATATTATTTCAGTGTGGCACTGAACAGGGATAGACAGAAAAACAATGAAATAGAGATCTCAGAAATGGATCCCCATGTAAAAATGGACATTTGATATATGAGAAAAGTGTCACTGAAGATTAGTTAAGAAAGGCTAGACTTTTCAATAAACGGTGCCAAGACAACTGGATAAGCATGTAGATAAAAAATGAAATTTGGCTGGGCATGGTGGCTCACACCTGTAATTCCAGCATTTTGGGAGGCTGAAGTAGGAGGTTAATTTGAGCCAGAAGTTTGAGGTTACAGTGAGCTATGACTGCTACTGCACTCCATTCTGGGTGACAGAGTGAAACCCTGTCTCTAAAAAGAAAAAAAAAAAAAAATGAGCCAGGTGTGGTGGCTCATGCATGTAATTCCAGCACTTTGGGAGGCCGAGGTGGGCAGATCACCTGAGGTCAGGAGTTTGAGACCAGCCTGGCCAACGTGGTGAAACCCCATCTCTACTAAAAATACAAAAATTAGCTGGGTGTGGTGGCAGGCGCATGTAATCCCGGCTATTCAGGAGGCTGAGGCAGGAGAATCGCTTGAACCTGGGAGGTGAAGGTTGCAGTGAGCTGAGATCACGCCATTGCACTCCAGCCTGGGCAACAGGTTGAGACTCCGTCTCAGAAAAAAAAAAAAAAAAGGATCCCTATCACACAGTATACATAAAAATTAAATTCCAGATGGGTTATAGATCTAAATGTGAAAGGTAAAATGATAATTATATTAACATTAAAAACTTCTGTTCACAAGATATATGATAAAGAGGGTAAAAAGCCCACGGAGTGGGAGAAGATATTTAAAATACATGCAACTTACAAAGGGCTAGTATCCAGAATGTATAAGGAACTAATACAAATCAATAACAAAAAGATGACCCATTAGAAAAACAGACAAAATATTTGAACGGCACTTTCCATAAAGGAAAAACCAAATGGCTAACAAATGTATAAACTGATGCTTGACTCCATTACTAATCAGGGAAATACAAATTAAAACCACTATGAAATAACATTATTCCCTCACCGTAAAAGCTAAAAGTCTGACAATATCAAGTGTTGGTGAGCACCTGGACAAATGGGAACTTTCATACACTACTGCTAGGAAGGTAAACTAGTACAGCCACTTTGAATAACAGTTTGGCATTACAAATCAAAGATTTGCCTACCCTGTGTTCCAGAAATTCAACGTTGAGGTACAGACCCTAGAGAAACATATGCACATGTCGATCAGTGGGATACACTCTTAAGAAAGTTCTTTAGTAGAATGTCATTAACAGCCAAAAACTGGAAACAACTTGAATATTCACCAACAGTTGAATATGGATAAACAAACTAAGGTATATTCATACAATGGAATACTATACAGCAATTGATATAAATGAATTAAAACCATAGGAGATTAATCTTTGGAAAGAAAGTACAAAAGAATATATTCAATATTATTATCTCCACACAACATTCAAAAACAGTAACTATATTGTTTAGGGATCTACACTTTGGCGGTAAAATTCCAAGAAAGGTAAGGAAATAACTATTATGAAATCATCCTTTTTGGTGGAAAAGTGATATGATTAGGAGAATCATATCTGAAAGGGGTTGAGCATCTGAAAGGGGTGGGTTTCAAGAATGCTAACAATATTTTATTTCTTCACCTGGGTGGCGGGTAGCTCAGGAGTTTATTTGGTAATTATTCATTAAGCTACGGTTTTATATTAAATACACTTTTCTGTATCCATGATGTACTTCACAATATAAAAGGTGAAAAAACAAGAGAATGGTAATGCTTACTGTTCTATTTGAAGTTTTTTTGTGTGTTGTGGCAGTGTAAACCCCTCCTCCCTCTGCTTTCTGAAATCTTTTCTCAAGTCTACCACCCATATCTCCAAGGGACAGAGTCCTAAGCTGCCGTCTAGGTTACAGTGGCATCTAATGAAACAGTACAGTATTGTGCTGTACTGACAAAAGGGATGAGAAAATGGTCTTTGCTAAAGATGTACTGTACTAGAAAATGATAAGAGCCAGGGCCAGGCATGGTGGCTCACGTCTGTAATCCCAGCACTTTGGGAAGCTCAGGCAGGTGGATTACTTCAGGCCAGGAGTTCAAGACCAGCCTGGGCAAAATGATGAAACCCCATCTCTACTAAAAATACTAAAAATACAAGACTTAGCCAGGCATGGTGGCATACGCCTGTAGTCCCAGCTTCTTGGAGGCAGGAGGCTAAGGCAGGAGAATAGCTTGAACCAGGGGGGCAGAGGCTGCAGTGAGCCGAGATCATGCCACTGTACTCTGCCTGAGTGACAGAGTGAGACCTTGTCTCAAAAAGAAAAAAAATAAAAAGAAAATGATGGAGCCAGGACCAGAATCAGAAAGCCAGAGGCCTTCGCCTTCCATTGTGTGTTGCAGATGTCTTCCTCACTTGCTTTCTGTCACTCAGGGTAGACATGCTTTGGGAGATGCTTTAGAAACCATTGGGGCCGGGCGCGGTGGCTCATGCCTGTAATCCCAGCACTTTGGGAGGCCGAGGCAGGCAGATCTTGAGGTCAGGAGATCAAGGCCAGCCTGGCCAACATGGTGAAACCCTGTCTCTACTACAAATACAAAAATTAACTGGGTGTGGTGGTGCGCGCCTGTAATCCCAGCTGTTAGGGAGGCTGAGGCAGGAGAATCGCTTGAACTAGGGAGTTGGAGGTTGCAGTGATCTGAGATCGCACCACAGCACTCCAGCCTGGTGACAGAGCGAGACTGTATCTCAAAAACAAAACAAGAAAACAAAACGAAACAAAAACATTTGATAGTAGGCTCAAACAAAGCTGGGCCATAAGGAAAGAAAAGGGAGGCACATGCACATATCTCCAGATTCAATTTAGTCTTTCCTCTCCATTTGAAATTTGGTTGACTTCCTTCTAAGTGAGCCACACTCCAGGAAACCTCAGAAATGAGGTAGGGTCCAGGAATCTAAATTGGAGCTGTTCAGTCAAAGCTGTGCGAACTACATCTGCAGAAAAAGGACTTCAAGCTCATTTGGACTGAAGTGTGCTTCCTCTGCTGTCTGCACTGCATGCAAAACCTGAATGATTGGTGTTACAAAGCTACTTTTGGCTGGCCGCGGTGGCTCACGCCTGTAATCCCAGCAGTTTGGGAAGCCGAGGTGGGCGGATCAGGAGGTCAGGAGATTGAGACCATCCTGGCTAACATGGTGAAAATCCGTCTCTACTAAAAATACAAAAAAAAATAGCTGGGTGTGGTGGCTACTGCCTGTAATCCCAGCTACTCGGGAGGCTGAGGCAGGAGGTTGCAGTGAGCCGAGATCGCATCACTGCACTCCATCCAGCCTGGTGACAAAGCGAGACTCCATCTCAAAAAAAAAAAAAAAAAAAAAAAAAGCTACTTTAAAATTTTTTTTTATTTTTGCTTCCTGTTTCCTTATTTTCTAAACAGCTTCATTGCTCTTTATTTGATTCTAGATTCTGATACCAGATATCAATGTGTTGTTACCCTGGGATGATCCAAAGTGATAGCATAGCATCTGTTTATCAAACTCCACCTCATAGCTGAGCCCATTGCAAGCAGTCTTTGTAACATGAGATCACTCTGGAACTGTACTTTCTTTTTTATTATTTTATTTTATTTTTTTGAGATGGAGTCTTGCTCTGTCACCCAGGCTGGAGTGCAGTAGCGCAATCTCGGCTCACCGCAACCTTCGCCTCCTGGGTTCCTGGGTGCAAGCGATTCTCCTGCCTCAGCCTTCTGAGTAGCTGGAATTACAAGCTCCTGCCACCACGCCTGGCTATTTTATTTATTTATTATTATTTTTAAAATTTATTTTATTTTATTTTTAGTAGAGGTGGGGTTTCACCTTGTTGGCCAGGCTGGTCTCGAACTCCTAACAACAAATGGTCCATCCACCTCAGCCTCCCAAAGTTCTGGGATTATAGGCATGAGCCACCACGCCCAGCCTGGAACTTTACTTTTACACCAACCATGTTTCTACAACTGCAGGGGCCTTCAGACCTGCAAAACTCCTTATTGTGCCATAGCTGTCTAAAGCTATATTACCTCCTGGCAGCTACAATTCTCTGACTTAGGGAGAAACATAAAAGTTCTTTTTTTGACTAATTAATGTTCAATTCTGAGTAACGGATGACTGGTGAAATAAGCAGCTTGCTACAGTGAGACCCAGAATTTCCACTCTAGGCCACTGACATCTGCACAAACCTGGCAGTGATATAAACGTTTTTCCCTATTTATAACGTTACAAATATTTTTTCTTGAGATCAGGTTTTTGTTTTGACTGTCAAGCTTTCCACTCACAGAGCTAAAGGTAATCACACTAATCTGTCAGTTTATCTGTGCTCTTCTTTCTGAGGGACTGAAGAAGCTTATGAAACAAAAGGAGGAAGAAGGCAGGAAGGACCTTGAGACACATTTATCAGATGCATGGGTTGTGGGGTAAGGAAAGCTTGCCAAAGGGGAACACAGCTCAGGTGCAAATAAAGCAGCAATTTAAAGAGTAAAAGGAAACTGGAGGATGAAAAACAAAAGATAGAAGGAGAAAACAGCTTCCTGGCTTAGGAAAAAGAGAATTTCACAAACTCAACAGCAGTGCCTACATTCTGTGGGATTTTCTAAGGAGAGGGGAAGAAAAGTCAAAGCAGAATAACATCAGACAGAGGCCAGGCGCGGCGGCTCCTGCCTGTAATCCCAGCACTTTGGGAGCCCAAGGTGGGCAGATCACCTAAGGTCAGGAGTTTGAGACCAGCCTGGCCAACATGGTGAAACTCCATGTCTATTAAAAATACAAAAATTAGCCATGTGGTGGCAGGCACCTGTAATCCCAGCTACTCAGGAGGCTGAGGCAGGAGAATCACTTGAACTCGGGAGGCGGAGGTTGCAGTGAGCCAAGATTGTGCCACTGCACTCCAGCCTGGATGACAGAGCGAGACTCCATCTAAAAAAAAAAAAAAGAAAAGAAAAAAGAATAGCATCAGACAGGAGCAGGTGGCAATCTTTCGGAATGCAACACCATCAGTAGTTTACCCTTTGACCTACACTGTAAGTTTTCCCTCAAGGGGTGGTTAAATTTTGTATTTGGTTGTATCTTATTTGCCTAACAGCCACTTCCCATTAAACTGCTTTGTTTGAGGAGCTCATGTGAAATGTTAGAAATAATTACTGGTGTTTAAGATAAAACTTACTATGAAAGACAGAATAGTTGGTAATGAAGAGAGCGTAGATACTGGAATATTCAATGTCAAGTCTGCCACATACCAGCTATGTGACTTTTTGGGCAAATTACTTCCCTATTATGCCTCCGTTTTGATGTGTATCAAATGTGAATAATAAGAGTATCTGCCTCCTATGATGAATATGAGAACTACTGAATACATCGGAAACACTCTGTGCAGTTCCTGGCGTGTAGTTCTATATGTACACGTGTTCATTATAACGTGGGAGTACATGCAGCGTTTCTTTTTGAACTCCATAGGCATGTCTCTCTTTTTTTTTTTTTTTTTTTTTGAGACGGAGTTTCGCTCTTGTTGCCCAAGCTGAGTGCAATGAGTGATCTCAGCTCACTGCAATCTCCACCTCCCGGGTTCAAGTGATTCTCTTGCCTAAGCCTCCTGAGTAGCTGGGATTACAGGTGCCTGCCACCAGGCCCAGCTAATTTTTTTTTGTATTTTTAGTAGAAACAGGGTTTCACCATGTTAGCCAGGCTGGTCTTAAACTCCTGACCTCAGATGATCCACCTGCCTCAGCCTCCCAAAGTGCTGGGATTACAGGCGTGAGCCACTGTGTCCGGCCAGGCATCTGTCTCTTTAGGATGGTTGGGGTGGTAGTTCTACCTTCAAGAGGGAAACATTTCCTTCTTAGGGGGACATAATCACTTTAGAATCCTACCACTAAAATGTTCATACTCTCTTTCTCACTTTTATGAAGTTCTACTGTTTCAAAATGAGATGTGCTATTATGGAAAAGAATAATGCATTAGCCTATTTCAGGGTAACCTAGTCATTAACCTGTGTGCCCAGTTTTTTTTATGCCGACAGAATAAAACTATCCAAACAACAGAGATTCATCCTCACTGGAATAGACACATATTCTGGATGTGGGTTTGCCTTCCCTGCTCATAATGCTTCAGCCAGCGCTGCCACCTGTGAACTCACAGAATGCCTTATCGACCATCATGGCATTCCACACTGCATTGTGTCTGATCAGGGAACTCACTTCACTGCAAAGGAAGTGAAGCAGTGGGCTCATGGCCGTAGAATTCGCTGGTCTTACTCCACTCCCCATCACCTAGAAGCAATTAGCTTAACGGAAAGGTGAAATGGCTCACTAAAATCTGTTACAGTGTCAACTGGGAGACAACACCCTGAAAGAAATGGGTTCTGCTTTACAGGATGCAGTTTAGGTTTTGAATCAGAGGCCACTATCTAGTGCTGTCTCCCTCATAGCCAGGATAGTCCAGGAATCAAAGAGTGGGTGTAGGAGTGGCTCCTCTCACTATTCCACCCAATAACCCACTAGAAGAATGTTCGCTCTCTATCCTGGTAACTTTGAGCTTTGATGGTTTGGAGATCTTTGTTCCCAAGAGGGGGATGCTTCCACAAGGAGACACCACAATGGTTCTTCCCTGGTTTGGAAGATGAGACTGTCACCTGGACATTTTGGGCTCCATATGTTGTTGAACTAAGCAGGGAAAAAAGGGGATGAGGTGAGAAAGGAGAGTTAATCTGGCTGGAGAGAATGATCCTGATGACCAATGGGAAACTGAGTTGCTACACAAGGGTAGAAAGGAGGACTATGTCTGGAACCCAGATTCTCTGAGGTACCTCTAGTTCTTCCATCTTCAATAGTAAAGGTTGATGGAAAACTACGTAGCAACCAAAAAACAGGTGTGGGGAGGAGAAGGGGTAAGAACAATAAAGATTCAGACACTTTGGCAATAAAATTTCAGTCATTCCACCACATAAAGAACCCACAGCAACTGAAGTTCTGACTGAGGGCAAGAATAACACGGAATTGGCTTCCCGCAGAAGGAAGCCATAGGTATAAACTACAACCTTAATGACCAATCACAGAAACAAAGTAGCTTTGCATATTTTCTCTTTGCTTCTTGTATTCACACCTTTATTTATTTATTTATTTATTTTGAGACAAAGTCTTGCTCTGTCGCCCAGGCTGGAGCACAGTGGCACAATCTCAGCACACTGCAACCTCTGCCTCCTGGGCTCAAGCGATTCTTCTGCCTCAGCCTCCTGAGTAGCTGGGATTACAGGTGTGTGCCACCACACCTGGCTAATTTTTGTATTATTAGTAGAGACGGGATTTCACCATGTTGGCCAGGCTGGTCTCTAACTCCTGACCTCAGGTGATCCACCCGCCTTAGCCTCCTGAAGTGCTGGGATTACAGGTGTGAGCCACTGTGCCCAGCCAATACCTTTATTTTAATATGCTATCCTTCTTCTCTCTCCTTTCCAGTTTTTAATATACAGATTGTTGGTAGATAATTTTACAGTTTAGTCTTTAGGTAAGAATATTCAGTGGAACTGTGACTGAATTTGAGAAGTATTTAAAATAGCAATAGAAACAATGACTGTTGGGACTACATATCTTTACATTTTGGGGAAACAGCAAGTACTTTTAAGATGGATAGATGTATCTTCTTAGAATATAAAATTGTGGCCAGGTGAGGTGGCTCACGCCTGTAATCCCAGCACTTTCAGAGGCTGAGGCGGGAGGATCACTTGAGCCCAGGAGTTTGAGATCAGCCTGAGTTCTAGAGAGAGAACTTGTCTCCACAAAAAAATTTTAAAAATTAACTGGGTGTGGTGGCACGTGCCTGTAGTCCCAGATACTTGTGAGGCTGAGGCAGGAGGATCGCTTGAGCCCAGGAGTTCAAAGCCTGCAGTAAGCTATGATTGTGCCACCGCACTTTAGCGGGAGCAACAGAGACCTTGTCTCAAAAAATAAAAATTGTTTTGTCCATGAACAAGAGTTCAAATGTGTATAGAAAGGTGCATGTGGACGTCAAATAGCCAAAAGGTTAGACTGTGACAGTTAGCAACTTATTGTCTCTCAGCTCCAAATTCATCCTTTTTGCCTGCTCTATGAAAATGAATCTGGGCTCTGATAATATTTTTCCTTTGCCAGCTGGCACAACAATGAACTGTCAGAAAGGGGTGCTGGAGAGACACTGTAGGTTCTGAGTTCTTGCTTTGGCAGGCTCTGGTAGCATGTTCAACTTCTCCATTGTCCATACCCTGCAGTGCCTGGTGGCTAGCAGCACCACTGACAACTCCTCCTCCTTCTGTGGATTTATTTATTTATTTAGAGATGATGTGTCACTGTTGCCCTGGAGTGCAGAGGCACAATCTGGCTCACTGCCATCTCTGTCTCCTGGGTTCAAGCGATTCTCCTGCCTCAGCCTCCCAAGTAGCTGGGATTACAGGCACCCACCACCACACCCAGCTAATTTTTGTATTTTTAGTAGAGACAGGGTTTCACTATGTTGGCCAGGCTGGTCTCGAACTCCTGACCTCAAGTGATCTGCCCACTTTGGCCTCCCAAAGTGCTAGGATTACAGGCATGAGCCACCACGCCTGGCCTCCTTCTGTGGTTTTATAGCAGAGTGTCTCTAGTGAGAAACTTCCCTATGTACAGCTTTTCCTGGCACCGCAGAGGGTGGGTCTCTGACAAGTTCTAGAGAGTGTATTTTTAGCACGACAATGACTTTTCTTCCATCTGGTGACCCATGGTTATGCTCATTTTAACAAGCTGGACCTCAGCCCTAGGGGATGGTGGATTTTCTTAGACACTCTCAGTCCTAGTGGTATTGCCTTAAAAATATATGTATATCTGTTATTCCTCTATTCTTTAGAGTTCTCCTTACATCTTACTAGGCAATTCCTTATTATTCCAATCCCTTGTTACATTTAATAATTCCTCATATTAAACTTCCTCTAATCAAATTACTGTGTATTTTCTGTCTCGAGATTGGACCCTGACTGATGCACATACAGTTAATAGATGGAAAATAATACATATTGCCATATTAATGTAGTGGAATAGAGGAGGAATGGAATCAAATCTTCATGTGTTAACAGAATTTTTTAAAATATGGGTAAAGAAAGTTGCAAAGCATACGCATTACACCTTTGATGTAAAAATTAAATGATTACAAAACTTAAGGCCGGGCGTGGTGGCTCATGTCTATAATCCCCAGCACTTTGAGAGGCCGAGGTGGCAGATCACCTGAGGTCAGGAGTTCGAGACCAGCCTGGGCAATACAAAAATTGGCTGGGCATGGTGGTGCGCCCCCTGTAATCCCAGCTACTCAGGAGGCTGAGGCAGGAGAATCGCTTGAACTTGGGAGGCGGAGGCTGCAGTGAACTGAAATCATACCACTGCACTCCAACCTGGGCAACAAGAGCAAAACTCAGTCTCAGAAAAAACAAAAACAAAAACAAAGACAACCCCCACCCAACAACAACAAAAAACTTACATGGGAGGGATACCTACCAATTTCAGAGTGGTGATTAATTCTTGGGGGGGATAAGAGAATAGTGGTAGAAGAAAAGTATAAAGAGGCTTTAAATGAACCTGTAATGTTTTGTTTTTAAAGATGTGAAGTAAACAAAAAACTGTAAGAATATAATGAAAATGAAAGGCAAGAGTCCATAATCTGCAACTGAAACAATTTGGCAGAAAAAGGTCAGCCTAGATTACATTTGGACATCTTCTCTTCTGGATATTCTGAGCAGGTTAATACACAGGTAACCTAAGAACACATATCTTGGTAAGAATTTCAGGATAGTCTGCTTTGCAGCTGATAAGAAAGCCTAAGGTAAGATAAAAATGTCCGGTGACAACACACAGGCTCTTACAAGAGATTTTATTAATCATTGATTAGAAAGGTACATAAACTGTTAGCCTTTTATTCCCCAATAATACCTCTGATAGGCTAGCTAATATGTCCATAGAGGCTAAATGTTTGTGCTCTTGAAAGTTTGTAATCAGTGATTTTCTTATACTTCAATAAACTAATGCTTTCACATACGACCAGAAAATTTTACTAAATCTGAACTAAGTAGATCCATTAGTTTTTCTAACTGCTTCAGACAGAAACATTTACAATACATGAAGATATGGCACCTGCAGTTCAAAGCATTAAGCTATTAACACCACATACATGCCAAAATGGTTGTTGAAACAAGCAAATGAAAACCAAATGTTCATTAGTTTATTAATAATACACTAGTGTTGGAAAATACTCTTGCAGAAGTACAAAATACAAAATTCTCAATACTGACTCTTTTGGTAGGTACAATCCTGTGAAATGTGACTTCTAAGTACTACAAATGTACACATACAGAATCAAGATGAAAAAGAGGGAGGCCAGGTGCGGTGGCTCATGCCTGTAATCCCAGCAATTTGGGAGGCCAACGTGGGTGGATTGCCTGAGCTCAGGAGTTTGAGACCAGCCTGGGCAACACGGTGAAACCCCAACTCTACTAAAATACAAAAAATTAGCCAGGCATGGCGGCGTGCGCCTGTAATCCCAGCTACTCGGGAGGCTGAGACAGGAGAATCGCTTGAACCCGGGAGGTGGAGGTTGCAGTGAGCCGAGATTGTGCCACTGCACTTCAGCCTGGGCAACAGAGGGAGACTCCATCTCAAAAAAAAAAAAAAAAAAGGGAAAGGGTGGGATTTTTTTCAGCAGCAAATTGTAGGAATGCTGTTACAACTTCTGTTTCCATTGAATAAGTCAGAAGATATAATAACTTTGTTGCCATTTTAGGGCTTTGTGTCTCTGCTAATGAGATAAAGAATATTACATTCATTTAATTTTGTTGTTAATGGGTTAACATTTGCAAAATATTAATTCAACACAAGCTTTTAATTCTACTGTGTTATAATATTTAAATAGTTTACTATGGATCGGGGTTAGGGGATGGAAAAAGTGTGAATCAATGTATCAAGGGGCAAATATTATCTCTCTCTCTCTCTCTTTTTTGAGACAGAGTTTCATTTTGTCACCCAGGCTGGAGTGCAGCGGTGCGAGGATGTCAGTTCACTGCAACCTCAGCCTCCCAGGTTCAAGCAATTCTCATGACTTAGCCTCCCAAGTAGCTGGGATTACAGGTGTGTGCCACCACATCTAGCTAATTTTTTTTTTTTTTTTTTTTTTTTTTTAGTAGAGATGGGGCTTCGCCATGTTGGCCAGGCTAGTCTCAAACTCCTGGCCTCATGTGATCCGCCCACCTTGGCCTCCCAAAGTGCTAAGATTACAAGCGTGAGGCACCATGTCTGGCTTTTTTTTTTTTTTTTTTGAGACAGGGTCTCACTCTGTCGCCCAGGCTGGAGTGCAGTGGTGTGATCTTGGCTTGGCTCATCGCAACCTCTGCCTCCTGGGCTCAAGCGATCCTCCTACCTTAGCCTCCCAAGTAGCTGGGACTACAGGTGTGTGCTATCACACCCAGCTAATTTTTGAATTTTTTTGTAGAGACAGGGTTTCATCATGTTGCCCAGGCTGGTTCTGAACTCCTGGGTTCAAACAATCTGCCTGCCTCAGCCTCCAAAAGTGCTGGGAGTACAAGCATGAGCCACCATGCCTGGCTGCAAATATTCTCAAGATTCAAAATAAGTAGCAAGTAGGATATAACCACAAGTTTACCTCTGAATGCAGATTCAATTTAATCAGTTCAATTACTTATTACAGCTATAATGCATAGAAATGTGGGGGGCATTCAAAGGTTAGTATGAGGAAGTTCCTGCTCACAGGAGTTTATTCTAGTAGGGGATGGTGGGGAAAGGATACAGAAGATAGAAAAGACATTAAACCTAGATTCAGTGCTGGAAGAGATATTATGGATTTAATATAATCCTTTCATTTTACAAATAATGAAAGAGGCTTAAAAATGTTAAATGACCAGTCTGGGCAACATAGTGAGGCCTCATCTCTACAAAAAAAATTTTTTTAATCAGCCAGGTGTAGTGGCACATGCCTATAGTCCCAGCTACTCCAGAAGCTGAGGCAGGTGGATTGCTTGAGCCCAGGAGGTCAAGGCTGCAGTGGGCTGTGATCACACCACTGCACTCCAGCCTGGGCAAGGCAGCAAGATCCTGTCTCAAAAAAAAAAAAAAAAAGAAAAAGAAAAAGAAAAAAGAAAAAAAGTAAATTGTAACAAAAATGTGGTTCCATGCTAAAATTAGCAGTAGCAGACAATACATTTATGGAAGAAACTGATCAGTGTGGGTAGAAGTGTTGTGAATAACGTGGAAACAAAGATGGAAGGGCATTCTACATATGAGGAATAAGTGTAGTCTGTCTAGGAGAAAGCAAGATGAGTCTTGTTACAGAAAAGGGTTCAAACTGAAAAGACCTTTACATTCTTAGAGCTGGAAGAGAACTTAAGAGATTTAGTCCAATCTGTCCCCCAGTGTAGAATGATAGGAATCAAGGTGGAAAGGTCAATGGAAACCAGACCGTAGAAGGCTTTGGATGCCAATTTTGGGTTTAATCTTTTATGCCAGGGGTTGCCAGCCTCTTTTCCCCTCCTTTAGGAAGCTTTTTTTTTAAGACTTCCCCCCACAATTGCCTTCCCATGAAATTTTAATACCACAGATAAACTGTGTATCTGCTTGTGTAACGTGTGATCCTTTTTTTGTGTGTGTGACAGAGTCTCCCTGTTGACCAGGCTGGAGTGCAGTGGCACAATCTTGGCTCACTGCAACCTCCACCTGCCGAGTTCAAGTGACTCTCTTGCCTCAGCCTCCCAAGTAGCTGGGATTACAGGTGTGCGCCACCAAGCCCAGCTAGTTTTTGTATTTTTAGTAGAGACAGGGTTTCACCACGTTGGCCAGGCTAGTCTCAAACTCCTGATCTCAGGTGATCTGCCCGCCTTGGCCTCCCAAAGTGCTCTGATTACAGGCATGAGCCATTGTGTCCAGACTCGTGTGACCCTTTGAAGAGCCACAAACATATGAAAAAATGCTCAACGTCACTAATCATCAGGGAAATGCAAATTAAAACCACAATGAGATAACACCTTACCCCAGCCAGAATGGTCATTATTAGAAAGTCAAAAGACAATAGATGTCAGTGTGGATGTGTTGAAAAGGGAACACTTATACACCGCTGGTGGGAATGTAAATTAGTACAACCTCTATGGAAAACAATAGCAGATTTCTCAAAGAACTAAAAGTAGACCAACCATTCAATCCAGCAATCCCACTACTGGGTATCTACCCAAAGGAAAAGAAGTCATTATATGAAAAAGACACCTGCACGCATATGTTGTTTGTTTGTTTGTTTGGAGATGGGGTCTCACTCTGTCATCCAGACTGGAGTGCAGTGGCATGATCATGGCTCACTTCAGCCTCTGCCTCCCAGACTCAAGTGATCCTCCCACCTCAGCCCCCTAGAAGGAGCTGGGACTACAGGTGTAAGCCACCAAGCCTGGATAATTTTTTGTATTTTTGGTAGAGACGGGGGTTTGCCACATTGCCCAGGCTGGTCTTGAACTCCTGAGCTCAAGCAATCCACCAGCCTTGGTCTCCCAAAGTGCTGGGATTACAGGGTGAGCCACTGCATCCAGCCAGCATGCATATGTTTATTGCAGCACAATTCACAGTTGCAAAGATATGGAACCAACCTAAGTGCCCCTCAACTGACAAGTAGATAAATAAAATGTGGCATGTATACACCATAGAATACTACTCAGCTATAGGAAAGAACAAAATAATGTATTTTGCAGTAACTTGGATGGAATTGGAGGTCACTATTCTAAGTGAAGTAACTCAGAAGTAAAAAACCAGGCTGGACACAGTGGATCATGGTTGTAATCCCAGCACTTTGGGAGGCGAAGGCAGGCAGATCACTTGAGGTCAGGAGTTTGAGACCAGCCTGGCCAACATGGCAGAACACTGTCTCTACTAAAACTACAAAAATTAACTGGGCATGGTGGCGCATGCCTGTAATCCCAGCTACTTGGGAGGCTGAGGCACGAGAATCACTTGAACCAGAGAGGCAGAGGTTGCAGTGAGCCGATATTGCACTACTGCACTCCAGCCTGGGCAAGTGAGACTCTGTCTTAAAAAACCAAAACCAAAAAAAAAAAAAAAAACCCAAATACTGGCTGAGTGTGGTGGCTCACACCTGTAATCCCAGAAATCTGGGAGCCCAATGTAGGTGGATCACTAGAGCTCAGAAGTTCGAGACCAGCCTGGGCAACATGGCAAAACCTGGCTCTACCAAAGAAAAAAAAAATTAGCTGGGTGTGATGGTGCATGCCTGTGGTCTCAGCTACTCAGGAGGCTGAGGTAAGACGATTGCTTGAGCCCAGGAGGTGAAGGCTGCAGTGAGCCGAGATCGTACCACTGCACTCTGGCCTGGGTAACAGAGCAAGACCCTGTCTCGAAACAAAAAAAACAAAACAAAACAAAACAAAATACCATATGTTCTCATAAGTATGAGCTAAATAATGAGTATGCAAAGGCATACAGAGTGGTATAATGCGTATGAGTATTGGAGACTCAGAAGAGGGGAAAGTGGAAGGGGGATGAGGGATAAAAAACTACATATTGGGTACAATGTACACTACTTGGGTGAGGGGTGCCCTAAAATTTCAGACTTCACCACTATACAATTCAACCATGAAACCAAAACCACTTGTACCCCTAAACCTATTGCAATAAAATTAAAATAAAATGCCTAAAAGTAGCATCAACATGTCATTAGAAGTAATAAATAGCTCTATGCCAGAGTAAAATTGTCTATTTCAAGAGACAAAACTGTAAATATATAACACACTTAGAAAACCACGGCAGGATACATAAGCAGTACTGGTAAAATTTAGCCCCCAATATGCGGTGGAATTAGAACTGCTTTATTTTGGAAAGATACAGTTTGAGTATCCCTAATTTGAAAATCTAAGATTTGAAACTTTTCTAAGTGTCAACATGATGTTCAAAGGAAATACTCATTGGAGCACTTTTGATTTCGGATTAGGGATGCATTTTTGATTTTTGCATTAGGGATGCTCAACCAGTAGATATAATGCAAATATTCCAAAATCTGAAATCTGAAACACTGCTGGCCCCAAGGTTTTTTGTCTTTTTTTTTTAAAGAGGGTCTTGCTCTGTCACTGAGGATGAAGTGAAGTGGCATAATCATAGCTCAGCCTGTGAGTAGCTGAGACTACAGGTACATGCCACCATACCTAGCTATTTAATTTTTTTTTTTTTGTAGAGACGGGGTCTCACTATGTTGCTCAGGCAGGTCTCAAACTCCTGGCCTCAAGTGATCCTCCTGCTTCAGCCTCCTGAAGTGCTGGGACTACAGATGTTAGCCACCATGCTTGGCCCCAAGTATTTTGAATAAGGGATACTCAACCTGTATGGTGATTGGAAAAAGTAATGAGATATATTTATCAATGTTAATTAGCAATCTGTTATAGTTATGCAGGAAACAAAGCCAGCTCACAGTGAAAATAAAACATCACTATCTTGACAGAAAGTCCTCATTTCAGAATAGCTACCTATCAGCAACTGGTTATCATTAGGTTAAAGGAAGAAAAAAAAGTATACCATGCTAACACTGATCAAAGGAAAGCTCGAGTAGCTATATTAATTTTGGACAAAGTAGATTTCTGAACAAGGAAAATTATCAGGGATGAAGAATGGTATTACATAATGATAAAGGGGTCAATTCTCCAGGAAGACATAACAGTCGTTTATAGGTGCCTAACAACAGAGCATCAAAATAGGTGGGTTAAAAACTAACAGAACTGCAAAGAGAAATAGACAAACCCATTATTATCCTTGGAAACATCAACACTCTTCTATCAGTGACGGACAAATGCAGCAGGCAGAAAATCGGTAAAGATATAGTTGAATTATGGCATCATCAATCAACTGGATCTAATTGACATTTACAGAATCTCCATCCACCAATAGCAGAATACATATTCTCCTAAAGCTCACATGAAACATTCACCAAGATAAACAACATTCTGGACATTGTTAACAGAGTACCTGAGCAAAAAATTTTTAAGAGATGCTTATGTTGCCCAGGCTGGTCTCAAACTCCTGGCCTTAAGCGATCCTCCTACCTCAGCCTCCCGAGTACTGATCACATTTAAAACAATAAAAGCAAGCCGGGCCTGGTGGCTCATGCCTGTAATCCCAGCATTTTGGGAGGCCGAGGCGGGCGGATTGCAAGGTCAGGAGTTCAAGACCAGCCTGGCCAGTATGGTGAAACCCTGTCTCTACTAAAAATACATAAAAATATTAGCCAGGCATGATGGCGGGCGCCTGTAGTCCTAGCTACTTGGGAGGCTGAGGCAGGAGACTCGCTTGAACCCGGGAGGCAGAGGTTGCAGTGAGCTGAGATTGCACCACTGCACTCCCTGTGGGCGACAGAGTGAGACTCCGTCTCAAAAAAAAAAAAAAAAAAAAATCCATACACAGTAAGCCTGAAGACCACAATGGAATTAGACTAAAAATCAATAATGGAAAGATAGCTGGAAAATTAAAAGATATTTGGAGATTAAACAATAGGCATCTAAATAACACATGGGTCAAAGAAATCTCAAAAGAAATTTTAAAATATTTTAAACTAAACAAAAATGAAAATACAACTTATAAAAACTTGTAGGATTCAGCAAATGTTTAGAGGGAAATTGATAGCATTGAATGCACATATCAGAAAATAGGAAAAATATAAAATCAATAATCTAAGCATGTGCCTTAGATTAGAGGTACAAGTTTCTGGAAACTACAGGAAGAAGAGCAACATAAACCTAAAGCAGGCAGAAAAAAAGAACTAATAAGAATTAGAGCAACAATCAATTAAATTGAAAGCAGGGAATCAACAGAGAAAATCAAGGAAACCAAAAGCTGGTTCTTAGAAAACATCAGTAAAATTGATAAAACTCTGGCCAGGCTAACCAAGAAAAAAAAGGGGAAGACACAAATTACTAATATCAGAAATAAAAGAGGGATTATCACTACTAAACATTAATGTCATTAATGACATTAAAAAGATAATAAAGGAATATTATAAATAATTCTATAATTTGATAATTGAGATGAAATGAACAAATTACTTAAAGGACAAAACCTACCAAAATGTATACAAGAAGAAACAGATACTCTGAATAGGTCTAGATCTATTAAAGAAATTGAATTTTTTTTTTAATTTTTTATTTTTATTTATTTTTTTTGAGACAGAGTCTTGCTCTGTTGCCCAGGCTGGAGTGCAGTGGCGTGATCTCGGCTCACTGCAACCTCTGCCTCCTGGGTTCAAGCAATTCTCGTGCCTCAGCCTCCTGAGTGGCTGGGATTACAGGTGCCCTCCACCACGCATGGCTAATTTTTGTATTTTTAGTAGAGACGGGGTTTCACCGTGTTGGCCAGGCTGGTCTCCAACAACTGAGCTCAAGTGATCTGCCAGCCTCGGCCTCCCAAAGTACTGGGATTACAGGTGTGCACCACCATGTCCAGCCAGAAATTGAATCAATAATTAATAACCTTCCAAGACAGAAAGCATCAGGCCCAGATAGTTTTGTTGTTGTTGTTGTTGTTGTTTTGGTTTTTAGTGGCTTAAAACAACACAAATTCCCCAGGAGTTCAAGATCAGCCTGGGCAATATAGTGAGACCCTGTCTCTAAAAAACAAAACAAAACAAAATCACAAAAATTTGCCATCTTACAATTGTGTAGGCCAGAAATACAATATGAGTCGCACTGGGCTAAACACAAGGTGTTTGCAGGACTTTGTTCCTGTTTGGAGGTTCTACAGAAACCATTTCCTTGCCTTTTCCAGCTTCTAGAGGCCACCTGCACTCCTTGGCTCATGGCTGTCTTCCTCTGTGTTCAAAGCCAACAACATAACATCTCTCTGACTCTGCTTCTGCCATCCCCACCTCTTTCTCTTTCTCATTTGTTTCCTTCTTCCTGTTTCATAAAGACCCTTGTGTTTACATTGTACCCACCAAGATAATCAAATATAATCTCCCTATTTTAATGTTTAGCCACCTTAATTCTGCGTAACTTTATTTAATTCACCTTTACATGTAATTTAACATATTCACAGGTTTTGTGGATGAAGATGTGGACATCCTTGAGAGGCCCTTATTCTGCCTGCTACACTATTCCAGCCCCTTCACTATGATTTTTAAGTACATTCTAGTATTTGTTAGAGGCCCAGACAGCTTTACTGGTGAATTCCACCAAACATTTAAGAAATAAATGATACGTATTCTCTATAATCTCTTCCATAAAAACTGAAGCAAAGGGAATACTTCCTAACTCATATCCTATGAGGCCAGCATTACTCTAATACTAAAACCAGATAAAGATATTACAAAAAGTAAAACTCCAGACTAATATATCTCATGAACATAAATGCAAAAATCCCTAACAGAATATTAGCAAATTAAATCCAACAATGTATAAAAATATTTATTCACATAGCCGAGAAGGATTTATTCCAAATATGCAATGCTGGTCCAACATTTAAAAATTAATTAATGTAATCCATAACATTAACAGGCTAAAGAAAAATCATATGACCATATCAATAAATGCAGAAAATGCATTTGACAAAATCTACTACCCATTTGTGATAAAAATTCTCAGCAAACTAGGAATAGAGGGGATTTTTTAACTTAACAAAGAAAGTCTACAAAAAGTCTATAACTAACATCACACTTAATGGTGAGAAACTAGATGTTTTCCCTTTCTTTTAGACTGGGCATGAGGCAAGGATATCCCCTCTCACCACTCTTATTCGACATTATACTCAAAGTCCTAGCTGATGCGATAAGATAAGAAGGAAAATAAAAGGTATACAGATTGGAAAAGAAGAAATAAAACTGTCTTTGTTCACAGATGATATGATTGTCAATGTAGAAAATCCCAAAGAATAGGCAAAAAATTCCTGGAACTAAGTAATTATAGTAAAGTCACAGGATATAAGGTTAATATACAAAAGTCTATTGCCTTTCTATATAACAGCAATGAACATTTGGACTTTGAAATTAAAAGCACAGTATCATTTATATTAGCATGAAAAAATTAAATATTAAGGCATAAATATAATAATAAATGTACAGGATGTATATGAGGAAAACCACAAAACTCCAATAAATCAAAGAATATCTAAACAAATGGAGAGATATTCCATTCATAGATGGGAAGACCTAGTATTGTTATCATGTTAATTCTCCCCAACTTGACGTATAGATTCACTGTAATCCTAAACAAGCTCCAAGCAAGTTATTTTGTGGTTATCAACAAAATGATTCTAAGGTTTACATGGAGCAGCAAAAGACTCAGAATAACACCAAACTAAAGAGCAAAGTCAGAGGACTGACGCTACTCAAATGTGAGACTTACTATACAGTAATCAAGACAGTGTGGTATTGACAAAATAATAGACAAAATGATAATGGAGCAGAATAAAGAGCCCACACATAGACCCTTACAAATGTAGTCAACTAATCTTTGACAAAGGAGCAAAGGAGCAAATGTTATTCAATGGAGAAAGAACAGTCTGTTCAACAAATGGTGCTGGAACAATTGGATATCAATATGCAAAAAAATGAATCTAGACATACAATTTATACTTTTCATAAAAATTAACTCCAAATGGATCTTAGACTTACATATAAAACATAAAACTATATAACTTCTAGAAGATAACAGGAATATCTAGTTACCTTAGGTTTGGCAATGAGTTTTCAGATATGACAACAAAGGCATGCCATGAAAGAAAAATTATCAAGTTGGATTTTATTAAAATTAAAAACTTCTTCTCTGTGAAAGGCATTGTTGAAGGAATGAAAAGCTGAAGGAATAAAGCGAAAGAATTTTTTTCGCAAATTTTCACAAAGAATGTGAAAAAATCTTTGCAAACTTGTATTTAATTAAAAATTTGGAAAAAAAGAAAAAAAAAGATGTCACCTTGTCAGATGTCAGTCAGCTCAAGCTGGTTGATAATGTTGTCTATGTCTTCTACATCCTTTTGGTTTTTGTACCAGCTGTTCTATCAATTATTGAGAGTACATTATTGAAATATTCAATTATTGTTATCAAGTTATCTATTTTCCTTTTTTTAATTCTTTACATTTTGACTTGAATATTTTGAAGCTCTGTTAGGTGCAGATACATTATTTCTTCTTGATGTATTTAACCTGTGTTCATTATGAAATACCCCTTTCATGCTGAGTAGTACTTGCTTTAACATCTATTTTGCCTGATATAGATATATTCATTTGACCTATATTATGGTTACTGCTTATATAGTGTCTATATTTTTTATTTTTACTTTGGGACTATTAGTGTCTTTGAATCTGATGCATTTCTTTTGCAGGTAGTGATGGTTGAATTTTTCTTTTTACTCAGTCTGTCTGACAATTTCTGCCTTTTGATTGCATTAGAACTATAACATTTAATACAATTGTTGACATGGTTGTACTTAAATTTACCATTTTGCTAATTGTTTTCTGTATTTCTTCTGTCTTTTTGTTGTTGTTGTTGTTCTTTATTTTATCTTTAACTGGCTTTTTTGTTAAATAATGTTTTCCAGTGTAGATTTTCAGTTTTTCTGTTTTTGAGTTGTATTATTTCAGTTGTTTTCTAAGTGGTAGTGCCAGTGATTGCAATATGCGTATTATCCTATCACAGTCTACTTCAGAATAATACGTAAAACTTAGTTCTAGGAAAATACAGAACCTTGCCTTCAACATTGCTTCACTTTCTTTCTTGTCTTTTGTAATTTTATTATCATATATATTACACGCATATATGTTGCAATCTATTAATATAGTCTTTAATTTATTGTGTTAATGAACTTAATGTCTTTTAAAATTACTAAGAAAATAAATCGGAAGATTAACTAAAAAAAAATTTGTATCCAAAATATACGAAGTCCAGCCTGGGCGATGGAGCAAGACTCTGTTTCAAAAACAACAACAACAACAACAAGAACAACAACAACAACAACTATATATATATATATGCAAAGAACTCTTAGAATTCAACAATAAGAGAATTAAGAACCCAATTAAATAATGGGCAAAGGATATGAACAGACACCTCACCAAAAAGATACACAGATGGCAAATAACCATATGAAAAGATGTTCAACATCAGATGCCATTAGGGAATTGCAAATTAAAACAATAAAATACCACCATACACCTATTAGAATGGTCAAAATAAAAAAAAACTAACAATACCAAATGCTGGGAAAGATAAGGATAACAGGAATACTTTTTCATTTCTGGTGAATGCAAAACGGTAAGCCACTTTGGGAGACAGTATGGCAGTTTCTCATAAAACTACACATAGTCACACTCCGGCAGTCATATTCCTAGGTTATTTACACAATTGGGTTGAAAACTTATGTTCATACAAAAACCTGCACACAAATGTTTATAGCGGCTTTATTTTTAATCACTGAAAACTGGAAGCAATCAAGATTTCCTTTAATGGGCGAATGGATAAACATACTATGCTATATCCATACAATGAACATTATTCAGCAATAAAAAATGAGCTATCAAGTCACAAAAAGACATGGAGGAACCTTAAATGCATATTGCTAAGTGAAAGAAGCCAGTCTAAAAAGTCTACATACTGCATAACTCCAACCAACTACATGACATTTTGGAAAAGGCAAAACTGTAGAGACAGTAAAAAGATCAGTGGTTGCCAGGGCACGGCGGGAGGGATAAATAAGTGAAGCACAGGATTTTGAGGGTGGTGAAACTATTCTGTATGAGACTGCAATGGTGCACACATGCCATTATGAATTTGTCAAAACCCACATAACCTTACAACACAATGAATCTTAATGTGAACTATGGGCTATAATTAATAATAAATTAATATTGGTTCATCATTTGTAACAAATGTGCCACACTAATGCACCATCTTAATAATAGGAGAAATTGTGTAAGGAGGAATGAGGGTATGGGGTGCAGTGGGTGTATGGAACTCTATATATTATCTGCTCTATTATTCTGTAAACCTAAACCTATACTTTAAAAAATACAGTATATTAATTTATCTTAAAAAATAAAATCATAGGGACCAAAATAAATAACTTTTTTGGTTCTAATACAAAGATAATATACACGCCTTTATATCACACAAGAGTGATTCCAAACAAATAAATATATGGAGAGTATACAATTTTTATTTTATTATACTTTGATACTCTTCTTGACCTTACTATACTCTTAGGTACACAGCAACATACCGTTTGTAAACAATAAAACATTTCATTAAAAATAATCCATTAAAACTTCAAGTTTCCTTTGTACACTAGAGATACTGGATTAAATGCCTTCTTAGAAATGCCATGTTAACCATTTATTTTAAAGTTTCCAAAATGCATGTTTTCCAGTGGTTTGGTCTTACTGATTTTACTTAATGGAACTATCTATGATGCTCTGGGATGTGAAAATCATCTTATGTCCCCGACTTCCACAAGTAAGTAACAATGCTTTCACCTCTAATCTTCATATTGCTGATTTTTGTTTGAAGTTTGTGGGCAAGATTTAGCTCCATAGGTAAGGACGGAAACGCAGGTCTGACAAGTTACATTAACATCAGGACTAAAAGTCGCAGGACTACAAACCACTGCAGAGGAAAACACAGGGAGTAATTATAATTTAGAGATATTTTATGCCTCTACTACTTGGAGGTATTCTATACCAACAATATAAATCTGCCTTTAATATCATACCATTTCAGTACCTATATTATACCAGGTAATGTTCAGCCCATTTAAGTTGTGGAAGATTATGTGAGTTTCAAACTTTATAATTTGATGATCTTAAAGATAGGAGAAAGTGAGAATCCTATTTTTTCTTTTACTATCAGCATTTTACAGTATCTTCTGCAGTGCCCCATTTATGAGTTCCTATTTCTAGTTTTCTAGTTCCTATTTCCTAGTTCTCTGCTTTCCAGGTAGGACCATTCTGTTTTCCTTCATTGTACAGTAGCTTAAGACAGAACATTATAGAAATGTTTATAATACAAGAGAGTACATCAGGAAGAGTTAATATACATTAAAATAACTATATTTAGAAATTTGGGCTTTGGCTGGGCGCAGTGGCTCATGCCTGTAATCCCAGCACTTTGGGAGGCCAAGGCGGGCAGATTGCTTGAGCCCAGGAATTCCAAGACCAGTCTGGGCAACAGGGCGAAACTCTGTCTCTACTAAAAATACAAAAATTAGTCAGTAAAAATACAAAAATTACAGATTGCACACCTGTAATCCTGGCTACTCAGGAGGCTGAGGTTGAAGGATGGTTTGAGCTTGGGAGGCAGAGTTGCCATAAGCTGAGACTGCGCCACACTGCACACTGCACTGCAGCCTGGGTAACAGAGCCAGACTCCATCTCAAAAAAAAAAAAAAAAAAAAAAAAAAAAAAAGGGGCCAAGCATGGTAGCCCACACCTATAATCCCAGCACTTTCGGAAGCCAAGGCAGACGGATCCTTTGAGGTCAGGAGTTCAGTCGAGACCAGCCTGGCCAACATGGTGAAACTCTGTCTCTACTTTTTACAAAAATTAGCCAGCTGTGGTAGCTACTGGGGAGGCTGAGGCAGAAGAATCACTTGAACCCTGGAGACGAAGGTTGTGGTGAGCTCAGATGACGCCACTGCACTCCAGCATGGGTGAAAGAGTGAGACTCTATCTCAAAAAAAACAAAAAAAAAAAAAATTGGGGCTTTGAATTTTTACTTCCTTTTAGCTAAATATATATATATTTTTTGGTAAGAGAATCACTGTAAAGATTCTATTCAGTTATGCCAAGTGAATTACTTATATATTCTTCTGACTCTATAACCTAAATGTTTAGATATTTATATTTTATAGTTACCACAACAGCTAGCGCAATTACTGTGTAGACGTTCATTTTTTCCAAAGCCTGGTCGACAGCTATCCAGACGTACTACTTGCAAACTGTGGTCCACAAAATGCATTGCTGGTAGAGTTTTATTAAAGTTATGGTAGAAAATATATGCTTGGCTCCGAAAAAAGTCTTCTATTCGATCTCTTGCCTAAGGTTGAAAAATACCAGAGAAAGGTACAATTACTAAACCATGAACCAAATTTATCCTCCAGTATCACAGGCAATAATGTACTGTAAGCATGCCATACTTAACGTAGATAAATTCCTGAAAAGGTGTGTGTTAACACCAAAATTAGTTAGCTTTGACCTTATCAACTGTTGTCAATTAATATGTGCAATGGTTAAGAAAAATTGGCTGGGAGCGGTGGCTCATGCCTGTAAACCCAGCACTTTGGGAGGCCAAGGCGGGCAGATCGCGAGGTCAAGAGTTCGAGACCATCCTGGCCAACATGGTAAAACTCCATCTCTATTAAAAATACAAAAATTAGCTAGGTGTGGTGGCATGTGCCTGTAGTCTCAGCTACTCAGGAGGCTGAGGCAGGAGAATTGCTTGAACCTCGGAGGCGGAGGTTGCAGTGAGCCGAGATCGTGCCACTGCACTCCAGCCTGGCGACAGAGCGAGACCCCGTCTCAGAAAAAATAAATAAATAAAAATTAAAATTAAGATTAGGCTGGGCGTGGTGGCTCACGCCTGTGATCCCAGCACTTTGGGAGGCAGAGGTGGGCGGATCACTTGAGGCCACGAGTTCGAGACTAGCCTGGCCAACATGGTGAAACCTCGTCTCTAATAAAAAATACAAAACTTAGCCAGGGGTAGTGGCAGGCACCTGTAATCCCAGCTACTCGGGAAGCTGAGGCACAAGAATCACTTGAATCCAGAGGCAGAGGTTGCAGTGAGCTGAGATTGCACAGCAGCCTGGGTGACAGAATGAGACTCCATCTCAAAAACAAAACAAAATAAAATGAAAAGAAAAAATAAGATTAAAAAACTTGTTTTGAATTATTTGCAATGTCTATCCCATATGTAGATAATTGGGCGTTCATTATATCTAATTTCCATGATCATCAAAGAAAAAGAGCCAAGCAAAATGGAAAGCAAGACTTTTCTTGGCTGGGCGTGGTGGCTCACACCTGTGATCCCAGCACTTTGGGAGGCAGATATGTGCAGATGACTTGAGGTCAGGAGTTTGAGACCAACCTAGCCAACATGGTGAAACCCCGTCTCTGATAAAAACACAAAAAATTAGCCGGGTGTGGGTGTGGTGGTGTGCACCTTTAGTCCCAGTTACTTGGGAGGCTGAGGCAGGAGAATTGCTTGAACCTGGGAGGTGGAGGTTGCAGTGAGCTGAGATGGCCACCACTGCACTCCAGCCTGGGCAACAGAGCAAGACTCCGTCTCAAAAAAAAAAAAAAAAAAAAAGACTTTTCTTTAATCAGCATTATAAACCGATGATGTAAATTTTGGGTTTTTGAGCACAGAATTTAATAATAACTAATTTTAACTAAGTGCTTCTCATAAGCCATGCACAATAACAATTAAGGACATGAGCTCAGGAACTAGACCAGAGAGTGAAGGGATTTTTAAGACTATGTCCTTTGCCTCTGAGGATGGTAGAGGGGAGAGCAACTAGTATGACCAATATAGATATAATTTTGGAAGCACCATTGGCTTAACGTAGGGTGACATGTTTGTGAAGTTGTTCTTTAAGCCACTATTTAATCATCATTTGGGGAACAAAGACCAGGGATCTATCCTTCTGTCATAGATAAAATACATAATACTAACCTTGGGAACTATCTAATATTACAGATGTGCTACTCCAAAATAACACATCTTGATACTCCAGCTCTCTTTTGAGAAAGAAAAAAAAATCACATCTTGAAATAACTAAGAATCTCATAATCTCAGTTTAAAAAACTGAAACCAAAAATCAATAATACTTAAAAAATCAATATTATTAATACTTTATATTCGTTTTTTAAAAAATAATTTTTCCTCCTTAGAAATGATTTTATTATTGATAAATATTCACAAGATGGAGAAATAGGTTTTTAAAGAAACGTTTCAATATAACGAAGTATTTACAAAAATGTTTTAAATAGCTTTATTGATTTTCAAATACTTCCTCCTTGGCTGAGGGAGGAAGATCACTTGAGCCCAGGAGTTTGAGGCTGCAGTGAGCTATGGTCGCACCACTGCACTCCAGCCTGGGTGACACCCTGTCTCTAAAAAAAGAAAAAGACAAATACTTCTTCCTTACCATGAAATTCTCACCTGGAGGATATTATGATTAGTGGTATCTTCACAGTCAACAGATCCATTGCAAGCACCTTTCCACCCCGGCGCAAAAGGATTAACTGAAGAGAAAAAAAATGATAGACTCACAAAGGGATTCTGAAAAGTTCCAAACATTTCAATAAAGGTCCAAGTGCTGAATTCCATGTGCATGCAGGCACATGTTTAGTCCAGCTATCTAATCCTAGTAATAAAACAAGGTGCACAATTTGAATAATTTATACTTGATGGTTTCACTGCATCTGGGGGCTAATGTAAGTAACTACAAGGCTTTAAAATGAATAGAAATAAATTTGGTTTGATTATTCACTTTTACTAAGTTTTCAAAAATACAATTTAAAATTCTGTAAGAAGTTATAAGTGAAATATTAGCTGCATAAAGGCTGTATTAATAAAATATTGATTTTTAAGAAGCAACAATATGTCATATTTGAAAGTAATTAATTAGTGTGTTAAGTTTTAAAACCATAAACAGGCTAAGGTCAACTACATACTTTAGTGCTTAACAAACATGTAAGACCTATTACTTTTAAAATATCTTATATTAATATGGTAATTTTGTAATCTATTATGGTTCAGGACTAAATTCAAAATTAAAGAAATTTTAAAAATTTTACCTTGAAATGCTATAAATAGCTCATGTATGAGGCCATGTTCTGGAATTTCAACAGAATGGCATTTATATGATGGCTCTATGACATGGCATGACAAATCAGAAATTAGACTATCCAAGATTTTCTTCAGCACTCTAAAGAATACATCATTGTATCTCCCTATACAAGACCTTGTGGTAAAACGTACAGCCATCTGATATGAATAATCAGGTTCCCGATAGGCTTTAAAAAAAAAAGAAAGATGAGAGTGAAAACAATCGTACCTAGCATTAATTTCCTCTACCAAACAATTTTCAAATACTATGTAATACTAAATCCCATCAATCTTGCAGTCAGCATAGAAACATAACGTTTTATCAGTTAGTCCTCACAAAAATACATAAAACTATTAACTTTAATGAAAAATGTTATTTTCATCTGATACATTATCTACTTGGTACAACAAGAGAAATGGCTTCTGTGGGTTGGCTATACAGATAACAGTATCAAGAAAAAGAAAGACTTTTTGGGGAGGGCCTTAATTCACAGAAATTGTCATTGCTGTCAGCACAACCCAGTGAAAGGATCATTAACTTGCTTTTATAGAATTAAAGATCAGTTTTTAAATTACCTGCTAAATTGTGATAAAGTAGATGCGCTTACATATCTAGATAGAGGCAAGTAGGGAGCTGAAAGAAGATTATTTAGGATAAACTATCTTGATGTCAACTTAAGAGTTTGCTTAGTCAAATACATCCCAAAATATTTTGTAAGTCATAATTGGTGACAGTCACCTATTACAGACTCATTTTCATTAAATGAAGAAACCATACACTTAATTACGATCCAAACTAAATGTATAAGTTAAAATGTGCCTAAATTCTTACCAAAGACCATAAAGTCATATCTCTTTTTGACTGTTTTTTCTTCTTGAGTTTCTGCTTTAACAGTCTTATAAGAAAGAGTACATGTGTAAAGTCCAGACAAAGGCTCCAAAAAATCTTTCACCATCAGCTGTCCAGTTTCAGTTATATTTATTCTATTATTTCCTAAACAGAATAGTAAATTACTTATTTAACATATAACATATCAAGCATTATTTAGTACACTTGGAGTTACAAATAGATACAAAAATTTTAAAAATTAATGAACTATCTCAACTTTAAGGATCCCACAAAATCTTAATTCTGTCATATTACTCTGTGGAAGACTACATGAGATAAGTACACTTTTGAAATATATTTTGGTTTTCTTTGTTTCTTGGCATCTAGTTTCAATTGGTTCATCCCAGTAATTCAGAAAAAGAGATTGCACTGCTCTGTACTACTATACAATTTCTTCAGACAAGAAACTAATTAATAATACTTATGTTCCAAGGCACTCTAACATGATGAAAAATTATATATTAGTTATTTCATCTCCTATTACTGGTACTACAATGATAAATTTTAGGTTTTATAAAGACCTTTGAATTAATACAGCTCTGAGAAGCAGGGCACAAAAATTACTGCTTCAGTTTTTGCATAAGGAGAAAATAAGGAAGTGGCCAAAATATAACATGATTTTTCTAAGTAGGGAGCAAGAGAAACTGCCATTAAAATTAAATTTCAATTTGTTCTTTCCAATAAGTAACAGTGATTTTCTAAAAATATGTTCACATCATTAAAAAAGTACATATTAAAATCAAATTTACCTGTTAACGTCTTTTCATTAGGCCCAATCCATAAGTAGGTGGGGTCCACTATTTCTTTTTTAGAAAGCTTAAAATCCATACAGATAAGGACTGGACTATTTTGATGTAACTCTACATATATTTTGTCTGTGATGAAATAAAATAATGTATAACTACATTATATAGCAAAATTAAATTAAGAAATATACTCCTACCATTTTGTGCTGAAGACACGAATTAGTTCTTGTTGGATTTCACTATTTTAAAAATCAATATATAACATTTAGAACGCTCGTCTGAAGTCCTTTTTGCTTCTCATAGTAAGTTTTTTAAAACTCTACACTGTTAGTCACGAGTCATGATATTTTTCCATATTACACTTTTGTTTATAAAAATACACATGATATATTTAAAGTTCATTTTAATGTACAGATTCAGAACTCACTCAAATCATAATTTTTTGGAGGGTTGGTGGAAGCAATTAAAAGTTCAGAAAAGGCCTGGGCACGGTGGCTCACGCCTGTAATCCCAGCATTTTGGAAGGCCGAGGGAGCGGATCGCTTGAGTCCAGGAGTTTGAGACCAGCCTGAAGAAAACGGCAAAACCCCCTCTCTACTAAAAATACAAAACTTAGCTTGGCGTGGTAATGTGGGCCTATAATCCCAGCTACCCGGGAGGCTGAGGGAGGAGACTTGCTTGAACCCGGGAGGCAGAGGCTGCAGTGAGCCGAGAGTGCACCACTGCACTCCCACCTGGGCAACAGAGCAAGACTCCCTCTCAAAGAAAGTTCAGAAAAAGACTTCAGCATAACTATTCTAAAGATGATCAGCTGGGAGCGGTGGCTCATGCCTGTAATCCCAGCACTTTGGGAGGCCAAGGTGGGTGGGTCACCTAGCTCAGGAGTTCAATACCAGCCTGACCAACGTGGTGAAACCCCATCTCTACTAAAAATACAAAAAAATTTGCCAGGCATGGTGGTGGGCCCCTGTAATCCCAGCCACTTGGGAGGCTGAGGCAGAAGAATTGCTTGAATCCAGGAGGCGGAGGTTGCAGCGACCCGAGATCACACCACTGCACTCCAGCCTGGGCAATGGAGCGAGATGCTGTCTTTAAAAAAAAAAAAAAAAAAAAAAGATTGGCTGGTGCTGTGGCTCATGCCTGTAATCCCAGCACTTTGGGAGGCTAAGACGTGCGGATCACCTGAGGTCAGAAGTTCGAGACCAGCCTGGCCAACATGGTGAAACCCTGTCTCTACTAAAAATACAGAAATTAGCCAGGCGTGGTGGCGCACGCCTGTAATCCCAGCCACTAGGGAGGCTGAGGCAGGAGAATCTCTTGAACCCAGGAGGCGGAGGTTCCAGTGAGCCAAGATTGTGCCATTGCACTCCAGCCTGGGTGACAGAGTGAGACTGTCAAAAAAAAAAAAAAAAAAAAAGAAGGAAGGAAGGAAAGAAAGAAAGAAAGATAGATGATCATGATCACCCTAAGGGAAACCTGATGTTTAACTGTAAATTTTCTCCATTGGGAACAATAATTAAGCCTATCTGGGCATATTAGGAAGATGTGTGATTACTTCTTGTTTCTGGTTTGGTGGACAGAACGATGGTATGCTTGGAATCACTGCAACCCAGAAAGATATTAATTTTAAAGCCTACTGAATGCCAGGCTCATAAAGACAACGTCCTACAATTTGGTTGGGGGTCGGGGAGAGAACTCAAACACAGAAGGAGTCTAAACATGACAAATTCTATCAACTGGCTCAATTTATCTAAAATTAGCTGTGTAACTAATTTTCCTTGGGAAAGTTTCACTGCAGAGATAAAGGACATTTGAGCTGAGCCCTGAAGGATGCGTGGGAGTTTTTCCAGTTAATAAGGGGAGGATTAAAGATATTCCAAACAGAAGGCCTTGGAAATCACTCCTTTGCGTGGGTTTCCCGCGTTGCAAAGCAGCAGAGACACCTGGAAGTGAGATGGCATCTGAGAGAGAGATCTGGAATAAATCCCAGCCCTTTGTGAGCTGTAAGGCTTTAAAGCAAGGCGACACAATAGGGATCGCTGTAAGGATGAAAAAATGCGACCGTCGTGAACTGCCAAGCAGATGCTTAGTATAATAGATGCTCAATAAACGCTGGCTCGTTCCCCTTCTCTCCAGGAAGCTCTTCCGGGAAGAGCTTCGCAGTTCCGGCCCCTCCAATGGGCCCGCGTGTGCAGAGGCCCTTATTACCTGGCTGTCCTGTCTTGCCATAAATGAAGCCCTTCTTATTGAATAAGGTAAAACGCGGGCATTGGACTGCGGAGGAAATAAAACACTGACTTTTAGTTAGAAGAGGAGCAGGGTTCAGAGTCGGGCAGGGCAGGGCGAGGCGAAGGAGGCAGGACCGGGAAGCTCGGGCAGAGGGAGAGGCCTGGGGACCGGGTGGAGGGAGCCCCACCTCCTGTGAGGCACCAGAGCACCGCGGAGAGTAGGACGCACGTTCGCATCATCGCTCAGGGGCTGGCGTCGCAGGAGGCGTCGAGGGACAGACTCCCTCCTACCTCAGCCCTGGCCCAACACCTCCCCACCTCCTCCACAGTGCGGAGCAGAACGCCGGGGTCGCCTCCCCTACCCGTCCGTCGCAACGGCGGGAGCGGACGCGCAGGAGAACGCGTGCGTGCTTCGATTCTCGCGCGCGGGGGCGGGGCGACGGCGCTGCAGGCGATCGCCAGATCCTCTGGCGCCCACGCGGCAGCAGGCATGCGAACTTTTCGCGCCTCGCGTCCGGCGCCATTTTCCCGCGCTCCTGGCCCCTTGCTCTCTGAGCGGAGCGGAAGGCAGGAAGAGAATAAAGGAAAAGAAGCCACGGTGTCGCGTTCCGGGGATTCCCCAGTCTAGGGGCCGAAGGGATCAAGGAGAGAACACCGCGAGGTCCCAAGGACCGTGGTGGGGTAGGGCGGCTAGGGGATGCGATGAGGAATCCCCTAGGAAGGGGACCTGAGGAAGGCAGAGACTTGTGACAATTTCCTCCTCACGTGAAGCAGAAAGGCCCGCGTGGGGATTTCCTACGCCTCTCTTCTCATGAACGCTGAAACTGGGTGTCGAATCTCTTTCAAACTGACACGCGATTTTTACCTAATTGCATTCTTTACCAGCAAGACCAAGACCCAGAAGAGCCACTACTGAGCCAAGAAGGCGCTTCCGGGCCTTCCCACTCTAGAGGAACGTTGAATCTTCATTTTCACTTCAAGTATGAGGCGATGTGAGAGACCTCCCCCAGTGCAAACGTATCTAGGTTGATGAAGTGACCTTGCTTTAAAAATGGGCCCAATTGTAAGGCCCATTGGCCTTTTCTGTAGGGATGGAGCCCGATTGGCCTTTTCTGTAGGGATGGATGACTAGTCAAGATCGGGGAGCTCCAAAGGGGATCATGCCCGCGTCTTTGATGGTTCCTTCTTGGCTACTAGTTTGGTGGCCCGAAAGGCCCTGTGTGTTGTCTGTTTCTTAGCAGCGGGACACCACTCTCAGTAGTGGTTTTGAGTAGGCTGGTTAGTAGAGAGAGCCCAAGGTTCAGACAGGGTGCAGAATGGTTATTTTGGGTGAGATCAAGAGTTTTCGGTTTTATTTCCTTTGAGCCGAGTCAGTACTTGGACTCTCTCATATGGTCCAGGAGCAAACTTTGTCAGTAATTTCATTTTTAGTCACTGTTAATTTTACCTATATAGCATAAGCCATGAAATGTGACTCAGTGAGTCAGATCCACCCATTTTCAGTTACCATGTCTGGATACATGGTCTGGTCTCAACTGTTCTCTTCTTAAGGTGATGATAATGAAGACAGATTTAGGCATTATCTTTGATTCCCTACAAGTTCTTCATTCCAGTTTTAGTCAAAGTACATTATATATCCACAGTGTGTTTTATTGACTTTTTGGTTACTGTAAGTAATTGATAGTTGTAAATCCTGTGTGATAAACTAAATCCTATGAGAGGAGACTTAACCAAATGAGTAATAGTTGTCAAAAGTACCCATCCACTCTTTTTATATAAACTTTTTATTTTAGAAGAGTTTTAGATTTGCAGAAAATTTGCAAAAACAGTACAGAGAGTTTTTACATACTCCCTCCCGATTTTCCCTATTATTGACATCTTACATTGGTATGGTACATTTCTTACAATTAATGAACGGATATTGATATATTACTATTAACTGAAGTCCAAACTTTATTCAGATTTCCTTAGTTTTTTACTCAATGTCCTCCCTACCTCGTTTGTTTTTTTGCTCCAGGATCTCATGCGGGATCCCACATTACCTATAGTCATCGTATCTCCTTAGATTCCCCTTGGCTGTGTCAGACTTTTCTTGTGTTTGAAGGTCTTGACCTGGCTTTAATTGGTGAGGTATTTTGTAGAATGCCTCTCTACTGGAATTTGGTGTCTTTCTCCATATTAGACTAGAATTATGGATTCTTAGGAGGAAGATTACAGAGATAAAATGACATTCTCATCACATCATATCAAGGGGACATACTATCAACATGCCTTATCACTTGATGTTAACCTTGGTCTGCTGGCTGAGGTACTGTTTGTCAGGTTTCTCCACTGTCAACTTATTCCCCTGCTTTCATACTATACTCTTCGGAAGGAAGTCACTTTGTGCACCCACACTTAAAGAGTGGGGATTTATGCTGCATCTCCTTGAAGGTGGAGTAGCTACATAAGTTATTTTACCAATTCACTTTTAATCCCCTTAGGTATCACTCTCGGGAGTCCGAAATACTCAGTATTGAACTATTTACAGAGTACTAACACGTTCCACTGTCAAATATACAGAAGAACATTGTAATGGAAAATCATAAAGTTTCCTTACAACTTTTTTTTTTTTTTTTTGAGACGAAGTCTCACTCTGTTGCCCAGGCTGGAGTTCAGTGGCAAGATCTCGGCTCACTGCAACCTCTGCCTGCTGGGTTCAAGCGATTCTCCTGCCTCAGCCTCCTGAGTAGCTAGGATTAGAGGCATGCGCCACCACGCCCAGCTAATTTTTGTATTTTTAGTAGAGACAGTATTTTGCCATGTTGGCCAGGCTGGTCTCGAACTCCTGACCTCGTGATCCACCTGCCTTGGCCTCCCAAAGTGCTGGGATTACAGGCGTGAGCCACTGCGCCTGGCCTACAACTTTTTCATAACCAAATAACTTTTCATCCTCATACCATCCCTGTGAAATTTTACAGTTCCTCTTCTGCTACTTTTGATGTGCTATTTTTGCTTTTAGAAACTAACAAACAACAAATTTCCCCTTTCAGTACTAAAATTAGACCTAGTGTTTAGAGTATTTCTCCAAAATTGACATCCTGCAGAACTCCCAACTCATACAGTTATAGAGATGCTACTGTGGTGCTTAAAGCCAGTGTAGTTTTTCACCCACTTGAATATATATACACACATCACATAGACTGCCTATACCAACGACATACTATTGTTTAAAGCTACAATTCATAAAATTACAGCATGTATACTTTAACTTGTAAGTGTGGGTTTCTTCTGATATGGACAGCTGATGCACAAACCCTCAGCCTTAAGTCTCAAATATATTTGTATGCACTAATATAATTTTCTAATAGCGGTGACAGTGGCCTTTTGAGACTCATTCGTATATTGTCCCACACGCTGGATATCTTTAGAAGGGCTCACCTGAACAATGTCCCTTAGACCTCAATGTGAAGAAAAGTTCTGCTTTGAAAAACAGTTTTGTGGTCACTTCCCCTTTCCTCTCTCTGCAGTCAAATGTGTGCTTTACCTCTGGACAGTAGGGAGGGTGTTGGGAGAAGATGTTGACTGATACATATCTGTATACTAACATCTTTAAGTTAATTTTACAATCTTACTGCCCCCACCTTCCACCCTTAGCTCTACTTTCTTTGCTTAATTTTCTGGTACATCATATATGTATTTTTGTAAGGTGTGTATTTAGAAGAAGGCAGGCTGGGAGAAAATAAACACACTCTATAAAACACTCCCTCTATTTATATAGAGTGGGTAGTATTGCGTGAGTGGTGGCAAATAAATCAAGCAGTTCCCAGAGGGAAAACAAAAGTGAGATAAATGCTTCCAAAAATTAAAAAGTTGAATTGATAGAAGTGCCAAAATCCTTTCCAACTGTCTGAAAACTTGGACCAAAAACTTTTACCATGTGAAATGAAAAAGTGAGGAAGGAAAAAAAAATACTTTGAAAGAAGGGGGTTCTCATTGATACTTTCCACGGCTGTTATCACTGAATCTAGACAAAAAGTTCCAGATCTTCCTCAATTTAAGATAAACGTCTTTGAACTTCAGCTTGCCAAGAAAGCAAGGCTGACCCCCGACCCTCCGTGTGATGTCACTTTTCTCATCCATTATCCTTCTAAAATAGACATTTTGAGACAATTTAGTGATGCGACATTTCCATCCTGTCGGGGTTCCTTGGGTTTGACATTCGAAAGGGGGCTGGAGGCGCGGAACCCGCGGCACTCCGCGGCCAGCGTCCTTTAAAGCCGCCGCCAGCCAGCGCCGCTGTAACCCCGCGCACCGGCAGGTCGCCGGCTCCTGCCCTTTTCAGTCTGCGCCGACGCGGCTGCCGGATCCCGGGGACTCCCCGCGCCGGGAATCTCCCGCCAGCTGCGCGCTGAGTCCAGGCGACGGCAGGAGCACGTGGAGAGGCCGAGTAGCCACAGCGGCAGCTCCAGCCCGGCCCGGCAGCGACATGGAAGGTGAGCCTCCAGCCCGCTTCTTTTCTCCGGGGTCTTTGAGAAACTTAACCTGTGCAAGCAGTAGAAAGAGTTTCTTCTGAATCTCAGTTTTGCTTCTATTTACTTCTTTTGTCAAAAGTAAATATGAGGTATTTCAGAGGACAAAGCGCGTCGGTTCTCTTAACGTCTCTCACTTGTCCTTCCCCCGCCCTTTGGAAAGTGATAACTTCTTCGCAATTTTATTTCTAAAGAGTTGTCAGACATGGGGGGTCTACCCTACATCTGCAGAGGAAGAGCACTTAAGGGGTGTCCCTGAAATGGCTGCAAATCTGGGGTGGAATAATCAACCCTTTTGGATATTTTTTCCTTCATGGCCTCAGTGTTTATTGGAATTAGACTAATCTGAGTAACTTGTTTTCTTCCAAGGGTAAATGGTGTCATATGGGAAAGGTACATTTTAAAGCGGTTGGCATTTGCAGTTCCCTTGGAACTCGATCTTCTAATGAGTCTTCTTTACCCAGCGCAAAAAATCAGGTTCACATTAGGAGTTTCATATGAATTAATTTTGAAAGTCGTAACACTATCCTTGCTTCTCAAACATTTTTCATTCTGTACTTCCTTGGGATACCTAAAATTTCACACTGCTACTGTAAACTCTTCAATGGTCTTTTCAACAAGTGTTTCTAAAACCTTGAAAATGGCAAATGCATCTCAACTCGGGGGGGGATGGTGGGATTAAGAAATTCAGAATTTCATTCTATTAAAAATGAGATATTGACACCTAACTAAAATGTTACTTTGATAAATATGAAGATCGTGGGTATTTTCTTCATAATAATGGAAGAATCTCTAATTAACAATGAACTGATCTTTGGCAGCTTTATTTCTAGAGTATATAAAGTTGTTAAAATATCAAAAACTTTATGCTTTTAATTTTTTTAATTAGGGCTTGAAAACTTTAAAAATTTTGCATTTTTAACATTTAAATAATGGTTTATTGAAGTGTAATTTTTAACAAAGGTTTTATTGGCCAATAACAAGGAAAAAAAGTTGGGCTGTTGTATACTATGGGAAAAATAATTTTTGAAAAGCTCATATGCTTTAATTATTACAAATGATTAATTTGTTTTTATGAAATTATAAATCAGTACTCCAACACTATTTTTCCTAGCCGTAACCATACCACGTATCAAGGATAATGTACAGAATCATGTAAATCCATAGAAACTGGAGTATTTCTCTATAAATGTTAATACTTCCAAATTCATTTATTTAATGTGCAATAAAGAAACTAAATAGCATATCTTAGGTTATTGGTGTACTAACACAGATGTTTAATAAGCCTGAAGACTCCCTTAAGAAGAAAAGAATGAAAACTTGTGTAGAATTTAATTTAGAGTGTGTAGACTATAAATGGAAAGAGAATGTAGATCAATAACTTTTTAAAGTTGTGTTTACATGATTAGATTAAATCTATAGGTCCATGGAGATAGATAGTATAGATTATGCTTAATGAAAAAACTTTAACATTTAAATTTTAAAAAGAGGTTAATTATATGAATTTGGCTATTTTAATGTCAGGTCCTTGCGTATAGAGTATTTGATGTGGTAAAATATCTGGTTCATTATAGCTACCCAAAATAGACTAATCTGGCCCATGTTTTTGATATTTAAAAAATTTTTATATCATCTTGTGGTTTTGATCTCAGTCTAGATTAGAGATTTGGTCTATAGTGTATACCTCTCTTGGCAATGTAAGAAAGTAGAATACTTCATGGAATACCTTTATTTTCTGCCCAATTTGGGGGTCACATTGATTCATAACAGTTTATTGTACAATGCAATACTGTATATCATTCCTTCAGCATATAAAGTCATTTAACAAATTCATTTATCTTTTAATTAATTTATTGAGACTTTCTATGTATGAAGATGTCAGATGAATAAGCTTTTGAAATAGAAATCTTGTAGAAATGAAGATTTAATGAATATACTAAAATCAGAAGCTATAACTTTTTAATTTTCTCACAATCTGTGACCTTAAATATTTTCTACCCAAAGACTGTTTATGAATCACTAAATTTTATTATTTGTACTATAACATCTCTTCTGTCTGTTATGGTCGGGAAATGAGGTGGTTCACAAACATGAATTTCACAGGTAATGGCAGACTTCTTATTTAATGTAAAACATTTTTATTTTTAACAATATTGAGTAAAGATTTTTCTAAGTATATTTATTACACAGCTCCCTGCTTTATAAGCAAGGTACATAAGAGATAAGTTTATCTCGGCAACTCTGAGTTACTGTTCTCACCATCAGATCATATATTATTCCATAATATATTCTCACAGGGGTTTTGAGCTGAATGCCCCTACACCAAACATACCTAGGATATTGTACAATTTTTGTCTCCTTCTTGATGTCAGCTTATATTTCTTACCACATAGATTTTGTGGTAGTAGGGTTTTGTTTCAGGTCCCTTTCCATGTTCTGGATGGCTGAGATTAACAGAGATAAAGCCTGTAGATGATGGAATCTGTTTGCCCTCCATTGTGAGCGTATGGAGGATGAAATGCGAAGGTTTTAAGAAACAAAAGCCACAGAAAGGCCGTGGCGTCCTGGTAGAACATAATTTTTCAAAATTCCTGTTTGTACTTCCTTTAATCCAGTATGCTATTTCATGCTTCCATGTCTTTGCTATTATGTTCACCCATTCTCTACTTGCTTATGCCTACTCATCTTTCAAGACTCTGCTCAGGCATCATCGCCATGAAGGCTCTCTGATGACCTTCTTCTGATGACCTCCTCCTAGTGCCTTCTGGTGATCACCCCTACCCAGTCTCTCATGTTCCTTCACCTCAGCTAAGGGCCTCTCCTTTCTGTGTATACTTCTACCACATTGTGTTGAAATTATTTATTGATGTAGGTGTTTATTCCCCCTCTGGTCTTTAAGCTTCTGGAGAACAGAGACTGTGTCTTGTTTTTGTACACTGAATGCGAAGGACAGTTTCTGGTTCATAGAAGGCCCTCAGAATTTGTTGCATTCAATTAAAATAGTGCTGAAAAAGTACTTTTTATTATGTTTATTGTGATGCATTTTATTTAAATAAATTTTTAAAGTAGGAGATTGGGGCTAGTAATTCTTTGATAAAGCTCAGTAATTTTTTAAGCACTTAAACTGTATAATTGAAAAAGAAAGCTTGGAAAACAAAAATGTTATTGGATATTTTTTGCTAGACTGTCACTTAAAGCCAATTTTAACAAAATTAGATTTAGGGGGTACATGTGCAGGTTTCTTACATAAGTATATTATGTGATGCTGAGGATTGGGCTTCTATTGATCCTGTCACCCAAATAATGAGCATAGTGTCCTATAGGTAGTTTTTCAACCCTTGCCCTCCTCCCACCCTTCCCCATTTTGGGGTCATCAGTGTCTAATTTGGGGGTCACATTAATTCATAACAGTCCATGTGTACCCAGTGTTTAGCTCCCCGTCATAAGTGAGAACATGCGGTATTTGGTTTTCTGTTTCTGTGTTAATTCACTAAGAATAATGGCCTCCAGCTGCATCCATGTTGTTGCAAAGGATATGATTTCATTCTTTTTTGTGTAAAGCCAAATTTTAACTGTTAAATTTACATAAGCAGATTTCAGGATCGCAATTAGTCCATTAAAATATCCATTGAATATGAGCAGAAATTTGTTTTCTCAGTCAGTAAGATATAGATGATGCCATAAAAATAGCATACGCTTTCAAGTGATACTTTAAAAATACATTGTTATAAACTTTTCATTCATATATAAATGTATATACTTACACTTATTTAGGACTAAAAGATTATTGATTATTGGTAGATCTTTTATCAGACATCCAGTTTTTTTTTTTTATTATTATTTTTAAAGAGATAGTCCTTGCTCTGTTGCCCAGGCTACCACAAACTCCTAGGCTCAGACGATCCTCCTGCCTCAACCTTCTGAGTAGCTAGGACTACAGGCATCCACCACCATAACCTGGTAATTTATTGTACAAACCGCCATGACCTGCTGATTTATTATCTTTCATTTTTTGTAGAAATGGGGGTCTCACTATGTTGGTCAGGTTGGTCTTGAATTCTTGGCCACAAGTGATCCTTCCGCCTCAACCTTCCCAAGTGCTGGGATTACAGGAGTGAGCCACTGCACCTGGCCTAGATAGATGTCCAATGATAATTGGCTCATATGTCAAGCTATAGTTCCAGACCATGTATGAGAAGAACTGAGTGATTAACACAGAAACTTGCCTATAGTAGGTGCTCAATAAATGTCTTTTGTCCTAAGGATTCATTAATTATTTTGAAAAGAGACCCTACACATCACAAGGCCATAGAATGTACTCTGCTATTTAGCCTTTATTAAATTTAGCTCCATATTAACTGGTATATTTATGATAATTAGAAATTATAAGGATGAGGCCAGGAGTGGTGGCTCACGCCTGTAATCCTAGCACTTTGGGAGGCTGAGGCGGGCAGATTGCTTGAGCCTGGGACTTCAAGACCAGCCTGGGCAACATGGTAAAACCCTGACTCTACAAAAACTACAAAAATTAGCCAGGTGTGGTAGCACATGCCTGTAGTAACAGCTACTTGGAAGGCTGAGGTAGGAAGATGGCTTGAGCCTGGGAGGTCGAGGCTACCGTGAGCCATGAGCATGCCACTGCACTGACATGAGCATGCCACAGCCTGGGCAACAGAGCAAGACCCTGTCTCAAAAAAAAAAAAAATCATAAGGATGACACCAAGGCCTTTTGGATCACTAAAAAAAAGATGCAATAATGAAACAATAATTATAATTTATTTATAATATATATAGATTGTTTGAAAAGTAATCTGTGTATAACTTTATTAATTAATATTACTATATAACTCATCAAAATACTTTTATCCCTAGTGATTCTGAATGAGGTTATTTTTTCAGTCTAATTGAAATCTGGTTTTTGCATCCAAAATTAAAAGTTTTTTTTTTAATTAAAAAGTTACTTAAAAAATTTAAGGGCTGGGCACAGTGGCTCACACCTGTAATCCCAGCACTTTGGGAGGCCAAGGTGGGAGGATTTCTTGAGGCCAGGAATTTGAGACCAGCCTGGGCAACATGGTGAGGCCCTGTTTCATAAAAAATAATAATAAAATAAAAGTAAATTGGCCTGGTGTGGTGGTGTGCACTTGTCCCAGCTACTTGGGAGGCTGAGGTGGGAGGATGGCTTGACCTGGGAGTTTGAGGCTTCAGTGGGCTGTAATGACGCCACTGCACTCCAGCTTGGGCAACAGAGTGAGAACCCATCTCAACAACAACAACAAAAAATGTAAGTCCAAAGTGGTATACAGTAAATGAAAATAATATGGAATTACCGTATTATATTAAATACCAATACCATATGAAAATATTATGTTAGATATGTGTCCAATCCAGGAGATATTTAAAAACTGGGTACTTGATGGTTACAGGCGCCTGTAGTCCCAGCTACTCGGGAGGCTGAGACAGGAGAACTGGTTGAACCTGGGAGGTGGAGGTTGCAGTGAGCCAAGATCGCGCCACTGCACTCCAGCCTGGGTGACAGTGTGAGACCCCATCTCAAAACAAACAAACAAACAAAAAACTAGGTACTTGGTAATGGATATGAAACAAAGTGCATTACTCTTTACTTATTGTCAGTACTTAAAATCAGCTTACTGAGTGATTTTTTATAACAGTGGAATTGGCAATATGTCACAAATTGTACTTAGTAGTGTTCTTAGAGATGAAATTTTTGGCAGATTAGGTTATTGTGGGTTTACAAAGGAAACTTTTCTTTCTTTCCTTTTTTTTAATAGAGACATAGTCTTGCTATGTTACCCAGGCTGGTCTTGAACTCGTGAGCACAAAAGATTCTCCTGCCTTGGCCTCCCAAAGTGCTAGGATTACAGATGTGAGCCACCAATGCCCAGCCAATGAAGGAAACTTTTAAAATAAGAAATGGAAAACATTTCAATACTGTCACTCATGAAACAGAACAAAACTATTATTTTTCTACTCTGAATTATCTAAGGATTATGCAACTAAGTTTCTTGTTTATTTTGTTGATTAATACACCTATAGCCCCTTCTAGACTGTTATTTTCCAAAGTTTAGGGATCTCTCTCTCTCTCTTTTTTTTTTTTTTTAATTTTTGAGATGAGGTCTCTCTACATTGCAGGCTGGTCTCAAACTCCTGGGCTCAAGCGATCCTCCCACCTCATCCTCTTGAGTAGCTGGGACTAGAGGCATGTGCCACCATGCGTAGCTGGGGATCTTTTTATAATCGGTGGTAACTAGTACCCAACCCAGTCCCCAGCACATAGTAGGCCTGTAGTCATATTTGTTTAATAAATTAATGAATGAGTTGCCTGTGTGTTTGATCATTTGACTCTTTTCTTGCCCAGCTTTTATAGTAAAGGGGGGAAGGAAAATAGAGACATTGAAATTGGTAAATTTTGCTGGCTAATTTGTTAAAGGTACTGTTAAAGGTTTGGTAGAAGAGATTGAAGTATTGGCTAAATCCAATGCGTGAATACGGCCATTTTTCTAATCCATGCCCCCCACAAAATACAATGCCTTCTAACTTTTGGCTTTATTTAATAATTTTGGTACATTTTTTATTTCAGTGAAGCACTGCAGTTTCCACTATAAACCTTTTCTTCACAATAGATGTTTTGATTCTTAAAATTGTTGAACATCACTTAATTTGAATACTCTATCACAGCAACATCAGTTCATTTAAGAAGTAATGTATATTAGAGAGACTATTAATTTACCAGAATATTTGGCACATCAGAACAATTTCCTCTAGGAGTTTGTGGATATGAGAAAAAGATCACTCTCACAAACCTATAACATTTTTATGGATATGGAATTACATCATAACTGATGGAAAATATTGTCCAGTATGAAAACTGGAAGTAACTAATTTTTATAATATATAACAACTAGTCATTTTTGCTGTCATCTACCTCTATCTCTTAGTTAAGAAATCCCTTGACCTAGACTGCTAAAAATCACTAATAGTTGATTTATATGCTTACATACAGTGTAGGCAGTTCCACAAAGGTGCTTCACGGGCTAACTTGATTTAAATTTCATTTGAATTTCACATAAAATTCCAGACTTTAAAGTATTGAAGATGATCAGTGTATAAATTTATCCTCTGACCTCAAAATGAGGCTTTTTTTTCCAAATATTAAAATTTTATAAACATGATGAGTAAAATCATGGTGCTGCTGGTCTTTTTTCTCCTGTGCATATTTTCTCATGTAAAATTATTATTATTATTATTATTATTTTGAGATGGAGTCTCGCTCTTGTTGCCCAGGCTGGAGTGCAGTGGTGCAATCTTGGCTCATTGCAACCTCTGCCTCCCAGGTTCAAGCAATTCTCCTGCCTCAGCCTCCCGAGCAGCTGGGATTACAGGCTCCCGCTACCACGCCCGGCTAATTTTTGTATTTTTAGTAGAGACAGTATTTCACCATGTTGGCCAGGCTGATCTCGAACTCCTGATCTCAGATGATCCGCCCGCCTTGGCATCCCAAAGTGTTGGGATTACAGGCATGAGCCACCACGCTGTAAAAGTTATTTAAGTAAGAATATTATTAACAGTTTGTGACCAGCTGGCCAACATGGTGAAACCTTATCTCTACTAAAAATATGAAAATTAGCTGGGTGTGGTGGCACGTGCCACCACCAGCAAGGCAGGAGAATTGCTTGAACCTGCGAGGCCGAGGTTGCAGTGAGTGGAGATTGCACCACTGCACTCCAACCTGGGTGACAGAGCCAGACTCCGTCTCAAAAAAATAAATAAATAAAAAAGAATATTACTAACTGTCTTATTCCCTGTACTTTATTAAGTGCCTGTAAAGGCTAAGGCTCAGCTGCTTGGGACATGCTTCTGTCACAGTATAGTAATCAACTACTCACTAACAAAGACATGTAACATGTAACCTTACAAGCATTTAAAAGAGTTATTATATACATGTTATATTGTACATATACAATATACATGTTATATTGTACATATACAATATACATGTTATATTGTACATATACAATATACATGTTATATTGTACATATACAATATACATGTTATATTGTACATATACAATATACATGTTATATTGTACATATACAATATACATTGTATATTATAATACATGTTACATCATCATCGTATATTATAAATCTTAAATACTTATAATAAAGTTGGGGCATTTCTTGTTTGATTTTTATGTTCAGAATGAAATAAAATGAATGTTAAATATTTTTGTGATTCAACTTTGAAGCAAAGATTACTTATCATCCTTTCTCAAGTTTCTGGGAGTAGTTTAATTAAAAACTGTTCTGAAATAATAAGGTGAAGCACTCCTGCCTCAGCCTCCTGAGTAGCTGGGATTACAGGCATGTGCCAATACTGCCCGACTAATTTTTCAGATTTGAATTAGTAGGGCTAGGAGACCAGAATGCACAAACAAGTAACAGCTTCTAAGTGTGCCAAGCCAATAGCATAGTATGCACATCTCAATAAAAGGAATTTGGAGATTCTCAAAGGACTCTATAGATATCCATTGCAAACATCAATGACCTAGTATGGACTTAGTTGCCCCAGACCTAAACAACTAGAACATTTTTACACGTAATCCAATTTGGGGAGGGAGATCCAATCTATATAATAGGACAAATAATGACTGAACAAGTTGATATTAGGAATTCATGTAGTGCTTATAGATTTTATAACTACTACTCTACACAATGAGACTTGATGATTACACGATGACCTTGAGGTATTTCACTGTTAGTCTCACATTTCAACAAGAGTTAGGATTAGACACAAAAACAAGACAAAAACTTGTTTTTTTTGCAACAGGACACCGTTTATACCAAAATCTTATGTGGGATCAGATGCAAGTGTAATGTTCCAAATGAGAGATTGGAGAAGGAGCAAGAGACCACTGCTAAGCCTATCTTCCTCTTGCCATAGATCAGCCCTGTGGCAGCCCTCTGCAACCCTGGATTCCATAAAACACATTTTGAAAATGACTGATTTAGACCGTTACATGTTTTTCCTACTAGTAACCCTGTATCTAGACTTGCCTCTTTTAATCTGTTTTGAGGATTGCTGCCAGAATGATCTTCCTAAAACATAAAGTTATTCTCCTACTCAGACACCATTTTAAATATTTTTTGGTTGGACATTTAAGATACTCCACAACACAGCTTCAGTACCTTTCCAGTGGTATCTTCTGTCCTGTAATGTGACTCTGGACTGCTGCTTAGTGTTCCCTGTTCAGGCATTGCTTTCCCTCACTCCCCATTTTTCTAATGCTGTTCTTCCAACTCAACAAGTCCAAAAATGAACTAATTTTCTCTCCAATCCAAACCAACTTCTCCTGACTTCCCAACACTGTTAATAGCACCACAATCATGCCAACTGAAATCCTCACTCATCCATTATGGTCTATCCTAAATGCCATCTCCTTTAGGAAGCCATCCCTCATTCTAAGAGGAATACCTTCCTTTTCTGAAACGTAGTGACATTTTTTGCTGTCTAATGACTTCTAGACTGTAACTCCATTTTATGTTCAAACATGAAGCATTTTTGCATGGTTTTAGTACACTCAAATTTATCTAGGATTGGAATTACCACCTACATTGAGAGAGGATGATTTTTTTTGTTTAGTTTAGAGCTTAGCCACTTTTACCATTATTATTACTGTTTTTCATTTGATCCATGGCTTTATTTCCTTGTTTTTTAAATTTTATTTCCTTGCTTGTTTTTTTTTTTAAATTGATGCAGCATGCATCCTTCTGCATTTAGCTGTTGCATTCATGGTGATTCTACAAATACGTCTATCTACCTTATTCTGTCTTCTGGAATAATTGTGCTGGTGCATTTACATTTTGAAATATAGAATATTATTTACTGTCATTTATTTCACCTTTATATTACAATTGGGACTTTGTTTTTTTGTTTGAGACGGAGTCTTGCTCTGTCACCCAGGCCGGAATGCAGTGGCGTGATCTCGGCTCACTGCAACCTCCGCCTCCCAGGTTCAAGTGATTCTCCTGCCTCAGCCTCCTGAGTAGCTGGGATTACAGGCATGTGCCACCACGCCCAGCTAATTTTGTATTTTTAGTAGAGACAGGTTTCACCATATTGGTCAGGCTGGTCTCCAACTCCAGACCTCGTGATCCACCTTCCTCGGCCTCCCAAAGTGCTGGGATTACAGGCGTGAGCCACCGTGTTCTTCCTTTTTTTTTTTTTTAGACGGAGTTTCGCTCTTGTTGCCAGGCTGGAGTGGAATGGTGCGATCTTGGCTCACTACAACCTTCACCTCTCAGGTCCAAGCGATTCTCCTACCTCAGCCTCCCGAGTAGCTGGGGTTACAGGCATGTGCCACCACGCCTGGCTAATTTTGTATTTTTAGTAGAGACAGAGTTTCTCCATGATGGTCAGGCTAGTCTTGAACTCCTGACCTCAGGTGATCCACCTGCCTTGGCCTCCCAAAGTGCTGGAATTACAGGTGTGAACCACCGCTCCTGGCCTGTTATTTTTTTAAAATAAAAAAAATTTTGACAAGCATTGCCTACAGTTTAAACAGTATCAGCAAAACCTATCATCACTCTGATAGCATACATTGCATCAGTGGTGGGTCATCTTCACATATGTACTTAACGTATGTTTTTTATTGTTTAAAAGATTTTAAAAGATAGTTGAAGAACGACAGTTTTATAAAGTTTAATTTTGATGAATCTTGTAATACATTTATTATACAATATAATTCAAAAGTCAGAAATCTTCATTCTTCGTTCTAAAACTATTTATTGAATACCTTTTTTGTGTCACATATGCAAAATACTGGCAATACAGTGGTAAAAAAGGCAGACAAAGCTTTGGCCCTTATGGAATTTGGTAAGGTAAGGAAGACAGACCAAAGAACAAGTAATAACAATTGAAATAATTAAATTTATGCTAAGTGCTATGAAGGAAATAAAAAGAATGCTAATTTGGAGAGTAATGGAAGGAGGCAGGGTCAGGGACCTCTCCTCTAAAGAAGAGGTCTGGCTAGTGATAGGAATGTGGCTTTGGCTGTTTTCTTCAGCACATGGATGATATTTTGTTTTTTTTGAGATGTAGTCTCACTCTGTCACCCAGGCTGGAGTGCAGTGGTGTGATCTTGGCTCACTGCAACCTCTGCCTCTGGGGTTCAAGCGATTCTCCTCCCTCAGCCTCCTGAGTAGCTGAGATTATAGGCACGCACCACCATGCCTGGCTAGTTTTTGTATTTTTCGTAGAGAACAGGGTTTCACCTTGTTGGTCAGGCTGGTCTCGAACTCCTGACCTCTTGATCTGTCCGCCCCGGCCTCCCAAAGTGCTGGAGACTATGGGTGTGAGCCACTGCGCCCAGCCAGTGATATTTAAAGCCAAGGGAATGAATGGGATCACCTAAACAGAGAATATATTGAGAGAAGGGCTCTCAGGATAGTGCCTGGAGACATACCTCATTTGGTCAGGTAGAGGAGAAGCCAGCAAAAGAGAAAGAGCAGTCAGTGAGACAGGAAGAAAACCAGCAGAGTGTGGTGTAACGGAATTCAAGAAAGGGGAGTATTTCATGAAGGAGTGGGTGGTCAGCTATGTTGAATGTGGCTGAGAAATCAAGCAAGATAAGGACAAAGAGTGTGGTTGGTTTTGGCAACATAACACTTGCTAGTGACCTTGACAAAAGTGGTTTCTGTGGAGTGGTGGGGATGGAAACCAAATCGAAGTGGGTAGAGTGGGAATGGGAGTAGAAGAAGTAGAAACGTTGATTACAGACCAGTTTTTCCAGAAGTTTAGCTATGAGGGTGAAGAAGAGAAATCAGTGGGATGTTGCTGGAGGGAAATGTGGATTAAGAGAGGTTTTGTGTTTGTTTTGTTTTTCAAAGATGAGTGACATTTACACTATCTGTAGTGTAAGTTTATTGAGAGAAAAATGCCAATATTGAAACATTTTGAAATCCCAATTTGCAGGGAAGTTTGGGAAATTAGTGATCACTGAAAATATCTTCATATTTAGTTTATGCATGACATGTAAATAAATTTCTGTACCACGTGAGTTTTAAGCTATATATGGAGCCCATTCAGTGAGTGGTTGGTGTAGATGCAACTTATAAAAATTCTGTAGCAAAATCATGAGAAACTCTTGAGATTCAAAGTTTTTTTCAAAAGCAAGAAGATACTGTTATAATTGCATTTCTTAGGTTTAGGATTTAGATATTTGGAGATGTGTGAGTATTCAATGGATTTTCTTTAAATTAAGGAATAACATATAATTAAAGTGCACATATCTTTTGTATATAGCTTGATTATTTTTCACCTTTATACAACCTTCCAGATCAATATATGGAACACTTGCATCACCTTAGAAGGTTTCCTTCTGTCCATTTATTGTTAATTTCCCCCTTTGCCCCAAATTAATCACTATTCAGACTTGTATCCTCATAGATAGTTTCCCTGTTGTTGAATTTCATATAAATTAATTTTACAATATATGCTTTTCTGGGGTCTAGCTTCTTTTCCTCAATAGATTTTTGAGATCCATCCAAGTTGTTATATTTATTAGTAGTTCACTCTGTTTTATGATCGAATAGTATGGATATACCACAATTTATACCTTCTGATGTTGATGGACAATTGATTGTTTCCAGTGTTTGGCTGTATTACAGACATTCTTTTGCATGTCTTTTGGTGGGCCTATATGTATTCATGTCTCTTGAATATATACCTAGGTGGCCAGGCACGCTGGCTCACGCCTGTAATTCCAGCACTTTGGGAGACCGAGGCGGGCAGATCACTTGAGCCCAGGAGTTCAAGACCACCCTGAGCAACATGGTGAAACCCCATCTCTACAAGAAAAAGTACAAAAATCAGCCAGGCCTAGTCATGTGCTCCTGTAGTCCCAATACTGGGAGGTCAAGTCTGCAATGAGCCATGATCACACTACTGCACTCCAGCCTGAGTTGCAGAGCAAGACCCTCCCTCTCTCTCTATATATATATATACACATAGTATATATAATATATACGTGTATATAACATACGTGTATATAATATATACATGTATATAATATACACATATATAATATATACACGTATATAATATACGTGTATATAATATATACACGTATATATAATATATGTATATATAATATACGTATATAATATATACTATAGAGTATATTATATATGTATATATACTATAGAGCATATTATATATTATATATACTATATAGCATATTATATATGTATATATACTATATAGCATATTAGATATGTATATATACTATATATTATATATAATATATAGTATATATACTATATAGCCTATTATATATGTATATATATAATGTATTATATATAATGTATATATAATATGTGTATATATACATATACATATATAGTATATATACTATATGTTATTTATGCTATATATTATATATACATATATAATAGGCTATATATTATATGTACATGTATAATATGCTATATACTATATGTACATGTATAATATGCTATAATATGTACATGTATAATATGTATAATATGCTATATATTATATGTACATGTATAATATGCTATATATTATATGTACATGTATAATATGCTATATATTTATACTATATATTATATATACATACAATATGCTATATATTATATATACATACAATATGCTATATATTATATATACATATATAATATGCTATATATTATATGTACATGTATAATATGCTATATATTATATGTACATGTATAATATGCTATATATTGTATATACTATATATTATATATACATACATAATATGCTATATATTGTATATACTATATATTATATATACATACATAATATGTTATATAGTATATATACATACATAATATGCTATATAGTATATATACATATAGTATATATACATATATAATATGCTATATAGTATATATACATATAGTATATATACATATATAATATGCTATATAGTATATATGCATATAGTATATATACATATATAATATACTATATATTATATATATACACACACACACACACACCCCCAGGAATACCATTTCTGGGTTCTAATATAGGTGTATGTTTAGGTTTGATACATATTGCCAAAGAGTTTCCAAAGTGGTTGGATCAGTTTACCCTCCCACTAGCAATGTCTGAGAGTTATACTTGTTCCACATCTTTTTGTTAACACTTGCTATTATCAGTCTTTTTAATTTTTACCATTCTTTTGGGTGTGTAGTGAGTGGTATTTCATTGTGGTTTTAATTTAATTTGCATTTTCCTGATGAGTAATTACATTGAGTGTCTTTTCTTATGTTTATCGGCCATTTTGGATCCTCTTTCCTGAAGCGTCTAAGGTTTTCTGGTCATTCACGTTTTTTTGTTTGTTTGTTTTGTTTTTTTTCCTGAGACGGAGTCTCGCTCTGTTGCCCAGGTTGAAGTTCAGTGGTGCAATCTCGGCTTACTGCAACCTCCACCTCCCAGCGATTCTCCTGCCTCAGCCTCCTGAGTAGCTGGGATTACAGGTGACTACCGCCCCACCTGGCTAATTTTTGTGTTTTTAGTAGAGGTGGAGTTTCACCATGTTGGCCAGGCTGGTCTCAAACTCCTGACCTCAGGTGATCCGCCTGCCTTGGCCTCCCAAAGTGCTGGGATTACAGGCATGAGCCACCACGCCTGGCTGGATTTTTTTTTTTTAATTGGGTTGTCTTTTTTCATACTGATTTTGTGGGCTTTTTTTTTTTTTTTCCAGGTGCTATCACACCTGGCTAATTTTTGTATTGTTTTAGTAGAGACAGGGTTTTAGCATGTTGGCCAGGCTGGTCTCAAACTCCTGACCTCAGGTGGTTTGTCTGCCTTGGCCTCCCAAAGTGCTGGGATTACAGGCTTGAGCCACTGCACCCAGCCAGTAATGTGTACTTTGTCAGATGTGTAATACAAATACTTTATCCCAGTCTGTAACTTGTTTATTTTTCTTAATCTATTTGATGAATAGAATTCTTAATTTTAATGAAGATTAATTTATCAGCTTCTTTTTTGTGACTAAGTGCTGCTTATATCTTGCTAAAGAATTCTTTGCCAGGCACGTTGGCTCCCACCTGTAATCCTACCACTTTGGGAGGGTAAAGCGGGAGGATCATTCAAGGCCAAGAGTTTAAAACCAGCCTGGGCAACATAATGAGACCCCATCTCTCCAAACATTTTTTTAAAAATTAGCTGAGTGTAGTGATGCACACCTGTAGTCTCAGCTACTCAGGAAGCTGAGGTGGGCAGATTGCTTAAGCCCAGGAGTTCCGGGCTGCAGTGAGCTACGTCATGTCACTGCATTCCAGCCTGTGCAACAGAGTGAGACCCTGTCTCTAAGAAAAAAAGAAAAATAAATCTTTACCTACTCCAGGGTCATGAGAATATTCTGTTTTCCTCTAGAAGTTTGATTGTTTCAACTTTCATATTTAGCTCTGTTACCCACTTCAAATTAATGATTCTATTTTTGGCTCCAGCTATTTTACAGTTATAAAACTAGGCATTTTACAGTTATAAAACAAGTCTTCATTTCAATATGTTAGATTCAATCATTTTACCAGAAACATCTTTTTAAAGTAGCAATGACATGAAATGCCCATTTTTCCTTTTCTCTCTGCATGTTCATTTGGTAGCATGTGATATACAAGGTAAAATTGGAATGTATGTTTTTGTCTACAACTTAAGGGTAACTGACCTTTGAAGGAAAATAACACTAGACACTGACTTTGTTGTTTTAACAACAGTTGTCAGCAGTTCACCTGTGCCCCACGGTCTACAGTTTCCTCATTAAACACTTAATCTAGGAGAAAAAATGGAATGCTTTATTTTTTTTTAAAGGGGGAGGGTAGGAAGAACTGGAACAGTAACTTGGTTGTATTTGATCTGGTGTTTTTAAGCAAGCAGTCTTGATGTTTCTTAACATTTACCTTAGCCCAAGGAAATAGGGAAGGAAGTATTTCATGATTGGAGGGATTACTCTCACTTTAATGCATGTCTTTGTTTTTGTTATCTTCCTTTCCCCTCAATCAGCAATAATGCACAGTCAGTTAGGGTGTTTGAAATTAATTGGATCTAAAATTTCTTCTAGTTCTGGCCTTCTAAAATCTGTAATCTGTATAGGAAGGCATTTAAAACACGATTTAAATTCTCTGAAGCAACAGTAAAACTCAAGAGACAAATCCTGCTTCTCTTCTTAATGTGTCACTGACTTTGTGCCCTTGGGCGATTACTGGCCTTTATGTTTTTTGTCATTATTTGTATCTTGGATTTTGTCTGTAAAATGGGGAAAATAATAAATGCCATTGCCCCTATTTATCTTCCAGAATTGTTATGAGAAAAAAAGAAATCTCATTGCACTATTAGGCTGAGTGCTTGATGCCACGTTTTTGGAGAGCCACAGGCAAACAAAAACGGGTTCAGAAGACAGCTCTCACCATGGTCAGGAAACTGGGTGGTAACATCTGAGCTATAACTTATCCTGTATGTTCCCAGAAAGCTGAACTAGGACCTGAAATAGACATTTCAGTAAATTTGAGTTCAGCTACATTTAAGAAAGAATGCTTTTAACTACTAGAGTTTTTCTGAAATGGAAAGGAATAACTTCTGTATTATTCGAAGTGTTCAAGCAGAGGCTGTATAACCCAAGTAGGGGGATATTAGAGGACATTCAAACATCAGATGGCAGAGGAAGGAGAGGTAAGCTAGTTATGATAATAATTTCGATTCTAATATGCTAATTTCATCGGTTATAGGGATCATTTTTCATCCTACAGAACTGTTCTTGTACTGATGGAATTTGAGGAATGATTATATATGATGGTGATACGGAGAACTGGTAAAGGATTTTGCAGAAATGACAGCGAACGCTTCTCTGCCACATTTACAGTCCCAGGTGTTAATGTTGCAATTCTGAAAACATTCTTATAATCAGTGCCTCAATTTCTAAAACTTTTAATTATAAAGTAAAAGTGAACATTTTAGATAAGATAAACTTTTTCTTTTTAAAAAAGAGGTATGGGTATAAAGGACTCCATTTACTATTATAAAGAAGGAATGGAATATCAACATTCAGAGATAGCTTTCTGGCAGCTGCCAGGCACCTCTGGTGCCTGACAGCTGGCAAACTCAATACAGGATTCTTTCTGAGATTTGACATTTTGCTTTCCTTTAGTGCTTATACTTCCTACTGGGAAAACAGACCATGGAGTAGAAATATGATCTCTGAAATTAAGAGGAAAATTTTGTTAGCTAATATTCTTAATTCAATGGTAATTATTTAATAGTACAGTATTAGAAATAAAGGCAAGTTTATAACCATTAGAATTAAAAACATGATTGTACATTTTTGTTGCTAATGTAAATATTTGATTTTCTTCATAGCTAATTTATACTTGAACTAATAGGTAAAGCATTCATATGTGAACTTCCATGAAATCTCAATTAACTAGACTCCTGCCATTTCCAAGTTTAAATTTTATTTATAATCTGCCCCCTTTCGTTTTACAGCACATGAAATGTTAGAAACTCTGAAAAAAAAAAAAAAAAAAACCTTGGTATCTTAAAAAAACTAACCGGTGAGAAAATTTATATAGTGTCATCGTCAATGAAAAGAGAATCTAAAAAGCCAAAAACGAATTTGAAATTATCATCTCTTAGTAAGCATGTGATGAAGTCTTGTTTTCTATACTGGTAGAAAACAATTTGAGATTGCTAGAATGGCTATGAGTAGCTATGAATGGGAGAGTGCTGTGGAACACTGCAAAAGAAATAAGCTTTAACTTTTACAGTCTAATATATATGTCAGTATCTCAGTAGTAGACTAGTTGTGTCCTTTAGAAGATGTGTTATTTAAGAGATAAGGTGTTAATGGAAAACACTTATGTTTTAATTAAACCTTAAAACATATCAGGAGATTGGTTATTTAGTTGTGGAAAGAGCAAAAAGACAAATGAAATAGGTATTAACTAGAGTTTTCTGCTAGATTACAACTCTGGCTTTTAAATGAAATAAGAAAATGGTTTTATCTAATGATACCCAAAAATCCTGATGAAAACATGATGCTAAGTATATATTTGTATACATACATGTATGTTCATTTAAAAATATTTTATCTGGATATTTGGATATCCTGTGGTCGATATTTTTACCCTCTGAAAAGTCGCATTAATTTTTCAATCAGTGACATTTGTAAAGTGCTTTGTATGAAAGGTGCTGTCTAAATGTTTTATTTCTTTGATTACTGCGTCAGTGAAAACCGCAACTTTCTCTTGAAATTCCAATTGCAGGGTTTTGAAAGTAAACATAGAAGTATTAGTAATAGACCTAGAACAGGGCTCCATAAGCTTTTTCTGTAAAGGACCAGATAGTGAATGTTTTAGGCTTTGCAGGTCATATGGTCTCTGTCACAACTACTTAGTTGGCTGATGGAGTACAAAAGCAGCCATAGACAATATACAAATGAATGGGTTTAGCTGTGTTCCAATAAAACCTTTTTTTTTTTTTTTCTTTTTTGGAGACAGAGCCTTGGCCTGTTGCCCAGGCTGGAGTGCAACGGGGCAATCTCAGCTCATTGAAACCTCTGCCTCCCAGGTTCAAGTGATTCTCCTGCCTCCCCCTCCTGAGTAGCTGGATTATAGGCACCTGCTACCAAGCCTGGCTAATTTTTTTTTGTATTTTTTTATAAAGACGGGGTTTTGCCATGTTGACCAGGCTGGTCTCGACCTCCTGACTAAGTGATCCACCTGCCTCAGCCTTCCGAAGTGCTGGGATTACAGGCATGAGCCACCGTGCCTGGCCTCCAATAAAACTTTATTGATGAACACTGCAATTTGAATTTTGTAAAATGTTCAAGTGTATTCTTCTGATTTTTAAAAACCATTTAAAGATGTAAAAACCATTCTTAGTTCACAGGCAGTACAATAACAGGCAGTGAGCCATAGTTTGCAAAACCATCTAGTGCGTTCATAGGGATCAACAATAGAGATATAAAACTTCACTTGTTCATTCAACAAGTATTTATTCAGTGTCCATCATGAGCAGACACTAGTGTAGGGGCTGAAGATACAGCAATACAAAACAGACAACATCACTGTTCTCATGGAGCTTACATTCTTGTGGGAAAAGACAGATTTAAAAAAATGAGTGATGGTGATCTGGGAGCCTGAGGCAGGCGGATTACCTGAGGTCAGGAGTTCGAGACCAGCCTGACCAACATGGAGAAACCCCATCTCTACTAAAAATACAAAATTAGTTGAGCATGGTGTCGCATGCCTGTAATCCCAGCTACTTGGGAGGCTAAGGCAGGAGAATCGCTTGAACTGGGCAGGCGGAGGTTGCCGTGAACCGAGATCGCACCATTGCACTCCAGCCTGGGCAACAAGAGCAAAAAAATAAAAAATAAAAAAACAAGACTCTGTCCCCCCCAAAAAAATGAATGATGGTGATAATGAAAAAATTTTATAAAGAAAAATAAAGCAGGTAAGAGGAAAGAAAATGACAATGGAAGATGACATTTTATGTAGGGTAATTAGGTAAACCTTGTTTGAATAGGTGACTTTTAAGCAGATACTTGAATGAAAAGAGAAATTGAGCCAAGTGGCTTCTAAGAGGAAAGCATTATAGTCAGGGGGAAGGGTAAATGCAAAGGCCTTGAGGCAGGAGCATGCTTTCCCTGTTCAAATAACAGGAGAAATGTAGACAATTGATGAGATTTATATTTCAACAAAATTAACCCACTCCAAGATTCTTCCATCATTTGCCCCAGATATGTATAAACATCAGTACAGGAAACTATATTTCTATCAAAAGCAATATAGGGACTCTTCCTACTTAACTTTGTAGAGCATTCTTTTGGAAAATATTTCAAAGCTATGTTGACTGCCTACACATTAAAAAGACCACAGTAGACCCCATCAAATGGAAACTTTTTGTGGATTTGTTAGGGGGGACTGAAGTGTAAAGAAGTTACAAAATGATTAATTAAAAACTAAGATGTTTTTGCTGCATTTAGAAATATTTAACAAGTTTCTGGTCTTCATTTGGGAGTTCCTTCACCATCTGTCCACTCCTGTCTTTGAATGGGCTTCATGTTCTTATAAATACCTTGAAGTTTAGGGGGGAAATACACTTCAATCTATCTTGTTGTTGTGTTTTAATTTAGTAGCTAATAAGAACATTCATGTGACCTGATCACAGATGGTTTTCCTATCTCTTTTTTTTTTTTTTTTTAAAAGACGGAGTCTCACTCTGTCGCCCAGGCTGGAGTGCAGTGGTGCCATCTCGGCTCACTGTAACCTCTGCCCCCCGTGTTCAAGCGATTTTCCTGTTATGAATGCTAAGGTAGTCAGAATCTCATTTTTCTCTTCGAAACTACACTCAGTTACTTCTGGTGCTATTTACAGTACACAAAGGACACTTTAAAAATATTGAGAGCTATTTAAATGTCAGAGGGTTTAAAATATTCAGGGGACCAAGACCTTTTGCCTTTAGTTCACCAAATCAAAAGCCATCTTTCTGTGTAGTGACTAAAAGATGTTCCCACATGAAGGTTGCTCATGTGAAAGCTTTGAGCTAGTTTTCGTTCTTTCTTTTTTTTTTTCCCTCCGTTAAGAATCTTTTCAGCATGCAGTTGAAAGTTTCATAGTTAGCGTTTTTAAAAAACACTATCGAACTTACAGAAAAGTTGCAATACAGCACAAAAAAACTTTTTTTCTGCAAGTTTTTAAAGTAAGTTGCTGACACGGTGCTCTATCCCTGTCCTATGCTTTAGAGTATGTGCCCTGCCTTCACAATAAAATCATCAAAACCAGGAAATCAACATTACTACCATTCAATCCTCAGACCCCATTCAAGTTTCTCCAGTTGCTTCTGTGATGTTCTTTACCACAAGATATTTCGGTTCAGGATCACACATTGCTTTTCGTTGTCATGTCTCTTTCCTCTCCTTCAGTCTGGAACAGTTCTTCAGTCTTTCATGACCTTGAAACTTTTGAGGATTATAAGCCAGCTGCTTTGTAAACTATCCCTGCAAATTCGAGTTTGGTTGTTTCTTTATGGTTTGATTTGTGTTTTGCATATTTGGCAGGAATATCACAGAAGTGATGCTGTGTTCTACTCACTATCAGAAGGCACATAATTTTTGTTTGTCCCATTACTGATGATGACCACATGTAACTTTGCTCAGTTACAGTGATATCGAACAGGCTTTTCCATTATATAGGTGCTCTTTTCTTTCAACCTTGTAATTAATAAGTATTTTTGGAGAGAAGCACTTTGAAACTATATAAATATCCCATCTGTCACCACACTTTTAATTTATTCATTTATTAACATCAGAATGTTAATAATATACTCATGAATTTGTACATGAATAATGTACTCATGAATAATGTACTCAGAATGTACTCATGAATTTCTGTTTTTTTCCCAATGAGTTATAGTCTAATACTATTATTATTTTATGCTCCCTTGTCCCAGATTTGGCCAATGGAAACCCCTTCAGGATGACTGCTCTATACTTTTAAGATATCCACTTCATTCTGTGAGCACTTCCTTGCTTTCTGGCACAGCAAAATGTTCCCGACTTATACTTTCAATTCTCATGCCTTAGCCACCCCAGTAGCTAGTACTACAGGCATGCGCCACCATGCCTGGCTAATTTTTGTATTTCTGGTAGAGATGGGGTTTCGCCATGTTGGCCAGTCTTGTCTCAAACACTTGAGGCTGAGGCGGGCCTCAAATGATCCACCTGCCTCAGCCTCCCAAAGTGTTGGGATTATAGGAGTGAGCCACTATGCCCATCTTGGAGTAAACCATTTCTTCAGGGAGCCTCATTCCTTTAAATGGAGAATAATATTTAGAAGTTAATATCTAGACGCTATTGTAGTTTCACTGTTCCTAGGTGCTCTCAGTGAACGGGGAAAGGGACTGTATTTATGTATACCCATATACACACATTTACATCTATATTTTATCTGGTTTTTTTTTTTTTTTTTTTTTTTTGCTTTGTTGTCATCCAGGCTGGAGTGCAGTGGCACCTTCATAGCTCACTGTAGCCTTGAACTTGTGAGTTCAAGTGATTCTCCTGCTTCAGCCTCCTGAGTAGCTAGGACTACAGGCACACTTCACCACACCCTTCTAATTTTAATATTTTTTTGTAGAGACAGGGTCTCACTATGTTGCCCAGGCTAGTCTTGAACTCCTGGTATCAAGCAATCCTCCTGCCTTGGCCTCCCAAAGTGCTGGGATTACAGGCATGAGTCACCTCGCCTGGCCTATCTTTTTATATATAGTAGAAGCCATGAGTTCATGCCAGTACATCCACTTCCAATACAGGACCACAGGCTTCCATATTTGTAACTCCCTTCTCTCACAGAAAAACCTGGCTCTCATTATCCTTATTATATTTACTTATTTGACCATTCCTCCACTATGTAATACAACCAGTCTCCCATTGGCACTTGGCATCTCCTACTCAGCACAGTTGCTCTGCTTGACTCATTTGGTTTTGATAATCCCGTACTGTGGCCTCCACTCTGTGTGGACATTCTTCTCAACTGCTTGAGCTCTGACAGCCCCATGCAGGACTGCCCCTAAAATGTAGATGCCCTCTTCACCCCACTCGAGTTTTGGTACTTTGCACTGGACTACTCCTGGCATTGAAGTTCTCCTCATTCCATTTAGCCTCTAGTGGGGGCTGCCAGCCACTTCATTCCCTCTTCATTCCCCTCTTCATTCCCTCTCAGGCTCCAGCAGTCCAGGCCAGGCAGTCCTCCTCCCTGCATGTCCTCTTATACTGTTTGAGCTCTGACTTTTCATGCTGTCTGTCCCTCCATGTGGAAACTTGCCTTTTTTTTTTTGTTCCAGACAGAATCTCTCTGTTGCCCAGGCTGGACTGCAGTGGCACTGTCTCATCTCACTGCAGCCTCGACTTCCAGGGCTCAAGTGATCCTCCCACCTCAGCCTCCCGAGTGACTGGGACTACAGGCTCATGCCAACATGCCTGGCTAATTTTTGTATTTTTCGTAGAGATGGGGTTTCGCCATGTTGCCCAGGCTGGTCTTGAACTCCTGGGCTCAAGCAACCTGCCCACCTTGGCCTCCCAAAATGTTGGGACTACAGGCATGAGCCACCACACCTGGCCTGAAACCCTCCTTACCTCATTCACACTGCCTACCCTGCATGGACACACTCTTCATGCTGGCTGGTCTCCAGCAGCCCACCCTGGGCTACCCCTATTCATTGCATGGACATTTTTCTCATCCAGCTTGGATTTTGACATCCCATGCCAAGCTGCTCCTTTGCGTATTTTTAAACTATGTGTATTTCCCCTGCCTTTATGCTTTGTTGCTAACCTCTAATGGCTAACATATTAAAAGTTTTAAATTAGAATACAATATGACTATAGTGACTGTATTTTTTAAACTAAAAATTGGAATATGACCTGATTATAGACCATTTTAAATCAGTACTTTTCTAAATAGTTTTGAGTAAATGATCACAGTCAAAATAAAGAACAAAGGAGAGTTTTAATTTCTGTAATGGAATAGTACCTCCTATTGAACCAACCTTTCCACGGATAAGAATGATAGATTCTGGACAAAATATTAAAAAAATTATCACCTGAAAGCACTGGAAAAATGACCAAAAGCAGCCTGTTTTATGGCCTTTTATACAAGGGCAGGCCCCATTTCAGCCTCAGAGTGGATAGAAAATCCACAGTTTTGACAAACCATAACAACCACAGCAACTGGGAAGTGAAGGGAGACATTCTGCAGTGGAGAAAGCCAGAGAGGGCTTTTTTGGATATAAATTCTCTGGCTGATCCACTAATGTGTAGAGTTACACTCTAAATAGCCCAACTGAGGCTAAAATAACTAAACAGATTTATACTTCTGCAAAGGTGACTAACTCATCCCAGTTTCTTTGGGACTCTGAAAGTTCTGTGTTCTAGGAAACCCCTCAATCCAGGCATATTGGGACATTTGGTCACCCCAGCTGCTGCCCACAACAGGTGAGACGGAGTTTGAGTTTAAGCCAAGGCAAGTTAGTTGCAAGGTTTAAAAAGTAAAAAGTCTGGTCAGGCATTGTGGCTCAAGTCTGTAACCCTAGCACTTTGGGAGGCCAAGGCGGGAAGATTACCTTAAGGCCAGGAGTTTGAGACCAGCCTGGGCAACATGGCGAGACCCCCACTCTACAGAAAATAGAAAAATTAGCTGGACATGGTGACACCTACCTGTAGTCCCAGCTACTCGAGAGGCTAAGGTGGGAGGATCACCTGAGCCCAGGGAGGTCAAGGTTGCAGTGAGCTGTGATTGCACCTATAGTCCCGGCTACTCAGGAGGCAGAAGTGGGAGGATTGCTTGAGCCTGGGATGAAGAGGGCTCAAATCATACCACTGCACTCCAGCCTGGGCAACAGAGTCAGACCCTGTCTAAAAAAAATAAAAATAAAGAAACAGTCCTCTCTTCCTTTCTCCGCCATCGTGGTGTGTGCTTGCCTCCACTTCTCACCATGTCTTCTCACAAGACTTTCAGGATTAAGTGATTCCTGGCCAAGAAACAAAAGGAAAATCTTCCCATTCCGCAGTGGATTTAGATGAAAACTGGTAATAAAATCAGGTACAACTCCAAAAGGAGACATTGGAAAAGAACCAAGCTGAGTCTGTAAGGAATTGCACATGAGATGGCACACATATTTATGCTGTCTCAAGGTCACAATCATGTTACCATATCAAGCTGAAAATGTCACCACTGTCTGGAGAGTTGAACATGTTTTATTGGGAATATATTTTTTCTCTCTGAATCTCTTATGAACGTGTTGGTTGACTGCATTCAGTAATAAATATATGAGACCTTTCATTTCAAAAAATACGAAAAAAAAAAAGAAGAAAAATTAAAACAAAAAGGACTGGGCATGGTGGCTCATGCCTATAATCCCAGCTCTTTGGGAAGCTAAGGCAAGAGGATTCCTTGAGGCCAGGAGTTCAAGACAAGCCTGGGCAACATAGTGAGACTCTGTCACTACAAAAAACTTTAAGAGCCAGATGTGGTGGCACACACCTGTAGTCCTAGGTACTCAGTAGACTCAGGCAGGAGGACTGCTTGAGCCCAGGAGTTTAAGGTTACAGTGAGCTATGATCATGCCACTGCACTCAAGCCTGGGCCACAGAGCAAAATCCTATCTCTTAAAAAAAAAGTAAAACAAAGATTCCTACATGCTTCAGAGGAACATATAGAATTCACAATTTATGTAATATATCATTCACAAGGTCCAGCATACAATCCAAAATTATGTGGTCATATGAAGAAGCAGGAAAATATGACCCATACTCAAGAGAAAAGGAAATCAATGGTAACTGACCTCAAGATGGCATACATAATGGAACTGGCAGACAAGAACTTGTATAAACTATAGTAATTACACTTCTGTAATTGAAGTTATAGAAGGAAAAGCGTGGGAGAATGGAACAGAAAAAATATTTGAAAGCATTTAGAGAAAAATGAAAAGGATATAAAGGAAAATATGCTTTTAATAAACAAATAGAAAACCTCAGCAGAGAAATTAAAATGAACTAAATGGAAATTCTAGAACTAAAAATTACAATATCTGAAAAAGAAAACTCATTAGATAGGCTTAACAGCAAATTAAGATGACAGAAGAAAGAGTAAATGAACTTGAAGATATGAAAATAGAAATTATTCCTTCTGAATATCAGAGAAAAAAGCATTGTGGGGAGATAAAACAACAATGTCTCAGGGAACTGTGGGAAAATATGAAAAGATCTAACACACATATAATTGAACTTATAGAAGGAAAAGGGGAGGAGAATGGAACAGAAAAAATATTTGAAGAAATAATGGCTGAAAATTTCTTAAGTTTGGTGAAAAACGTAACTGTACAGATTTAAGAAGTTCCATGAACCCAAGTGGGATATATGCAAATAAAATTACAGCTAGGAATATTATGGTCAAACTGCTGAAAGCCAAAAGTAAAGAGAAAAATCTTGAAAGCACTTAGAGAAAAGGAACACATTACCTATAGGAAAACAACAACACAAGATATCACTGACTTCTCATCAGAAACAATAGAAGACAGGCCAGGCGTGGTGGCTCACGCCTGTAATCCCAGCACTTTGGGAGGCTGAGGCAGGCAGTTTATGAGGTCAGAAGACCGAGACCATCCTGGCTAACAAGGTGAAACCCCGTCTCTACTAAAAAAAAAATACAAAAATTAGCCAGGCATGGTGGTGGGCGCCTGTAGTCCCAGCTACTCGGGAGGCTGAGGCAGGAGAATGGCATGAACCTGGGAGGCAGAGCTTGCAGTGAGCCAAGATTGCACCACTGCACTTCAGCCTGGGCAACACAGTGAGACTCCGTCTCAAAAAAAAAAAAGAAAAAGAAACAATAGAAGACAGAAGACAGTGGAATGCCATCTTAAAAGAGCTGGAAGGAAAAAAAAACTGGGCCAGGTGTGGTGGTTTATCCTCTAATCCCATTTTGGGAGGCTGAGGTGAGAGGATGGCTTGAGGCCAGGAGTTTGAGATCAGCCTTGGCAACAAAGCAAGACCCTGTCTCTAAAAAAAAAAAAAAAGTTTTAAGAAAAAAACCCTGTAAACTCAGAATTCTATATCTAGTAAAAATATCCTATAAGATTGAAGACAAAGTAAAGACATTTGCAAATAATTGAAAACAAGAAAAGTCCCTCAGATAATTGCACTATTAAAAATGCTAAAGTTCTTTAGACTGTAGGGACGTGATACCAGATCAGAACTCAAATCTTTATGAAAAAATGAAAAGCACCAGGCCAGGCACAGTGGCTCACACCTGTAATCCTAACACTTTGGGAGGCTGAGGTGGGAGGATCATTTGAGCCCAGGAGTTTGAGACCAACCTGGGCAACACAGTGAGACCCCCGTCCCTACAAAAGAATTTTTTTTAAATTAGCCAGGCATGGTGGTGCTTCTGTAGTCCTAGTTACTTGGGAGGCTGAGGTGGGAGGATTGCTTGAGCCCAGGAGGTCGAGGCTGCAGTGAACCATGATTGTGCCACTGCACTCCAGCCTGGCAACACAGTGAGACCCTATCTCAAAAAAAGAAAAAAAAGGCACCAGAAATGTTAAATATGTGGGTAATTAGAAAGTACTATTTTTTCATTTTAATCTTTAAAATACAATATGACTATTCAAAGCAAGAATTAGCATTGTATGGTAAGGTTTAAAGTATATGCAGATGTGATACATATGACAACTATAGTATAAAGGTTGGAGGGTAGGAAATGGGCCTAAATGGTTGCAAGCTTTTTACATTTTATGTGAAGTGTATAATTTTAACTCTAAGAAGCCTGGAAAATTAAAGATATATTTTATAGTCCCTAGAACAGAGAGAAATAGACAAATCAACAGTCATATTTGGAGATTTTAATACTCCTTTTTCAGCAACTAAACAACTAGTCAAAAATTAGTATATCCATAGATCTGAATGACATTGTCAACTACCTTGATTTAATTAACATTTATTAAACAGTACACTTGAGAACTGCAGAATACCTAGAAGCAGTTTCTCCACTACTTATTGAATCTCCCCCTGTTTCTGCCCACCTGCCTCCACTCCCGCCTCCACCATGTCCATCAGGGTGACCCAGAAGTTCTACAGGGTGTCCACCTCTGGCCCCGGACCTTCAGCAGCCACTCCAACATGAGTAGGCCTGGTGCCTGCGTCAGTTCCTCGAGCTTCTCCCAAGTGGGCAGCAGCAGCAGTGTCCAGGGTGTCCTGGGTGCCAGCATGGGTCTGGGTGGAGGCTATGGCCGAGCTGGTGGTTATAGGAGGCATCACAGCCATCATGGTCAACCAGAGCCTGCTGAGCCCCCTTAAGCTGGAGGTGGACCCCAACATCCAGGCCGTGTGCACTCAGGAGAAGGAGCAGATTAAGACCCTCAACAAGTTTGCCCCCTTCATCGCGGTTCCTGAAGCAGCAGAACAAGATGCTGGAGACCAAGTAGAGCCTCCTGCGGCAGCAGAAGACAGCTTGGAGCAGCATGGACAACATGTCCAAGAGCTACATCAACAAACCTCCGTGGCAGCTGGACACTCTAGGCCAGGAGAAGCTGAAACTGGAGGCAGATCTTGGCAACATGCAGGGGCTGGTGGAGGACTTCAAGAACAAGTACGAGGATGAGATCAGTAAGCATACAGAGATGGAGAATAAAATTGTCCTCATCAAGAAGGATGTGGATGAGGCATACATGAATAGGGTGGAGCTGGATGGAGTCTTACCTGGATGGCAAGCTTACAAGATCAGCTTCCTCAGGCAGCTGTATGAAGAGGAGATCTGGGAGCTCCAGTCCCAGATCTTGGACACATCTGTGGGGCTGTCCACGCATAACAGCTGCTCCCTGGACACGGACGGCATCATTGCTGAGGTCGAGGCCCAGTATGAGAAGATCGCCAACCGCAGCCAGGCCAAGGCTGACAGCATGCACCAGATCAAGTATGAGGAGCTGCAGACCCTGCCTGGGAAGCACAGGATGACCTGCGTTGTACAAAGACGGAGATCTCCAAGATAAACTGGAACATCAGCCGGCTCCAGTCTGAGACAGAGGGCCTCAAAGGCCAGAGGGCTTCCCTGGAGGCCGCCATTGTGTATGTGTGGGGAGCGGTCCATTAAGGATGCCAATGCCAGGGGGTCCAAGCTGGAGGCCGCCCTACAGTGGGCCAAGCAGGACGTGGCGCGTCAGCTGCTCAAGTACCAGGAGCTGATGACCATCAAGCTGGCCCTGGACATTGAGATCGCCACCTACAGGAAGTTGCTGGAGGGCAAGGAGAGCCAGCTGAAGTCTGGGATGCAGAGCATGAGTATCCATATGAAGACCACCAGGGGCTACTCAGGTGGGCTGAGCTCAGCCTACAGGGGCCTTACAAGCCCTGGCCTCAGCTATGGCTTGGGATCCAGCTTTGGCTCTGGCGGGGGCTCCAGCTCCTTTGGCTGTGCCTGCTTCTCTAGGGCTGTGGTTGTGAAGAAGATCAAGACCACGATGGGAAGCTGGTGTCCCAGTCCTCTGATGTCCTGCCCAGGTGAAAGGCCATAGCAGCCCCTCCCAGCCTACCCCCTCCCATGGCTTCTCCAGAGCCTGTGGAGGAGGCCACTGTGCAGGGGAGTATAGGGAACAGGAGACCCACCTGAGGCTCAGCCCTAACCCTCAGCCCACCCATGGGGAGTTTACTGCCTGGGATACCCCCCTTGCCCATGCCTCCAGCTACAAAACAATTACATCATTTTTTTTTCCTCCAAAATAAAGCCTCAGCCAGATCTGCAAAGCAAAACAAAACAAACAAAGAAAACCAACAAAAACCAGAACATACATATGTCTCAACTACACATGGCACATTCACCAAGAACACCAGTCTTAATACTTTTAAAAGGACTACAGTCACACAGACTGTGTTCTCTGACTGTAGTGCAATGGAATTTGACTTCAATAACAAGTTAGCTAAAGAATTCCCGAATTCCCCCAAATATCTGGAAATTAAACACTTATAAATAACCAGTGGATCACAGAAGACTCGAGGGAAATTAGAACTGAATTATAATCAAAACATCAGCATTTATGAGATGCAGCTAAAGCAATGCTTACAGGAAAACTTATAGCTTTAAATGTTTACAATTAGAAAAGAAGAAAGGAATAAAGTCAGTCACTAAAATTTCACCTTAAGAGGGCAGAAGCAGAGTAAGTTAAGCCCAAAGTAGAGGGAAGAAGCACTTTTGAACAAGTTCTAGTTTCACTGTGTTGAAACTAGATATATGCCTCCTACCCTATAACCCAGTAATTCCACACCTAGGTATTGACTCAAGAGACATGAAAGCATATGACCACAGAAATACTTGTGCAAGGATGATCATGCTCCAGTCTAATCATGAGAAAAACAAACACATCCCAGTTGAGGGACATTCTACAAAATACCTGACCAGTACTCAAAACTGTCAAGATCATCAAAACAAGGAAAGTCTGAGAAACTGTCCCAACCAAGAGGAGCCTAAGGAGACAAGATGACTAAATGTAATGTGGGATCCTGGAAGGGATCCTGCAACAGAAAAAGGACATTAGATGAAAACTAAGGAAATCTGAATACTTAGATAGTAATAATGTATGAATATATATTCATTAATTATAACTGATGTACCATACTAATATAAGATGTTAATAATAGGGGAAATTGGGTGTGGGGTATATGGGAACTCTCTGTGCTATCTTTGCAATTTTTCCATAAATTTAAAACTACTCTAAAATTTAAAAGTTTATTATTTTAAAAAGGAATATCATAGTAGTTTGACTTATAAATAGCCCAAACTGGAAACAGTCTAGGTGTCCATCAATAGGAGAATGGATAAACAAACTGGGATATTCATATGGAATACTACTTAGCAATAAAAAAGAATGAACTACTGATAAACACCACAGAATGGATGTATCTCAAAACATTATGTTGAGTGAAAGAAGCCTCGGGCAAAATAATTTATACCATATGTCTGTGTGATTCTGTTTTTATGAAGTTCTAAAATAGGCTAAACTAATCTATGGTGGAAAAAGTCAAAACAGTAGTTGTCTCTGGAGTATGTGGGTGGGAATTGACTAGGAAGAGATGTGAGGGAGCTTTTCTGGGATGATGGTAATGTTCTGTATCTTGATAGGGGTTTGCATTACATGAGGATATGCATTTTTAAAAACTCATTGAATGGTACACTTAAGATCCATGCATATCACTGTATGTAAAATTTACTTTTTAAAATCTTGTAAACAGATATTGAATTTTAGTTAATAATAATCATGCTGAAATGTTAGGACTGAGGTATACTGATATCTGCAACTTATTTTGCAATGCGTTGAAAAAGCTGGATCGATGAATGGATTGAGAGATGAATGGGTGGAAACATATGTGAGAAAGCAAAAATAGCAAAATGTTAATTGTAGAATCCAGAGGGTGAGTAATGGATGTTCAACTGTGCAGTTCTTTTTTTAAAATTTTTTATTGATACATAATATTTTACATATTTATGGGGCACATGTGATATTTTGTTACATGCATAGAATATATAATAATCAAGTCAGGGAATTTGGAATGTTTATCACCTTGAGTATTTATCATTTCTATGTGTTGGAAACAATTCAAGTCCTCTCTTCTAGCTATTTTGAAATATATAATACGTCGTTGTTAACTATAGTCACCCTACTCTGCTGTCAAACATTAGAGCTTATGCCTTCTATGTAACTATATGTTTTACCCATTAACTAATCTCTCTTCATCCCCCATTCCCACCCACACACCCTGTCTATCATTCTACTTTCCACCTCCATGAGATCAACGTGTTTACTGTCATATATGAATGAGAACATGTGATATTTGTCTTTCTGTGCCTGACTTATTTCACTTAACATAGTGACTTCCAGCTCCATCCATATTGCTGCAAATGACATGATTTTATTCTTTTTAATTGCTGAATAGTATTTCATTATATATATGTACATATATATGTACATATATATATATATACCACTTTGAACTCTTTTTTTCTATGTGTTCATAATAAAATATTGGGGAAGAATAAAGAATATATGAAATTATTTCTAATGGAACCCACTTTTTGCATATTGTTCTTGGTGTAAGTAGATCTCTGGCAGAAAGTTCTTAGAGTAACATTGCTGCATCAATATTTTTTTTTCATGCTCCTTGAAAGGCTTTTAGGGAGAATATAGAGAAAGAGTAATCTTGCTCTGAAAGAGGAATTCTGCTGTTAAGTTTTCCGAAATGGTATCCCTTATTAAATTTGGAATGCTCAAACCTGTAGAAATGTACCCTAAGTAGCTAATATTTATAACCTCTTTCTTTTCAGATATACAAACAAATGCGGAACTGAAAAGCACTCAGGAGCAGTCTGTGCCCGCAGGTAACATCAGGTCTTTCCTCTCTGGAAATATACCTTTACTAAAAAAAATACCAAAGAGAGAGGAATGTGCTTATTCTGGTTGCAGTAAAAATGCTATGGAAATGTGTGTGTGTTTTTTTTTAAATATGGTTGTCTGTTGCTGATGAAAAAATAACTCATCCATTTAGATCATGTAAGTTCTTTAGCATCTTAGGGCCAAACATACACTACCTAATGTTGATCACTGTTTGTTTGTTTGTTTGTTTGTTTTTGATTTTTCAGCTCATTGCTCTGAAGACAGTTTTTGTTGAATAATATAGTAGCTTGTATTTGAATGACTTGCGATTTTTACTGTAGAACAGTGGTCTGCAAACTTTTTTGTAAAGGGCCAGATAGTAAATATTTAGACTTTGCAGGCCACATATGGTCTCTGTCACGTATTATTTTTTGTATTTCTTACAACCCTTAAAAAATGTAAAAACCATTCCTACCTCTTGGGCCCACACAGAAGCAGGCTATGGTCAGACTTGTACCTCAGGCCATAGTTTACTGATCCCTGCTCTAGAATAAATTATAAACATTTACAATAATTTATTTCCTGAAAATAACTTCTGTGTCCTCCATTGATTAACTCACTGTGTGAATCAAAGCTTACATTATATTACAAAATTTAATTTATCACTGAAATGCCTTTTTGTGTTACTGTAACTTGTAATCACATCTTTCTTTCTTTCTTTTTTTTTTGAGACGGAATTTCGCTCTTGTTGCCCAGGCTGAAGTACGATGGTGTGATCTCGGCTCACCACAACCTTAGCCTCCCGGGTTCAAGCCATTCTCCTGCCTCAGCCTCCTGAGTAGCTGAGATTACAGGCATGCACCACCATGCCTGGTGTATTTTTAGTAGAGGCGGGGTTTCACCACGTTGGTCAGGCTGGTCTCGAACTCCCAACCTCAGGTGATCCGCCCGCCTCGGCCTCCCAAAGTGCTGGGATTACAGGCATGAGCCACCGCACCCGGCCAATCACATCTTTTAACTGAACCTAAATCTCATATTAATTGTTTAGGTGTCCACTATATTTTAGTCATTTCAGGCTTGAGAAAAGTGAACCATTGTTTAGAATGGTATCTTAGAGTTCACAGAGTATACATCATAATATGCAGAAATTAGAAACTTCAGATATTCATAAATCAAACACTGAGTCCATGGTGACCACATTTTCAGGGGCTCTTAGTGATGGGTTTTGTGAAACGTGTTTCTCTTTCGCTCCCGCGTGTGTTTGGTCATGGCTCAGCTGAAAGGAGTGCCACTGCAGAGCTTCTAGTTACCTCCCTACTTCAGCCCAGCCTCAGTGCCACAGGATTCAGTGTCTTTGACTATTTTTTATATTAATGGGAACTCAGCAAATATTTTATTGAAGATTGGGAAGGAGTTAGATAAAAAGAGGGTAACTTTTCAGTTCATTTCTTCTGCTATCATCTTTTTGTTAAGCTACTATGCCTATATGTGAAAATAATTCCAGTTGCATTGTTCCTTTTTCTTCTAGTATTATCAATATTTATTATACATTTCTCTTAAACTTATTTTGTAACAAGTTTGCTGTTTGTTTAAGCATGTCTTTATTATGTCTGCTCCCTTTCACTTATGAACTTTAATAACACTTTGTATTTCCTTTATTTAATCCTTTGTCTGAGCCTACCATGTGTTAGAGTTGTGGGCTTCTCTTATCTATATCTCAAAGTATGAGCTCCTTGAAGACATAATGACTTATTCATATCTGTAGCCTTGTCAACATTCAGTAAATGTTCAAACAAATAAAGAAACTTGGGGTCCAATATGTTTTCCACAGAATCACATTTATAATGTGAACAGAAGGGAAAAACAGAATTTGGCATACAGAAAGCTTACAGATCTTCCTCCTAGGAAAGCATCTTTCCCAAATTAGGTTATGCCAGTGTTTGCACGCTTAGTATTTCTGGTCACTACTTTGTCATAAATAGCAATGGCATCCTACTGAATATCGTGAGATATACCAATGGAGAGATAGTTTTTCTCCAGAAGGAACATGAGTGCCCTTTAACTCAGATGAAAGAAATATTCAAGAAAGTTGTGTGTATTCAGAGGGTACATGAACCCTGGGCATATTTCTTTTCTCTTTTTTTTTTGTTTGAGACGAAGTCTCACTCTGTCACCCAGGCTGGAGTGCAGTGGTGCTATCTTGGCTCACTGCAACCTCCACCTCCCGAGTTCAAGTGATTCTCCTGCCTCAGCCTCCCGAGTAGCTGGGATTACAGGCATGCACCGCCATGCCCAACTAATTTTTGTATTTTTAGTAGAGATGGGGTTTCACCATGTTGGCCAGGCTGGTCTCGAACTCCTGACCTCAGGTGATCTGCCCATCTCGGCCTCCCAAAGTGCTGGGATTACAGGCGTGAGCCACTGCGAACCCTGGGCTTATTTCTAAACCTCAAGAGTTTTCATGTATACATCCCTTTTGGGTATGTGTGAAGGGGTACTATCTGTCACTAAAGGATTGTGTGAAGCTGAAAGTTAAATGGGGGTCTACTTAATATATATTTATAAAAATCCTTTAACGTTGAACCACATACTTAAAATTCCTTTTATCTTTTAGAAAGTGCAGCGGTTTTGAATGACTACAGTTTAACCAAATCTCATGAAATGGAAAATGTGGACAGTGGAGAAGGCCCAGCCAATGAAGATGAAGACATAGGAGGTGAGCCGTAGTGTGCAGACTAAACACTGATGCCTGTAGATATTGCTTAGGCTTAGTGTAGAGAAGAAATCAGCTCTCCAAGGAAAACTTGCAATTGTAGGTTTAGTTAGGAGTGATTCTGTTTTGTTAATTTCACAAATATTTGCATTTCATAGTTGTAGGTTATCAGCAAATTTTGAGAATTTAAGGTGCTTATCCAGTGTTCCAATTATATTAACTTCACTTAAAACATGATGTTTGACTATTTTCCATTATAAAAGTAATACATGTTTATTGTAGAAAGTTTGTCTGGGGTGTTTTCTGACACCAACAAACCAATTTTCTGGTTTTCCGACAATGACTTGGTGTCCAACAATTCAATTCAATTATTATTATTATTTTTTTTTGAGACGGAGTTTCACTTTGTCGCCCAGGCCAGAGTGCAGTGGCGCAATCTCGGCTCACTGCAACCTCCGCCTCCCATGTTTTAGTGATTCTCCTGCCTCAGTCTCCCAAATAGCCGAGATTACAGGCGCCCACCACCATGCCCGGCTAATTTTTGTATTTTTTTTAATAGAGACGGAGTTTTACCATGTTGGCCAGGCTGGCCAGGAACTCCTGACCTCAAGTGATTGCCAAACTCAGCCTTCCAAAGTCCTGGGATTACAGGCATGAACCACCATACCCAGCCCACTTCAATTCAATTCTGATTGTAATTCCTGATGTTTGCGTAGACCGCACAGGTTACAGGCTCAGTCTCACAGTACTGCACAGTACTCTCCCTACTTTAGACAACAGTCTCAAGTACCAGGTCCCCAGGTTACCTGCACTTTTGTCTGACTTAGCTACAAAATCGGGGACTCCCCTCCACATGTTTAATAATTTGCTAGGATGACTCACAGGACTTGTTACATAACTCATTTATTCATTCCTTTACTCTCAGCTACTCTTCCTCCTTCTTACTGTTTATGCCCAAACTTTCCCACCTTTGGGAGGAATATTAGGTTTGACCACTGCACTGGTCTAGATCGTAGGCAGCAATACTAGTCTAGCAAGCACCTCTCCCTCAGTCAACTCCCATACATACAGGATAGGGTTACACAGGTACGGAACTAGTGGGCTATTTCTACCACTAGGCAATACATCTGCATTCAATGTTAACCCCAATTTTGCCAGATGGGGTAAAGGCACAGCCTGCCTCATCAGGCCCTTAGGAGTTCTGACATAAAGGTTTAAAGCTACGGTTACACTTTCTTGCTTTAGAAATCATCTCTGTTTCTGGCACTTGTAATTACAGTGCTGGTATTGCAACCACTGCATCTGGTAGGAAAGAGAAAGCTGATGTGACAATGTAGGGAAGGAAAAAAAGAATAGTCATCACACCAATATCCTCCTCTTTGGCAAGAATTGTATAGTCATATCAGCATCCTCCCCCACCTCCTCTTCCCTAATCCACCAGAAAAACAGAGGAATCTACCTAGTGGGAACACTCCCTTAGCTCATTTCAATGTGACCTCACACTTGTGCAAATGCATAAACCAACCCTTCACACCTATACCTTACCCTATTTTAGATATCTATCAAACTACTACTCTGAGGAGGATAGCTCTTTGCCCATTGTTTGACATTATGGGCTGTAAGTAGAGTGCTCCTTAGTCTAAAGAAATGTGGCTCAGCCATTCAAATTGGTGCAATATCTTCTGTTCTGGTTCTTTCGTGGTACTGACCATTTGTGTATACAACCAGGTAAGCAAAGCCCCTTCCAGAGTCTGTGTTTATCCCCGTCAAAAACAATTTATAGGTTGGGTGCAGTGGCTCACACCTGTAATCCCAGCACTTTGAGAGGCTGAAGCAGGAGGATCTCTTGAGCCCAGGAATTTGGGCCCAGCCTGGGCAACATGGTGAGGCCTCATCTCTATAAAAAAAAATTATAATAATACAAATAAATTAGCCAGGTGTGGTGGTGTGTGCCTGTAGTCCCAGCTACTCAGGAGGCTAAGGCTGGAGGATCACTTGAGCCTGGGAGGTTGAGGCTGCAGTGAGCTGTGATCCTGCTACTGCACTCCAGCCTGGGCAACACAGTGAGATCCTGTCTCAAAAGAACAACAACAGGCCGGCCGTGGTGACTCACACCTGTAATCCCAGCACTTTGAGAGGCTGAGGCAGGTAGATCATTTGAGGTTGGGAGTTCGAGACCAGCCTGACCAACTGGTTAAACCCCATCTCTACTAAAAATACAAAAATTAGCCAGGTGTGGCGGTACTCACGTGTAATCCCAGCTACTGGGGAGGCTGAGGCAGGAGAATTGCTTGGACTCGGGAGGCAGAAGTTGCAGTGAGCCAAGATTGCACCACTGCACTCCAGCCTGGGTGACACAGTAAGACTCCATCTCAAAAAAAGAACAAAAACAAAAATGATTTGTAGCCCTTGGGACTACCAGCATTGGCTCTTCAATGCAATCCACTTGCCAACTATGTGTGGGGTCTTCCCCCTGGGGAATCTTCCCCATAGTCACCTATAGTAACTGTCTCTCTTATTGGCAGACATAATAGTTTGTTGCTATTTTGTGCCTCAGGAGGTCCAAGGGAAATATGTCCAAATTCAGCCCATCTTCTGCAGTGGCTGTAGCATCCCCCATCCTGTCTACTCATTTTATGGACCCACGTGCTCACCTCAAACACGCACACTGTGATACCTACTAATTGGTTCTGATCAGCTTCCAAATCTGGAAGGGGGGTCTTTTACCGAGCATTGACATGTCCTACTTTAATGCACCCCTCAAATTCCCATAGTGATTTCCACAGGGCTTTGTCCCATATGAGAGTCCCTTTAATATGCCAAGTTTCCATTGCACTCTTGCCTTACCACATGGCCAGGCTGTTGGCCATTGCCCATGAATCAGAAACTGAAACATATGGGCATGTATCACTGTTCAGTTCTTCCATCACTTCTAGGAAAACAGCAGATTATTCAGCTCACCAAGCTGATTTGTTTTTACCTTCTTTAATTACAGTTGTGGTGTTCCAAACAGGATGTTGTCCATTTACCTTAAAACTACCATCCACAGCCAGGCATGGTGGCTTATGCCTGTAATCCTAACACTTTGGGAGGCCAAGGCAGGAGGATTGCTTGAGCTCAGGAGTTCAAGACCAACCTGGGCAATATAGTGAGACCTCGTCTCTACAAAACATTTAAAAATTAGCTAGGCATGGTGGCATATGCCTGTGGTCCCAGCTACTTGGGGGACTGAGGTGGTAGGATCGTTTGAGCCTGGGAGGTTGAGGCTGTAGTGAACCCTGATCGTGTCACTGCTCTCTAGGCTGGATGATAGAATGAGACCCTGTCTCAACAAACAAAAAAACTACCGTCCACAAATCAAGCATCTCTTTGTTGGTCAAAGACTACTTTATAGGGCACTGTCTAAGTGATGATAGAATCCAGCAGCTCCTCACATAGTTCCAAAGTCAATTGTAGGGGAAAAGAGGATCCCTGCCCCTGAGTATATCATCCTTTCATTCCTAAGGTACCATGATTCTCTATAAACTATTTCTATGTTATTATAGAACTCTTCTGGGCAATGCTCTCCCCATTAGAACACTTCTCTGACATCACCCAAGACTTCGTTGATATTTTAGGTTTTAAAATTATTTTTTTGTCCTTCAATCATAAGAGCAATTTCAATTAATATTCAATAGCAGGCTAATAATTTCCCCTCAAATGGAAATTCTCTGGTCCAAAATCCAATTGTTGTCATTGCTGGAAAGTACTCACAGGTTTTTGCCATAAGCCATTACCCAATTCTCACACACCAAGCCTATATTTCACCTACCCTAAGTCATCCCAGGGCCAGATACCAGTCAACCAGAGACCATCTCTATGCTTTAGAGCCCACCAGAATTATTAAAACTAGCCAATCCTAAACTGTTTACCCAGCCCTGCCTTGCCTTTTCCACAGAAACCCCAATTAAGGCTCTGACCTAAGGTTTTTCCTCATTCCTCTTTTCTGCCTCCTGACCAACACTGGTGCTTTCTCCTGTGATCTTGCATAGCACATAATAACCACCTCTCTGGGACCTGTGAATGTGATAAACTTCTTTCTGGGCCTTGTTCTAATTTTCTTTGTGTCCACACTGACTTTACCATATCATATCTGACATGTACATTCTTAAGACACCACTTAACCGTGGCATTTACCATGACCTGGTGTATTAGTCTGTTCTCATGCTGCTATGAAGAAATACCCAAGATTGGGCAATTTATAAAGAAAAGAGGTTTAATTGACTCACACTTCCAAATGGATGGGGAAGCCTCAGAAAACTTACAATCATGGCAGAAGGCAGCTTTTCACAGGGTGGCAGGAGAGAACGAGTGCCAGCAGGGAAATGCCAGACACTTATGAAACCATCAGATCTTGGCCAGGTGCGGTGGCTCACACCCGTAATCCCAGCTCTTTGGGAGGCCGAGGCGGGAGGATCACGAGGTCAGGAGATCGAGATCATCCTGGCTAACATGGTGAAAACCTGTCTCTACTGAAAATACAAAAAATTAGCCAGGTGTGGTGGTGGGCACCTGTAGTCCCAGCTACTTGGGAGGCTGAGGCAGGAGAATTGCGTGAACCTGGGAGGCAGAGCTTGCAGTGAGCCAAGATCACGCCACTGCACTCCAGCCTGGGTGACAAAGCGAGACTCCGTCTCAAAAGGAAAAAAAAAAAAAAGCCATCAGATCTTATGAGAACTCACTCACTATCACAAGACCAACATGGGGGAAACCACCTCCATAATTCAATTACCCCATTATTCAATCCCACCGGGTCCTTCTCACAACACGTGGGGATAATGGGGGTTACAATTCAAGATGAGATTTGGGTAGGGACGCAGCTAAACCATATCATTCTGCCCTGGCCCCCATTCAAATCGCATGTCCTCATATTTCAAAACACAATCATGCCTCCCTAACAGTCCCCCAAAGTCTTAACTCATTCCAACATCAACCCAAAAGTCCAAGTCCAAAGTCTCATCTGAGACAAGGCAAGCCCCTTCTGCCTATAAGTCTGTAAAATCAAAAGCAAGTTAGTTACTTCCCAGATACAATGGAGGTACAGGCACTGGGTAAATATACCCATTCCAAATGGGAGATATTGGCCAAAACAAAGGGACTACAAGCCCCATGCAAGTCCGGAATCCAATAGGGCAGTCATTAAACCTTAAAGTTCCAAAATGATCTCCTTTGACTCCATGTCTCACATCCACGTCACGCTGATGCAAGAGGTGGGCTCCCATGGCTTTGGGCAGCTCCGCCCCTGTGGCTTTGCAGGGTACAGTCCCCTTCCCAGCTGCTTTCACGGGCTGGCGTTGAGTGTCTTGCAGCTTTTCCAGGTGCACGACACAAGCTGTCAATGGATCTACCCTTCTGGGGTCTGGAGGATGGTGGCCCTCTTCTAACAGCTCCACTACACGGTGTTCCAGTGGGGACTCTGCATGGGGGGTTTTACCCTACATATCCCTTCTGCACTGCCCTAGCAGAGGTTCTCCATGAGGGCTCCACCCCTGTAGCGAACTTCTGTCTGGACATCCGATGTTTTCATACATCCTCTGAAATCTAAGCAGAGGTTCCCAAACCTCAATTCTTGACTTCTATGCACCCATAGGCTCAACATCACATGGAAGCTGCCAAGGCTTGGGGCTTGTACTCTCTGAAGCAACAGCCTGAGCTGTACCTTTGCCCCTTTTAGATGCAGCTGGAGCAGCTGGGACACAGAGCACCATGTCCTGAGCCTGCACAGAACAGGGTGACCCTGGACCCAGCCCAGGAAACCATTTTTGCCTCCTAGACCTTTGGGCCTGTGATGGGAGGGGCCGCTGTGAAGGTCTCTGATATGCCTTGGAGCCATTTTCCCCATTGTCTTTGTAATTAACATTAGGCACCTCATTACTTATGCAAATTTATGCAGCTGGTTTGAATTTCTCCTCAAAATGGGTTTTTCTTTTCTATCACATTGTCAGGCTGCAAATTTTCCAAACTTTTATGCCCTGCTTCCTCTTGAACGCTTTGCTGCTTAGAAATTTCTTCCACCAGATACCTTAAATCATCTCTCTCAAGTTCAAAGTTCCATAGATCTCTAGGGCAGGGGCAAAATACTGCCAGTCTCTTTGCTGAAGCATAGCAAAAGTTACCTTTGCTCCAGTTCCCAAGCAGTTCCTCATCTCCATCTGAGACCACCTCAGCCTGGACTTCATTGTCCATATCACTGTCAGCATTTTGGTCGAAACCATTCAACAAGTCTCTAGGAAGTTCCAAGCTTTCCCACATCTTCCTGTCTTCTGAACCCTCCAAGTCTCTAGGAAGTTCCAAACTTTCCCACATTTTTCTGTCTTCTTCTGAGCCCTCCAAACTGTTCCAACCTCTGTCTTTTACCCAGTTCCAAAGTTGCTTCCACATTTTTGGGTATCTTTATAGCAGCACCCCACTCTCTGTGGTGCCAATATACTGAATTAGTCCACTCTCACACTGCTATGAAGAAATACCCAGCTGGGCACGGTGGCTCATGCCTATAATCCCAGCACTTTGGGAGGCTGAGGCAGGCAGATCATGAGGTCAGGAGATCGAGACCATCTTGGCTAACATGGTGAAACCCTGTCTCTACTAAAAATACAAAAAATTAGCTGGGCGTGGTGGTGGGCACCTGTAGTTCCAGCTACTCAGGAGGCTGAGGCAGGAGAATGGTGTGAATCCAGGAGGCGGAGCTTGCAGTGAGCCAAGATCGCGCCACTGCACTCCAGGCTGGGCAACAGAGCAAGACTCCATCTCAAAAAAAAAAAAAAAAAAGAAAGAAATACCCAAGACTGGGTAATTTATAAAGAAGAAAAGAAGTTTAATTGACTCACAGTTCTGCATGGCTGGGGAGGCCTCAGGAAACTTACAATCATGGCAGAAAGTACCTCTTCACAGGGTGGCAGAAGAGAGAGTGAGTGCCAGAGGGGAAATATCGGATACTCATTAAACCATCAGATCTTGTGAGAACTCACTCACTGTCACGAGAACAGCATGGGGGAAACCACCTCCATGATTCATTTACCTCCCACTGGGTCCCTCCTATGACATGGGATTATGGGGCTTACAATTCAAGATGAGATTTGGGTGGGGACACAGCCAAACCATATCACCTGGGTAATGGGCATATTCAATGTGTGAATCTTGATTATCACAAAGCCAGTTCCACATGGCTTGCATATGAAGCATATCAGCTGCTTCATCTGGGGTATTCCAGTTGGCATTGAAAGGGGAAGTCAGATAGTTCCCTTTCTCAGGGTAAATAGACCTTATAATGGCTCTTATCTGGTCCACCAGGTCAGCTGTTCCCTTAGGAATGACCTGCTCTGTGTCTGGATCATGTGTAGCCATCTGTGATTGTTCCATAGTGAGCTGTGGATCCTATATAAACCCAAACATGCTCTTCCACTCTGAAGCATTTAAAAGCCAAGATACTGCCCCTAAATTATTTATTCTTACAATTCATTTTAGTCAAAATTCTTTAGGAAGCTGATGGTACTGATCTACAAAATAAAGTAACTCTTTCACACTATACCCCCTGGTTTCAGTAGTTTCTTGGTTTTGCCCTCCCCTACCTGGACTCTCTTTTTGGTGACCAGAGATCTTAGAGGTATTTTCTGTTTTTCCCACATATTTTTTCCATTAGAGGCAGCTTTGGGTCTAGCATCCGAAGTTCAGGCCCACCAGAATCTGAGCGTGGTTCAGCATCAAGGTCCAACCCAACACTCTTTTTAACTTTCATTTTAGCTGTTGCAGATAACAATAACCATTGGATTGTGTATTTCACTTTTTTCTTATTAGTTTGCATTTCCTTAAGCATTCAGTGAACCAGCTCCCCAGGAGTTGGGTTCATCTTTAAATTTCACTGGTAACTTTTACCTTTAGTAACTGATCACAGCCCCTTTGCTGCTCCTTAGGTGACTATATGGCCACTCAGGAATCAAAATTTCCTCATCCCCTACCCTTTTATTTTATCCTTCCAAACCATATGTTTCTGTGAGCCTGGGCTGATCTAGCAAATCCCACTCCAATTCTGGGGTGTTTTCCATCCACAACCAAATCTCTAGGCCATTCCGTTGTTGGGTGTCCAACAATTCAATTCAATTCTGATACTAACTCTGAGAATTAGTACAGACCACACAGGTTAAGGGCTCAGTCCCACAGACCGCCCCTACTTCAGACACCAGTCTCAAGTACCAGGCCCTCAGGTGACCCACACTTCTTCCAACTTGGGCAAATTTGAGTGTTCCCACATCCTTCCTCAGGTTTAGTAATTTTCTGGAATGACCCACAGAGCTCAAAAAGTTTCTTTACTTATCATTACCAGTTTATTATAAAAGATACAACTCAGGAACAGCCAAATGGAAGGGAGGCATAGAGCAAGGAAGGGGTGACGTGGAGCTTCCATACTTTCTCTGGGCATGCCACACCCCCAGCTCCTGAAGCTCTCTGAATCTTGTTGTTCAAGAACGTTTATAGGACTCAATCTCCAGCTCCCTTTCCTCTCTCTTCTTCCCTGAGGTCACTGGGTGGGGCTGAAAGGTCCAACGCTCTAATTACCAGGTCCTTCTGGTGAACAGCTCCATCCTGAGGCTGTCTAGTGGCCCCAGCCTCAGCTACCTCGTTAGCATAATCTAAGGTGCTATTGAAAGGGGCTCGTTATGAATACAAAAGACACTCCTGCCCCTGCTACTTAGAAGCTGAGGCAGGAGGATCTAGTGAGAAAAACAAAACAAAACAAAACAAAGCAAAACAATACTCCTATCACTTAGGAAATTCCAAGGGCTTAGAAGTTCTGTGCTTGATCCTGGGAGCAGGAACAAAGACCAAATATGTTTTTGTATTATACCACAGTTTGGAAAGTTCATTGAAATAGAAAGAAAAAAGAAAACCCCACCTCTATCCTACCACCCAAAGATAGTCTCTAATAGCATTACAGAGTACTTACTTCCAGGCTTTTTTGTGAGTTTTGAGCATTATATTCACATTAATATTGCTCACATTTTATAGTGATATTTATGTTGATAAATCTAATCACTTTTGCTTTATGAATGTTACTCTGTTACTCAGATCTCATCTTAAATGTCATTTCTTCAGAAAAGCTTTTCCTGACAATTCAGTCACTATTTTAACACAGCCCTGTTTTAATTCATCGCATGACACTGAACACAGATAACTTTGGAGTTTTGTTTAGTGTCTACTCTCCTTCCAGCCTTCTTGGGCTATTTTTTTCCTTGCTAGATATTTACAGTACCTAGAACAGTACCTGGCCCTACTGTGGTAGGTGTGCAATAAATATTTGTTGAGTAAGTGACTAAATGAAAGCCCTAGGTCAGTTATATGTGTGTATACATGAGTTTCTTAAAGGAAGAAAAGAAAATAGGCTGGGTGCAGTGGCTTGGCTCACGCCTGTAATCCCAATACTTTGAGAGGCCAAGGTGGGCGGATTTTTCTGGAGGTCAGGAGTTCGAGACCAGCCTGGGCAACATGGTAAAACCCCATCTCTACAAAAAAAAAATTTTTTTTTAATTAGCTTTGTGTGTGCCTGTAGTCCCAGCTACTTGGGAGGCTGAGGTGGGAGGATCACTTGAGCCCAGGAGGCAGAGGTTGCAGTGAGCCAAGATTGCACCACTGCACTCCAGCCTGGACAATAGAGTGAGACTCCTTTTCAAGAAAAGAAAATCATTTCTCAGAGTCTTTTTCTTTTGTCTTAAATTTCTTAAGAGACCAAGAAATTGAGTTATTTGTCTAAAACTTCTGAGATTCAAATCACAGCTTCAACTAACATTCCAGCTGTACTGAGCTATACATTAATTTGTACCAGTTTTTAACCACAGAGACAGAAAAATGCTGCCTGGCACAGGATGTGGTCATTTGTGCTGAGGAAAGGCATATGATGTTGTATCAGCTTCGTGCAACTTCTTGAAGGTGACATCCATGGAGTCTCACTCAGAATGAGGCAAATGATAGCTGTGCCTGTGGCTTGTTTTTTTTCTGAGTTACAGTTTCTGAGTTCTGGTAGGTAATACCATTAAATTTGTAGTTGAAATAGTGATCCCTATGCCACTGTTGGTTTGGGAATTTATAATTTATGTTATAAATTTACTTTGGGTTCAGGGGTAGCCTATGAGTTTTATATTTTCAGATAGTTTGTGGTAAAAAAAACAGATTAAATACTCAAACATAAACAAGAAACCAATAATTTCCATTCAACAATAGGAATTTAAAATAAATATTGTAAAAACCCAAGTGGTGAAGCACCTTGTTAGGAACCCATACAATAGTATCGCCTTACCTCCAACTACATGTCAATGGGTTAATAGGATGTTTGTGTAAATAAATTATTTTTCTCAGTTGCTAGGGGTCTAGGAGTGTCATGCAGTTCTTGATAGAGAAGATATGATCAATCACTCTAAATAATTTGGGAAAGAGAAAAGAAACAGTTATTTACTTTAAGCTTCATTCAGAAAGAAATGAATACGCTAATTTTGTTGTTGTTTTGTTTTTGTTGTTGCTCTGTTGCCCAGGCTGGAGTGCGGTGGTGCGAGCTCAGCTCACTGCAAACTCCGCCTCCTAATTTCAAGTGATTCTCGTGCCTCAGCCTCCTGAGTAGCTGGGACTACAGGCATGTGCCATCATGCCTGGCTAATTTTTATATTTTTAGGAGAGACGGGGTTTTACCATCTCTACTAGATGGCCAGACTGGTCTCAAACTCCTGACCTCAAGTGATCTGCCCACCTCAGCCTCCCGAAGTGCTAGGATTACACCACTCCTGGCCTGAGTAGGCTAATTTTAACGTTGAAAGATCATTCCATTATTTTGTGATTAATCTGCAAACAGATTATAGTAGTCCCCCTTCTCTGCGGTTTCACTTTCTGCAGTTTCAGTTCCATGGTCAACCATGATCCCAAAATAGGTGAGTTCAGTACAATAAAATATTTTGAGAGAGAGTCAACAATTATGTACCTTTTATTATAGTATAGTGTTGTAATTGTTCTATTTTATTGTTATTGTTACTAATTTCTTACTATGCCAGATTTATAAATTAAAACTTTATCATAGGTATGTATGTATAGGAAAAAACGTAGTATTCAGTCATATACCACATAATGTTTGGGTCAATGATGAACTGCAAAAACAGTGGTGGTCTCATAAGTTAAGACCTATTTTTACTGTATCTTTTCTAAGTTTAGATATACAAATACTTACCATTGTGTTACAGTTGCCTACAGTATTCAGTACAGTAACATGCTGTACCCATAACATGCTGTACAGTCTAAGAGCAATAGGCTGTACCATATACCCGAGGTTTGTAGTAGGCCATACTGTCTAGGTTTGTATAAATACAGTGTGCTCTATAATGTTTGCATAATGATGAAATCACCTGATGATCCACTGCTTAGAATGCATCCCATCATTAAGGAGCATGTGACTGTATATAGGGTTTGGTACCATCTGCAATTTCAGACATCCGCTGGAGGTCTTGGAAAGTATCCTCTGTGAATAAGGGGGGACTACTCTACTGTACTATTAACACTGGCACTTAATCTGGGTCATATATGTTTGGAAAAGGTGGTTACCAGGACCCTGCTTTTATAAAATATATAATATGATCAGTATGTATAAATTATACATGCTAAATTATAAAAGTAATAGAATGTAAAAACAGCATTGCCCGATAGAAGTTATACCTACTGCATAATAAGGTACCACTGCCATATGCAGCACAGGAAAACATTTAAGACTAGAGTTAGGCCCGGTACTGTGACACAAGACTGTAGTCCCAGCTACTCAAGAGGCTGAGGCAGGAGGATCACTTGAGCCCAGGCGTTTGAAGCTGTTGTGCATCATGATTACACCTATGAATAGCCAGTGCACTCCAGCCTGGGCAATATAGCAAGACTCCATCTATAAAAAAAGAAGACTAGAATTAGAATTATACTTTTAAAGGTAATTAGGGGAATTTAGCTACAATGTAATAATTATTTTAAAATGTTAGAGAATTCTATTCTGTTTAAGTTTAATGGCAGCATTTATTTTTTAATGTCATTTGAAAGATTTTAGGAACCAAAGACTTGTCTGGAGTGTTTAAAATTCAGAATAATTGCAATCATGTTTAATGTATATGTTAAAAAATGAAATATCGTGTGCATCTTTATAAGCTTCCAGTTCTTAGAAAATTGTTTTGTAGAAAATTTCACACCCTGATGGAAACACTCACTTTATTTTTTCTCTTGCGGAAAGACAGACTAATTTCTAGGGGAAAAGGCTTTACCCAACTAGAGTAAGTTTGGAAAACAAAACAAAAATACTTGGAAAAAACTTTAAAAAACTATTAATATTGGCCAGGCATGGTGGCTCAGGCCTGTAATCCCAGCACTTTGGGAGGCCCAGGCAGGCAGATCGCCTGAGGTTAGGAGTTCAAGGCCAGCCTGGCCAACATGGTGAAACCCCGTCTCTACTAAAAATACAAAAATTAGCTGGGCGTGGTGGCGCATGCCTGTAATCCCAGCTACTCGGGAGGCTGAGGTGGGAGAATCTTCTGAGCCTGGGAGGCAGAGGTTCCAGCAATGAGCTGAGATCGTGCTCAAGCCTGGGCGACGGAGTGAGACTCTGTCTCAAAAAAACAAAAACAAAACAAACAAAAGTATTAACTTTGAACATAAATACGCTTGCTTGTGATCCCACAGACATTGTGGTAATTTTTTACAGTATATTCCCAGGAGCCTAGTGCAGGTATTGGCAAACTTTTTCTGTAAAGGACCAGATAGTAAATATCTTAGGCTTTGTGGGCTATACAATCTCTGTTGCATCTTCTCAACTCTGCCATTGCAAGGTAAGACAACTGTAGAAGATACATAAATGAATGTGAGTGGCTTTGTACCAATAAAACTTTATTTACAAAAATAGGCAGTGGGTTGGATTTGACCTGCAGGCCATAATTCCCTTACTCCTAACCTAGTGTATACATTTATTGTATGATGAGTTAAGAAAAGATTTGGCACTTGAAAGGAACAGTGTTTGTGTAACCATTTCAAAAGGGCATCAGTGAGGATTCTAATACTATTATTTTAAAAATCAGAAAAATATATATCACTAACAGCTTTTTATCACATGCATGTATAGTTGATATAGCTCTATTTACATAAATTAATTAGACATAAATAAAACCATATGTAGACTAAATGTTGTGTTACCATTTAGTTGGTTTTCTCCTTTATTCCTGAAAATTTAAATCTAACAAGCACTGGCAAATATTTACATCAACTCAAGTTTATTTCCTCCAGGAGGCCTTTTTATACTATCCCACCTTCCACAGTGTGGTCTCAGAGCTGAATTTTTAAGAGTATGTTTAGTTAGTACTTATTTAAACACGTAATTATATTCTGTTCGAAATTGTTTGTGCATGACAAGGTTTCACCCCATTATATCATAAACTTTTTGAAAAAAGAAGCCCTAACCTATATTTACATCTTTCTAAGAATACTTACCTATGAAGTGATATAATCCAACCAGTTTGGAAAGCAGAAGAAATGAAGAAATTCAGAGTTCTTTTTCTAGCCTGCTCATTCACTCTTATGAACAATTATTATTTCTCTTCCTCTTAGTGACCAACTGTAACTATCTTCAGACTGATCTTGAGCCATAGGAAATAACCCAGAGATCCCCAAGTCTTTATTTTTGTTTAGCATCCAATGAGTGCTGGGAATATCACAGCCACTTTACTGAATACAAAAGATTTGGGACCTTCTACTTGGATCTAAAATGTCAGCAAGATACTGTGATGTCAAAAGCAAGAGTTAAAACAATTTTATAAAATATCATGAGAAAGAATATTATTGTTGCTTATATCTTGGCCTATGATCACAGAGCAACTAAAAAATAAAAACCTCTGAGTATCAAGGCTAGAGGGAAGATGTGTTTCATGCTAGTGTACTGAGGGATATTAACTAGGTAGAGATAAGACTCGAGATGGTGGAATGTCATCCCAGCAAGGCAATTGTCATGCACAAACAATTTCAGAGAGAATGTAATTAGGTGCTTAAATTAGTGGAAAAGACATGGCCTTAAGGCCTGAACGACTGAAATAGAACTCTTGCGACTTTTTGTTTCAGTCCTTCTTCCTCTGAAATTGGATTCCCGTCTTTGCCATTTCCCACTTAGAAAATAGAAGGAAAGGTTCTGTCATGAGCATGTATATGTTATGAGGGTATGATGCATTTGCCGATAGTATTTTTTCCTCTTTGAATAGCTGAGGAATAAAAGTTGGGCTACTGACCCCCTGTATTTAACACTCTACTGGCCCCCTATTTTTCAGCAGCCCCCATCATCCACTATCTCTATTTACACAAGCCATTTGTTCTGGAGCTGCTGTAGGGGTAAAAAGTACACACGATACCTCGATACCCATCAACACTAGCTGTTTACCCTGCCTGAGTTGCACATTTACCCTCTGTCTTAGTTTTCCAGGGCTTCCATAATAAATTACCACAAACTGGGTGACAAAACACCAGTTTGTCACAAAGCAACAGAAATTTTTTACTATTCTGGAGGGTAGAAGTTCAAAATTAAGATGTCAGCAGGACCATGGGAAGGGCCTAGGGAAGAGTTCTTTTTTGCCTCTTTCTGGCTTCTGGTGACTTCCAGCAATGCCTGGTGTTCCTTGGTCATGGCAGCATAACTCTAATCTCTGCCTCCATTGTCACGTGGGCTTCATCTCTGTGGGCATCTCCTGTTTCTGTCCTCCTCTAGGGAGACTAGTCATTGGATTTAGGGCCTACCCTAATCCAGTGTGACCTCATCTTAACTAATTACATCTACTATGACGATATTTCCAAATAAAGTCACATTCTGAGGTTCCAGGAGGACATGAATTTAGGAGGGACACTATTCAACACAGTACACCCTTCATCTCCTGGCTCTGTAACTAAATATCAAATAGACCCAATACCCATCATGAAATAGATTTCTTTTTTAATTAATTGTGCAGTGGTGATCAATCGGTGTATGTATTTAATTACTTCCATTCTGTACAAGCTATGGGTCTTGCCTGATTCCAAGAGAAAAGTTGAATTTGATCACTTTTGAAAGGCCTTATATTTTCTCCATTGTGACATCTTGTGCAGTGTAGATGCTTAGATCAAAGATAAGAACTTTAATTAGAAAGCTTGCTGAAAAAAATAATTCTTCTTCCCCTTAGGAGAAATAACTCCCATCTTCAGTAGCTTCCCATGGCATAGTCTCGGTCCCTTTTGAGGTGTACAACTCTTTGGTGCTTAGAAGAAGTACAAACTACTTTGATGCTTCTGAAAGGGGAAAAAAAATTAAGCCACATGTGTGGTTTATGGATGCTAATTACCGCCACATTTAGATGTGTGAAGAAGGGTGGCTGGAGCGAGCTGGGAGAGACCGCGTCAGCCTCGCTTAGGCACTCGCTGAGGCTCCCGCGGTACTGCTTAGTACACGCAAATATATGCTTCAAAAGGAAGTGCCGTTTTTTATCAAAATATTACATCTCTCAAGCCCAGATCAAGACCTGTCACTCATGGGATGCAGGGGTTATCTTACAAAATCAGCAGTGCTGTGCTGCAGAAGTTCACTCACAGGGGATTTCTGTAAGTGCTTACCATGGGCAGAGCTTTACAGCTTGTACTGTGTCAAACGGGTAAGTTCTGTTGATGATAAAACCAAGACATCTCTCCCTGAATCTTTTTTTTTTTTTAATCACGCTGTCACCCAGGCTGGAGTGCAGTGGCACGATCTCGGCTCACTGCAGCCCCAACCTCCCAGGCTCAAGTGATCCTCCCACCCGAGACTCCAGAGTAGCTGTGACTACAGTTGCATGCCACCATGCATGGCTAATTTTTTTTTTTCTGTAGATACGGGGTCTCGCTATGTTGCCCAGGCTAGTCTCAAACTTTTGGACTCAATCAATCCTCCTGCCTTGGCTTCCCAAAGTGCTGGGATTACAGGTGTGAGCCACTGTGCCTGGCCCTTGAAACTTTTTAACAGAAAACATCTCTGGATTTTCTTTTCTTCTTTTTTTTTTTTTTCATAACTAAGCTGCGTAGCACAGCAAACTAAAAGGAATGTGTAGGAAGATATTTGACATCTGCCAAAGAGCCACAGACAGTTGCAATGGTTAACAGAAAAATGGGGCTGCCCACTGTCCTTAGTGGATCCTCTGGAGAGTTTTCTCCCTTCTTTTTGCATTCTTTTTATTTATTTATTTATTTATTTATTTATTTATTTTTTGAGATGGAGTCTTGCCCTGTCGCCCAGGCTGGAGTGCAGTGGTGCGAACTGGGCTCCCTGCAAGCTCCACCTCCCGGGTTCACGCCATTCTTCCACCTCAGCCTCTAAAGTAGCTGGGACTACAGGCGCCCGCCACCACACCCGGCTAATTTTATTTTTGTATTTTTAGTAGACACGGGGTTTCACCGTGTTAGCCAAGATGGTCTTGATCTCCTGACCTCGTGATTTGCCCACCTCGGCCTCCCAAAGTTCTGGGATTACAGGCGTGAGCCACTTCGCCCTGCCTCTTTTTGCATTCTTTGTCTGTTAAGCAGTAGTGTTGGTGCCTCCTTCCAGCTGGATTAAGAGAACGCATGAAACACCCTTATGTGCCTGCTAACTTTCATAGCAGCTTTTCTTGCCAAGTGAGTTCTGCTTCTCAAATAAACTTTGGCACCAGGCACGGTGACCCGAGCCATTGTGTACCTTGGTGCCATTTGATAGCTAGAGGAAGGTACCCTGCTGAGGGATAAATGAGGAGTCCCAGTGGTGTGCCAGAATCAGCTCATAGCTGCTTGTTAAATTTTCAACAATTTTGTATGCTGGCTGACTCCATGATGGTAGCTTGAAATTGGCCATGGTGGAGTATTTATACCACTGAAATCAGCAAATGCCACAAATAAGCCCTTCCCCGATCCTGAGCTGGTTGTTAAGCAATTACCAGAACACCACTGGACTGAAGACTGAACAAAATCCTGTCCTGGCTCATCAGAACTATCAAATTTTTTGTAATTTGTCAGCCCAAAGGGATTTTGGGTTTTGGGTGTTCTGTTTTGTTTTTGTTTTTGTGTTGTAGTTTGCATGAAAGAGAATAGTGTCGGAGACAAGAAGAGTACATGAGCTCTCTCCACAACATAGTAGATGGGATCCCGAAATTTTATCTTGTAAAATATGGGGGTCATATTATTGCAAGTAAATGAAATATAGTAGGTGGTTTTGTGTTTTGTTTTGTTTTTAATATACTGTTACAAAAAGCACAAAGCAATGACAGTGAAGTTTAAACTGGACACAATTGTAAACCTTAAAAGACCCAAATGATCTTGAAGCAATTACTTCCTATCCATTCCCATAAGAACTTTAGCTTGCTCTTGTCTGAGAAGTGGGCAAGGGTAGACAACTGGAGGCAATCAGCAATCCTTTTACATCCAAATTTGTACACATTGTATTGTGGCAGGGTGTTATTGTACTTGATTGTGTCCCAAAGACATGGCAAGAACAGTCTTTTATAGTTGTGTTCTTTTGTGCCAAAGTTCTGGGAATATAGTAAATGCTCAGTGTTTATCCATTTTTCTTTCTGCCTTTCCATCCAACCATCCATTCATCCATTTATCCCCTGCAGTGTTCACAAGTGCTCACTAAATAATTATTGGTTCATTAACTAAAGTGAAGAACAGCATGTGAGTACATTTTGGCATTGGGGTCTTTTATTTTAGTAGTGTTCTTGAAATGCTGGGAAAACTTTCCAAGGATTGCATGGGATAATTTTAAGAGAATCAATTTCCAGGTCCGCAACTTCAGTATATTCTCTGCCCTTCTTCCTAAAACTGATCTGCCTAGAAGACTGCTGCCATTGAGCTTGCTTGCTTTTTCTTTTCTTTCTTCCTTTCTTTCTTTCTTCCTTCCTTCCTTTCCTTCCTTCCTTTTCTTCCTTCCTTTCTTCCTTCCGTCCTTTCTTCCTTCCTTCCTTCCTTCTTTCTTTCCCTTTCTGTCTTTCTTTCCCTTTCTTTCTTTCTTTCTTTCTTTCCTTCTCTCTTTCTCTTTCTCTTTTTTTATTTCCTCCCTTTCTCCCTCTTTTTCTTTCTCTCCCTCTCTTTCTTTCTTTCTTTCAGACAGGGTCTTGCTCTGCTGTCCAGGCTGGAGTGCAGTGGTGTAATCACAGTTCACTGTAGCCTTGACCTCGTGGGCTCAAGCAATACTTCCACCTCAACCTCCTGAGTAACTAGGTCTACAGGCACCCACCACCATGCCCTGCTAATTTTTTAACTTTTTGTAGAGGGGTCTCACTGTGTTGCCCAGGCTGGTCTTGAACTCCTAGACTCAAGTGATCTTCTCGCCTTGGTCTCCCAAATTGCTGAGATTACAGGCATAAGCCACCATGCCCAGCCTTCCTTCTCCACTTTATAAAAGAAAAGAACATTTCTCACCCACCTCTAAGGTGTAAGTACTTCCAAGATGCCAAACAAAGGATCAATTAGATAATTTCTTTTATCAAATTTTCATAACTTATTTCCTCTCTATCCTTCTCATTAGGAGATACAGTCCCAATAAATTTTACTTTTTGTATTTGGTAATTATTGATCAAATTATAATATACCTATATTGTTTTACTCAATTGTATGTTAATAATTGTAATGCTAATTCAATCCAGAAGAAAACACATTTTGACACATAGCACTTCATGTTAACAAAAGTAACTATATTTTATTGGGTTTTTTTTTTTTTTTTTGCTGCAGATACATATAATGGGATGAACAATAGATGACTCAAGCATACAAGAGTACTACATTAGGAGAAAATTCCATGGGGGTAGTGAAATGGAAATAGAAGTTCAAAGAGAAATTTCCTGACTTTCTTGAAAAGCTTACTTATGTATTTTTAAATTCATGATGGAGTAAATTAAATCACAAATATGTATATATTCCTAAGTAGATACATTTGAAAGGGTGTGGTAATGGTTTAAACTATCATTATTTACAATACACAAACTGTATTCTTTTGTTTAAAAATAGTTAAACTCATGATGAAAAATTATAGATGTCAACTTAGTATGTACTTAATGTCCACTATGTATAAGAGAGATATATAATTTTTCAAAATTCTTTTGAGGATGCTTGAGCAAAAAATTTGAAAAATGCCAACCACTATTATATGAAGTTTACAAAATATAACACAGAGGTGTCTTTAAGCCTGAGCCTATTTAAAGGCCTGAGGCAGAGATTCTCAACCTGAGATCTCAGGGTTTGAGAAATCAATCAATAGTATGTGAAATTTCGTGTTTATGGGCATGTGTACCTTTTTCTGGGCAAAGAGTACAGTTCTCAAAGATGTTCACAACCTAAAAAAGATTAAAAAGATCTGACCAAAGCATGTAAAGTCTTAAGAAACTTGACTTTGCTGTTTTCATAATAGTTTCATATGCACTGGCATGTGGAATTGCTTCCAACATAAACAATTTTGGTTCAGTTGTTTGTATATAAAATAATACTAATTATGAAAAATAATGAAAGATTCAATCTCCCTTTCTTCATCATCATCCTGAAATCTATGTCAATCTTTTAATTTTATTCCTTGCTTATTCAGAGGCCTTTTCTTTTCTTAATTTTGATGGAGAAAATTACAGGTGCTTCATCCATAGAAAAATGCTGAATGGAAATGTGGAAAACAGTTTTTAAAAGAATAGACATCATCTGCCCCTGACAGTTGTGTCTTGCGGTTTCTTCCAGGATCTAATCAGCAGTCTAGCAATAGGTTGACATAGTATTCAGGCTTAGAATTAGGAAAATTACATTTGGAAGTGACTAATAACACAGTACTTTCAAAGCTTTGGATTTTAAAGCGTCACACACACAGCAGGTGAATGAAGATGTCAGAGCCAGGCCTAAAGGAGCACCCTGGTAATCCAGCCCTTGGTGTATAACCTTCAAACACCAATAAACAAGATTATCTGGGTTTAACATGTGACCTTTCTCATTTTGACTGGTAGGTCCAGATGTTTTCTCGTTTAGCTGCCTGGTTGAAATCTGCTTTAACTGACTGCATTTGGATCTAGATTTGAGGTTGCAGGAATGACAGTCTTGAAAACTACATTCTGCACTGGGTGATACTGTCTAAACAGTAACATATGGAGACCTATGGTTTAATAACTAAAAATAATTTGTGACCTTACCCTTAATAGATTTGCTAATTATGTCAACTGAATAAGTAAAAATGGGATCACGATAGATATTTCACTATATTCATCAGTCTGGTGGCATTAAAGACATTGACAAGATGTGTTAGAACCAGCCTTTTCTGCACCTGCGTCTACAGAAGCAAAAATCTCAGCCAGGGCCTTTGTTATCCTTTCTTACTCCTTAAGTAATTTCATAGCAGCCCTTGAGAAAATAGGAAAGGCTCTTTGTTAACTTCTGTTAAGTCAGCCTAGGCTGTGGTCATACCTCCCATCCACCGACATTTGAACAAACACTACTTAATGGTCCATTATTACTCTTTTCATTACTTGGAGCCCAGAACTCTCTCTTGCATTTTTATATGACCTATTCCTTACTTACCATCAGCTTGATTTTCCGGTTCTAGTCCTTCAGGTTGTACTAGTTCTCTCTCTCTCTCAGACTGTAAAGAAAAGATAATTCTTTATTTTCTTATTTTGTCTTACGAGAGAACTCACATTCCTGAATGAACCCTCAGTGAACTTCCCCAGGTGCATTTATATCACTGCTGCTTTGCAGTCCAGAGATAGTGCTCATTAACTAATTAATAACCACAGCCTAGTAAAACACACTAAATTATTAACAGAACAGAAAGTGAGACAGTATGGTCCATAAAAGCACAAAATATAACAAAGAAGTAATATATCCTTATGTATCTGGATCCTTATGAATTTTAGCCCAATTTAGAAAGAGCAAAAATCAGTAGTTAGGTATTTGTCTGAAATCGATAATAAAATAACTAAGTATGGGAAATGTCCAATCAGGCCAACTCTTTTATACTTGATTTTTTAACCTTCCTTTCCTACTGTCAAGTAGCGGGTGCCCTTGTGTTTTTCAACAAGCTAATTCTTGTTAATTTTGTTGAAAGGGAATGAAATCAGTTGTACAGGAACAAAAGGAGTTAAAAATAGTCTTCTGAGCATTTGTCATATGGAAGTAATCATAGCTCAGAAACTATACTTACCATGATGCTTCTTGTAATCATTGGTGAATGGGTAGCTAAACATTCCCATTTTGAGACAGAGTCAGTATCAGAGTCAGTATCAGAGCTATCAATTTTATTTTGTTTTGTTTATCTGTATAGATTTCTTTTTAAAACAGCTTTAATGTGGTTATAATTTACATACTTTAAATGTTCAATTCAATGACTTTTCTAGTAAATTTACAGAGCTGTACAACTACCACCATGTTTTAGAACATTTCCATCACCCTAAAAAACCCTTTGTACTTGTTTGTAGTTGATCCCCATTCTTGCCTGCAGCCTCAGGCAACCACTAATTATTTCTGTCTCTAAAGATTTACTGTTTCTGGGTATTTCATATAAATGGAATAATACCATATGTAATATTTTGTTTCTGGCTTCTTTTACTTAGCATAATGTTTTTGAAGTTCATCTATGTTGCTGCATGTATCAGTAGTTTGTTTCTTTTATTTCTTTTTTCTTAAAATTTTTGAGATGGGATCTCACTGTGTTGCCTAGGCTGGTCTCAAACTCCTGGGCTCAAGTGATCCTCCCACCTCAGCCGCCCGAGTAGCTGGAAACATATAGAGGCCCCGTCTCTACAAAAAAAAAAAAAAAAAAAAAAAAATTTAAATAGTCCCAGCTACTCAGGAGACTGAGGTGGGAGGATTGCTTGAGCCTAGGAGGTCGAGGCTGCCTAGTGAGCCATGATCATGCCGCTGCACTCCAGCCTGGGTGACAGTGAGACTCTGTCAAAAAAAAAAAAAAAAAGAATATCATTGTATTTATATAGTACATTTTGATTATCAATTCACTGTTTGGTGGACATTCAATTGTTTGCATTTTTTAGCTTCTATGAACATTTATGTACAAGTCTTTATGTGGACATAGGTTATCACTGCTTTTGAGCAGATACCTAGAATTGTTGGCTTGTATGGTAAATTTATGTTTAATTTTATAAGAAACTACCCCTATATTAGTTATTGATTGCTGTGTGACAAATGACCCCAAACCCTAGCAACTTAAAACATATTATCTCAGGAATACAGGCACAGCATATCTGGGTCCTCTGCTTCAGTCTCTCCCAAGGCTGCTAACAAGATACTGACCTGAACTGTGGTCTCATCTAAAGACTTGACTAGGGAAGGATCAGTTTCCAAGCTCACTCATGTGGTTGTTGTCAGGATTCAGTTCCTGAAGGCTGTTAGACTGAAGGCCTCGTTTCTTCACTGGAGGTTGGCCAGACACTGCCTTCAGCTCCTTGCTCTCCAGCTTACTTCATCTGAGAAGCTTGCAAGAAACACCACAGAGAGAAAGAGAGAGAGAGATGGAAGTCACAGTCTTTTATAACCTAAACACAGAAGAGACACCTTCCATCACTTTTCCATGTTTTTTTCATTAGAAGCAATCACCTAGGTCCAGCCCACACTGGAGGGGAATATTACACAAGGGTGTGAATGCTAGGAGCCGTTTTAGAAGGCTGCCCACCATACTGCCAAACTGTTTTCCAAAATGACTGTATCATTTTACACTCCCACCAGCAACGGATGAGGGTTCCATTTTCTTCACATCCTTGCCAGCGCTCTTTATTGTGTCTTTTTTATAGTAGCCATTCTAGCAGGTGTGAAGTGGAATCTCATTATGGTTTTAATTCACACTTCTCTAATGACTGAGGATGATGAGCATCTTTTCATTGGTCTGTTGTCCATTCATATAATTTCCTGGTGAAATGTTAATTCACATCTTTTGTGCGTTTTAAAAATTTTATTTATTACCTTAGAAAAGCTAAAGACTACTTTCGTGCATTTTAAAATTGGATTATTTGTCTTACTGAGTTGCAGGATATTTTCATTTATGAATCATGTTTTCAGTGCTGTATCTAAGAAATCTTTGCCTGTCTCAAGGTCATGAACATATTATGTGCCAGCTACTATGCTACGCCTATATATACATTATTTTGCTTAATTTCATTACTGTAACAGCCCTATTAGGTATAGATATTATCATTACTGCAACACAAATGAGAAAATTCACGGAAGTCAAATTACTTGCTGAGGTCACACAGCTAGTTAGTACAACTTGAACCTGGGTTCTGTCTTACTCCAAAGCCCATGCTCTTTTATCAGAAACTTAAAAAAAAAGAAGTCATTCAACTCTATTTTCAGTGGAAAAAAATAAGTTAAATACCATATTGTTCCTTCCCTGTAATTACCAATACCCATCCAATATTACTTGAATATTGTTAGTAGAAACCTCTCTGTGATCATTAGAAGCTGCTGTTTGAAATAGAAAGGACATAGATTGCAGTTTGTTGGCCAGATTCTATTCTAGTTTTATTCTGCCAGACAATATTCCCTCTGCAGTTTCCAGTAGAGCTAGGATGCATCTTTGCTTGCAGCCTTGAAGTATGTTACTGGGCAGCTGTTAAGCAGTTGTTACACTTTATCCCCAGGGATGAACATGTTCCAGTGACAAGATAGCTCATTCCCTTGTGTGCTTTTAATGTTGTACATTCACCCAGGAGAAGTCAGTGCTGAGTTTCTTCTATTATTTCTCAGTGCTCTAATTCCATTATTTGAGAACCAGGGAAGAAGGAAGGGAAGAACCAGAGATGGGTAAAAGTCTAAATAATATGTTACAGATGGTAAATGTTAATTTTTATTTTGTATTTTAATGTAATGCTAAAAAGAACAAGAGTCTTCTAATTCTTAATCCTTATACTCATTTCCTTCTCATCCAAGAATCCTTTATACGCTTTGGGTCTGATTGTTATACCTTGAGTTAGAAATAACAATTTATTTTTTCCCTCTGTCTTCGGCTAATATGCTAGCTTTAGGCAAAATTGCAATCTGTACAATTTTTAAAAACACTGTCAACCCTAATTTTGTACTTGAAGCAAATAATAGTATAGTTGTTCACGCTTTCCTTTCCTCCTTCTTATCTTCTTTCCTTCCTTACTTCCTTGTTTGTTTGGTAAGTAGTCACTGAGCTCTGTATCAGTGCTAAATGTTGATAGAAGCAGCATAATATACAGACGTTGACATCAAACAGCCACTATGTAGAGAGGACAACGGGGAATATTATAGGAAAAGCGGAGAAGAAATGGGAGAGATAAGGAGCTTGTTTGCAACTTGTTGAGTGTGAGATAAGTGTTGGAAATTCAGGAAGTGATTGTACATGTCAGGAAGTATATGTCTATGGCTTTCCAGGTCTACCGGAAATAAAAATTTGAGAGTCAACAGCAATAAAAACTTGGATCAGGAGACAGAGTATGTAAAGTGAAAAGGCAAAAGTTTCAAGAAATAGGCCCTAGGAAATAATTCACATCTAGGAGATAGAGAAAGAGGAATAAACAGAGGATATAAGTAAATAAGTGAGGTAGGAGTAGGACCAGCAAAGAATAAGCCAAGGAAAGAGATTTAAAAAGCAGGGACTGGCCAGTGGCATCCTATTGCAAAATGGTGGAGCAGGAAGGGCAGAAGCCAGACCACAATGGGCAAAGAAGTCAACTAGATGACTGGCTATCACTGTGGGCCATGGACCTTATTCTGATGCATTAAGAGAAACTACATACTGCATGACAGCATCAGAATCTTGTAGACAAGTTAGGGGTCTATTGTGATCTACTACTTCTTCTCTGCCTGGCCTAGTTATCATCACTAAATTGGTTCAGGCTGCCCAAGAAGTTCATTCATTCATTCATTCAATTTCTTTTTTTTTTTTTTTTGAGACAGAGTCTCGCTCTCACCCAGGCTGGAGTGCAGTGGAGCTATCTTGGCTCACTGCAACCTCTGCCTCCTGGGTTCAAGCGATTCTCTTGCCTCAGCCTCCTGAGTAGCTGGGATTACAGGCGCGTGCCACTATGCCCAGCTAATGTTTTGTATTTTTAGTAGAGACAGGGATTCACCATGTCAGCCAGGCTGGTCTCGAACTGCTGGCCTCAAATAATCTGCCCGCCTTGGCCTCCCAAAGTGCTGGAGTGTTGGGATTACAGGCATGAGCCACCACACCCGGCCCATTCATTCAATTTCTAAAGTAACGAGGCCCTTGTTAGGTTCTGGGGACACAAATATTATTTAAACCTGGTCCCCACCTTGAAAATACTCCTAGTCTATATGGGAGATAAATACACTAATTGTGATATAACACAAAACATGCTATATACACCAAGAACTACTTATGCTCTGGATATAGAAGACTTTTTCATTCCTTCCTTTACCTGTGACCCTGAGTTTGGTATTGTGACAGTCAGAATGTTTTTTAGCCAATTGTATTTGGATGACAGTTTTTGAATTTTACTAAGAATTGTATTTTAACATGCTTTAAACTTTTTCATTCCTGTTTTTAAAAAAGATAGAGTGGCTGGGCGCGGTGGCTCACGCCTGTAATCCTAGCACTTTGGGAGGCCGAGGTGGGCGGATCATCTGAGGTCCAGAGTTCGAGACCAGCCTGACCAACATGGAGAAACCCTGCCTCTACTAAAAATGCAAAATTAGCAGGGCATGGTGGTACATGCCTGTAATCCCAGCTACTCCGGAGGCTGAGGCAGGAGAATGGCTTGAACCCGGGAGGTGGAGGTTGCTGTGAGCCGAGATCGCGCCATTGCACTCCAGCCTGGGCAACAAGAGCGAAACTCTGTCTCAAAAAAAAAAAAAAAAGATAGAGTGAATATTCTATGCAAGGGAATTTTGAATGAAAAAGGAAGTTTTTTTTCTTTCGGATTTACAAATGAAGTTTCTACCAGGTAACTACTTTAGTCTATGCTTGTTTAGGCAACATCTAAAACTTCAGCCTCTTTAAATGTATTTCATCCATTGTTTTTTGATGGGTAGCAGTTATTTCTCAAAAATATAAATACAAAAGAGTTTAATACATAGATGAAAATAATCAATAGAAAAAGTAATTGTTATAATGGGCAGAAATGAAACAATATACTTGTAGACTCTTTATAGTTTAGAAAGACCTTTCATACATCATGGCCTTCAGTCCTCACAATTCTAGATAAAGAATTATACCTGGCCCCATGACATTTGAAGAGCTTAGCCCAGCTGAGCAGCTGGAACCTTACCTACTGCTGATGTATAGTGTATTTCTGTTGTAAAAGTAGTAAATCTCCTCTTCTTCTAATGGGGAAGCAAAGAATTGCACTGAAATTATTAAGCAAAATTATTTTTATTATTATGCCCATGAATGAGCTATTTGATAGTCAGATAAGGCAAAAATTAATGTTATTAGTAAAATTGAGGGTAGTTCCTTTGCAAATGAAACTTTTTACATGCTAATGCTCTTGTGTTTGAAGTGATGTGATTTACTGATGGCCAGTTTAGATTCTTTTTTTTTTTTTTTTTTGAGACAGGTCTCATTCTGTTGCCCAGGCTGGCTGGAGTACAGTGGCATGATCACAGCTCACTGCAGCCTGGACCTCTCCAGGCTCAGGTGATCCTCCCTTCTCAGCCTCTTGAGTAGTTGGGACTACAGGCATGCTGTATTCCCAGCTATTCCCAGGTATTCTACCATACCTGGCTATTTTCTCATGACTTTAATTTTTTTTCTTTTTTTTTTTTTTGAGACAGGGTCTCGCTCTGTCTCCCAGGCTAGAGTGCAATGGCATGAACACAGCTCACTGCAGCCTTGACCTCCTGAGTTCAAGGGAATCTCCTGCCTTAGCCTCCTATGTAGCTGGGACAACAGGCACACACTACCACATCCGGCTAATTTTTTGATTTTTTGTAGAGACAGGGTCTTACTTTGTTGCCTAGGCTGGTCTCAAACTTCTGGGCCCAAGCGATCCTCCCACCTCTGCCTCCTGAAGTGCTGGAGTTACAGATGTAAGCTATTGCACCTGGCCAAAAATGTATTTCAATGAGAACTTAAATCTATAGAATTTTATCCAAACCTGTATTGAGATATCAGTATTTCATCTCTCTTTTTTTTTTTTTTTTTTTTTTTTTGAGATGGAGTCTCACTCTGTCACCCAGGCTGGAGTGCAGTGGTGCGATCTTGGCTCACTGCAAGCTCCGCCTCCCGGGTTCACAGCATTCTCCTGCCTCAGCCTCCCGAGTAGCTGGGACTACAGGTGCCCGTCACCATGCCCGGCTAATTTTTTATATTTTTAGTAGAGACAGGGTTTCACCATGTCTTGATGGTCTTGATCTCCTGATCTCGTGATCCGCCTGCCTCAGCCTCCCAAAGTGCTGGGATTACAGGCGTGAACCACTGCGCCCTGCCAGTATTTCATCTCTTGTTAGCCTGATTTACCTTTTCCAGTTTTTTCCTAATTTAAAAATAGGCATTTTCAAAATTAACAGACGTCCATTATTTTAAATTTTAAAAGAGAAAAAAAGAAAACATAATAGATTTTATAAATCAATGACCAAAAGTTTAGTTTGCATTGAAGCTTTATAATTTTACTGGTTAGCAAATATTAAAACTTTCCTTACTCTTTAGTTCTAAAAATATCATCGGTTTCTCTCTCTCATTACTTTACATGCAAAAATGTAAATTAGAAAATGAAAATGACCCATCGTTTCAGTGTTCTTCTTCCTAATACAAAGAGGTCATTGTGGGAGAGAAGTATAGACATTAATTTTATAAGGAAAACTGTTCTAGTTCATCTGTTTGTGCTAGATTGGGCGACAGTAACAAACTTTGTAGACTGAATACCTACAATACATATATTTCCCATTTTGCTCTTTAGTGCTTCAAGCTTCTAAATCCTATTAACAGCTGTCAAAACCTGGTAAACTATTTAGATGCTTTCACAATTTGTTTAATTGGATAGTTAGAAAATGGCGTGCTAGAAAAGCCCCCCCCCACCCCCTTTCTTTTAGCCTGGCTGAACATCTGTAGCATTAGGGCCTCATTATCTCTGAATTGGCATAGCAAATCAGTGGCATCATTAAAATGCCACATTAAGATGATTAAGCTTCTTTGTTATCCAGTTGACTTTTGCATTTGCTGAAGATTTCATGGTTATGACCCCCGATCCTTGTAAAACACTTAAATAACATCACCCTTTTGTGCCTTCCCTAACAGCCTCTATCTTGTTTTGTCCCTTCTCACAATATCTCCGGCAGACCTGAGGATATTACTTCCAACTTTGTCCTTCGTAGAGTTGGATTCTGAGATCTCATAGTTTAAGGTGGAAATTCAGAATCTCTTTTTTCCACTGGGAAATTCCTAGTATCAACATGCTCTCCAAGATACCCAAGTTGTCTATTCTGTTTGCCATCTTTGATAGGTTCTTCTCTCCAACTGAGCATTTTATGTGCCTGTAAAAACAAACTGAGGCACAGTTGGCTGAGACTGCTATTGCCCCTGAAGGATTTAGATGTTGGATCCTTTCCAGGACCCATTGTTTTTGCAGTGTCTCAGGTGAAACCAAAAATGTCTGCTCTGGAGTACAAGCCTTTCATGTGATAACCATCACCCCAGGAAATGAAACCATGTGCATCAGCCCCAGTGAGCCAAACCTTTGTTCTCTTCAGCCTACAAAATTCTCTCTGGGGTGTGTGTGTGTGTTCGTGTGTGTCATCTTCCTAAGAGGCCTGAAAACATAGACAAAGATGGGAGCAATTGTACCCTAGAGTAGCTCCTTTAGAAAGTTTAGTTTAATCTAATTTCCTATGGGTTAGATTCAATTTAGACATCTTTTCCCTGCCTCTGGGAATGTATAGCAATTACCTTTATCAGCAATTTGTGGTTTGGTATATTCTTTTCTCCACAAGTTCAGTTATAAAAAAGGTATTCAGGAAGCCTTTAACTTTTTTTATTATAAAATAGATCATATGTACAAAAAGGCAAGTATAATTACATGTATAGATTAAAGAATAATAAGAAAACATCCATACACCCACCACCTGACTTAAGAAATAAACTTTCACCAGTGTCTATGAGGCTTCTTGATAGTCTTCTAAGTGTCAACTTAAGATGTATGTCTAAGAAACCTGATATATATTATAAGAAGATTAGAATTTACAAAACCAAAACATGAGATTATTCATACTATAAAAGGTTTATTCACTTTACAAAAGACTTCAGGATACTATCAGGCAGTTCCCCAAATATATTCAAGTATTTGTTGCCAGGTCTTTAAGATTTTCTGCCTTTATTAAATGAACGGGTGTTGCCAGTCACTGACAACTGAAATCAGGGCAAAATAAACATTTCTGAATGTAGAATGTTAATCAGCGGGACAGTGTTATTGGTTTTGCATGAAACATTTTATGAACACATCAACTACATAAAAGCGGATCTGTAGCAATGTAATTATATCATACTAAATATAAAGCAGAATAAGACGGATGTATGAGAACAAAGAAACATAATTTTTTTTCTAGTTAAGGGTATCAAGGAAGACTTCATGGAAGAAGTGGCATTTAAACTGCATGTGGAAGTTTGAATACACTATTGAAATGGTAGAAGGATATTTTAGGTGTGGGAAAGGCTGGAGAAGAGGCTTGAAGAACTGTGATTAGTCATGTTGCTGCTGTGCTTCTCAGACTTTAATGTGCATAAGAATCCTTGAGGATCTTGTTAAAATGCAAATTCTGGTCCAGTAGGTCTAGGTTGAGGCCTGAGCACCTGTATTTCTAACAAGCTCCCAGGCGGTTGCAGAACTGCTTATCCAAGGACCTCACTTTGCATAGTAAAGTTCTAGTATAGAGAGAAAGGTGATTCAAGAAGACTGAGAAATGAGATGATTAAGTAGTCCTGGGGCAAGTTCTGGACAGGTGCTTGAATACCTCATTAAGGAGTTTGGACTTTATTCTATAAGCAAATGAAATCATTGAAAGTTTTAAATAAGAGTTTCTTTGCTACAGCATGATTATTCTGGCAATAGGATGCAGTATAACAGAGGTCACATGTACCGTGGGCCAGTTAGGAGGCTAATGCAATGATATATTCATACACCAGGAATTTATGGGATGTCTACTTTATGTAGGGCACTGCATCTAACTCGAGGCAGTGGCTCTCAAACTCCATTGTGCATAAGGTTTATCTGGAGAGCATGGTTTTAAATGAACATTTCCAGTCTCCACCCCCAGATTAGTAGATCTATGGTAGGAGCCCCAAATTTTCTATTTTAAAACCACATAACCTCTGGTCTTACAGATACAGGTTAAGCAGTGTCATAGGGAATACTGAGTTAAACACACACACACACACACACACACGCACACACACACACAATCTGTATAGCTTCTGCCCTCAGCTAGTTTACATATTTATTGGGGAGACTAGGGGAGGTGAGTTCATAAGTAACCCAGGAAGAAGGAGCAGGCTATTTTCCAGCTGGGTTGATCAGAGAAGGCATAGTAGCCAGGAGACAGCATATTAGTTTGACCTTTAAAAATGTGTAGGACAGTGGCCAGGCGCAGTGGCTCATGCCTGTAATCCCAGCACTTTGGGAGGCCGAGGCCGGCGGATCACGAGGTCAGGAGATTGAGACCATCCTGGCTAACACAGTGAAACCCTGTCTCTACTAAAAATACAAAAAATTAGCTGGGTATGGTGGTGGGCGCCTGTAGTCCCAGCTACTCAGGAGGCTGAGCCAAGAGAATGGCATGAACCCGGGAGGCAGAAGTTGCAGTGAGCAGAGATCGCACCACTGCACTCCAGCCTGAGAGACAGAGAAAGACTCCGTCTCAAAAAAAAAAAAAAAATACGTAGGATGTGTAGGACTTGGACCTGTGGCCATATTGGGGAAAGATCTTTTAGGCAGTAGAAATAAGACTACTTAGAAGCTCTTTAGTTAAAGATCTAACTAGTCAAAATTAATATGCCAAAGATAGGTTGGGGCCAGATCCCGAAAGGCCTTTTAAATTATTTGTTTCTGAGTTTGGACTTTATTTTGTTGGCAGTGGAAAATATTGAAGAATTTTGACAGGGCTATGACATGACCAGAGGTAGAATTTAGGAAGAGCAATCTTGTAGCAACAAACAAGACGGGCTGGAAAGGAGAAAGAAGGGAGCCAAAGAGAACAGTGCGGGGGCTACAGCAATAAGTAGATCGTGGGAAAGTCATAGGGTCTGAGAATTAGGTAATGGGCATGCAAAATACAGGAGTGGAGAAACAGATTAGAGATTGGATACACAGATAGAACCACTGAATGATTGAATGTGGGGCCCAATCAGGAGAAAGGAAAGATGACTCTAAGGATTCTAGCCTGAGTAACTGGGAAGATACCTAGGAAGCCTTCAGAAATAGAGGACTAAAGAAAGGGAGAGAGGTTACACCTGGAGTTATATATATGGAAATTAATCATATAAGATGTTAGTCGAAGCCTTAAGAATGAATGAAATTGCCATACAAGAGGGGTGTAGAGGGAAGAAAAAAGAAGGTTAAGGACAGTATTTAGGATGCAGAGGGAAGAAAAGGGGCAAGAAGGAAGCAATCAGAAAGGCAAGGAAAGAAGGTACATTTTCATTGAAGAAATAGGAGTGCAGGGGCCGGGCACGGTGGCTCATGCCTGTAATCCCAACACTTTGGGAGGCCAAGACAGGTGGATCACCTGAAGTCAGGAGTTCGAGACCAGCCTGGCCAACATGGTAAAACCCTGTCTCTACTAAAAATACAGAAATTAGCCAGGTGTGGTGGCACGTGCCTATAGTCCCAGCTACTCGGGAGGCTGAGGCAGGAGAATCGCTTGGACCTGGGAAGCAGAGGTTGCAGTGAGCCGAGATCGCACCACTGTACTCTAGCCTGGGCAACAGAGTGAGACTCTGTCTCAAAAAAAAAAAAAAAGAAAGAAAGAAAAGACATAGGAGTGCAGAAGAACAAGGAATGGTGAGTGGTCAGTAGTGTTGAGGATTACAAAGAAGTTGGAGAGAGTGGCATACAAAAAGGCTCTGAATCTAGGAATCAGGAGATTATGGTTGGTGATATTCAAGGGAGCAGATTAAGTGAATTGTGGAGGCGGAAGCCATATTACAGAGAATTCTGAGTCCTTTTTGAGGCTGTAGAGGCAGTAAGCATAGCTTACCTATGTCTTTTTTTTTTTTTCTTGAGACGGAGTCTCACTTTGTCACCCAAGCTGGAGTGCAGTGGTGGGATCTCAGCTCACTGCAACCTCCACTTCCCAGGTTCAAGCGATTCTCCTGCCTCAGCCTCTTGAGTAGCTGGGACTATAGGCGCACACCACCACGCCTGGCTAATTTTTTTGTATTTTTAGTAGAGATGGGGTTTCACCATGTTAGTCAGGATGGTCTCGATCTCCTGACCTCATGATCCACCCGCCTCGGCCTCCCAAAGTGCTGGAATTACAGGTGTGAGCCACCGCTCCTGGACCACCTGTGTCTTAAATCTGTCTAGAAAGGAATGTTGAGGCCGAGCGCAGTGGCTCACTCCTGTAATCCCAGCAGTTTGGGAGGCCGAGGTGGGTGGATCACGAGGTCAGGAGTTCAAGACCAGCCTGGCCAAGATGGTGAAACCCCGTCTCTACTAAAAAAAAAAAATTAAAAAAATAGCCAGGTGTGGTGGTGGGCACCTGTAATCCCAGCTACTCAGGAGGCTGAGGCAGGAGAATCGCTTGAACCAGGGAGGCAGAGGTTGCAGTGAGCCGAGATCACACCACTGCTCTCCAGCCTGGGCAACAGAGTGAGACTCTGACTCAAAAAAAAAAAAAAAAGAAAGGAATGTTGAGAGAGGATGAATTTAGGTATGATGTGATGAAAGGTGAAACCAAATTGCAAAAGGAAAGGAAAAGAGGAGTTGGCACCTAGAGAGCCTGAAGACATAGAGTTGATAGATCTTGGAGACTGACTTGATGTAGAAATTGAAAGAGAAAAGGTTCCACAGTTTGATGGCTTGGAGACTGGAAGAAGGGTGATGCCATTTGTCAACATAAATAAGTCATAAATTAGAAGCAAGTTTGGGTTCAAAGATGACAAGTTTGATTTTAGACATGTTCATTAGTATTTTCTAATAGAATTTTTCTAAGTAGAACACCCCTTTTCTCTGCTTCAATAAGTCTTCCAGGGAATGGGATGAATCTCTTCATTAGAGCAGGCTAATGCCTTTCCTGGTTTTGGTGGACTGTGTTTGGAGGCTGAGTACTAAGCCTAATATCTCTCAGGAATCTCATTCATACCTTAAATTCTAATTTATTTTATTTTATTTTATCTTTTTTGAGATGGCGTCTCGCTCTGTCGCCCAGGCTGGAGTGCAGTGGTACGATCTCGGGTCACTGCAACCTCCACCTCCCAGGTTGAAGCGATTATCCTGCCTCAGCCTCCCCAGTAGCTGGGAGCCACCATGCCCAGCTAATTTTCTATATTTTTAGTGGAGACGGGGTTTTGCTATGTTGACCAGGCTGGTCTCAAACTCCTGACCTCAAGTGATCCACCTGCCTTGGCCTCCCAAAGTGCTGAGATTACAGGCATGAGCCACTATGCCCAGCCAGCAATTTATTATGGCTTACCTTGAGAAGGTAACAGAGTTGAATATTAGAATAAATTAGAATCTGGTTGGACACGGTGGCTCAGGCCTGTAATCCCAGCACTTTGGGAGGCCAAGGAGGGTGGATCACTTGAGGTCAGGAGTTCGAGACCAGCCTGGCCAACATGGCGAAACCCCGTCTTTACTAAAAACACAAAAATCAGCCAGGCATTGTGGTGCATGCCTGTAATCCCAGCTACTCGGGAGGCTGAGGCAGGAGAATCACTTGAACCTGGGAAGCAGAGGTGGCAGTGAGCTGATCGTGCCACTACACTCCAGGCTGGGCAACAGAGCAAGACTATGTCTCAAAAAATAAAATAGAATAAAATAAAAATAAGTTGCTAATCCCCAGTAACCATGCAGAGAGGTCATCCAGGTCATTCATCTAAAACTGGTAAGACTCCAAAGGCAAACCAGCAACTATGTAAGCCCAAAGGACTTCTCTAATGCCCTGTCCCTGTGTCCTTATGTCCCTGGGTCTCAAATACTGTCTTCCTTGCTCTATAGCTGACTCCTAAAGGACTAAAGCTAAGATCTGCTCTTGAGCCAGGATGGTGTCGTATTGAATTCCAGGTCAGGCCAACTAAAGCCAAAATCCTGAGGGAAAGGAGCAGCTCTCTTATGTCCTCTGTTTTCAGAAAGACTCAACACATTGATCTTACTACATTTTAAAGTTCAGTGACCATGGAGTGGCCTGAGTCTGGTCATGTTCACATTTTCTAACCAAAATGGAAAGGATCCTTTTCTGCTGGCCTTTTCTATCTGCTGTTTTTGGTTTTAAGTAGCTGAAATTTTCCGTTGAGGTTCTTTTAAACGCCTACATGCAAACTGAAGAGCACTCAAGCTTTGGTGGGATATTACCCACAGCTGGAGTGATGGAGGAAGGGAGGCAAGTACAAGCCTCAGGTGCATCCTTCTCTTAAAAAAATAAAAAATAAACACTTAAGCAAACAAATTCCACTTGAAAGCAGGGAAGACCTATCCAGAGAAAGAAGTAAACCTCTTTCCAAGTAGGAAACAGATATCATTTCTTATATAATCCAGATCCATAGGGTGGGCAAATTTGAAACATGTTGGACTTATCCTACAGCCCTACATCTTTGCTAGTCAAAGAGTGAAAAGTTGTGAACCATGAACTGTGGTAGGAAGCAGTGGAACTGTGTGGCAGCCCTGGCTCCTCTGATGGTGGTTAGGCCCTGTCTTGCTCTATTAAGCAAACACAGTTAATATAGATGAAAGGTAACCTTGATAGAAGTGAAAATTGAAACTTGGGTTGAAGGTAGCAAGCCAGGCACAGCTGCAGTTGTACTTCCTCCTATGCAGCAAGAGGAGCAACACTTACTGATGTTTTTTGGAAGGGATGTAGTTTTTTAAAATATCTTTTTTCAGACTGTTTTGGGTTTTAACATTTACACCATTGATGGGAGGGTGTGTAATACAGTTGGTAAGAACCCACTTAGGCCTTATATGTCTAGTGCATGAGGTCAAATCCAAGTAATTGATAGTTCAAGCTTAAGTTTTGCATTCTAATCACACCTCTGCCAGTAACTGGATGTGTAACCTTCGACAAATGACCAAAAACATCTCTGCTCCCAGATTTCCTCATCTGAGAAACAAGAGGGTTGGATTAGATGACCTTTAAATTCCCTTCCAGCCCTACACTCCATTGATTTGTGATTCCTCATGGGGAGGTACAACTTTTGATTTCTAAGGACCAATGGTTGAAAAAGTAAGCATTTATATAGCATATTTTATATATGCAAAATCCCTTACAAATGTTTATTATTCTTACATCAGGCAAATTTTTAGGTTTTACTAGTGTCAGTGCAAGTACATAAATTTGCCTTCTTTGTTTCTTATGTTCTTCATATTTTTCCCACGTTCTTCATATGTTCTTATGCTCTTCATGAAGAGTATTACAGCTCTTCTTTTAAATTTCATTCATTTACATTGCAGTTCTTAAGATAGTACTTGGTCAGCCAACTCACTTGAGCCAGTCCCTCCTCTCCTATCCAGTCCTATTACACAATCCTTGAGTCCTTGAGTTTAGTTCTCCCTAACTTGGGACCTAATGGTCCTTCCCCTTATTTAGATTGAGCCCCACTTACCTGTGTCGATGAAAGTGACTCCTTAGGTTATATGAAAGAATTACTTTTCCTTTTGTCTTTCTCAACACTTTTTCATTAGTACTGACAACTTCCTCTACAGTCAATGTTGTGCCTTTATCAGCTCCAAGAGAGACAGAGATAAGATGTGTTTTAGCAATTCATATACGTGGAAGGGGAAGAGGCAATGCATGGCTTAAAATTAGAAAAACTATGTTAACTAGTCAACTCTTAATCTTAATGGCTTACACTGGATGCATCTGAAGGATTCAAACAATATTTTCTCCTTGAAACCTAAGAGTACATCACCTTGCCTTTTTAACTGCAGCCACCAAAAACAGTACTAGATCTGAGAACCCTTCCTCTCCCCTAGTACTGGAGAAGAGTTGCTCAATGTTTGTTTCATGGCCACTTTGAGCAAACTTAGCTAAAATCTATTATCTGTAATTTTCTGGATAGCCTAAAACACTATCGTCTATTTTTATGTGTGTAAGTATGTGTGTTTTCCTCTGACTGTGGTTCTGAATTTAAATAACGTGCGGTCACGCTAATGGTGCTTTCTTGTTTTGTAGATGTACAGTGTTTTGTTAGCTTCGATTGGTATTTAATTGTCAGTTGTGGGTCTCTGCTGTTTGAGCTGCTTTGATAGCTTCAAGTATAGTCGTTGTTCATTTCTTGCATTTTCTTCCCTGCAGATGATTCAATGAAAGTGAAAGATGAATACAGTGAAAGAGATGAGAATGTTTTAAAGTCAGAACCCATGGGAAATGCAGAAGAGCCTGAAATCCCTTACAGCTATTCAAGAGAATATAATGAATATGAAAACATTAAGTTGGAGAGACATGTTGTCTCATTCGATAGTAGCAGGCCAACCAGTGGAAAGATGAACTGCGATGTGTGTGGATTATCCTGCATCAGCTTCAATGTCTTAATGGTTCATAAGCGAAGCCATACTGGTAAATAGTCTGCTTTTTTCATTCTTCTGAAAACTCTCCTAATGCAGCCACGTGAGAAATGAAGTGGTGGAATTTGGAACTTTTGGTTACTTTCATTGATTTTTGCTATAATGCTGATGTATCTCTCTCTCTGCATTGCTGTTCACTCAGTGCTTTTTATTCCTGCCTCACCATGCATTTGGCAAACATATTGCAAATGCTATGAATAAAAAAAGACTGTAGAGAGCACAGTGTTCTAGGTCAGCCAAATACTTTTTCTTCAGTTTCTAAGTAGGAGTTGAATTGTGTGATTTGCTTCTTAGCCATCTTTTGTATATTTTTGCATAACATTTTTAATAAGAGCAGATCTTCTTATTGTATTGGGTTCAAATTTGGTAAATGAAAGGACATAGTTTTTATTTCCAGCTTAAAATAATGTATCTTCAGACAATAAACAGGTAGTCTATAGAAATGCATACAAACACAACCATCGCACTTGAGCCAGTCGATTCCATCCCATATCTCATATGAAGACTTTAAAAAGGAGAATTTCTAGCCCTCAACACCTTGTAAGGACTTTAGTTTCTGGCTCTTTTTTCAAAGGAGATTATATTCAAAAGGAATACTAAAAAATTAGCCAGGCATAATGGCAAACACTGGTAGTCCCAGCTATTCTGAAGGCTGAGGTGACAGGCTCACTTGAACCCAGGAGGTCAAGGTTTCAGTGAGCCATGATGGGACCATTGCACTCCAGCCTGAGCAACAGAGCAAGAAGACCCTGTCTAAAAAAAAAAAAAAAAAAAAAAGGGAGTACCAAGTAATATAGTAATATAAAAACTTAGATCTAGAAAGCACTTCTAGAGCTGCTCTTGTTTCTTTGCTCTGATTCAATATGATACCTAAAATAGCCTTGCTAGTGGGTGCTTTTTCTCTTCTACAGAGGAGATTTCATAAGTAAGTCTTAGGCTTGCCTTGAAATGCAGCTCCCAACTGATCCCAATGTGAACAGTAATTGTCTAAAAGATGAGCTTTTCCCCTAGGCATCTAATCTGTGCATATGTTTCTCCACTTGCCTGTGACCAGAAATCTCCTTTTTTGTCCTTTTTAAAGGTGAACGCCCATTCCAGTGTAATCAGTGTGGGGCATCTTTTACTCAGAAAGGTAACCTCCTCCGCCACATTAAACTGCACACAGGGGAAAAACCTTTTAAGTGTCACCTCTGCAACTATGCATGCCAAAGAAGAGATGCGCTCACGGGGCATCTTAGGACACATTCTGGTAAGTGAGAGAAATGAGCATTCCTTGTCTAGGAAGTGCATTCCTCAGAGCCCAGTGTGGAAACTAGAAAGAGTTAAGTAGGAAGGTTTCAATCTGTCATTCTTGTTCTGAAGGGTTACAACAGCAGAGACCTCTAGGGCTAATTACACGACCATTAAGGCACTAATTGCTCTCCGTCTGCCTCAGTGGAGATGATCATCTCCTCACCATCCTTGCACCCATGGAGAACAACACAGTCAGATAGGAAGAGCCCACCCTATAAAAAATGTCCTTTTAATTTTTGTGAGAAAATTATAGCCATCAGTATTTTCTTCTGGTAAACTTTATTAGAAGATTATTTTCCCAACACACACACTCTTTCCATTCAAAAGACGAGACAAGCAAATGATGTACAGTTTGTAAATTATGAAAAACTGTGATCTGGATATAAATCATTGTTTGGGGGCTACTTTTTGGCCATTTGGGATAAATTTATTAAATCCAACTTTCCTCTTGATTGGCCCACTTTTTTTTTTTTTTTTAAATAAACATGAGGTCTCACTATGTTGCTCAGGCTGGTCTCAAACTTCTGAGCTCAGGCATTCCTCCCACTTTGACCTCCCAAAGTGCTGGGATTACAGGCAGGAGCCACCATGCCCAGCCAGCCTACTTATTTTAAATCTCTAAAAGATTGAACAACGGTAAAGATTTGTAAAAGTTATGTGCTGTCGTGATGTTTTTACTCCTTATTTTGACCAAGATAATACTTTTTTTTCAAGATTTAGAATTTCCGTCCTAGAAAAATAAGACTGAGTTTATTTTCAAATTTGGGACCTCATGTTCTTGATGTTATCTGGCAAAATTTTAATTGGAAAAAAAGGCTTGTTTTTATGTCAGTTCACATCTACTGCTTTGATTAAAACCTAGCCCCAAACTCAAAACTTGTTATAATTCAGCCACTAGGATTAAACAAGTCAGCCCCAACAAAACCCACCATGAGAGATCATAATTGGCAATTGAAGGGTTTCTCTCTTTTACAGCTCATTTTTCAAAGTAGTGAATTAAGGATGAGTTTGGTTCGAAAAAAATTAGAATAGTTCTCTACTGTTGCCTTTTTCAAGTAAGAAACAATAGTAGGCTTTTTAAAGACAGATTCCAGAGAACCCAATTTATGCAGAAACGTAACATTTTTAGCCCTAGCAAACCTGCATTTGTTTTAATTTAGGATTCCATAAGGATCTTTTAGTGCTTTAAATCCCAAAGCCTCTGTTTTAAACAGAGCAAGAGTTAGAAAATAAAAATTTTAGCCCCTAAAACTGACAAATTCATTGAGTATATTCTATCAACAATCAGAAAGACCAGCCTTGCACAGATAGTTGAAGTTATTACTTACATATTTCAAGCAATAAAGCATTTGGGGAGTTGGCAGAATAAAGTTTGCATGAATTGTATGGGTGAAACCTTTCCTTCATCTTAGACATTTAGACGAAGTCATTTTTACAATTCATTTTTATTTCTCTCTTTTTTTTTTTTTTTTTGAGACGGAGTCTTGCTCTGTTGCCTAGGCTGTTGCAGTGGCGTGATCTTGGCTCACTGCAACCTCCGCCTCCCAGGTTCAAGCGATTCTCCTGCCTCAGCCTCCCTAGTAGCTGGGATTATAGATGCCTACCACAACGCCCAGCTAATTTTGTTTGTTTGTTTGTTTGTTTGAGATGGTGTCTCACTCTGTCACCCAGGCTGGAGTACAGCGGCGCCATCTCAGCTCACTGCAACCTCTACCTCCCAGGTTCAAGCGATTCTCCTGCCTCAGCCTCCCTAGTAGCTGGGATTATAGATGCCTACCACGACGCCCGGCTAATTTTGTTTGTTTGTTTGAGATGGAGTCTCACTCTGCCGCCCAGGCTGGGATGCAGTGGTGCAATCTCAGCCCACTGCAACCTCCACCTCCCAGGTTCAAGCGATTCTTCTGCCTCAGCCTCCTGAGTAGCTGGGACTAAAGGGTCACGCCATCACGCCTGGCTAATTTTTGTATTTTTAGTAGAGATGGGGTTTCACCACATTGGCCAGGCTGGTCTCGAACTCCTCACCTCGTGATCCGCCTGCCTCGGCCTCCGAAAGTGCTGAGATTACAGGCGTGAGCCACTGTGCCTGGCTAATTTTTGTATTTTTAGTAGAGATGGGGTTTTGCCATGTTAGGCAGGCTGGTCTCGAACTCCTGACCTCAGGTGATCCTCCCACTTCGGCCTCCCAAAGTGCTGGGATTACAGGTGTCAGCCACTGCGCCCGGCCTATTTTTATTTCTATTATTCAAAAATATCCTGGCCGGGTGCAATGGCTCACACCTGTAAGCCTCTCACTTTGGGAGGCCAAGGTGGCCTTTGGGAGGCCCAGACTTCACCTGAGCCTATGAAATTGGGGCTGTAGCGAGCTGTGATTTCACCACTGCACCCAAGCCTGGGTGATAGAGTGAGACCCTGTCTCAAAAACAAAAAAACAAAAAAATCCGTAGTTAATTAGCTCAGTTTTTATTGTTTTAGCCTAGACTTTGCTATAGCCACGTGGCAAGGATGAGCTAAATTTACCCAAATATGTCAATGTTCTGAAAAGGCCATCAGTTTCTAGCCGAATGGCTAACTCCCACAAACTACAGCAATCTTTACTTACAGCCAGATGGATGTCCAAAATAAAGAATCCTTTCCTATTTCATTGCTTATACCACATTAACCTCCTTGAAGAATAAAAGGGCCCTATTTTCTTTTTCCCAAAGAAAACAAAATTTGACCTGGAGCCAAAACAGTATGCGAAATGGTAATCACTAAATCCAAATTCTTCCATTTGTGATAGGAGGCGATCCTTTTGAAGAATACTCTGACGTAATAATTAATCATAGACCATAACCTTATTTAAGCTTACCAAATTTAAAATATAGATTCAAAAGTATCCAAATACTCTGGCTTCACTCAGCAGTCTCATTTCTAGTGAACAGTTGTCACAGAGCCCCAATACCTGACCTGTGTGGAACCCCTGAGGGTCACTGAGTGCCCCTTATGTTCTCCTTCTAGTGGAGAAACCCTACAAATGTGAGTTTTGTGGAAGGAGTTACAAGCAGAGAAGTTCCCTTGAGGAGCACAAGGAGCGCTGCCGTACATTTCTTCAGAGCACTGACCCAGGGGACACTGGTGAGTTCACGCAACACACGTTTAGTGAGCATCTGCTGTCCTAGGTGGTGAGATACAATAGTAAGTAAAAAGACTCGTGGAGTTTATATTTTACTGGGGGCAGACAGATTATAAAGAAAGTAAATGAGCAAACTGTAAGTTGGAAGGTTAGCGGGTGGTAAGTGCTATTGAGAAAAATGAAGCAGTTGCTGAGGAGTGAGGGTGAGAATCAGGGAAGGCTTCAACGAGGTAACATTTTAACAGACTTCTTAACAGGGTGAGTAAGCCCTGCAGATAACTAGGGAACAGCAAGAGCAAAGGCCCTGGGGCACAAATTTGAAGAAGTGTACGTAGTTCTGTGTGTCTGGAACACAGTGAGTAATGGGACCTGAAGCCAGAGAGGAAATGGGAAACCAGATCTTCTCAGGCCTTGCAGGCCATTGTAAAGGCTTTGGCTTTTACTCTGAGTGAAATTAAAAATCTTTAGAGGGTTTTGTACAAAGAGGTGACATCATTGGTCTTCTCATTTGAAAGAATCACTCTACTTGCTTTTGAGAAGAGATTGTATTTGGGGCAAGGTTGGAAATTGGGGGTCCAGTTAGGAGGCCATTGCAATAATTCAAGCAAGAGAAAATTATGTCTTGTTAGTGGTAGAGGTGGTGAGAAGTATTCTAATTCTCTGTATATTTAAAGGTAGAGTCAACAAGATTTCCTAACAGATTGATGAAGAGTGGAGTTGTCGTTTACAAAAAATGGCAAAAATTGAGGGTAGAGGAGGTTGGGGAGTGGCTAGGGAAGAGGCAATTAAAACTACAAGGATTTTCTTTGCACAGGGCCCAATTTATATCCTTGTCTACTCATATGATTTATTGTGATGCTTCTATTTGGCTTTGGGGATTCCTTGTTTTATTCAGTGATTTGAATTAGATGCCTACTGGCAATTGGTTGAAACACTAGATGTTCTTCTATATCTCAATTGTGGTTTTATTTCCTTTTAATTCTTTGTTGGAACAGCCTGAAACTTTTTTGTGTCACATCTCTTCAGCTGTCCTTTGTCCCATTGAGTTGGCTGTCAGCCTGGTTCTGCAGCTTGGGTTGTCTGACATTTTTATTTGGTAACTTGAACCAATTGCTTATTTAGAATAGGTACAAACCCTCATGGGATTTAGTGTTTGACAGCAATTGTTGCAGTTGAGTAGTTTGAATAGGCTAAAACAGAAAAGTTACAAAAAGATGACAGAAATAATGTGAAACTCAGGAAAAATGGAGTAGAAATGACTACCTAAACTGCCCTCATTTTGAGTGAGAGGAAACTTTTATTTTAGATAAAACCTATTGCATGATGTTAGGAGCTGGCCAACTGAATTCTGATGGCTTGCAGTGCTTCTGCTTTTTATCCTAATGGCATCTTTGGTTTTATCAAGGAGTTGGATTTCTAATTTGATAAAGGAAATCCAACTTATTTGGATAAAGCTTATCCAAATAAAAAGAAATGTTTACCCCCTTATAAAAAACAAACAGGTCATACACAGTGGTACACACCTGTAGTCCTAGCTGCTGAGGAGGCTGAGGCAAGAGGATTGCTTGAGCCCAGGAGCTCAAGCCCAACCTGGGCAACAAAGCAAGACACCATCTCTAAAACAATAATAATAAAATAAAAAGAAAAACCTAATATTTGGGTTTTGACATCTTCTCTTTGTTTTGCTTTTATCTGAGTCTGCTTGCTAGGAAAGATTTTGACATCTTAAGTGGCATGCTTCATGGCAGTCAGGCAGTACTCGCTCAAGGACGGAATGTAGGCATCTCTACTTGCAGTTCTGTATTTCAGACAATAGGCAAAGCTCTCACTGTAAGAGATTCCCAAGCTATGAAATCTATCATATTCCAAGTAGAATCACTAATATTTAAAGCTAGAATGAAAGAGAGCATCTGACCCTACTTCTTCATTTTAGAGGTGACAAGACTGAGACTCGCCCAAAATTCAGTGACCTACTTAAAATTCACCAGAACTTTAGTTGTTTTTGTGATTAGTCATATTTTTTAATTTTCAAAAACTTGAGATATAACTCACATGCTATAAAATTTACCTTTTTAAAGTGCACATTTCAATAATTTTAGTATATTCACAAAGTTGTACAACCATCACCACTATCTTATTTCAGAACATTATCACCATCCGCAAAAGCAGTGCTGTGCTCATTAGCAGTCACTCCCTATTCCCCCTTCCTCTAGCTCCTGGCAGCCACCAATCTACTTTCTGTCTCTATGGATTTGCCTGTTCTGGACATTTCACATAAATGGAATCATACAATATGTGGCCTTTTGTGTCGGCTCCTTTTACTTAGCATAATGTTTCTGAGGCATTTATGTATGCTGAAGCATTTATCAGGACTTCATTCCTTTTTGTGGCTGAATAATATTCCATTGTTTGGATATGGCACTTTCCATTTATCCATTCATCAGCTAATGGACATTTGAGTCTTTTACACCTTTTCCACTTTTTGGCTTGATTAGCTATATTTCTTAAAGGTTATATATTATCTGGTTTGCAAAAGAAATATAGTAACACACATACTAATAGACACACATGTATATACATATATGTGTGTCCTGATTCTCCTGGAAGGAGGGGGAAAAATCAGAAAACTACACTCTATAAACAGTAAGTTCAAAATTATTGATTTTGAAGTAAGGTCACCACCTTACTTCCCATTCTCACAACCTTTTTTAGGAATTTCAAATAAGGAAAAGTATCAAAAGTAATATTTTAGCTATTCTCAGTGATATTAGGTGATTCAGGAAATGCTGAAATACAGAGGTTGAGTTAATTTGCATTTCATAGGGTGGTTTGGTGGATGCGTGCACCATACTTTAAGTCTCAGCAAAAAAAGATAAAGGGTTAACTAAGTCAGCAAGTTTTGATTTTTTTTTCAAACAAATATGTTGTAATGGTGGTTTCAGGTTATAAATGTGTAAATTCACAGCTTAATCAAGTTACTGCATCTCAGTTCACACATTACTCTTTTATATTTCAAATAGTTCCTATAATTTTTCCTGAGGCCAAAATTTACAGAATATTTAACCCAACATAAGCCAATCCTTTAACTATTTTGCACCCTTCCATGTGTGGTTTCCATTTCTGTTTCCTTCTTAGAATTGGGAGTCCATTGTGGACATGGGGTTCTATTCTGAGCCTGAGCAGTATAGTACATCTTATGCCTCATCCGTCACTTGTAAAGAGATGATGCTCCATTGCTGTTGTGCCTGCAGCACTCATTCTTCAAGTGCTTATTGTAAGTTGAAGTGCAGCGTAGTGTGAGAGCCAAGCCTGTGGACAAACCTGCCTGCAAGGGGAAGCAGGACTTTCTAGAAGCAAGCAGATGGATAAAAAGGCCTTGGAGTGAAGACCAGCCTGCAAAAAAATGCAGGTATTGGGCAACAGGACTTCTGGCCTTGCTAATCATTTCTTTTATCCAGATAGCATTTGTTGAGTTCTCTATGTGCCAGGCTCTGTATCAAAGCTGTTTGTAAAGATGAGTTAAGGTTAAGCCCCTACACTTTAAGGATTTACAATCCTGGCCGGGCGCGGTGGGTCGCGCCTGTAATCCTGACACTTTGGGAGGCCGAGGCGGGCGGATCACAAGGTCAAGAGATGGAGACCATCTTGGCCAACATGTTGAAACCCCGTCTCTACTAAAAATACAAAAATTAGCTAGGTGTGGTGGTGCTCACCTGTAGTCCCAGCTACTCAGGAGGCTGAGGCAGGAGAATTGCTTGAATCCAGGAGGTGGAGGTTGCAGTGAGCTGAGATCATGCCGCTGTACTCTAGCCTGGCAACAGAGCAAGACTCCATCTCAAAAAAAAAAAAAGACACTAGTGATATTGCTACTTTAGTCCAAGTTTCTACATCAGGCATCACAAGTGACACCATCAGAATATTCCAATTCTGTCTTAATGGAGTATATATGAAAAGAAGGAAAAATACAGAAGAACATGGACTGCATTTTCCCATTAGCTTGATTCTTATTTCAGAAAGAGACTAACAGCCGGTATAGAGATTCATTTAGCCTCATTCACACAGATTATGAATACTTGGAGCAGGAAATATTTTATGTAACAATGAGTTCTAGCAATAATAATATTTTTAAATAATTGAATAATCACATCTATTTATGAATCTAAGACTCCAAACTTTTCATCTTCAATAGTTCTTCAAGCTAATACAAGCATGAGGGCTTCAGAATAAACTTACATTTTTACCAACTTAGCAGACCAAAGAAAATGTTTAAAAATTTTTAAGTTTGTTTTCCCAACCTATTTTTTTTTGTTTTGTTTTTTGTTTTTTGTTTTGAGACAGAGTCTCACTCTGTCACCCAGGCTGGAGTGCAGTGGCACGATCTCAGCTCACCGCAACCTCCGCCTTCTGGGTTCAAGCAATTCTCCTGCCTCAGCCTACTGAGTAGCTGGGATTACAGGTGCCTGCCACCATGCCCAGCTAATTTTTGTGTTTTTAGTAGAGACGGGGTTTCACCATGTTGGCCAGGCATCTCAAACTCCTGATCTCAGGTAATCTGCCCACCTTGGCCTCCCAAATTATTGTGATTATGGGCGTAAGCCACCACACTTGGCCCCAACCTATTCTTTTTAAAAATCAATACTGGCCGGGCGCGGTGGCTCACGCCTGTAATCCCAGCACTTTAGGATGCTGAGGTGGGCGGATCGCGAGGTCAGGAGTTCCAGAACAGCCTGGCCAACATAGTGAAACCCCATCTCTACTAAAAATACAAAAATTAGCCAGGCACGATAGCATGCACTGATAGTCCCAGCTACTCAGGAGGCTGAGGCAGGAGAATTGCTTGAACCCGGGAGGCAGAGGTTGTGGTGAGCCAAGATCATGCCACTGCACTCCAGCCTAGGCAACAGAGCGAGACTCCATCTCAAAAAATAAAAAATGCTATCTCACAGGTAGTATTCATTTTACTTGTTCAAAAAGGCAACAGTTTTATGAAACTTTTTTGTTAGAACCTGCCTCTGTCTTTGATACCAATCTCTTGTTAGACAATTTCTATTGCATAATAACACCACTTTGTTCCACTCTCCATTAGTTACTGACTGACTACACCATAGAAGAGACAGGAAGCAATACCTCTTATTTAAGCTCCACTTAACACTTCAAGATCTAATGAAGGATTTTGAACAAAAACAAAAGCACAACACAATTACATAGTTAAACCTCCAATGACTTTGAGGTAGAAATTGTATCATGGAAATAGTTAACTAAAACCAAATATTAAGACTTATACAGGGAATAAAGGTAGTAGTAACCTAATCTGTAAATGTGACTTTGTACTACATTTTATTATTTTTTCAGCACGTCTTTAAAATAACTTTTCTAATGAAAATTAGTATGTCTACTATTTAGTAGGCAAGCAATGTGAAGGGAAATTGATCCACAATGACAGTTCTACTCATTCTGTTCTCACTCATGAGCTGAATGTGCAAATTGTTCCTTGCCACCATCCCATATTCCCCACACCCACCACTTGCAGCATTACACCGCCAAACACCACCCAGGAACGGATTTCCTATTTCGTCATTTAAACCCATTATCTTGTTCCCTTACTATCTTGCCAAACTGGTTTCCCTCCACTTACATTTCTGAGATATGAAGTGGCAAGATAACAAGTCTAGACTGTTCGTATAAATAGACAGTTGGGTCCTAAAGTTGGAGAAAAGGACCAAAAGCCAATAGTCCTCTTTTTTTTCTTTTCAGTGCACTGCCTAAACCACTCAGTAATCCCAAAGAGCTTGTCCAGTTACAAAGCATTTCTTTGTGTATGTGTGATATGTGTGTGTGTGTGTGTGTTGTTGTTGTTGTTGTTGTTTAGAGACAGGGCTCACTGTGTTCCTCACACTGGAGTACAGTGGCAAGATCATAGCTCCCTGGGCTCAAGCAATCCTCCCACCTCAGCCTCCCAAAGTGCTGGATTACAGGCGCAAACCATGGAACCTGGCTCTTTGTGTTTCAAAGGGCACTCATTTCATGGTATTGTGCATCAGCTATCCAACAAGTGTGAGGCAAAAGACTAGCAGTTTAGGAAAGAAAATGAGTGCCATCTTCAATTGAAAACTAGCCTTTGCCTAACTTATCAACTAGAAAACAAGGTTAATTCAGTGAAGATCAACTGAATCAGTAGGAGTGTGTTCACATGTACAATGAGAGTGGAGCTCTTGTAGTTAATATTTTGAGTGAATGACCCAGAAAGAGGGTGTGGGTGAACAGGAGTCCTCTAGATTCGTTTCAGAGGATTTCTTTCAATCTAATCGGAGTTGTGGAAATGGGAAAGTCTCCACCCATGCCTCAAAATATGTCCATCCATGAACACTGCAGAATTTTATGTTTTTAAATGTCAGGCATTTGGTCACTGATTTACAGAATAATGTTTATCTGGAAATGACTCTAAAGACCAGTTTGGTGGGTAACGAGGAATAAAAGGTGATGTTATCTCAAAAGTTTGCCATTTAGTGACCTGCCCTAATTACAGTTATTTAGGTCAATGTGTCCACACTTCAGCATCCTCCCAAATGTAGAGGATGTTGATTACGTGTCCTCAGAAAGCTGCTTGTTTTAATTGACATTGACTTCAGTAAAATGTAGACAGCGACTGCTGAGAAACAAATGGGAAAACTAGATGGGTAGCACCGTGCTTGGGGTAATTCCTGGGTAATGATTTGGCAGTGAGAGGAGGGACCACAATAGACTAATAAGAACAATGGTAAAATGGGCATAAAAGGTAAACATTCCCAGAATACTGTTTTTCATTCTTTTTTTCCCTATAAATCTTTTTGTTGATAACTACAGGGTTGAGGGGAGGCTTACTTGGATTTAATCTTCTCAAAATTGCTGGAACCAGGATGAATGTTCCTAGTCAAAGTGCAAACTTAGCTACCTCTCCCCTGATTCTAAGAAAAAAGTCTCCTAACAGCCCCAGGAACTTACTGCAAATTCCAAGCTTTGTCTTTCATCTCTCTGCTCTTGGGGCTTTGGGTAGTGCCACATCTGGTGGTGGTTTTGTGTGAAAGGAAATAATATATATAAATAATTTCCTGTTTGGTCATTTAAACCTATCCCTGTGCTGGACAGAATTTGACCCTCTTCACTCAATAGCAGTGTCTTGTGGCTGAAGTGCCCGTTATTTACAACTGCTGGTCAGCCAGAGTCAGTCGAGTACTTTTGCACTAGCCCAAAAGCCACTCAGGCCCCCTATTCTGACCCTTACTGTTTTCATTTACACAAATAGTTGTTAATAGCTTCACTGAAGGCTATGATTTATTCCTTTAGAGCCTAGAATTATTTTTGACAAGAAACTCACTGTCTAGTAAATATTGTCATTATTATCACATTATTATCATCCTCTTCTTTTTCATTTTTGGAGCTGGATTTCTTTTTCTTTTTAAGAGATGGGATCTCACTGTGTTGCCCAAGCTGAACTTGAACTCCTAGGCTCAAGCCATCCTCTCACCTCAGCCTCCTGAGTAGCTGGGACTATGGGCTAGTGCCACCACACCTGGCAGAGCCAGATTTTATGTTATTCCAGGAAAAAAAAAAAAGCTGAGCTTTGGCTGAGTGCAGTGGCTCATGCCTGTAATCCCAACACTTTGGGAGGCTGAAGTGGGAGGACTGCCTGAGGCCAAGAGTTGGAGACCAGACTGAGCAATATATTGAGACTAATAATTTTTTTTTTTAATTAGCCAGGCATGGTGGCTTTAGACTGTAGTCCCAGCAACTTTGGAACCTGAGGTAGAAGGATTACTTGAGCCCAGGAGGTTGAGCCTGCAGTGAGCTGTGATCATGCCACTGCACTCCACCCTGGGTAACAGAGTTGAGACCCTGTTTCAAAAATAAGTAAATAAATTAACTAAATAATGAAAACTGAGCTTTATAATGTATTGTGTAATGACTAACATACAGTTTTTTAAGGCCACTAATAAAATTAGAAATATTTAATACTTTGGGGCTTTTTTTTTTTTTTTTAGACAGAGTCTCACTCTGTCACGCAGGCTGGAGTGCACTGGCACTAATAGGTTGGTGCAAAAGTAATTGTGGTCTTTGCAGTTACCTTAATAGTTCACCGTAACCTCAAACCCCTGGGCTCAAGGAACCCTCCCACCTCAGTCTCCCAAGTAGCTAGGACTACAGGCGCATGCCAACATGCCCAGCTAATTTTTTAAAATTACTTTTTGTAGGAACAGGATCTTGCTATATTGCCCAGGTTGGTCTCAACTCCTGGCCTCAAGCAATCTTCCTGCCTCAGTCTCCCAAAGCACTGGGATTACAGGGGTGAGCCACTGTGCCAGCCACTACTTGCTTTTTACTCTAATCCCTTAAACTAATTTCAATTTATTCTTCCTTAGACATAATAGAAATGTATGGATAGTTCATTTTAGTTTGGATCTCCCGAAGTGTTTATGAGAAAACAGAGAAAAATGTTTACAGCATCACAATATGTTTGCCCAGGGCAGGTGAGGGCAAACTGTGGCGCTCTAGGCAAGTGCAGCCAGTGGCCTGTTTGTGTACAGGGATTTTTACGTTTTTAAAAGGCCGTGGAACAGAAAAAAAAAAAACAAAAAACAAAGAATATAACATAGAGACTATATGTGTCTGGCAAATTTTTAAAATTTACTGTCTGGCCCTTTACAGACAAAAGTTTGCTGATCCCTGGTTCAGGCTAGCATCATGTGTTAAAATGTCAAGCCTTGTATTTAGAGAAGCTGGTATCTCTTTGAAATTTATTTAATTAATTTATTTATTTTTTGGAGATGGAGTTTTGCTCTTATTGCCCAGGCTGGAGTGCAATGGCTCAATCTCGGCTCACCACAACCTCTGCCTCCTGGGTTCAAGCGATTCTCCGGCCTCAGCCTCCCGAGAGCTAAGATTACAGGCATTCGCCACCACACCCAGCTAATTATTTATATTTTTAGTAGAGATGGGGTTTCTCCATGTTGGTCAGGCTGGTCTTGAACTCCCGACCTCAGGTGATCTGCCCGCCTCGGCCTTGCAAAGTGCTGGGATTATAGACGTGAGCCACCGTGCCTGGCCTTCTTTGAACTTTAGACATAAATTTGGGCACTGCCTGCTGAATTGAGGTAAATTATATTCATTACAGTTTACTATTTTAGTTGATTAGATATTGCCACTATTTATATACTCTTCTAGTAGTTCTCAATTCTGGCTGCATTTTAAAATCATCTGGGGAGCTTTGAAAATATTCTTGCCTAGGCCCCTATACCAGAAATCCTGATTTAATTGATCTGAAGGGGGGCCTGGGCATAGGTATTTCTTACCTGCTATTCAGGTGAGTCTAATGTGCAGCCAGGTCTGAGAACCACAGGCCTACACCACTCACAGGTCTATTTGTGGATGGGCCCACATTCATAGGCAGGTTTTTTTGTGTTTTGTTTGTTTCTTTGTTTTTTGAGACGGAATTTTGCCCTTGTTGCCCAGGCAGGAGTGCAATGGCGCCATCTCGGCTCACTGCAACCTCTGCCTCCCAGGTTCAAGTGATTCTCCTGCCTCAGCCTCCCGAGTAGCTGGGATTACAGGCATGCACCATCACACCAGGCTAATTTTGTATTTTTAGTAGAGACAGGGTTTCTCCAAGTTGGTCAGGCTGGTCTCGAACTCCGACCTCAGGTGATCTGCCCACCTCCACCTCCCAAAGTGCTGGGATTACAGGCATGAGCCACCGCACCCAGCCCATAGGCAGTTTTTATTCACATTTTTATTAGAAATTCAATACAGATGCATTATACAAATTGTTCTTTAATTTCAAGGCAGAAGTGTTGCTTAGGGAAATTTTAATTGAGACTATTTTGAAATGTGAAGAGCATATGAAACAGATAATACAGAGCACAGAGAAACAGAATATGAAAGATAGGAACTGAGAGGAGCGTGCTGAAAAAAAAAAAGAAAAAGAAAAAGAAAGAAACCACTCAGAATTTCAATACACAAATCACTGAGTAGATGTCTTGCTATCTGTGTGAGTGTACCTATTTTCAAAAGTGCTGTTAACATAAACAGAGCAGTAAATCTGGGGCACCATGCTTTTTTTTCAAAGTTGTTAAGAATTATATCAGTCTGCAGGTGTCACACGCAGTTACTCAGAATCAGAAAGAAGGCTGATCGGGGGTTAGATCTCCATCTATCTATCTTTTTGCAACCAACCACGTCCAGGCTGTTTATTTAATACTTCCTCTTGCTAATGAAGGTACTGGTTGGGGATGGGTCGAGCTTTCCCATCTCGGCATAAGACTGCAAGATTTGAATGTGCCCTGGTGTCGGCTTCACTGACCACAGCAGGTACCCCAGGCAAGAATCTGAGCAGTTATAACAGGTAACAACAATAGAGTGTGCATCCAACTTCGGACACTTCTCCTTCCAGTTTATTTCCTTTTCTCCCCATGTACCAATGTGTTCTTTTCTCTCTTCTTTTTACATTTTTCCAAACTAGCAAGTGCGGAGGCAAGACACATCAAAGCAGAGATGGGAAGTGAAAGAGCTCTCGTACTGGACAGATTAGCAAGCAATGTGGCAAAACGAAAAAGCTCAATGCCTCAGAAATTCATTGGTAAGAATACAAACCTTTTTCCTGCTGTTGTTAGCAGATAGTTTGAATGAAATAACATAGGATGCTTGCTACACAAGGCCTTTCCTAGCTTAACCTCTGTTAAAATAATTAGTTTTTCATTGTGTACTTTTATTCTTCATGGTTCATTCTGATAGCTCTGGAAAATAGAATAAAAGATATTAACTAAAGCATCATCATGACAGGAGATGGGAGTAGTTGATATCCAATTTCCTAAATGGATGTGATGTTTAAAATCCTGTTCCTTCCTCTTTACTCTGAATGACATATGTTGCATGAGAGAGTTTATGCAATTTATACCAGTAAGATGTTCAAGATAGCATTTTTGTAATCTTTTGTAATTATATTTTACAAGTTGGTTCGTTAGCATGCTCAAACTTTTTTCATGCTCTAAAACATATTGCCATATTTTCTTGAATTTGAGAATTGGCTTTAAGGGAAAGTGGTTGGGCAAACATAGATTTAAATAACAAGGTTTGATTTAATCATTTGTCTTACTGGAGTTCATTTTTATGCCATTGGTTTTCACATTGTCAAAAAATACAGCAGAATGAGATGGGTATGAAATAATTATGTTCATTGAAGTGTTAGGACTTCCAAATGGCAGAGACATTTTGCTGAACTCTCCCAGATGTTTACATAAATGTGACCATGATATTTGAAATAGATTTGTATTTGTGAAGTAGACAGCTGAAATTGAATGTATCAGTTTTGCTATAAATTGAAAGTTGGTGATATTGAACAAAAATAGTTATCACATGAAAATAGACCTCCCTCAACATCAGTAATATTTTAGAAACCTGTCTCAGCCTCTTTTTCCAAAGCTGCTTGCCGCTGTTGATTTTTTATTTCAGTCCTTTTGTATTTATTCTTCTCAATAGCTCTTACAGATAATAAGTTGCCTGCCTGGTTTTTAAATCTGACTAAATTTGATTCTGGTATAGATAATGTTTTGACAAGCAAACAGTCTATGTGAATTATAGAGGTATATTGAAAGAACCCATATATTTCAAAATTACCTAATTTGGTATTTCTGCCTACTTATTTTATTTTGACTAGCTGAAAGGTTTTTGTGCACTTTTAGTCACTTTAAGAACAAATTGTGTCAGAGAAAAGTTGGTATATTTCAGTTTAGGGAGATCCCCTCCTCCTTGCTGTCCTCCCTCCCCTTGGTGAGACATGTCAGGGGAGCATGTAGTGACTTCCATTTAGAGTTTAGGCACAGTAAACAAATGGTGAGTTTAAGACATTGTCTACAAATATTCCCATATATCTTTTGGGCTTTACTTATGTGAAGAGGTTCTGACTGGAGTACAAAAGAAAGCTTGCCTTATTATTCTGAGTGTATTTTAGTTTGGAGAAAGTTATGGGTTTTGTTTGTTGGTTTGTTTTGAGACGGGGTCTCACTGTACTGCCTAGGCTGGCGTGCTGTGGTGCAATCACAGCCTCAAACACCTGGGCTCAAGAAATCCTCCTACCCCAGCCTCCCAAGTAGCTGGAACTATGGGCACGCACCACCAGGCTCAGCTAATTTTTAAACTTTTTGTAGAGATAGAGTCTCCTCATGTTGCCCAGGCTGGTCTGGAGAAAGCTTTGACTCTAGAAATGGCTGAAGCCGACAAGAGGAGGGACATCATAGGGAGAGCTGGGCAAGAAAAAAATGTAAAGCGACTTCATTTCTTTCTTTCTTTCTTTTTTTTTTTTTTTTGAGACAGAGTTTCACTCTTGTCGCCCAGGCTGGGGTGCAATGGCGCGATCTCGGCTCACCGCAACCTCTGCCTCCTGGGTTCAAGCGATTTTCCTGCCTCAGCCTCCTGAGTAGCTGGGATTACAGGCATGCACCACCATGCCTGGCTAATTTTGTATTTTTAGTAGAGACAGGGTTTCTCCATGTTGGTCAGGCTGGTCTTGAACTCCCGACCTCAGGTGATCCACCCGCCTTGGCCTCCCAAAGTGCTGGGATTACAGGCGTGAGCCACTGCGCCCAGCTGTGACTTAATTTCAATCCAGTTGTGGTCAATGCATTTTGGTGTAAGACAACTAAAATTTGAGAGACAGTCCCTAGTATTTTCGGTTGCCCTAAACCTATAGTTGAACTAAAGCCCTACTTAATATAATAAAAGTTGCTTTGGTATTTCATGGGTTCAAAAATATAGCATGTTTCATATGTGCAAATTCATGCCATTTTGCCTGTTGCCTCGGGGATCTATTTCGTTTGTTTGCTACAATTGCAACCAGAGGATTTTCACTTCACTACTTCCAGACTTGTGAGAGATGCTGATCTTGTAGGTGTTGATTTCTCTCATCTTCTGAACCATCACATTCTCTCTGTGCTGGAATCAGAAACCTAGTAGAGTTAGCTCTTGATTGAGGTAGCAACTTCAGGGCTTCAGGGCCCAGAATAACTGGGGGAATTTTTTTTTTTTTTCGTAAGTTGTGTTGTAGTGCAATAAGAAGAGTACTGGATTAGAAGCTAAAAGACCCAGGTTCTGATCCTAGCTCTGTCATTTCTTAACTGTGTGTTTAGACCAATCACAGAACCTTTCTGGGCCTCTCTTTACTCATCTGTGAAATGAGGAGACTGAATAGGTGATGAAGTGACCAGGAAGTCTCCTCCCATGTACAAGTCTGTGAGATTAATTAGAAAAGAAATAAAAGGCAGCAATTATTGATACCACTGTGTGTTTAGAAAGCCCATGTGCGTAACTTCAGATAGCCTTTTTCTCAAGGCTATACAGATGTGGTGTTTATGCTATAAACCATATCCTAGGTTTTTAGAGTCTTTTTTGTTTTAGGAAGATGGTATAAATCTGAGAATCTAAAACACAGTCGCATTAGCCCGACATTCATGTGTTTTACTTAGGGCAGTACTACTTGTTCACTCACTTTTTTGTCCATTCATTCATCATACAGAAGGTTAAGAGTTCCTGTCATATATATGGTATTCTTGTTTTGGGCACTGTTCTAATCTTCTTGCATTAACTTATATCCTAAACTTTTGTTTGAAAGGTTTTTAAAAATTAAAAATAAAAGAAACCCCTTAAATTATTTAATTGAATCAACCTTTGTGATAGAAAATAGTAATGTCAACGGAGGGAGAAAGGAACATTATTTGTGACACTGTGCAGTGTATGAGATGAAGTGATGTAAAACATGGGGCTACTGTTTTCTCTCCATCTCCCCTCGCCTTGCCTCGCCTCACCTCACCTCTCCTCTCTTGTCCTCTTGTTCCCTCCCCTCCTCTTCCCTCCTCTCCTCCCTTCTCTTCTCCTCTTCTCTCCTTTCTCCTATATTTCCTCTCCAAGGCACTGTTTTTTGAAGATTCAGCTGCCAGGGTAATGGCAATGGGTAAGGTGTGAAGGAAGAGTGAGTCATTCCCTTTAATCCTTGCTGACAGTTGCACAGCACTCAGACCAGCCTTGACTTCCCTGACCTCTTGAACTGTGAGGGTAAAGGTGAAAATAGACCATCAGGTCAGCCCGCTGCTATCTCAGGCGGGCTGGCGATAATTACCAGTAGGGAGCATTTTGCATCCATTAGAGATGAACTGGGGAAGAGGGACAGATTGGATCAAGTCTAAATGTATTTTGAGACACAAACATGCTCTCAAGTTGGAGAAAAATATTTTTTTTTCTAATTCTCCAAGAAATTTTGTATGTCTTTGTTTCAAATGGGAAAAAAAAAAATGGACACACGTCCATCAGGAATCACCATCTTTACATTGTCAGAATAATTCTGTTTAAGTTGTTCTTTTCAAAGGACAAGAAGACCTTCCTTTGCACATACTGTCCTTTAGGGGATTTCCTTTCTCTGAATCTTGTTCTCCTGTTATAAACTTGTTTGACTACACTTCAAACTAGGCCATCCTCAAATACTTGGCTCAAAATGGATTTCTCTCTTGGATGCAGAAGAAAAATGACTACATTTCTGCATATTTCTCCTGATTTTTATTCTTTCCCAAAAAAACAGATGTTATTCAGACCAAAGTGGTTACCATAGCATCTCCTTATTTTAAAAGTTTTATGTATTACTTTATTAAAGGAAGTTTTCATAACGAAAAGAACATGAAAAAAAGATCTCACTCACCTGTGGTAAACATGTTAATGAGGTTTTGACACTTCAACAAACCATCGGATCTCCCTGTGAAGTAACTAATGAGAAATTGCCTGCTTTGGTTAACAGCAACAGGAAGCAGTTTTAATACCTGTTTCTAAGAGAAAAAAAAGTATTTTTCCAACCCCTTCCCAAAGGCCTGATGTCCATAATCCTGTAAGCATTACAATGTCATAGTATTTTTGGGCTATTAGGAACCACCAGTGAGGCTCTTTTACCATGGAAGGAAGGAGGATCAGAGAGGTGGAGTGACACAGCTGGCAGGTGACAGAGCAGCGCCAGACCTCGGCCTATAAGGCACTGCAGTCCAGGCCCTTCCTTCCCCAGGAGGTGACCAAGAGCAGTGCATGTCATGCGCGGGGCTTTGGACAGCAAGGAGTCTGGTCATTGAAAGTTGGTGGGAGAGGCCAGGTGCAGTGGCTCACACCTGTAATTCCCCACTTTGGGAGTCCTAAGCAGGTGGATCACTTGAGGTCAGGAGTTCAAGACCAGCCGGGCCAATATGGTGAAACCCTATCTCTACTAAAAATACAAAAATTAGCCAGGTGTGGTGGTGGGTGCCTGTAATCCCAACTATTTGGGAGGCTGAGGCACAAGAATCACTTGAACCCAGGAAGCAGAAGTTGCAGTAAGCCGAGATCGCACCAGCTTGGGCAACAGAGCAAGACTCTGTTTCAAAAACAAAAAAGAAAATTGATAGGAGGAAAAAAACCCTTGAAGAAGGGCAATTGTTCTCCCTCAAGGGTGATTCTCTTTAGAAAAGAACAGTCTTCCCTGGTGACTCCATGAGAACAGATGACATCCACACAGCACTTCCCAGTGTCTCACAGAGGACAAAGACTTCTGCAGCAACCAAATGTGGTCTCCAGCTCAGCTTTCCCCAGTGCCACCCCCACAGCTCTCTCTGTTCTTTCCTCCTTCCTGTTTCTTCTTGTTCTCTGGCTCCCCTCTGTTTTCCACCTCCTGCAAGAAGTGTTAGTTTCACTTAGGTTGAGATCAGAGCCATGATGATGGTTGGATATTCTATTTTCCTGCCTTTTTTGTTCATTTGCTTTTGGATGTGTGCTGATAGTAAGAGTGAGGGATAACACTTGTGGGAAATTATATGACGCAGCAGCAAACACATTTAAGTGACTTGAAGAACTTTAAGACTTAAGACCTGAATATTTCACCTTACCCCATCATGGTGACTCTAAATATTGGATTTCTGTTATTTTTCTAAAGGTTCGATCATTTTGCCCCCCTCTTCAAAAAAACCTTTCAATGGCTCCCAGTGGAATCAAATCTAAACCATTCAGTCAGGCCTTCTGAGCCCTCCACAATCTGTCTTCAACTTACCTCTTCTAATTTTATCATTTCAGCCAACCAGTCCTTTACTTCAGCCACAATGAACTCCTCCTCCCTCTTCTGTGTAATATCTCACTCTTGTCTGAATGGCCTCCCTCACATCTGCCCTTAAAATACACATTGTAGGCCAGGCACAGTGCCTCATGCCTGTAATCCCAGCACTTTAGGAGACCAAGGTGGGAGGATCACTTGAGCTCAGGAATTTGAGACCGGCCCAAGCAACATAGTGAAACTCTGTCTCTGAAAAAAAAAAAAAAATCAAAAACCTAGCCAGGTGTGGTGGCATGGGCCTGTGGTCCCAGCTACTTAGGGGGCTGAGGTGGGAGTATCACTTGAGCCCAGGAGGTTGAGGCTGCAGTGAGCTGTGATCACGCCACTGCAATCCCACCTGAGCAACAGAGTGAGACCTTGTCTCAAAAATAAAAAATAAAAAGAAGCACACATTGTCCACATTCCCACACCCCTGTGTTCTCTCTCTGCTCCATCCTCCCTCTGCACTCCAGGCGAGTTTACTAGTCTGCTTCTTATTATAGATATGACTGTCTCCACCACCGTCACTACCACCACCTCTGATTTCAAGGAGACTTTAAAGAATAGATGAATCTTTGCCCCATATTAAGTGTGGCATATTTGAGAAGTAATTCAGTTTTCTCTTTCCACTCTCTTGGCTACTCTATGTTTTGTTCTACCATGTAGCATTAAGGATACTGATTTGTCATGAAATGATGTACATGCTGCATCTCCTCTAGTGGATTGCAATTTTGTTGTATTCCTCAAATCACCTAACCATGGTGCTAAGCAAATAATGGGAATAGAGTGCTTACACATGCCTGGCACTGCTAAGCACTTTATAGATATCATAACAACTCTGCACAGCATATACTTCTTGAGTGCATGTGCTGGTCCATGTGGAAAAAGCAGTTGCTGCCACTAAGCCCCCTTTCCCTCTGCTATGGGAACCATCACAGCAGAAAACCTGAAGTCACTGCTGGTGGTGGGGCTGTGCAGCCATGGGCAAGGTAGCAGCCAGGAAACATCAGTTAACACTCAAACATATACTGGGATATGTGGGCTCTTGGATTACATCCTGGTTCTCTGTTCACCAACTGGGCAATCTTGGAAAGTGAATCAAACTGTTTGTGCTTTAGGTTCTTCATCTAAGAGATGATAATTCATACCTTAAAAGGTATCATACAAAAATTAGCCAGGCATAGTGGCACGTGCCTGTAGTCCCAGACACTTGGGAGGCTGAGGCAAGAGAATCACTTGAACCCAGGAGACGGAGGTTGCAGTGAGTCGAGATCGTACCATTGCACTCCATCCTGGGTGACAGAGCAAGACTCTGTCTCAAAAAAAAAAAAAAAGTATCAACCCCTAATGGGCTGGTAAAATGAGACAGTATGCAAAGTATCTAGGATGGCACGGTGGATACAGCAGGGGCTCAATAAATAGTACTTATCATTATTGGGATTATTGTATATAAGGCACAGTGCAAGGTACTGTGAAATATAAAGACCAGAAGTAAACATATTAGGGTGGTGGGTCTTCCCCCTCAACCCTGCAGACAGAGTTCTGAATCCACTTGCTCAGTTAAGGGCCCTTTTAGCTCTAGCCTGTGATTCTGTACTTCCAAGTTGGCACTTAGAAGCCAACAACCATATGTCCTCACCACATTGCATCAGTTCAGGTCAGGTGGTTTCTTAGTTTAGAGTTAACAAAGCCAAGATATAAGACATTGACACCTTTAAAAAGAACCACAGGTAGGGAATGGCCCAACCAGGCAGCCTTAGTTTCTAAACTTAGGACTTGCTGTTGCCGTGTGTATTTTTGTTGGAAGAAGACCTCTAATTCAGCCTGAAGCTGGTATCATGAATCATTCAAAGGCGTGGTGTGATTTTGACTAGAAGCTGGACCAGATGCTCCGTGCAGGTTTGGAAGCAGTTACACTTTTGTGGTTTGACTAACCTTTTTTATGAGTGTGTTACTAAAGAAACGTGAGCTGTTGGCTTTTCAATTACTGTAGTTTACCCTTTCTGGGTTTCATACACATTGAGTCATCGTGTCTACAGGTGACTGATAATCATCTGCACTGCTCAAGTTACCGTAACTCAGAGACGAGGGGATCTGATGATTGCAAGTTGCATGCACGTGAACATCTGAGGCTGCCCCATCTCCTTAACAATGAACAATGGTCTGTGTTAACTACAGAATTCAGTCACATATTTCCACTCATCCAGGGGTTTATCTTCCTCTTAATGTTTTGCCTTTTACAATTTTAGCACTCAGCTGTTTTCTGACATATGCTGCAGGTGGTATAGATTGTGAAATTGTAGGCCTTGTTAAGTAAAGCAAACTCTTAGGAGAAAGGATAAAATCAGAGTTTGTGATGTGCCTACCCCACCCAGAAACCTTCTGGAGCCTCTCTGTTGGGTGAAAAGAGAAAAAGTTTCTCAAGGACCCCTGGTATTTAGGGAGATGAATAGAGGTGGCCACAGTGGAAAATAACCAATAACCTTAAAAAGGCCAAGAAACCGAAGTTCATCATTTCTGTGTCACATTCTAGGGAATGAATGTCTGTGACCTTAGCTGGCTCTCATGTTCTCAGTCTTCCAGATGGCCTTGACCAAAGATATATCCAATCTGGAAACTGAAAATAAAAAACATTGATTACTTTGGCCAAGGTCTACTCTGCTGTTGCTTCTCATTGAGTTTCCAAGACAGGGTATTTTCGTTTGCATATTTTTTTTCTCTCTCAGGTATTTCTCTGGAAACTATCAGGTTGGCCTTAAGGTCAGCTGCTTGTGGGGATGCAAAGACAAATTCATCTCATGGGAATAGATCTTTTAGCTGGTTCTTCTGGCTCCAATTTCTCACTGTTCTGGTCTGCCTTACACATTGCTGTTACGTTAACCACAAACCTGTCTTTCTCAAGGGCAGGTAGCCTTGGCTCTTGGTTCGGATTCACACCCTACAGTGGGCCATTCGGAATGCCCACCATTCGGTCCTACCATGCATTATCTTTTTTCAGTGTTTCCCCAAATGTAGGATGCAAATTGCCAGCAAGCACATGGAGCATTTAAAAACCTGGGTCCACACAGCAGGATAATTATTTTCTTTCCAGTTCTCTTTCAGTCTCCTGGATCATACTAAGGAGAAAAATTTAGACTTAATTTGATGCCAGTTGTCTTTAACACTAATCTCACACTTGGTAATCTCTGTTTTTAACAAAGGGGGAAGGGATCTTAGTCTCCAAGTACTCACAGTAGTATCCGATCAAAATTTAATGAAATGCTCTGTTTCATTGTCTTTATTTTTCATAGTTACCTTCTACTTGTGGAAAGTGATTCTGGTTTTCCGTTTATGTTAGTGATATAAAGTTTCCTTAAAAACCACATTTATTTTAGAAAAAGAAAAAAAGAAAGAAAATGTGAACCAAATCAAACAGAGGAAAAAAACCCAAGCATTTACCAAGTGTTTTCCATGTGGCAGGCCCTGTTCTAAGTGCTTTCCAGTGACCCTGTGAGGTACATACAATTATCTTCACTTTACATGAGGACACGGAACATAGGTTAAGTGACTTGCCCAAGGTCACAAAACTGGTGACCAATGGAGCCAGCATCAAACCCAGCCCATCTGACACCAGAGTTTATTCTCTCAACCACCACACTGCCCTGGTGTGTGGATATTGCAGAATGTGAAGGAAGAGTGAAGCCTGAGAAATACTGTATTTCATACTTCTTGATCGCGTTTCAGCCAGACTCGCTTTCTGCACACGTCCCGTGTAGTCCCACCTCTCTGCCTTCATTCCTGCACTCCCCCTCAACTAGGATGTCCTCTCCCGCTTCTCTGAAAATCTAAATTCTTCCAGTTCAAGACCCTTCTCAAAATTTAGATTTTCCAAGAATGCTTTCCCTTCCCCAAGTACTTCTGAAGTTTCTGCATTCCCTTAATGCCTAAATATACAATTTATACCAAATTGTCTCACCGATGCCTGTATGTTACCTTATTATTCTTTTTAAAGAACACGTTACTTCCCTGCCTAAATGCCTCAAATGTGGGCATTTAGAATAAAAGCAAAGACCTCCATAGAGCAAAGCAGTCCTTTTACAACTTTTTTTTTTGAGACAAGGTCTTACTCTGCCACCCAGGCTGGAGTGCAGTGGTGCCATCTCAGCTCACTACAATCTCTGCCTCCCAGGCTCAGGTGATCCTCCCACCTCAGCCTCCTGAGTAGCTGGGACTACAGATGCCTGGCTAATTTTTGTATTTTTTTGTAGAGACAAGGTTCCTCCATGTTGCCCGGGCTGGTCTCGAACTCCTGGGCTCAAGTGATCCTCCCTCCTCAGCCTCCCAAAGTGCTAGGATTACAGGCCTGAGCCACCGCGCCCGGCCAACTTTTAACTTATACTTTTTCTCGAGTTCTATATATATATAGGTCTTATTTCTCATCCACTAGGTTGGAGACACCTCAAGAACAGGAACTGGTTCTTCCAATCCTTTTGTTTTCTCATGGCATTTTTTCTTCTTCTTCTTTATTTTCATTGCTGAACCCTTTACTGTAGGGCAGTGACAAATTTTGGAATCTCAACATGACTAGGAAACATTATAGAAGGATATGGTTTAGCAAATCCCTCCAGGATCCAAGCTGACAGAATGGAGAGGCTCAACAGTGACCTCAGCCTCACCTCCAGCACTCGGCTCCACTTCCTCGCTTTCTCTCCCCTCTCCCCACCACTCACCACTGAGCACATCTGCCCTCACTGCAGTCCCCATCCCTGCCTTCCCTGTGACCAGAGAGCCTCTGTTTTCTAACACACAACACCCACACACTCTGAAGGTGGCTAAACTCTGTTTTCAAAACTTCTCAGCAGTTTGACATGAGAAGTAGGAGAGGGTGACCACAAGTATATTTTTTCAGTTAAGTGTGAGATAGGCCCTAATGATCACATGTGTATCAGAGATACACTTGCCAAGCAAAGGAAGAGAAACACACGTTAGGAAAGGGACAAAGACCATGATCTCTTCTCAAGAAAACTTTTCTCAAACTTTCTACATTTGAAGCTCTTTCACTTCAGTCTCAGTCAGCCAGGACGGGTGAGTTTGGGGAGTAGCCAGTTGGAGTCTGGGGGGCTATTTTCTCTATCTCTGTAGCTATTTAAAAAGCTGCCGAGGTGAGGCACCGAGTGTCCCCACTCTTTGCAGCACTTCTGTCCCCCTGGCTACCTAATATTGCAAGCAGAAAATAACAAGCAAAAGCAAAATAAGAGTTGGGAGCCGACTGTGTCTTAAGAGATCATGAACTATAGCAGAAGTCCCAGGCTCCTGTGGGCTGGTGGCTCCCTTGTCCCTCTAGCCCCATCCTAGTGTCCTGCTTCTTTCCCTCCTTTCTTGAGGGCTCTCCTCTAACATGCACAGTGGGCATACCTTACCATGTGGCCTCAACTGAACCACATCTCTGCCCCTCTCTTCTGCCTGCTGGCTTTATTTTAACCATCCAAACACGTTGCTGCCGACCAGTGTCCCCTGAGACAGCACCATGGGAAACCATTCTGCCAGGCTTGGTCTTCTTGAGCAGCAGGCAACTTAACTCTCCTCCCTTTTTGAGGTCTCTAGAAAATATTTACAAACTCTCTGCCTTGGCAGTGTTCCCTTTGTAACCCTTTCTGTCACTTGTTCCAGGTGAGAAGCGCCACTGCTTTGATGTCAACTATAATTCAAGTTACATGTATGAGAAAGAGAGTGAGCTCATACAGACCCGCATGATGGACCAAGCCATCAATAACGCCATCAGCTATCTTGGCGCCGAAGCCCTGCGCCCCTTGGTCCAGACACCGCCTGCTCCCACCTCGGAGATGGTTCCAGTTATCAGCAGCATGTATCCCATAGCCCTCACCCGGGCTGAGATGTCAAACGGTGCCCCTCAAGAGCTGGAAAAGAAAAGCATCCACCTTCCAGAGAAGAGCGTGCCTTCTGAGAGAGGCCTCTCTCCCAACAATAGTGGCCACGACTCCACGGACACTGACAGCAACCATGAAGAACGCCAGAATCACATCTATCAGCAAAATCACATGGTCCTGTCTCGGGCCCGCAATGGGATGCCACTTCTGAAGGAGGTTCCCCGCTCTTACGAACTCCTCAAGCCCCCGCCCATCTGCCCAAGAGACTCCGTCAAAGTGATCAACAAGGAAGGGGAGGTGATGGATGTGTATCGGTGTGACCACTGCCGCGTCCTCTTCCTGGACTATGTGATGTTCACGATTCACATGGGCTGCCACGGCTTCCGTGACCCTTTCGAGTGTAACATGTGTGGATATCGAAGCCATGATCGGTATGAGTTCTCGTCTCACATAGCCAGAGGAGAACACAGAGCCCTGCTGAAGTGAATATCTGGTCTCAGGGATTGCTCCTATGTATTCAGCATCGTTTCTAAAAACCAATGACCTCGCCTAACAGATTGCTCTCAAAACATACTCAGTTCCAAACTTCTTTTCATACCATTTTTAGCTGTGTTCACAGGGGTAGCCAGGGAAACACTGTCTTCCTTCAGAAATTATTCGCAGGTCTAGCATATTATTACTTTTGTGAAACCTTTGTTTTCCCATCAGGGACTTGAATTTTATGGAATTTAAAAGCCAAAAAGGTATTTGGTCATTATCTTCTACAGCAGTGGAATGAGTGGTCCCGGAGATGTGCTATATGAAACATTCTTTCTGAGATATATCAACCACACGTGGAAAAGCCTTTCAGTCATACATGCAAATCCACAAAGAGGAAGAGCTGACCAGCTGACCTTGCTGGGAAGCCTCACCCTTCTGCCCTTCACAGGCTGAAGGGTTAAGATCTAATCTCCCTAATCTAAATGACAGTCTAAGAGTAAGTAAAAGAACAGCCATAAAATAAGTATCTGTTACGAGTAACTGAAGACCCCATTCTCCAAGCATCAGATCCATTTCCTATCACAACATTTTTAAAAAATGTCATCTGATGGCACTTCTGCTTCTGTCCTTTACCTTCCCATCTCCAGTGAAAAGCTGAGCTGCTTTGGGCTAAACCAGTTGTCTATAGAAGAAAATCTATGCCAGAAGAACTCATGGTTTTAAATATAGACCATCATCGAAACTCCAGAAATTTATCCACTGTGGATGATGACATCGCTTTCCTTTGGTCAAGGTTGGCAGAGCAAGGGTATAAAGGGGGAAATTGTTTGGCAGCACCAACAGAAAACAAACAAACAAAAAACAGCTACCTAAAACTTCTTGAAAGAGTTCATGGAGAATTGGTGATACAGACCCAAAGCAAATTTGCCAATGATATTTTCCACAAAAAAAGTCCAAAAAGTATGGCTCAGCCTCCCCCTCCCCACAGGAGAGGAATTGGAGATAGATGGCATGTGTGTTTAGATCGGAGTTGAGCTCCGGAATGGGGTGAGGAGGGACACCTCTATTGAGAGGTTCTCCTTGATCAGGCAGGCTTCGGCCCTTTTTTTCCCATTTAAATGGAACTGCTGTATTCCATGAAAATTCCTGAAAGTCTGATCACGGTTCTGCAGATGTATAAGTCATCCTTGTCACTCATAATATGTACATACTATCAGGAGGAGTGCTGTTATCATGGTAAAATTAGCACTGGAATAGGAGGTCACAAAATGCTGGCTAATTAGCTATGTGACTTTGAGAAATCGTTTAACTTTTTTTTTTTTTTTTTTTTTGAGACAGGATCTCACTCTGTTGCCCAGGCTGGAGTGCAGTGGTGCAATCATGGCTCAGTGCAGCCTCGACCTCCCCAGGCTCAGGTGATCCTCCCACCTCAGCCTCTTGAGTACTGGGACAACAAGTGCACACCACCATGTCTGGCTACATTTTGTTCTTTTTGTAGAGATAGGGGTCTCACTATGTTGCCCATGCTGGTCTTGAACTCCTGGGCTCAAGCAATCAGCCCGCCTCAGCCTCCTAAAGTGCTGGGATTACAGGTGTGAGCCACCACACCCAGCCTTATTTAACTCTTAAAACTCAGTTTCCGGCCAGGCTCGGTGGCTCACACCTGTAATCCCAACACTTTGGGAAGCCGAGGCAGGCGCATCATTTGAGGTCAGGAGTTCGAGACCAGCCTGACCCACATGGTGAAACCCTGTCTCTACTAAAAATACAAAAATTAGCTGGGCAGTAGTGGCACATGCCTGTAATCCCAGCTACTCCGGAGGCTGAGGCAGAAAAATCGCTTAAGCCTGGGAGGTTGAGGTTGCGGTGAGTGGAGATCACACTACTGCACTCCAGTCTGGGCGACAGAGTGAGACCCTGTCTCAAACAAAACAAAACAAAAACAAACAAACAAAAACAAAAAAAACTCAGTTTCCTCATCCATAAAATAGGAATTAGATTTCAATGTTCTCTTAGGTCCCTTCTAGCTTTAATTCATATGTGATTATGCAGTAACCACAAGGTATTTTTTAAACCTCCTAATGTATGGATATTAAGCAGAAGAGTATTTATATGAATACATGTTTCACATTCCTTTGGTATGAAAATGGTGTGTTAAGTTTTTCCTTTAACCACTGAGTTGTGAATGTGAAGAAGGTGGTGGAGAGGAACAAAAAACAGAAAGGTATTTTGATCTTGCCACAAAGCATACACACAAATTGGCACATGCAGCTGTTTGCCAAAGCCTTCTTTTTTTTTTTACTTTTTAAGAAATTATGTTAGGGAAAATAAATTCTGCTTCCAGGGACAACTTCATGGAGCCTATTTACAAATTAAGAGTCAGCTTAATTTGTAACATTTCTACCAGAGCCAAGAATCCCAAATTCCTGGTAGATTAGTGTTTTATTTCTAAGGGGCTTATGCATTCGGCTCCAACTCAACTCGTCTATGTGCTGCCAGTAATTAAAATGTTCCACCTCAGACTGCACAAATGGCTTATCCTTCTTTGTGGCATGGCGTCTGTCTCAGGAAAAAAGGTTTTATGAAATTCCATGGCAACAGTCCCAACATGTTTGAGACTTCAGCTAAAGGAATGGATGTATTTTGGTGTGTAGTCTTCAGTATATCACTGTATTTCCGTAATACTAGACTCCAAGCTATGCCAGATTGCTTATTCCCTTTGTGAAAGAGGAGTTGCTCATTACGTTCTTGAAATATCGCACATCCTGTTGGTTCTTCAAGGGACAAGAGAAAGAGAATTTGGAAGCAGGGATTAGTAGAAGAGAAAACGAGGGAAAGGAAGCCTTTCCACCAGATTAGTGTTCAAGTCTTTGCAGAGGAGACCAACTTTTTTTGTTTTCTTTTGTTTTGAGACAGTCTCTCGCTCTGTTGCCCAGGCTGGAGTGCAGTGGCGCGATCTCGGCTCACGGCAACCTCCGCCTCCCGGGTTCAAGCAATTCTCCTGCCTCAGCCTCCCAAGTAGCTGGGATTACAGGTGCTCACCACCAAGCCCGGCTAATTTTTGTATTTTTAGTAGAGACAAGGTTTCACCATGTTGGCCAGGCCAGTCTCAAACTCCTGACCTCAGGTGATCTGCCCGCCTTGGCCTCCCACAGTGCTGGGATTACAGGCATGAGCTACCGCACCCAGCCTGAGACCACCTTTTGCATCTCAAGATTGTGAAACCAAGGCCCATTCCACCAGCCTGGGGACTCTTTTTATAGATATGATCCTCCTTTTTCCTGTGACTAATGAATTTGCTGCATGATTTCTATTCTTCTGAGGTTAGTTTTCTGAGTAAGGTGACCACTCACAAAGGCACTTTCTTTGTGGCATTCTGAGCCTAGATTGGGGCCCATCAATTCCAGAAAAAATTTATGTGTGGAAACTCTGCATCCTTAAGTCTTGAAGTTGAACCAGATATGCAGTGGTTACCATCACACAGATAAACGCTGCCTTCTGTACATACCCCTTATGCTGTACTAATTAACAAACCCCTTGCCAGGGCTGGGGAGGTGAGGGTGAAGGAGAATCTTAGCAGAAGGGCAGAGTCAGGACTTGCATCTGCCACTGCTGGGCACTGAAGCCCTGGAGCAGCTTCAGATAGTACCTGTACTTTCTCATGCAGACTCCCTCTGAACAAGAGCCTTGTAGGCCCCTCTCCTTCATTTCCCACCAGCCTCTTATCAGGCGGGCTTTCCACCATACACCCAGGAGGCCACGGTCTGAGGAACAACCAAACCCATGCAAAGGGCCGGGCGCGATAGCTCACGCCTGTAATGCCAGCACTTTGGGAGGCTGGGGCAGGCAGATCACCTGAGGTTGGGAGTTCGAGACCTGCCTGACCAACATGGAGAAACCCCCATCTCTACTAAAAATACAAAATTAGCCGGGCGTGATGGCACATGCCTGTAATCCCAGCTACTCAGGAGGCTGAGGCAGGAGAATCGCTTGAACCCGGGAGGCGGAGGTTGCGGTGAGCCGAGATGGCACCACTGCACTCCAGCCTCGGCAACAAGAGCGAAACTCTGTCTAAAACAAAAACAAACAAACAAACAAAAAAACCCAGGCAAAGTTTCCTTGCAGCCAAGGTGACAGAACTGGGCTGAGGGTGGAAAAGAAACAGAACCAGTGCTCCAGGTGTTTTTTAATTTTTTAATTTATTTTTATTTTTTTTGTATATGTATATATATGTATGTATATTTTAGAGGACCAGGGTCTCACTATGTTGCCTAGGCCAGACTCAAACTCCTGTGCTCAAGCAATCCTGCCTCAGCCTCCCAAGTAGCTGGGATTACAGGCATGCACAAACAATGCCCAGCTCTCCAAATGTTTTCTGTCACTACCTGAAGTGTTGCATCGGTACTTCCTACGGAAAGAAAACTAAATAGAAGTGTCTCTCCCGTGAGCCCCCACCACTACCACCAGAAAAAAAAAAGAGAGAAAATGAACTCATCAGTCTTTAGTTTCCTCAAGTTATTCTCCCAAAAAGACATTCGCCTTGGCACAGATAAGCCAGCTAATCTTATGCTTTATGACCCACTGTGAGCTGTTCCTGACACAGCTTCTGACTTTGTCAGTGACAAAATTTCTCACCTTTTAAATGCAGTGCTTAACATTTTGTTAGGCCCATACTCAAAATCGGCCAGATATAAAATGACCTCAGATTTTGATCTCCTAGGCTCAAACAATCCTCCTACCTCAGCCTCCCAAGTAGCTGGGACTATAGGCACACCACCATGCACAGCTAATTTTTTTTGTATTTTTCTGCAGAGATGGCGTTTCGCCATACTGCCCAGGCTAGTCTCAAAATCCTGGGCTCAAGCAATCTGCCCACCTCAGCCTCCCAAAGTGCTGGAACTACAGGCAAGAGCCACTGCGCCCAGCCACAACCTCAGATTTCTTTGGCAAACAGAAATGTTTAAAAACACAAAATTTTGCTCAGGTGAAACACTGTGTTACTATCAAATCTCACATCCACATAAAGTTTTTCTTTTCGGCTTTGTTTCGTGAGGAACAGACAGAACAAAGTTTTTCCAGGTAGCATCTGTATCACTATTATTCTCCTATTTCCTGTACCACCCCCACCTCCCCAAGCCCTACTGAATGTGAGGTTTAGAATGTTTTAAGGAGGGTCAGGTGCGGTGGCTCACGCCTGTAATCCCAGCACTTTGGGAGGCCAAGGCGGGCGGATCACCTGAGTTTGGGAGTTCGAGACCAGCCTGACCAACATGGAGAAACCCTGTCTCTACTAAAAATACAAAATTAGCCAGGCGTGGTGGCACATGCCTGTAATCCCAGCTACTTAGGAGGCTGAGGCAGGAGAATCGCTTGAACCCAGGAGGAGGAGGTTGTGGTGAGCCGAGATCGTGCCATTGCACTCCAGCCTGGGTGACAGAGTGAGACTCCATCTCGAAAAAAAAAATACAAAAATTAGCTGGGTGTGGTGGTGCACACCTGTAATCCCAGCTACTCGGGAGGCTGACGCAGGAGAATTGCTTGAACCTGGGAGGTGGAGGTTGCAGTGAGCCGAGATCGCGCCATTGCAATCCAGCCTGGACAACAGAGTGAGACTCCATCTCAAAAAAAAAAAAAAAAAGAATGTTTTAAGGAAAAAAATAGTACTGTTACATATAATCCCAGGTGATAAGACCACAATGGAAATGTTTAAGTCCTCACTTTAAAGAGTACCCCACTGAGAAGAGGTATGTTGGACTCTAGCAGAGATTTGGAAACTCTGGGACACTCAAGATGTGAAAGAGCCTGGCTATCTGAGGACTCAAAGAGTCAGCATCGGGACTTGTGAGCTCAAGAAGAGAAAAGGGAGTGGTGAAACTTTGTCCTAAAAGTTAGCACCAGGAACAGAAGAAAAAAACCCGATATATAGTGATACCTCATCTTTTAGAGAATGGGAAGCTATTTTTGTGTTCACACAGAAAGTATAGTTCAAAAAACCTCTATATCCAGAGTTCAGACAAGGAGAATGATTTGAGATATAAGTGCCGATGAAGGAGGTCAATTTTGATCTGAAACCAGCAGCTGGACCTGGGCCACCTCAGGAAAAGGACTCTGTTCTCCAAGGCAGCACGACTGAATGGTTCTGAGAATAAGCCAGGGTTCAGGACTCCTGACCCTTTAGGACCATGGACTCAGAAGAGCCTGAAGGACAATTGTGGGCTTTAAACTTCTGAGAGCTTGTAAAGTAACACAAGACTGTGCCTCTCCCTTGCCCCAGCTGTAGATAGTCTTTGCCCCACCATTGTTATGAAGATACACAGGGTTTTGCAGTTTGAATAAATTGGATACAAGTTTCCTCTTTTTTTTTTTCTTTTTGAGACAAAGTCTCGCTCTGTTTCCCCAGGCTGAGTGCAGTGGCACAATCAAGGCTTACTTGCCGCCTCAACCTCCTGGGCTCAAGCAACGAGCCATCCTCCCGTCTTAGCCTCCCAACTAGCTGAGACTACAGGCGTGGGTCACCACACCCAGCTAATTTTTGTACTTTTTGTAGAGACAGGGTCTCACCATGTTGCCCAGGCTGGTCCTGAACTCCTGGGCTCAAGTAATCTGCCCACCTCAGCCTCCCAAAGTGTTGGGGTTACAGGCGTGAGGCACCGCGGCTGGCCTGAGTTTCTTCTTAATACTGTATCACAATTGTGGGCTGTCTTATGTGTTGATATCGATTGAGCTATTTGAAATAGGAATGTTAATGGGTGTATTAAATTTTTGTAAGGATATAACAATATCTACCTTCCAAGGATGTTGTGAGGTTTTCCATGATTTTGTATATGAGCTAATGTTACCTTTGAGGGGTGGTGTGCATTATGTTGGATGATTGTAAATTTTCAGTGGAAAATGTACCGTGTCCTAAATTTAAAGACATGAAAAATATCCCAAGATCATACTAGATCATAATAGCAATTCCTTTACAAATGAATTATGGAGGTAACTGATCTCTAACAGTTTCCTTCATGTTGTTTTAATGCACAAGGGCAGAGGATCTGCTGACCCTTGGAACCAGCGTGAGCTAACCACGTGCTATAGACACTTCATGGTGTCGCACCCAGGGAAGTCAAAGCGCTTTGCTCCCTCACTGTCTGTGAGTCCTCAGCCATTAGTACCCCACCCCCCGCTGCTCCAAAACTTGAGTTATTTCAAATGTTTCTCACTGTTCATCTCTCCACTGACCCCACTCCAGAAAGCCTGGAGAGAGTCCCAAGATGCCACCCACCTTCCCCAATCCCTCGCCACAGATCTGTGTCTATCTCACACTCTGTAAGTGCCGCTTTGCTTCTTCCTCTCTTGAAAAGACTGAGAACACACATTTTAACATGTTAGGAAAATGGGGCAGCCTAAAAAATGACTGATCCCACCGCCAGTGACTCATGTATACTCCAGGCTAGCAGACAAGGCCCTTTTTGGTGGGCCTGCTTCTGTGGGTTCACAGAAACCAAATTACTGTGGGTTGCAAAGAATTAGCAGGTCATTTACAAAGCAGACATCCCTTCACCCAGACTGTGGTTTTGCATGCTCAGGTTCTCAGTCTATGAGCTTTGGTGCAGGATCATTTTGGCTACTGGAAAAACCATAGCTTATTTTAAATTTCTGGTTGCCAAAGCCACCACACGTGTGGTCTGTGGATGACCATTGTCTGCAGAATGACGAGGAAGGAACAGAATGTGGTTTGGGGCTCAGGGTGGCCTTCCCACTGGGAGGGAAGGCGGGAGGGAGCCCTTGCCCTGGGTTTTGACACAGCCTGTGCTCACAGCCTCTCCTCTCATCTGCATTTCTCAGAAATGCCCTCCCTGCCCAGTGGTGACTTTCCCTCGTCACTCCTATGGAGTTCTACCTGGAGCCCAGCCATGTGTGGAACTGTGAAGTTTACTCCTCTGTAAAGATGGTTTAAAGAAAGTCAGCTTCTGAAATGTAACAATGCTAACCCTTGCTGGAACCCTGTAAGAAATAGCCCTGCTGATAGTTTTCTAGGTTTATCATGTTTGATTTTTACACTGAAAAATAAAAAAATCCTGGTATGTTTGAAATTAGTCCTTGTGCATCCTTATCACTTATGATTTGTGTCTGCTGGTGTCAGGATGTAGAAGGGTTTCATCCCGCCCCAAGGAATACTTTCTTAATTTTGCCCCTCTATTTCTTAAAGTCCAGTTATCAAGAAAAATGAATTATCACTGAAATAAAGGTTCTCACCTGACGCCTTGCTGAGCCTACCACTGTGATCCTGCTGCTGGCCCCTGTAACCCACAAGATAGGGTTCCTGGTTCCACTGGTCCTTAGTTCACTAAGGAAACTGGAGGAGGTTGAGGACCTGGACTTAGCATGATCAGCACATTCAGCATGGTGCACCCCTATTCCAAGTCACTGCTCTGCCTTCCTCCCTCAACAGAGATTCTTCTTAAAATACAGTCAAGTTCTGACTTTTTCATGTGTGGGGGCTCACAGACATCCACATTGGGAAACTTGAGTTGCAGTCCTTAAACTCGACCATATTTAAATACAGTTTTTAGATACCTGGAGACCCAAACCGAAGGTGTTAGGGGGAAAAGTCCTAGGAGAATGGCATAGGGATGAGGCTGCTTTCTTTCCATCATCATTGTGTTCTCTCTTAGAAAACGTTAGAGAAAGTAGAGAGAGAGTCTGGCCTTCTGCTCAGCCTCATCTAAAGCACCCTCCATTTTCCGTCTTCTGTGGAAGAGGCATGAGAAAGATTGTCTGAAGTTTTAAGACTAACAAATGTGGGGCTAGGCTGGCACCAGCGTCCTCTGGCTCCATGATCAGCATCATCTCCCTCCCATCAGCACTCCAAAATGTTCAAACTGGCTGAGGGTCTCCTACAGGTTTCCCAGTCTTGCTCAAGCTGAGGAGGAGAAAGGAATGGCATGGCACCCTGCCTTTGCATTTTAGCACTGAATACATTCAAAAACGGCCCCTCAGTAGCTGGTTTTCAGCCCTGGAGAGAAGATTATATGGCCTTCCCCATCCCCAAATCCCTCCCCAAAGCAGAAGCAGCTCAGGCAGAAGAGAGGGAGACAGGGAGATCCTGACCCCCTTTGCCAGTGAGCAGGACCGGAGGTCCACACTGGCGTTGGGGTTGAATGGACTCCCAGCCTGAGAAGAGTTTTCCTTCCTGATCTTGGGAGCTAATTCAATGCCCTAGAGGGTGGTGGGCCTGGCAGTGGAGGCCACCCCACACCTGCACCCTCCTTCTTCCCCTCCCCCATCACTCAAAACCCCGGACCATTCACTTAGGTTGCTGTGCCCAAACCCTCCACCTGCAGGCAACTGCCACCCGAGGGCAGGCAGGGGGAAAGGACCTAGCTTCCTGCCCTCATCTCCTGTCCCTCAGAATCCAGGGTCTGAGGAAGAGTGGAGGTCACAACTCCAGGAAGACCAGAAACACTGGCCCAAGGGATGGTGGAGGGGCACATTCGGCCCAGGCCACAGTTCGGGCTGTGGAGCATTCCGGGATCAGACAGTTGTTTGCATAAAAGCCAAAAGCCACTGCACCTGGGGTGGGGAGGCCCTCTGGGGAGGTGCTCCCTGGCTTAGGGGAGAGGGGGGAAGGAAGGTGTCATGGAAAGTCCCTGAAGGACACGGGGTGTTGAATTTGCTGTGGTTTTGTTTTTAACTCTGTCTTGACCTGTGAAGTAGGCAGCTGCCTCCCTTCTCCGCAAATAACAGATCTTCCCCCAGAATAACACACATACCCAAGGAAAGGGCTGCAGTGGAAAGGCCTGCGGGTGATGGCAGCTACCCCCCTTCCCCAGGAGTGAGGGGGCAGGAAGCCCCAGAACAGCCTTTCCCATCACCTCGCCTCTCCACCCCAGTACCCTGGCCCCCTGGCCCAGAAGAGCTGCCTAGGCAAATAAACCACAGCACTGGGGGTGGTGGTGGATGGGAACTAGGGGGGCGATGCCACCTCCTCCCCCGGGCTTGTCCTTCCACCGCCCAATCCCCATCCCACCCCCACTGGAATTGCATTCTCAGTGTCTCACTGAGAATGTCTCACTCACAGACCTCAGCTGCCCCGCTAGACTCCTGGGGAGCTGTGTGTCTCTTTGCGTGTGCGTGTCTGTCTCCATGTGTGCCTGTCTCTCTCCTTGCATGTCTGTCTGTGTGTGTCTGTGTATCTGTGTGTGTGCGCGCGTGCACGTGTCTCGTGTGTGTGTGTTTGTGTGTGTTGAGGGAAAGCAGGCTGAGTCAGTGAATCCAGCAAAGCTCTGAAGTCCCAAGCAAAAGACAGTCGCAGACTCCCGCAACTATTTGGAGTCCTGGTTCCAATCCCAGCCCTCTCCCTCTCGGGATGAGCCCAGACACTTGACTTCCCCTTCTGGGCGTTGATTTTCCCCAGAGTCAGGGATCTCTGAAGGGCCTTCCAGCTGGTACTCCTAAGACAGGCCTCAACCTCACTGCACCAGCCGGGCTCCAGGTCTTCCCTCTCTCTCCTCTCCTCACTGGACGCTGGAGCTAGAGTAATAGTGGCCGGGCCCTGACTCTCTCAAGATGTCATTTTCCTAACTGTTCTATCAAATTCCAATCCTGGACCCCAGGGGTAGGGGACAGGATCCCCTCACCTGTGGAATTATAGGAGGCTCGGAATAACGCGCGCTGAGGCTGGGTCTGAACCCCCGGCCCCCGCCCTTTCTCAGGTTCTCCTCTTAATTCTGCGTGGACCCAGACCCCAGATTCCCGGCTAGGGTGCCTGGGAGAGGAAAGGGAGGCCGGCGGAGAGGGGGCAGGGGTGCGGCGCGCGGTGGGAGTGAGGGGGGTGTGAGGGGAGGGGCAGCTGCACTTCTGAGAAACAGCTCGGCGTCTCAGCAGCCCGCAGCCTAACCCCCTGCCTGCGGCTTCACAGCTCCCTCCTCCCGCCGCCCACGCCGCTCGGGGCCTCTCCGGGGGTCGGCAGCCCCGGCGGAGACGGTGTCTGCTGGGGAGGAGCGGCAGCTCGGGGGACAGCAAAGTGGAACCCATGGGGGGTGGGAGTGGACATGGAGGAAAGCGTGGGTCGCGTGACACCCCAGGAGTGAAAGGCCTCCCCTCATCGGGGTCCCGAGCGCCGGATCTCGGCGTGCCCGCGTGTTCCCCCGCTGCCCCCGCGCTGTCCTATCACAGCCCGAGCAGGATCCAGAAGTGAAACTGCCCGGGTCACAGCCCAGCGCCGCTGCTGCACCCCGCCCCGCCCTTCCGGGCACTGCCGCTGCGCAGGATCTCCCGGCGCTCGGGCGCCTGCGGGGAGGAAACGGGGGAGGGGCAGGGGAAGTGCCCCCGCGGGCATCTGCAGCGCGCGGCCGCTCTCCTCCGGGGTGCCCGCGCGTAACCGGGGTGGGAACCTCGAGAGACAGGAGCCCCGGAGGCCTGGCCGCGGCGACCGCACTTCCCGCGACGGCCGCTGGGTGTCACTGCAGCCGCGCGGCTGAATCGGCTCGGCGCCTGCGGGAGTGGGGGACGGTGGGACGCCGGGACTAGGCCGTCGCGCTGCACGCCAGTCTCGCCTGCCCGCGCCTGGAGGCTCCGCGACGCTGGGATGCGGCGCCCACACCTTCCTCCACCCGCCTGGCCAAGGAAGCACCTCCCGCCTCGCCCACAGACTCGCAGCGAGGCCCGGACTAAGCAACGCCCCGGGGCGACCGGCTCGTTGCTGCGGCGCCACGCAAGCCACGAAACCGATGGCGCGTCCCCTCGTGGGGCCGAGTTCAAAGAGCCGCGACCCCGACGCGCGCCCCCTGGCGAAGCCGGCGGCCTTCCCTCCGCAGAGGCACGAGGGGCCGCCACGACGGAGGGTGGCTCGGTGGAGCCTGGCGCCCGTCGGCCCCGGCGCGCGCATGCGACTTGGGTGGTGGCGGAAGGGCGGGCGGCGGGGCAGATCGCCTCAGGCACCGGCCCAGAACGGCTGAGAGACGGGTCCCCCGTGTATCCTCCCCTACCCCAACCTGGCCTGACAAGTGTGGGATCCAGCCTTACCCAGCCACCCCCTGGCCCCAACACTAAGTTCCTCCAGTAGATGTGTGGGGCAGGGTGCCTCAGCCTGGGAGGAAGGAACCCTCCCTTGGGAGGCCAAAGCGGGAGGATCACTTGAGGTCAGGAGTTTGAGATCAGTCTGGCCAACATGGCAAAACCCCGTCTACTAAAAATACAAAAATTAGCTGGGCGTGGTGGCGCACGCCTGTAATCCCAAACTACTCAAGAGGCTGAGGCAGGAAAATCGCTTGAACCCAGGGGGTGGAGGTTGCAGTGAGCTGAGATCAGCCACTGCACTCCAGCCTGGGCAACAGAGTGAGACTGTAAAAAAAAAAAAAGAGAGAGCGAGAGAGAGATCCCTGGAATCTTTTGGGAAATTGGGGTAGTGCCAGTAGGAATGCCCTGGAGGACAGGACTCAGGGCATGGGAGTTGGGCAGGTGAATGCGGATGACCGTGCCTGTTGGTCACAGCTGTGTGAGGGTGCGGGTGGCCCGTTCCATCCCTGCTTACAGCTTCCCCTCCAACTCCAAGGTCACAGGGCCCAGTTCCACTACCCAGACCCTAAGGAGATCCACGTGGTTGTCCTGAGGGGGTGGTTTCTGCCTTCCAATCTCCCTCAGTCTGCCCCAAACCACCCTAAAATAAACCTAATCCAAGTAAGAACAAAGTGCTTACAACAAAAATGCAGCTCCAGGCCCGGCGCGGTGGCTCACACCTGTAATCCCAGCACTTTGGGAGGCTGAGGCGGGCGGATCACATGAAGTCGGGAGTTCGAGACGAGCTTCACCAACGTGGATAAACCCCATCTCTACTAAAAATACAAAATTGCTGGGCGTGGTGGTGCATGTCTGTAATCCCAGCTACTTGGGAGGCTGAGGCAGGAGAATTGCTTGAACCCAGGAGGTGGAGGTTGCGGTAAACCGAGATCACACCATTGCACTCCAGCCTGGGCCACAGAGCGAAACTTGTCTCAAAAAAAACACAAAAACAAAAAAAGCGAAACAAAAAAAACTCCAGCTAAACAGCCCCCCCAGGTGCCCATCAAAGAAAAACTTGCCCCTTCCTTGGGGTAGATGCAGCCGTGTGAGAGGGTGTCAGATGACATCATAACTCAACCCACATGGGATTGAATTTCAGGCCTCATCCCCATTTCCCCACACCGCCCCTTCTTGTATGGTGAACTTCGAGAACGCTTGTGGAGCAGCCTCAGCCCGCCCTCCCCACACCCCAGGATCGCCCACACCCCCAGGCTCTGGAGTCCAGTCTGCAACATCCAACTCCCCCAGGATCTAACTCCTTCTTTTCTCTCCTCCCCCAACTCAACTGAGAGCTCAGAGTCGTTTGTCCTAATTGCCACTGCATACTCCCCCTCAAGTCCCAAAGCTGAGGTTCTGCCAACAGCACAGGACAGGAAAGCAGTCTGCAGACGCCCCACCACTGTGCGAGTTGGACCAAGCCCTGACCTCTCTGGGCCCTCTTTCTATCTGTTGGACCAGATCAGTACTTCACTGGTTCAAGCCTTTTTCCTGAATATACCATAAGGCTCAAGTTCCAGATAGAAAGGCAATGCATCCCCCATCACCACCCCAACCTGCCCCTCAAGCCCCTGCCAGAACCCTTGGGCTCTGGGAAGGAGTTAGAAAACTGCTTATGTGGATAGTTTGGAAGAAAGAATCCTTCCAAGTGGCTTTGGGCTCCCCTGTCTGTGTCCTGTCCTTCCTCTCTTCATCCCTCATCAGGGTGCCTGGCACTGGGGCCCAAGGAAGGAGCCAGGCAGGGTCCCTGACCTGATGTTGAACCCTTGGGCCTGTCCACCACCCGTGAACTTGGATGTTGCAGAACTGGCCAGGGCTTTGTCTGGATGCCCCGCCCAGGGAGGTGGGCTCCCCTGGAATCATGCCCACCCCCATCCCAGAGTCCAGAGCGTTGGCAGCAGTCCTCCCTCCCCTCCACACTTGAGCAGGCAGGGAGGCCAACATTGTAGCCACACCCTCCACAGAACCCCTACCCTAAAGGCCCATGGTGCTGCCAAGGATAGCAATGTGCCCTGGCACCCGGCTCCCACCGGCCACGCTGGTCCCGGGAAGCTGGAACGTGTGATGCATGGCAGGCAGCACTTCGCGTCAGCTCCCCAGATGTGGGCCCTGTCACCCTCTCTCAGTACTGGGTCCTCCTCTGCATGGAAAGATGATGAGGAATTTCCCCTTTGCCCTCAAGTTTTTTTCTGAAATGTTTTTAATAAGTACGTATAATTTTAGAATGAAACCCAATAAATCAATTTTGAAAAGACAGTATCTGAGGTCCCAGCCCCCACCCTCTCCCCCAGAGAAGCCCCTGCTTCCCCTCCCACCAGCCCAGATTTTCTCAGAACCACAAGCCTCCCCGATCTAGCACTGCAGCCGTCCTTGGCAGTCCTTTCTGCTGTCTGACCACTGTAGGTCATGCTGCAGTCTCTGAGGTAGAGCAGCATCCTTCCCACATCCTCAGAGCTGGGGGATCTTACCCAGGGGTTCCACTGTGAGCTGGCCCTGAGAGGGTCCCTGTGCCCCCAAACTCTTAGCAGCTACGTCTCCAAAAAGCCAGAAATCTCAGACACTCACCAAGAATGGGCTGCTGCTGGTCTCAGGTGGCCAGATCAGGGCCAAATGCTGCCCCCTCTAAGGGCTCTCGGCAGCCTAGGTCCCTCACTGTGGCCAGCACTGAGAAGGGAGGGGGCAGAGAACAAAGGCTAGAGCAGGGCAGGGCTGCATTTCACCACCTGTCCAGTGGGCTGAGTCTGGCCTCTGTCCCGAACTCCCTCTGCGACCCCTGTCGCAGGTGAGTCCCTGTCTTTCCCTGAGCCTCAGTTTCCCATTTGTAAAGTGGGAAGGACATCTGTCTCACAGTCTCCAATTAGCTGATTGACAGAGAGGCTTTGTCTCTGCCCAGTGCCTCAGGCTGTGAAGGGACACTGGGTCCTCTTTTTTTACAGTCTGAACCCCTGGACATGCTGAAGAGGTGACTCATCTTGACCCCTTTACTCTCACTCCAGCCTGGAACTCTGGCACCCACACCTCGGAGGTGGCCCTGGGCACCCATGGCCAGCCACACAGCTGACACTGCCCTGTTCGGTGCTCGAGCCACAGCCTGTGGTGGGGATGGCTCTGGGAACCGTGGCAGGTGGCAGGCAGCAGGTTGCACTGGGTCCTGCCTCCAGTCCTGCTAAAAAGAAGCAAAATCTGCCACCCTTCCTGCCCTTGGGCTGCAGTAAGTTCTTCCAGCAGATTCCCAGGAGGTCCCAGGCTGGGGTGTGCATGAGACCTCTCTGCCCACCTCTGTCTGCTGGACCTGGTCCCAGCTTCCCAGCCTGGAGTTAGCCAAGGATGGGGGTGCCTTGGTCGGGAGTGGCTGCCAGGGCTGCCAGACCCAGCCCAGGGGCTGATTGCAGAGGCTGCACAGTCTCAAGGTCACCTCAGGACAACCCTCCAGGCCAGAGACCAAGGCTGCAGGGAAGGGAGGGGCTCTCTAAGGGAGGACCCCAGTAGGCCACTATTGCTGTCACTGTGGCTGAGGAATGCCACCTGGACGTCAGCCAGACAGGGGAAGCAGAACATGCCCAGACCTGGTCCTCAGACCTGGGTTGGAATCTTGGCTCTCCCACTGTGATCTGGGGCCAGGCTGCCCACTGGGCCGTCAGTTTCCTCACCTACAAAACAGCGTCTCACCACCTCCTGCCCAGTCAGTCCCAAAGATTTGAGAAGGGGCTCTCCATTAAAATATATCAATATATAATAGAATATCCAAGCATATACAAAGGTGGAGAGGATAATTTAACAAATCCCCACATAGCCAGTACCTGTCACCAAGCTTCAACCAATATCAACAGCCAGTGTCAACTCATGGCCACACCATGACTATGCCCACACCCTCTCCTTTAACCTCTGGATTTCATTTTTTTCTTTTTATTTTTTGAGACAAGGTCATGTTCTGTGGCCCAGGCTGGAGTGCAGAGATGCAATCATGGCTCACACCAGCCTTGACTTCCTGGGCTCAAACGATCCTTTCACCCCAGCCTCCCAGGTAGCTGGGACCACAGATGCATGTCACCACACCTGGCTAATTTTTTATTTTTTATTTTTGTAGAGAGGGCCTCACTATGTTGCCCAGGCTGGTCTCAAACTCCTCCCACCTCAGCTCCCAAAGTACTGGGATTACAGGCATGACCCACTGTGCCTGGCCACCTCTGGGTTATTTTAAAAACAAAGCTTCAGCATTACTCAATATACCCAGGTAATAAACCTGCACATGTACTCCCTGAATCTAAAATAAAAGTTGGAAAAAAAAAAAAGAAAAGGAATAAAAACAAAGCTGAGACATCATGTGATTTCACCTTTAAATACTTCATAATGAATTTCTTAAAGATAAAGATTTAGAAAAAACCGTAACTGCAATACCATTATTACACCTTAGAAAGTTAGCCATAATCCCTTAATATCATCGAATATCTGATCAGAATTCAAATTTCCCCCAATTGCTCATAAATGCTTTTTACAGTTAGTTTGCATTTGAATCAAAGGTCAACACATCATTTGGTTGATATATGTCTAAATTTCTTGAAATCTAGAGATTGCCCATCTTTTCTGGTAATTTTGTTGCTGTTGAAGAAGAAACTGGGTTATCTGTTCTGTAGAATTTCCCAATCTGGATTTTTGTCATTGTTTCCCTTGTATTTCCCGTAAACTAGTTGTTGAATCCAAGGAATCAGATTCAGGTTTGGTGTTTTGACAAAAACAATGACTAGTTGGGGTTCACAGGTCTGCAGGAGGGTCTGTCTCCTGAGTTAAGCAGCAAGTTCAGATGCAGTCGATCTGACATATTTATTAAAGAGCTCCCATCAGGTAAGAGCTCAAACTAAAAAACTCTTAGACAAGGCCAGGCGCAGTGGCTTGGGTGTGTAATCCCAGCACTTTGGGAGGCCAAGGTGAGTGGATCACTTGAGGTCAGGAGTTCAAGGCCAGGCTGGCCAACATGGTGAAACCCCGTCTCTACCACAAATACAAAAAATTAGCCAGGCGTGGTGGCAAGCGCCTGTAATCCCAGTTACTTGGGAGGATGAGGCAAGAGAATCGCTTGAACCCAGGAGAAGGAGGTTGTAGTGAGCTGAGATCGTGCCACTGCATTCCAGCTTGCGCAACAGAGTGAGACTCCATCTCAAAAAACAAAACAAAAAAACCTCTAAGACAAAAACATAGACTGGCATGAGCAGTGGGCAGAGGCCAGACATCTGTCTTTTTTTTTAAGACTGAGTCTTGCTCTTGTTGCCCAGGCTGGAGTGCAATGGCATGATCTTGGCTCACTGCAACCTCTGCCTCCCCGGTTCAAGCTATTCTCCTGCCTCAGCCTCCCTAGTAGCTGGGATTACAGGTGCCCGCCACCATGCCCAGCTAATTTTTGTATTTTTAGTAGAGATGGGGTTTTGCCATGTTGGCCAGGCTGGTCTCAAACTCCTGACCTCGTGATCCGCCCGCCTCGGCCTCCCAAAGTGCTGGGATTACAGGTGTGAGCCACAGTGCCCTGCCGGGAGTGGTGAATTTATATTTGAGAAAAGATCACTCTGGGTGCTGAAGGATGTGTTGGAGATGGAAGCCAGATGCAGAGGGCTGAATGCTAGCAGGCTCCATTTATATGGCTTTCTGGAAGGGGCAGAACTAGGACAGAAAGGAGGTTTCAGTTTGGGTAGGAGGGAGCATGGCTGATAGTAGGGGGCACAGGGACTTGTTGGGGGTGATGAGGCCATTCTGTGTCTTGGTGGTGGGGCTGGATGCATAACTGTGTGCATGCTGGGGCCAACTATCCGTCAGCTAGTCCAGGACTAGCGGAGGACAAGCATGCTGTCGGACTCATCTCCAACTCCCAGGCCCTGTTAATTACCTCTCTAGACTTAGACTGTCAGAAAATCTCTCTGGGATGATGGTCTCTTGTCTATTCACTTACTTAATTAGCAATGACTGGGCGCCTACTATGTGTCAAGCTGCATGGTGGGCACTGGAGACTCTCAGATAACCACTCCTGCCCTTGAGGAACATCCAGGCAGGCTGAGACATGGCCTCGATCCATTTGACACTTCCACCAAGGCCTCCACAGGTGCCCACCTCTCCAGGTCTCCCCTCTTTTTTTTTCCAGACAGGGTCTCACTCTGTCACTCAGGCTGAGTGCAGCGGCACAATCTCAGTTCACTGCAACCTTGACATCCCAGGCTCAAGGAACAAGGGATCCTCCCACCTCAGCCTCCTGAGAAGCTGGGACTACAGGTGCACACCACCATGCCCGGCTCATTTTTTTATTTTTTGTAGGGACAGGGTCTTGCCATGTTGCCCAGGCTGGTCTCAAACTCCTGGACTCAAGCAATTCTCCTACCTTGGCCTCCCAAAGTGCTGGGATTACAGGCATGAGCCACCACGTCCAGCTCTGGTTCCCTTCTTGATTCAGCCAGCCAGGCCTTGCCAGACAGAACTCATAGGTGTATCAAAAAATAATCTTTATTGTCACTAGTATAAAACAGAGCAGATCAACTGGCCTCTCGGTCTGTACAAAGTGTGGGGCGTGAAACCGCCTGGGCTGCCCCCACTTCTCCCATAATTCCCTGCCCTAGAGCAGCACCTCCAGAGCTAGGAGAAGGAGAGGGGGCCACCCAAGGCCTTCCCTTGAGGAGAGGGGTCAGGAGTGGACTGGAGTGGGGGCTGTTTTCTATCTGAGGGAGGCAAAGAAGCAGAGGAGAAAACTGGAGTGGCGGAACCCTCCCGCTCCTCATCCCGTCCCCTGTGGCCGCGCCCCAGAGTCCACTGGATGGGTGGAGGGGCGGCGGGCAGCCTGAAGGCGGGCTGAGGCATGAGCCAGTCCACGGCCTGGTCAGAGGGCCACCCGCGTGCAGCAATGGCGCAGCAAGCACGGCAGGATGCCGCGGTTCAGCTGGTGGAACTCCACGAGCTGCAGCAGGTCAGTGAAGCGGGTCTGGCCATCATCCATGCTGAAGTACAGGCGGCCCTCCTCCTCGCTCTGGGGTACAGTAAAGGGGGTGGAAGTTCAGGGAGGGGCCCGAGGCTTGGGAAGCTCCCTCCTGGGCCAGGGCCCCACCATTTCCTTTTATTCTTTTCTTTTTTCTTTTTCTTTTTCTTTCTTTTTTTTTTTTTGAGACAGTTTTCTCACTGTGTCATCCAGGCTGGAGTGTGGTGGTGCCACCATGGCTCACTGCAGCCTTGACCCTCTGGGCTCAAGCAATGCTCCCACCTCAGCCTCCTGAGTAGCTGGACTACAGGTGTGCACCACCATGCCTGGCTCATTTTTAAATTATTTGTAGAGATGGGGTCTCCCTGTGTTGCCCAGGCTGGTCTCGAACTCCTGGGCTCAAGCCATTCTCCCACCTTGGCCGTCCTAAGTGCTGGGATTACAGGTGTGAGCCACCGCACTCAGCCTCCCACTTCTTGTGCAGGGAAAAGGGAGACGCACTGGGGGCCAGGGAGCCTCTGGAGGGGCCTGGTGAGGAGGACAGGTTGCTGGGAGTCCTGTGTCTCATTGCAGGACTCCGGGGACGCAGGGAAGCTCACCGGCAGGATGAGATAATGCTTCACTTTCTGCAGGTGGCACAAAGAGAGGACAAAGCCCTGGGGGTTCCGCTGACTCTCCCGGACCAGGAACAGGCTGCCAGAAGACAGGAGATGGGGCAGCATTACTACCCAAGGACCATGGCTGCCACCTGGACCCCAGTCTCTCTTATCCCTGGGTCTGTTGCCCGGCCCTGCCCCTTACCCGTCTACCAAGCCCTGCTGTCCAATAAGCCGCTGGCTCTCCTCACGGGAAATGCGCCCGTGGAACCAGAGTTGGGTGCGGTGGATGGCTGTGGTGGGGAAGGACATGGGCGGTCACTTTGGGGAGGGGACCCCTATACCATCTACTCCCCACTGGGAATACAAAGAGAAGTTGAGGCAGCCCCCGCCCCAGGACTCGGGGCCGTCACCCACCTGCACTGAGGCTCGTGCCGGAGGCTGGCATGGGCAGGCTGAGGCGGTGGTTTGTCTTCTTCTGTGGAGCAGTGGGAGATACGGGAGAGTCGGGGCGTGCTTGGGGGCATTACCCAGCACCTCAGGAAGGTAGAGCACTTCTTCCCAGCCAGGGGCCTCCCCCCGCCCTCTCTTCCTCCCTCCTATTTCAGGGATCCCACCCAGAGAGTGGGTCCCCAGCACAAACACACACACACACAGCAGGCCTCACCCTCCAGGCCTGGGCCTCCTCCAGGGCCACACTCAGAGCCTCCCGGGGGTTCTCAATGACACGCCCAGCATGGCCAGAGAAGTCCATGGCCACCAGGGTATTATCTGAGGCACTTCTCTGGAGATGGAAGGAGAGGAGAGAGGTCAGAACAGGGCCCAGGTACCCGTAAGACAGGGCCTGCATACCCACCCTCCCATCCCCTTGGGCACACTCACCAAGGGTGGGGAGCCCAAACAAGATGGATGCAGATGGCGAGACTGTGCCTGCTGGTAATTCTTGTACAGCTGCACCCCGTACTGGGGGTGGGGAGAGAAAGAGAGCTTGAGGTCGAGAGGTCCTGGGGGCGTGGCTGTGACGCCCCCCTCAGACCAGGACTTGCCCAGACCAGGGCTGTGTTTCTGCCTTCGATGGGCACTTCCTATAACTTCAGGCTTGGACTGGGGGTTATCAGAGAGCAAGGCTGTGATGCCCTCCTCATTCCTGAGACTTCCTGAGGGCAGAGCTGGGGATCCCTCTGGCCAGGCCAGCCCCCCATGCCACTCCCAGGGTCTCACCTTGAAGAGGCGGAAGGCAGCCAGCCAGCAGGTGCGGCTCTGCTCATCTTCACTGCAGAAGATCCGAAGCCCCTTGTGGCCATTTCGAAGCTTGTTGGGCTGCAGAGAGAGGAAATTGACTGGTCCCATATCTGCCTTTAGGACCACATGTCTGCCCCTGCTCCACATAGCAGAGCTGAATCCAGGAGTTTCCAGCAGGCCAGGGTGCAGGGAGAGGAGTCTAGGTGTCTGAATTGGGGCTCAGAAGCCCCGGGCAGGATCCAGGGGCCTGAGCAGTTCCTGCTTCCCCAGGCCAGGGGCCAGGCCTGGCCAGGTCTTCACCTTGACACAGAAACCGAAGTCAGTGGGCATCCCGTAGAGCTTGCGGCCCTGCGTCACCACGTACACGTTGGACTCGTTCACATCTGCCACGTACTGCAGGTGCCTCGGATCCTAAGCAGCATGAGTGAGCAGGACTTGGTACAGGTAGATCCCGCCCACTATTACCTCCCCCCACAAGCCAGGTGGGGAGATTTCAGGACCAGAGAGGGGCAGGGGAATACCCAGGGTCACACAGCAAATAGAAGTAGAGCCAGGACTTAAACTAAGATCATCTTTTCTCCTGCTACCTCCCTGGGCAGGTGAGCTAGGCAAGGATGTAGGGAGAGATGGTAAACTGGAGGTGGCTGGCCTGGGGGGCCCAGGGGGAGAAGGGCTCAGAGGTTCCAGCAGAGAAGGGGCAACTTCTAAAAGGACCAGGGACTGGAGGGGCTGGGGCTGGTACCCTCAAGACCTTACCTTAGAGGTGCCCTTGGTGGAGTAATAGAGGCCAGATCGGCGCAAGAAGCAGAAAAAGCGTTTCCAAAGCTTCCGTCCTGAACCCCGCAGCTGCAGAAAGCCCTGGATCTCAGGAAAGCTGCCAGCATTCAGGAAGTTCTGAGCCAGAGGAGAGCAGAGGAGAGTGACAGGTCTGACCTCCTCCCTTCCCCTCTACCACCAGGATGTTTCTCTTTTTCTTTTTCTTTTTGAGACAGGGTCTCATGCTAGTGCGGTGGCACGATCACAGCTCACTGCAACCTCGACCTCCCGAGCTCAAGTGATCCTCCCACCTCAGCCTCCCAAGCACCTGGGACTACAGGCTCATGCCACCATTCCTGGCCTTTTTTTTTTTTTTTTTTTTTTTTTTGGAGAGACGAGGTCTCATTATGTTGCCCAGGCTGGTCTCAAACTCTCAAACTTCTAGGCTTAAGTAATCCTCCCGCCTCAGCCTCCCAAAGTGCTGGGATTATAGGCATGAGCCACCGTGCCCAGCCCACCCTCAGGTTTTTACAAGGAAATGCTCCACATGCATTTCTCGCCCCCATTTAATAGAAGAAACTGATGCTCAGGCAGGGAAAGTGACTGTCCCCAGTCACACAGGACTGTGATTTGGCTCTTTCTACAACATAGAGGGGAGGCACAGGACTTAAGGGTGGAGAAGCACTGGCCAATGCTGGGGAGTCGTGAATCTGCAGTGAAATGGGGGGTCCCCCCACCTGGATGAGGTCTTCATGGGATATACCAGTGTGTGCATCGAGACAGCTGGAGACCATTTTTTCTGGGAACAGGGAGTGCTGTGGGTAGACAAGTGTCAGGGATCAGGGCTCCAGCATCCAGGTTGAGGATCAGGGCATCCCAGCGCCCAGACAGCCCTCATGCACTCACTGGGGAGCTCTTGAACAGTTCGTACTTGGCGAAGTTTTTCCGGAAGACGAAGCGGCTATCTCCGCCCACGGGCCAGGCAGCCTGCACTTCCACCACGGACTCGTGGTCCTCCAAACCCCGCTCTGGGGACAAGGGCAAAAAGCAGGGGTTATTGGAGATCAACCAGATCTCCTGGATGAGCCACATGCCTAGCCCAAGATGCAAGGCATCATCTCCCAGCCCGGATAGTTCCATGCACCTGACTTACCCAGTGCTAGGTGGGGGTGGCACTCCACCAGCCCCCAGGTCTCGTCGCTCAAGGCGTGAGCTCGCTGCACCAGCATTTCACACACGTGGCGAGCTGTGGCACCTGCTGCCACCTCCACAGACCTGCAGGCCCCATCCTCACTGTACACCTTTACTACCTGCGCCCCAGGAATTGCACACGACTTGAGGGGAGGCAAAGGGTGATTCATTCCCTTTCCGCACCTGCTAGACCCTCAGGGACTCCTAACCAAGATCCCCTGCCTCCATGGAAGCGGCTGTGTATCTCCCACAGACCCAGAACCCGTGCATCCCTCCCTTCCCTTCTGAGGGACAACTCACATGGGGGCGGCTGGCATCGCGGGGGAGCAGCCCCCTTGCACTGGAGGGGCCCCCGAGAATTGGGCTCTGTGAGGGAGGACTGCAGAGCTCAGGGAAGGGGTTGGGGATAGAGGGGAGGGAGGTGGCACGCCTCTCCTCCTCTCGAAGTTTCCTGTGGCAAGAAGAAAAAGGGAGAGAGGTGTGGGGAAGGGAGCAGTGGCCTGCAAGCCTCTGTGTATTATCCAGCACTGACCTCCCCCAAGCCCCACGCCCCATCGTACCTGCCGGTGGTTGGGATGAGGAGAGGCTGGGACCTCTTTACCTCCTCAGGCAGAGGGGTATCAGGGGGCCGGGGAGTCCCAGGAGGGGTCCCAGGGGCTGGGCAAAGGTCTTCCGGAGAGCTGCTAAGATGAGGTGGAGACAGATCCAGCTCCATGGCGTCTGAGCAAGAGAGGGGCTTAACGGAACCAGTTGTGTGCCCTTGTCCTGGGGAGAGGGGATGAGAGAATTCAGACCTCCTGACCTCACACGGCGGTTAGGGTGCCCCTCAGAGTTTACCTAGCACCTCACTGCTCTAACTGGAGTTTCCCTGAAGCCCTTGGGGAAGGACAGAATGAGCCTCATTTTACAAAAGGGGACACCGAGTCTCTGAGAAGAAAGCATTCTTGCCCTCAGTCACAGGTGAGTCGGGAGTAGAACCTGTGTTTAGACTCCAAGTCCAGTGCTCTTTCTGTTTTTTTTCTCCTTTTTTTTTTTTTTTTTTGCAGCGGCGTCATCTCCACTCACTGCAACCTCCACCTCCTGGGTTCAAGTAATTCTCGTGCCTTAACCTCCCGAGTAACTGGGATTACAGGTGCCCACCACCACGCCCGTCTAATTTTTGTATTTTTAGTAGAGACAGGGTTTCACCATGTTGGCCAGGCTGGTCTTGAACTCCTGATCCGCCCGCCTTGGCCTCCCAAAGTGCTGGGATTACAGGCGTAAGCCACCACGCCCGGCTCCAGTGCTCTTTCTTTAGCACAAAGTTGCTCACAGGAAGAGCTGAGGGTCCACCCACCACAAGCCTGGTGGTCACAACAGATTTCACAACCCACAGACTCTCAGGCTCAGCCCTCAGGGTCAGGGCAAAGGCCCACTCCTTTGCCTCCACGTGTGGGGCACTCACTGCGCTGGGCTGTGCCCCGGGTTTTTCCAGCACTTTGTTGCCAGACCCAGTTGCCAGAGCCTGTTCATACTTGGCGAGGTTTGGCCTGCCCAAGTGATGAGTGATGCAGAGGGGAGAAGGAGGTGGGGAAGGATGGGAGTCAGAAAGGCAGGAGAGCGGGCTCCGCTGCAGTGCAAGGGGGAGAGCAGGGCCTGGGGTAGGGGTCCTGGCCCCAGCAGCCCCCAAACCTTGCGTACCCTCCCCAGGCCATCCTCCTGCCCAACTCTTTCCTGAAGCCCCAGTGCTAGAGCCACCTCCTCTGAGAAGCCTTCCTGGCCTTCCACATTCAGACTGAATGACTCTCTCTCAGCACTGTGCGGGGGCCGCATCATCCATTACTGTGCACCTGTCCTATCCACCCATTTGTCTGAGGGCACCTGGTACCCCCAGGCAAGGCCAATCTCACCCATGTCTTATCACTTATAGGGGCTGCACAGACACTCAAGACAAGTAAAGACAGGACAGCAGGCAAAGACGAGCACTAGAGGTGGAGGTGGGGCTGGCACCTTCTCCGCAGGAACCCAGCAGACCCCTTTGGCCGGGCTGAGACCTGGGAGAACCTGCAATCCCAGCCCCCAGCCTGTTCTCCAAACACTGGGCCAGTACTATGAGGCCACCTGGGGCACCTGGGATTGACCCCTCAGGAGGGAGCAGGCACCTGACCCTTCAGTGAGGGCATCAGGGGATTTGGGGGACAGGTGAGTCAGGGCGGGCGGGACAACACTGCCTAGGGCTCTCCATTCAACCTTGACTCATCCACACAACTTCCTGGCTTAGGAGAAACAAAAACAGCCCTGCCTCCACCCTTCCCCCAACTCCCCAACCCACTGCTAGCCAGAGCGGAATGGGGGAGGCACGGGGCTGGGAACAGGATGGGGGAGGAGGATGTGGGCCTGAGGCTCCTGACATCACCTCCTCCTCCCCACCCTCGGCCTAGCTCCAGGCCAGGTGGGACCTACGATCTGCTCTCACCCCCAGTCCCAAACCACCTCCTCGCCAGGGAGTCCCTCGCCTGGGAAGGAGAGAGGCAATGCCCGGCCTGGATTCAGAGGCCCATTTGGAGAGAAGCCAGCATCCCGGCGGTGCCCCTCCCCACCCAAAGCATCGCTCAGAGCCCCTGCCCTGTGTGGATGAAGTTCCTCCTGACACATTCTCCTGGGTGTCCCGGCCAGAGGGGTACCACAGGAGCAGGAGTGGAAAGGGAAAACACTCAAGAAGACAGACAGGATGAAAGGCCAGGGAGGGGGCTCAGGGTCCTGCCAGGAGGGGCACGACACACCCATCACCCGCTAGCAAGAGACACCAGCACCTCAATACCAGAACACAATCCCCCACTCCCACCCCAGTCTAACCTCCAAACAGCCCCGGTCTCCAAACAGCCCCAGTGACTTCATTCCAGGCTGCAGGGGGCCACGCCTGCCTCGAAATCACAGACCAACAGTGGGGTGGGGAGAGGAGCAGAGAATTCGGGAGGGCAGTGCTTGGAAGGGGTTAGAAGTAGATTCAAATCACATTAGAGCCTGGCCTCAGAGATCAGAGAGGGCCAGTCCAAGGCTGGGGTTTGCCTTCAGAGCCCCCCAGCCGTGCCCTTAAGCTTCTAAGGCTGGAGGCGGGTGGAATCGTCAAGACCAATGGGGTGAGCAGGGAGGAGGAAGGGGTCCTGGCTGTGGGCCTGGCAGCTTAGAGATCTGGAGTTTTCAAACTGAGGCCCCGGTAAAGCTTCGGTTGGAAACACCGACCCCCAAAATCAGTTTGTCCCCTCAACGAGGTAACTCCGTCCGTGGCTTCCCAGCTGCCTCCTCCCCCAGTGGTTCCAGCCCCACCCGCGTTCCCGTCCTCCCAACCTCCTTGTTTACTTCCTGAATCACGCCCCACCTGGCTGGCCCTAAGGGCAGGTGGCGGGGCCCGGTGTTCAGGGCCAACAGAAAACAACTCTGCTTCCCAGAGCAGGGGGAAGGGCTTGCGGGACTGAGGCCTGGGCCAGGGGCCTGGATGTGGCGGGAGAGCCCCCGTCCGCCCAGTACTCCACGCCCCGCCCCCACGGGAGAGGCTTATAATTTTTTAGGGTGCAGGGCCCAGGTGAGAAGGTGAGAAACCCCTGGATGACTCCTAGTATAAGGGAGGACCCAGGACTCTGAGGCCCCGCCCACTCTCACTCAGGAAAAATACCCAATGGGAGAAGGCGGGGCAGCTCTTTTAAAGTTTAATTCGGGAAGAATGCTGGAGTGTCTCTGCAGTTAATCATTACAGGCTGCCCGCCTCCATGAGGTCCCCCCACCAAGCATACAGTAGGATATCAGGAGAGGGGAGAGCAGAGTCCAAGACCGGCGGACCAAAAGAGGGCATTCCTGGGGGGCGGTGCGGCTAGTTGGGGGGCGGGGTGGGGGGCGTTCCACCTTGCCGGCAGATGCATTCATTCTCTGTCCTCAATCTGCCAGGGAGACCCAGACCGGGAACCTGGGTCTCTCCCTAGCCTCATCAAGCAGAAGAAACCATCTGCTATCCCCCACCCCACTCTCCCCAGGCCCCACCGCACTGCAGAGCCCCTCATACACCCCTCCAGCCTTCCTGCCCATTTCATGCTGAAGCCAGGAGGGACCCCGTCTCACCCGGCCTCCACTTTCCCATCGGAGGGCCGGAGGCGGTGTTGCTGAGAAGGGCATACAATCTGGAGAGATGAAGCCTCGACAATTTAGAGGATCCCTCTCCTTCACTGCCCTCCAAAGTGGAGGGGGCCCTCCCCACATCTCCCCGCAGCCCGCAGAGACGTCTGTCTTAGAGACTTGGGGAAACCCAAACTGGGGTAAACTGGGCGAGCCAGAGAGTGAGGGCGGCTCTCCCCGGGTGTGCGGGGAGGGGCTAGTTTCAGCGGGAAAGCCAAGTCGGAGGAGAGAATCAGGTCTTCCTTCCCATTCTCAGCTGCTGCCTGCAGGGAGGTGTACAGGGAGGGAACAAGGAGCGCTGGAAACCAGGATGGGGACGAAAAGAGGGCGGGTGGGGAGGAGGGGGCAGGGTGGGAAATGGACAGAAAAGAGAAAAGTGGGAGGCCAAGCAACCCATCAGGAGACCCAGCCTTTCCCTACCGGCCTCCAGACCGGCCGTGCCTGCCCCCAAAGGATAAATGCCCGCTTGGGTTCTTACCTGAACCCCGAGCGTCAGGACACCCGGCTGGGACCACGTCTTCAGGGAGGGAGACGCCAGGCCCTTAACTACCTGTCCCCCTCCAGCCCCCGCCCCTGGCCTGACATCACCGAGCGGGGGAGGGGGAGAGCCAGGTGGCTCCAATCCTCCCACCTGGGCCGCCGGCCAGTTCAGCCGGAGACTGGCACAGCCTGGGGCCCTGGTGCGGCTGGGGGTTGCCTGGCAGGCTGTCGTCTGAGACCGATCTCGGTCCCCTTACCTGGAGGAGCCCCAGCAGGAGTAGCAGGACACCCGTTCCGAAGTCTGGCTCCGTCTAGGAACCCCCAGATTCCTGGATTTTATTTCAGATCCACTCCCGCTTCTCTACAGGTGGTAGGAGGGTGTCCCGACTTCGGACAGAGAAGTCAGAGGCGGGGGGGAGCCCTGTGTGTCCAGATTCCAGGCCCAAGGAAACTAAAATTATCTTGGGCAGATGGGGGCGGGTCCAGGGGAGGCGCCTGGGAGGAGGAAACCTGGGAGGAGGGCGGAGACTCCCTGACTACGCCAACTGGGATTGTTTTTGCCCTTCCTAGCCTGGCAGCAGGTGCCAAGGGAGGATGCAGGTGCCTGGGGAGAGGCGGGGAAGACAGCCGAACAGACAGTACCACGAGCGAAGATCAAGAGTCCCGACCACCTGGGAGGGAGGGGGGAGGGCCTGGGGGCTGCAAGGTAAGGGGAACCACCCCATCCACTCTTTTCCAACACCCTCCCCGAACCTGGTCTGTTCATTGGCCAAGCCTGGGGGCCTGTCTGCAGCTCTGGATCCCACCCCATGGGGCAAAGAGCACCCTGCCGAGAGGGACGCCAGCCAGGGTGGTGTCCAGCAACATGGCCTGCCCCTCGATCTGCAGTCACCCTTACCGTGGTGGCTGCGCCCTGGCCCCTCAGAGGTACCCAGGGTAAGCCCTCCCTCCCCCGCCCCCCACCTTCTGAGCAAAGTCCAGAGTCTTGGCTTCTCCTTTAAAATCGAGGGGGTTAGGCAGGGTGGCACAGTGGGAGGAGCCATGGTGACCTGGAGAAAGCTCTGGCCTGGGCCCCTGGGGATTCCTCTTAGAGGGATCACTTTATTTTATTTTTTTTTGAGCCAGAGTCCCGCTCTGTCACCCAGGCTGGAGTGTAGTGGTGCCATCTTGGCGCACTGCAAACTCTGCCTCCCAGGTTCAAGCAATTCTCCTACCTCAGCCTCCGGAGTAGCTGGGATTACAGGCGCCTGCCACCACACCCAGCTAATTTTTGTATTTTTAGTAAAGATGGGGTTTCTCCATGTTAACCAAGTTGGTCTTGAACTCCTGACCTCAGGTGATCTGCCCACCTCGGCCTCCCAAAGTGTTAGGATTACAGGCATAAGCCACCACGCCCGGCCTGAGGGAACACTTTAGTTCTCTCAGGGATCACTTTAGCTGTCTCATTCAGTGCTGGGCAAACACAGGGTACTTGGGAGAGGGGTTAGGAGGTGGAGATCAAAGGCTGCGGCCACCACCCAGCTTGATGTGGGTGACAGGAAAACAAACAATCCTTAGGGTGATAAGAGGTCCACCCTGGAAGGGGCACGAATGAGTGGCTCCTGCCTCAATTTTCTCCAGAGTTTTCCTAGGAAAACCGGTATGAGTGGGCCCAGCAAAGAAGTGGGGGAGGAGGCAAGGTCTCTTTGGTGATGGAGCAGCTTGTGCAAAGGCAGAGTAGACAATTCACTCATTCATTTATTCAACTATCTGTTTAGTACCTACCATATGCCAGCCCCATGTTTTGTGCTGGGGATACAGGCGTAAACAACAAAAACAGACCCCGCCCATCCTCACACAGCCAATCAGGAAGATTGATGTTAACCAAAGAATCACACAAATAAGAAATGACAGGAGACAACTATGCTGGGAAAATGACTCACATAGGGAGTCAGGAAAGACTTCTCAGTGGAGGTGACAGCTGAGCAGAGGAGAAGCTGGCTGACATGGGAAGGGGGTTGGAATCGGTGGATGGGAATTGGGGAAGGAGGCCACTTTCCCCAGTGAGGAAATCAATGCCAGAGCTCTGGGCAGGAGGAGATGCAGCATGCGGAGACAGAGAGTGGGGTTGGAGGAGAAGGGAGGAAGCAGAGGCCACGTGGGTGAACCTGGACAGGTGTGGAAGGTGTGGAGAGAGGAAGCTGTGCTTCTGCAAATGTGGCCTCTAGACCTCCCTAACCTTGTGTGGAAAATAGATTCTTGGGCTCCTCTCCAGCAACTGAATCTCAGTCTCTAGGGCTAAGACCCAGGAAGGTGTGGTATTGACAAGCCCTCAGGTGGCTGTTCTGCAAACCAGGTTTGAGAGCCATCCATCCTGTTTGTCCAGATGGGCAGGAGTAGCGGTCAAAGACCAGACCCTGCAAGTTGTATTTAGACTTAAGTAGAAGCACAGAGGAGAGGGCACATTTACATTTTGGAAAGATCATCCTGGATATTGAAGGATGGGATGGAAACAAAGCCACAGTCAGAGGGCGGAGTGCTGTAGGAATCAACTTATATGGCTTTCTGGAGCGGGTGGAACTGTGTGAACAAAAACCAGGTCTGGGGTTGGGGAGGAGGGAGAGGGGTCCACAGTAGGGGGCACAGGGACTTGTGAGAGGTGATGGGACCATACTGTATCTTGGTTTTGGGGTTGGATGCACAAATGTGTGTGTTTCTTAGGACTCATAGAAAGGCACACTCAAGGCTGGGTGCGTGGTTCACCCCTGTAATTCCAGGACTTTGGGAGGCTGAGGCAGGTGGATCACGAGGTCAGGAGTTCAAGACCAGCCTGACCAACATGGCAAAACCCCGTCTCTACTAAAAATACAAAAATTAGCCGGGCGTGGTGGCGTACGCCTGTAATCTCAGCTACTCAGGAGGCTGAAGCAGGAGAATCTCTTGAACCCACGAGACGGAGGTTTCAGTGTGCTGAGTTCGAGCCATTGCACTCCAGCCTGGGAGACAAGAGCGAGACTCCATCTCAAGAAAAGAAAAAAAAAAGAAAGGTACACTCAAGAGGATGAATTTTACTGTGTATAAGTTGTATCTGAATTTAAAAACAACAACAACTATAAGGCCAGGTACGGTGGCTAACACCTGTAATCCCAACACTTTGAGAGGCCGAGGCAGGTGGATCATGAGGTCAGGAGTTCGAGACCAGCCTGGCCAACATGGTGAAACCCCGCCTCTGCTAAAAATGCAAAAATTAGCTGGGCATGGTGGTGTGCACCTATAATTCCAGCTACACAGGAGGCTGAGGCAGGAGAATTGCTTGAACCCAGGAGGCGGGGGTTGCAGTGAGCTGAGATCGTGCCACTGCACTCCAGCCAGGGTGACAGAGCAAGACTCCGTCTCGGGGGAAAATAATAATAATAATAAATAAGAATGCGTTTATAGGTCAATGGAACAGAATCCAGAGTCCAAGTAGAAACCCTTACATTTCTGGTCAATTGATTTTACAAGGTGCCAAGACAATTTCATGGAGGAAAGGATAGGCATTCAATAAATGCTGCTGTGATCAATTGGATAGCCACATGCCAAAAGGTGAATTTAGATCTTTTGCTCACAGGATGCATAAGAAAAAAAAAACTTGAAATAGATCAGATACCTGAATGTAAGAGCTAAAACCATAAAACTTCTAGAAGAAACCATGGGAGATAGTCTTCATGACCTTGGGTTAGGCAGAGAACTTGAATATAACAGCAAAAAGACAACTGACAAGAGAAAAAAATTGATGTTAGACTTTGTCAAAATTTAAAATTTTTGCACTTCAAAAGCCACCATTAATAAGAGGCCAGGAGGCCGCGCGCAGTGGCTCACACCTGTAATCCCAGCACTTTGGGAGGCCGAGGCGGATGGGTCACCTGAGGTCGGGAGTTCAAGACCAGCCTGGCCAACATGGAGAAACCCCATCTCTACTAAAAAAAAAAAAAAAAAAAAAAAAAAAATACAAAATTAGCCAGACATGGTGGTGCATGCCTGTAATCCCAGCTACTCGGGAGTCTGAGGCAGGAGAATCGCTTAAACCCAGGAGGCGGAAGTTGCAGTGAGCCAAGATGGTGCCATTGCACTCCAGCCTGGGCAAGAAGAGCAAAACTCCATACGAAAAAAAAAAAAAAAAAAAAAAAAAAAAAGAAGGGGTCAGGCATGGTGGCTCATACCTGTAATCCCAGCATTTTGGGAGGCTGAGGCAGGTGAATCGCTTGAGCCCAGGAGTTTGAGACCAGCCTAGGCAACCTGGCAAGACCTCATCTCTACAAAAGATATAAAATCTATCCAGGCATGGTGGTGCGGGCCTATAGTCCTAGCTACTTGGTGGGGCTGAGGTGTGACAATCACTTGAGCCTGAGAAGTTGGGGCTGCAGTGAGCTGTGATTGTGCTACTGCGCTCCAGTCTGGGTGACAGAGAAAGACACTGTCTCAAAGAAAAGAAAGAAAAAATGAAGCCAGATGAAGTGGCTCATGCCTGTGATCCCAGCACTTTGGGAGGCTGAGGTAGCCAGATCACTTGAGGCCAGAGTTCCAGACCAGCCTTGCCAACATAGCGAAAACAGCCTGGCCATTGCTACTAAAAACACAAAAAATTATCTGGGCTATGGTGGTGCACGCCTGTAATTTCAGCTGCTTGGGAGGCTGAGGCACAAGAATCTCTTGAACCCAGGAAGTGGAGGTTGAAGTGAGCCAAGATTGTGCCACTGCACTCCAGCCTGGGTGACACAGTGAGACCCCTGTCTCAAAAAAAGAAAGAAAGAAAGAAAAAAGAAAAAAAACTAGCCGAAGACTGGGAGAAAATAGTTGCAAATCATATACAACTATATATGGTTGTATATATGGTTGTATATATTTTGGTTGGTATCCAAAATATATAAAGAACTTTTACAAATCAATAATAAAGAGACAAATAAAAATGGGCAAAAGACTTGAATAGATGTTTCTTCAAATAATATGTATATGAATGGCTAATAACTACATGAAAAGATACACGACATAGTCATTAGATAAATGAGAATTAAAACCACAGTTACATACCATGTCATGTCCACTAGGATGGTTATAATCAAAGAGACAGAAAACAAGTATTGGTGAGGATATGGAGAGACAAATCCTCATATATTGCTGGTGGGAAAACTTTGAAAAACAGTCTGGCCATTTCTTAAAATGTTAAATGCTAGCCTGGGCAAAATGGCAAAACCTTGTCTCTACAAAAAATACAAAAAAAAATTAGCTGGGCATGGTGGTGCGTGTCTGTCGTCCCAGCTATTCAGGAGGCTGAGGCAAGAGGATAGCTTGAGTTTAGCAGGTCGAGGCTGCAGTGAGCCATGTTTGCACTGCTGCATTCCAGCGTGGGCAACAGAGCGAGACCCTGTCTCAAAAAAAAAAAAGATAATCATAAATTAAACACAGGACCCAGCAGTTCTACCCTTAGGAATCTACCCAAGAGAAATGAAAACACACACCTATACAAAGACACCTAAACATTTGTAGCAGCATTATTCAAAAAAGACAAAAAAAACTGGAACCCTAAATATCCATCAGCTGGTGAATTAAGAAAAAAATGTGGCATAACCACACAGTGGAATACGACTCAGCAATGAAAAGGAACAAACTACTCTAGACGCTACAGGATGAACGCATTTCAAAAAACATATTGAATGAAAGAACCAGAAGCAAAAGGCCACATAGTGTATTATTCTGTTTATATGAAACATCCAGAAAAGGCAAAGTTAGAGACAGAAAGCAGATCAGTGGTTGCACAGGACTGGAATTGGGAGCTGGATTGACCAGAAACAGGTGGGAAGGACTTATCAGGTTGACGGAAACATTCTGTAACTGGATTGTAGTGATGGTTAGGCAACAGTACAAATCACTGCATTTTCTTTCTTTTCTTTTCTTTTCTTTTTTTTTTGGAACACAGTCTCACTCTGTCACCCAGGCTGGAGTGCAGTGGTGAGATCTCAGCTCACTGCAACCTCCACCTCCCAGGTTCAAGCGATTCTCCTGCCTCAGCCTCTGGAGTAGCTGGTGCGCCACCACACCCAGCTAATTTTTGTATTTTTAGTAGAGACAGGGTTTTGTCGAGTTGGCCAGGCTGGTCTTGAACTCCTGGCGTCAAGTGATCCGCCCACCTTGGCCTCCCAAAACGCTGGGATTACAGGTGTGAGCCACTACGACCTGCCTGGTTTAAAAAAAAAAAAAATGAGCCCGGGTGCAGTGGTTCACACCTGTAATCCCAGCACTTTGGGAGGCCAAGATGGGCAGATCACAACTTCAGGAGTTCGAGACCAGCCTGGCCAACATGGTGAAACCCCATCTGTACTAAAAATAGAAAAATTAGCTGGCTTGGTGGTGGGCACCTGTAATCCCAGCTGCTCAGGAGGCTGAGACAGGAGACTCACTTGAGGCCGGAAGGCAGAGGTTGCAGTAAGCCGAGATCGCACCATTGCACTCCAGCCTGGCCAACAGAGCAAGACTCTGTCTCAAAAAAATAATAATAATAGTAATACAAAAGTTAGCTGGGCGTGGTGGCTGGCACCTATGATCTCAGCTACTAGGGAGACTGAGGCAGGAGAATCGCCTGAACCCAGGAGGTGGAGGTTGCAGTGAGCCAAGATCGCGCCACTGCACTCAAGCTTGGGTGACAGAGTGAGACTCCATCTCAAAATAAATAAATAAATAAATAAATAGCCTAAAGGGACACTAGAGTGGGTGGCGTGTTAGGATACCATAGTGGTACTGTAGGCAGGGAAAAGGCAGCGAGGACTTGTGCAGACTCCATTTCCAGAGCTGCAAAATGGGAATAATGACGCCAGCCCCCCAGTGAGAGGCTGGATGAGAAGGGATGCGCAGAAACTGTTGGGGGCACAGAGCCTGAAGAGCATCTACTGTTTTCCAGTGCAGGCAAGAAGCAGCTGCAAAAGACTGGAAAAAGCAGTTTAGAGCTTTGGGATCAGAAACACTTGTGTATGTAACTACAGGGTGGTTCCAAATGCCATCAGCACCGGGCGTGGTGGCTCACGCCTGTAATCCCAGCACTTTGGGAGGCCAAGGCAGGCAGATCATTTGAGGTCAGGAGTTCGAGACCAGTCTGGCGAACATGGTGAAACCCTGTCTCTACTAAAACAAACAAACAAACAAACAAAAAACTGGGCCAGGCGCGGTGGCTCATGTCTGTAATTCCAGCACTTTAGGAGGCCGAGGCTGGTGGATCACCTGAGGTCAAGAGTTCGAGACCAGCCTGACCAACATGATGAAACCCTGTCTCTACTAAGAATACAAAATTAACCGGGTGCGGTGGCACGCGCCTGTAGTCCCAGCTACTCGGGAAGCTGAGGCAGAAGAATCGCTTGAACCCGGGAGGCAGAGGTTGCAGTGAACCGAGATCGCGCCATTGCACTCCAGCCTGGGCAACAAGAGCGAAACTCCGTCTCAAAAAAAAAAAAAAAAAAAATGCCATCGGCATGTTAGCGAGAAAATGTCAACTATTTCATGCATCAGCCACACCCACCCCCATCCCCAGGATGCTTGCCCCACCACTTTCTCTTTCTTTTGTAAACTGAAAAGCGCTTTGCAGTCTAAGATAGTCCATTAGAGTAAATGAAGCCATGAAGTCCAGCGGACACCGGGAGTGGGGAGTGGGGAAGCCCGGCACTCCGGGAGACCGGGCCAGGGAAGGAGGGTCTGGACCGGACCCAGCCCCTGCCCGGGGAGCGAGCTCCGGAGCTGCCCTACGAGGTCAAAACGTAGCAGTGGCGGAGACCCGCAGGGGGCGCCCGAACGCCACCCTCGGCCCCTCCCCGCTCCAGAGGCCCCGCCCCGTCACGTGCCCGCGGTTCGCGTCACACCCGGAAGCAGGGGCCCGAGCGGAGCCGGCCGCGATGAGCGGGGAGCCGGGGCAGACGTCCGTAGCGCCCCCTCCCGAGGAGGTCGAGCCGGGCAGTGGGGTCCGCATCGTGGTGGAGTACTGGTGAGCGGCCCCGGCTGGAGGACCCGCACCCTGGTCCCGCGGGCCGGACGGAGGTGGGTCCACGGGAGGCCCCACCCCCGAATCCCCAGCCCAGCCCCATCTCTTGACTCCCCAGTGAACCCTGCGGCTTCGAGGCGACCTACCTGGAGCTGGCCAGTGCTGTGAAGGAGCAGTATCCGGGCATCGAGATCGAGTCGCGCCTCGGGGGCACAGGTGAGGCTCGCAGAACACCTGCTGGGTCAGTCTGTGCTCTGAATCCCAGCTCTCCCGCTTTCTAGTTCTGACATTGGCTGCTTTATGTAAAGTGCCCGCAGTGCCTGGCACATGGTAAAATGTCCGGCCAACATGAGTTCCCTTCCATAGGTCAGGGGGTGTCACAGAGGCCTGTGGGGAAAAACCTATTAGACTGCAATCGTGTAGGGTTGGAGGGGAGGGAGTCCTTTATTGAGTGTTGCGAGGGGCACACAGGCGAGGCCTCCCTCAGGTTCCCTGGAGTTGACCCAGGGTTGGGGAATTGCTTAAGGAGCTACAAATGGGTCTCCAGTGGGATTGATGGGGGACTTGAAGGCGGGGGACCCCTTTGGAGGAACTCCTGACTTCTGCCTATGTTCTCAGTGTACCATTTATCTGTTGATTTCTTACCAGGTGCCTTTGAGATAGAGATAAATGGACAGCTGGTGTTCTCCAAGCTGGAGAATGGGGGCTTTCCCTATGAGAAAGATGTGAGTATTTACAGCGTTGGGAGGACCTCTTGGTCACCCTACCCCAACAGTGCATCATCCTGTCATTCCACTCCTCTAGCTCATTGAGGCCATCCGAAGAGCCAGTAATGGAGAAACCCTAGAAAAGATCACCAACAGCCGTCCTCCCTGCGTCATCCTGTGACTGCACAGGACTCTGGGTTCCTGCTCTGTTCTGGGGTCCAAACCTTGGTCTCCCTTTGGTCCTGCTGGGAGCTCCCCCTGCCTCTTTCCCCTACTTAGCTCCTTAGCAAAGAGACCCTGGCCTCCACTTTGCCCTTTGGGTACAAAGAAGGAATAGAAGATTCCGTGGCCTTGGGGGCAGGAGAGAGACACTCTCCATGAACACTTCTCCAGCCACCTCATACCCCCTTCCCAGGGTAAGTGCCCACGAAAGCCCAGTCCACTCTTCGCCTCGGTAATACCTGTCTGATGCCACAGATTTTATTTATTCTCCCCTAACCCAGGGCAATGTCAGCTATTGGCAGTAAAGTGGCGCTACAAACACTAATGCTAACTAGTGTGTGTTTTTATACGTCCAGTCTGGGAATGTGGGGGGCACAGAAGTCCGGTCAGCCCAGCCTTTGCACCGCCAGGGTGGCTGTGCTGGCTGGGTGGGCTTTCTGGACAGCTACTCCTTAGGTCAGTGAGCTCCTCTGGCATAGCCAAGGCAAGGAAAATGAGTCCCACAGTAGACCCTGCCTCGTCTTTCCCCCACCCTACCCACCACTCTCCTCACTCACAAGGAGGAAATAACCCCATTCTGGTGAGTGGCCTTAGGAATTAGTTCGTTCTAAATAAGAATGATCTGGTCGTCAAAGGGCTCTCAGATCTGAATCCAGCTTCCCGATCTCCCCCAACCCTGAAGCTGGAGAACTGGATGTCTGGCTCCTCATCCAAGCTTTCTGAAGATTCCCAGCCACTCCCTCCAGGAAAAGAGGAATTGAGTGTAAGGTGAGCAGGAAGGGATGGCACAGAGCCACCCCCAGACATAGGCCGGTGCCTAGCTGTTTTCCAAAATATATTTGCAAATGGACAAAGTGGGTGTGGAGAAGGACCCCCCACACTTGCCTCCCCATACAACACCCATTCTCCCCCTGGGTCTTTATTTCATCTTTAAAAAAACAAAACAAAAAAAGTAAAAACTAAACAGAAAAGCACTCTGTACAAAGCCTGGATACTGACACCATTGCTGTTCCTTCCTCATGGGGGGCAGTACTAGGTTTCAGGGACAGTCTCTGAATGGGTCGCTTTTGTTCTTAGACACTCCCTTAGGGCCGCTTCCCCTCTCAGGCCAGCTTCCCTAAGGCTTTCAGTACCCAGGATCTGGAAGGAAAGGGCCAAGCTGGGCTGTGGCATCCACTGGACCCTAGAGTCTCATTGGGCAGGGCCTCAGAATCCACAAAGACTCCCCAGTGCTGTTCCTCTTCCAACGAGGCTGGACCCCTTCCAGCCATCTGGGAACTCAAGCAGGAAGGAAGGTTCCTTAGGACAGGTTCCTGGCATGGCAGGTTCCCCTGGAAGTGGTCGGAGGGCCCTCCCACCTCTTGATGCCAGCAGAAGTCAGGCCTTCCCTGCTCCCTGAGGACACATCAGGGCTTCTGCGGACTTGGCCTTCTGGTTCACACTGGCACGTCCAGACCCAGGTACTCTGGGTTCTCTGCCGTAGGTGTCCCTTTGAAGGTGCTGGGTGGAGCCCCCCGCTCTGGTGGGTCCTGGTCCCAGTAATAGAGGTTGTCGAAGGCTGGGCTGAAGGCAGGAGGAGGGTGGGGCTGAGGGGCAGCTCCTCCCTGGGGTGTCAAGTACTCGGGGTTCTCCACGGCACCCCCAAAGGCAAAAACGTCTTTGACGACCCCATTCTTCCCTGGGGAGAGAGTCTTGGGCCTTTCCAGAGTGGCACCAGCAGGTCGGGCAGCAGGCAGAGGGCCCTCTCGGGGCGAAGGGGGCTGGGGCCGAACATCTGGCTGGTTCACATATTCTGAAAGGTCAAGAGAAGGTGACCCATTAGGGGAAGGAACCCCGGTGTCTCTGCCACTCCCTCTGCCCCCACAGTGGACCCTGGGCTGAAGGTCCCACCTCCCCTGCCCATCAGTCTCTCTGCTTAGACTGGACTCCATACCAGGCTGGGGGCTGCAGGTCAGGGGGGCAACGTAGCCATCAGTCTCAGAGGGCAGGGGTACTGTGGGGTCCTCACTGTACCGCTGTAGAGGGCTGGGGTCATGTGTGGGGAGGCTTTGCAGCCCCTTGGCTGCCCCCATTCCCAGGTCACCATCAAATACATCGGAGCCAGCCCCTTCGGAGGGTGCCAGTGGAGACCTGGGGGCCTCCTCTTCAGAGGGCTCCAGCCCTAGTGTCAGGTCCCCACCGCCACTCTGGGGACAAGAAAGAAAGTCATGATGGGGGTCACTCACGGATCTGGGATGGGGACTCCATGGAAGGTGACAGGGTCACAGGAGAAAAACAGAGGTCACCTTTGGGGTATGACACAGTCACCGTGGAGAGAATGGGGTCACAGGGGTTGGAAGGCAGTAAGAATTTTTTGTAGGGATAATGGGGTTTCCTTGAGAGGTGACAGTTGAGGGAACATCAGAGAAAGGGACCCTAGTCCACCGGGGTTGGGGGAGGTAAGCAGACAGCCACACAGTGTGACCGAGGGCACTGACCCTGGTAGATGAGCTGCGGTGCCTGTGGTGGACCATGCCCCCAGCGCCCGGGGCAGGGTCTGGACAGAAGAAGCCCTGCTGGGGTACCAGATACTCCTCAGCATCCACCAGGTCCCCCATGTCATCGTCCTCCAGCAGTGAGCGGTAGAAGGTGCTGTCCAAGGGACTGGCTGGGCCCAAGTCCTCATTCTGTGGAGGAAGGAGAGGCAGGATGGTGGCCCCTCCCCAGCCCAGCATGCAGCCTTCCGTGAGGGGCCTGGCATACTGGACTCATCTCTCCTTCCCACCCTCTGCAGGAGGGTGCTCTTAGCCACAGGCAGGGATGGGGCACAGAGGCCCAGTACCTGGATGACCACAAAGCGCTGGGGGTCCCTGGCCATGCGGGAGAATTCAGACACCAACTCCCGGAATCTTGGCCGACATTCAGAGTCAATCATCCAACCTGGGGCAGGAGGGAGGTCAGCATGCTAGTCCCAGGCCCTGTGTGCTTGCTGCCTCTCCCCTCCCACTCCCCCTCCAGTCTGGTCTAGACAGTCCCAAGGGACAGCCCAAAGCCCTCAGGTGGTAGAGAAGTAGCACCAGACTCTGGGGTCTTCAGCCAGAACCTTTGGCATCTCTTCTAGTTTCCCTTTTAATTTTTTTTTTCTTTTTGTTTGCTTTTTTATTTTTTTGAGATGAGGTTTCGCTCTGTCACCCAGGCTGGATTTCAGTGGTGCAATCATAGCTTACTGCAACCTTAAACTAGGCTCAAGTGATCTTCCTGCCTCAGCCTCTCCTGAGTAGCTGGGACTACTGGCACACACCACCACACCCAGATAATTTTTTTATTTTTTGTAGAGATAGGATCTCACTATGTTGCCCAGGCTGGTCTTGAACTCCTGGCTTCAAGGGATCCTCCCACCTCAGCCTCCAAAAGTACTGGGATTACAGGCATGAGCCACTGTGCCCAGCTTAATTTTGTACAAGAGTGTTCCTCAAGAGTGGCTTTGGACTTTGACTGTAAAAGGGATACAAGAAGGTTTTGAGGCTCCTAACATACTAGGGCTCCTGGGTCTACATACATCCTGGTCCCCTTTCATGCCCCTTGTGGGCTCCTCCACCCAGGACCTCCCACCCTCCTCCAGGCAGCCAGCACAGCTCAGCCACGCACATTTGACCATGATCATGTAGACATCAATGGTGCAGATGGGGGGCTGGGGCAGCCGCTCCCCCTTTTCCAGCAGGTCAGGGATCTCCCGGGCTGGGATCCCATCGTAAGGTTTGGCCCCAAAAGTCATCAGCTCCCACACAGTCACACCTAAGGCAGAGACAGGGTCAGGAGTGGGAGGGCCAGAGGGAGCTTTAGTGTACTGAGCCAGAGGTTCTGCTCAGGAGTCTAGCATCATGGCAGGTAGCAGGGGGAGATGTGATGCCAGGAGACAGACCCTACCCGGTCTTTCCCTAATCCTGGGAAGTGCACAGACCCTGCAAGGTGGGGCACAGGCAGCCCCTTCCCTCCCTTCACATGCTGAGGTGGCCCCGTAATTCTCCCCATCCCAGCTCTCATCCTCCCTCCAGCCATGGCTCCTCACCCACCCCTCCCAACACCCCCCATCACACACCATAACTCCACACATCACTCTGGTGGGTGAACCGCCGGCGGAGAATGGACTCCAGCGCCATCCACTTGATGGGCACCTGGGAGGGCAGAAGAGGAAGTCCTCCAACTGTGTGTTGTGGGGAGGTGGCCACTCAGAGTTCTCCCATGGGCTAGACACCACTCCACCCAGCCTCCTCTGCTCCTTGGTCCTTCACCTAACCTTGCCCCCATCTGCATGGTACTCTGTCTCGTCAATGTCCAGCAGCCGAGCCAGCCCGAAGTCTGTAATTTTGACATGGTTGGGACTCTTGACCAGCACGTTCCGAGCGGCCAAGTCCCTGTGTACGAGCCGCACATCCTCCAGGTAGCTCATCCCCTGGAATGGGAAGCACCCATGTAGACCTTCTGGGAGGGCCTGGGCCTGGCCACATGCCCAGCAAGAGTCCCCATCCTAGCCCCTTGTGGACATAGGGGTTTGCTCCGGAGAGACCTGCAAAGAGCCCAGGTGCATACCTTGGCAATCTGCATACACCAGTTCAGCAGGTCCTGGGAGCCCAGGCGTCCGCGGTTTTCCCGGACATGGTCTAAGAGGCAGCCATAGGGCATAAGCTGTGTCACCAGCTGCACCGTGGATGTCAGGCAGATGCCCAGAAGGCGGGAGACATATGGGGAGCCCACACCAGCCATCACGTATGCTTCCTGGGGACAAGGGTACGCTGAGAGGGTATGGGAGACCACACACCCCCAAACACCACACAGCCTCCCAACCATCACAAACCACAGCCATGGCCCACAGCCTGTGAAGGCTCAAAGTACCAGCCTGGACAACATGGTGAAACCCTGTCTCTACTAAAAATACAAAGATTAGGCCGGGCACGGTGGCTCACACCTGTAATCCCAGCACTTTGGGAGGCCGAGGCGGGCGGATCATGAGGTCAGGAGTTTGACACCAACCTGGCCAACATGGTGAAATCCCATCTCTACTAAAAATACAAAAATTAGCCGGGCGTGGTGGCTCGCGCCTGTAATCCCAGCTACTCAGGAGACTGAGGGAGAAGAATCGCTTTAACCTGGGAGGCTGAGCTGAGACCGCACCATTTCACTCTAGCCTGGGTGACAGAGCGAGACTCTGTCTCAAAAAAAAAAAAAAAATTAGCGGGCGCTTGTAATCCCAGCTACTCAGGAGCCTGAGGCATGAAAATCGCTTGAGTCCAGGAGGTGGAGGTTGCAGTGAGCCGAGATAACGCCACTGCACTCCAGCCTGGGTGACAGAGCAAGACTCCGTCTCCAAAAAAATAGTCTAGGTTTGCGGGAGTCATATCTCCCCAAACCCCAATGAAGAGAGACCAGAGCCCAGACCTGCAGCCATGGGGTCCTTCCTGTCCTCCTAGCAGGAGAGGGTGGAGGGGCTTACGTCTAAGATTTCTTTGTTGGCTTTGGGGGATGTGTTTTCCCTCAACACTTTGATGGCCACTGGAATTTTCACATTCTCCCCATCAGGGATCCAGATGCCCTGGGCAGAAAGAGGAGGATATGAGTGAGAAGAGCGTGGGCTGGATCCTACCTGCCTTCCAGGAGATCATTACTTGTCCTCCAAACATCCTTCACCACCCTAGGGCTTGGCCCCGCTCCCTTCTCCGCTGTAACTGCCCTCCCCCAAACACTGCCTCCAGCTCTTGCCCCTCCCATCAGAACTGCCGACCACACCCCTCCAGGCACCGCCCCCATCCTCTGGGGCCGCCCACCCCAGGACCTGGCCCTGACCTTGTAGACTGTGCCAAAAGCGCCAGATCCAAGCACCTTCACCTTCCTCAGCTCCGTCTCTTTCAGGATCCGCATCTGCGCCTGGTTGGGCATCGCTCCGCTAGGTGTCAGCGGCTCCACCAGCTGGGGTGAGGGGGTGGTGGGTCAGTGCCGGGGGCCGGTGCAGACCCCACGCGGGCTGGGAGGACTTCACCCCGCCTCACCTCCGTTTCCTGCAGCAGTCTCCGCATCGTGTACTTCCGGATCTTCTGCTGCCGTCGCTTGATGAGGATCCCAAAGACCACCCCCAAGACCACGACCAGCAGAATGCCAACCACCGCAGAGATGATGGACGTCAGAGGGCTGGGGGCGGAAGCCAGGGTCAGGGATTGAGGGCTAGTTTGGGGTGGGAGGGACAAAGGGGGCCCACGGGGGACATGAAGGTGTTTGGCATTCGGAAAGGGAAGTCGGAAGGGTGACCCACAGGCTTGGACCCTCTCCTACTCTAAAACCTGCCTTGGCTCCCCGCTGCCTCCACAATAAAGTCCAAACTCCTTGTAGGCAATCAGAACCCTCTCCGCATCTCCAGATTCTCTATACTCTTGCCCTTGGCTCTGGCTTAGGGCTTCAACAATTCATGGTGTAAAAATCACTAAGGACTCTGGGCGCGGTGGCTCATGCCTGGAATCCTAGCACTTTGAGAGTCTGAGGTGGGCAGATCACAAGGTCAGGAGTTCGAGACCAGCCTGGCCAACATAGTGAAACCCCCGTCTCTACTAAAAATACACACACACAAAAATTAGCTGGGCGTGGTGTGGGTGCCTGTAATCCCAGCTACTTGGGAGACTGAGGCAGGAGAATCGCTTGAACCCGGGAGACAAGAGGTTGCAGTGAGCTGAGATTGTGCCACTGCACTACGGCCAGTGCAAGACTCCATCTCAAAAAAAAAAAAGTCACTAAGGAGACTGTTAATACACATGCCCCTCAACACCAAGGGGCTACGTCCTGATAAACCAATTCTAAGTTGAAACTGAAAATGCATTTAAGACACCTAGCCTGGCTTACACGTGCTCAGAACATTTACACTGCCAGCAGCTTACAGTTGGGCAGAATCATCTGACACAAAGCCTATTTTATAGTAAACTGTTAAATAAGTTTGTGTTATTTATTTATTTATTTTTGAGACAGGGCCTTGCTGTGTTGCCCAGGCTGAGTGCAGTGGTGAGATCATGGCCCACTGCAGCCCTGACCTCTGGGCTCAAGCAGTCTTTCCACCTCAGCTGCCCAAGTAGCTGGGACTACAGACACACGCCACCACACTCAGCTAGTTTTTTTATTTTTTGTAGAAATGGGGTCTCACTATGTTGCCCAGGCTGGTCTCGAGCTTCTGGCCTCAAAGGATCCTCCCACCTTGGCCTCCTAAAGTGCTGGGATTACAGGTGTGAGCCACGGTGCCTGGCTATGTAATTTATTGAATACTGAAAGTAGGGCTGGGCATGGTGGCTTGAGGCTGAGATGGGCAGATCACCTGAGCTCTCGAGTTCGAGACCAGCCTGACTAACATGGAGAAACCCCGTCTCTACTAAAAATACAAAATTAGCCGGGTGTGGTGGTGCCTGCCTGTAATCCCAGCCACTCTGGAGGCTGAAGCAGGAGAATCGTTTGAACCTGAGAGGTGGAGGTTGCGGTGAGCCAAGACTGCGCCATTGCACTCCAGCCTGGGTAACAACAGCAAAATGACATCTCAAAATAAATAATAAATAAATAAATAAATAAAAATAAAAGTGAAAAACAGAATGGCTGTATGGGTATTCAAAGTACGGTTTATACTGAATGTATATTATTGCTTTTCCACCATTGTAAAGTCAAAAAATCCTAAGTAATATCACAAATCAGCACACAGTCTGTATGCATACAATTTTGGGGCCCCACCCCCAGAGATTCTGACTGCTGCATGGGTACAGGAATGTACACCTGATGATTTTGATGTTCTAGCCAAAATTTCCACCCACAGGTCATGATTTTCCACACCTCCCAGTGTTTGCATAGGCTGTCCCTTCAGCCTGGACCACCATTTCTCCACAGGGTCATCTTTTAAGACTCGGCTCCGCCAGGCACGATGGCTCACACCTGTAATCCCAGCACTTTGGGAGGCCGAGGCAGGTGGATCACCTGAGGTCAGCAGTTCAAGACCAGCCTGGCCAACATGGCAAAACCTCATCTCTACTAAAAATACAAAAATTAGCCGGACGTGGTAGCGCATGCCTGTAATCCCAGCTACTGGGGGGCTGAGACAGGAGGATTGCTTGAACTGCTTGAACCTGGGAGGCAGAGGTTGCAGTGAGCCAAGATCGTGTCATTGCACTCCAGCCTGGGCAACAGAGCAAGACTCCATATCAAAAAAAAAAAAAAAAAAAAAAGACTTGGCTCATCGCCAGGAGTGGTGGCTCACTCCTGTGATCCCAACATTTTGGGAGGCCAAAACTGGAGGATCACTTGAGCCCACGAGTTTGAGACCAGCTCGGGCAACATAGTGAGACCCTGTCTATACAAAAAAAATTTTTTAAATTACCCAGGCGTGGTGGCACGCTCCTATAGTCCCAGCTACTGCAGAAGGGTAACTTGAGCCCAGGAGGTCAAGGCTGCAGTGAGCCTGTGATTACACCACCACATTCAAGACTGGACAAGAGAGCAAGACCCTGTCTCAATCACTCAATAAAAAGATAGCGTATCTGGCTGGGCACGGTGGCTCATGTCTGTAATCCCAGCACTTTGGGAGGCCAAGGTGGGCGGATCTTGAGGTCAAGAGATCGAGACCATCCTGGCCAACATGGTGAAACCCCGTCTCTACTAAAAATACAAAAATTAGCTGGGTGTGGTGGCATGTGCCTGTAATCCCAGCTACTTGGGAGGCTGAGGCACAAGAAGCGCTTGAACCCAGGAGGCAGAGGTTGCAGTGAACCGAGATGGAGCCACTGCACTCCAGCCTGCAGGCAGAGTGAGACTCCGTCTCAAAAAAATAAAAAAAAGATAGTGCATCCTGGGATAGATGGAGCTCCCGGGTGTTGATCCAATATTCTTGTCACCCTCTCCTCTCCATACCCCCTTGCTTAGCACAGGGTCTGGTACATACCAAGCCTGTAACACATGCTCATTTCACGGACCGATGATCGCCTAAGACAGACTCCAGTCTGTTTTTCTCCCCAAAGTCCTTTCCAAAGGTCCCCACTGCCCAGTCAAGTCCCACCCTGTGGCTTGGGGATCAGGTCCTATGGCATCCAGGTCAGACCCCACCCTGACTCTAACTTGACCCCCTTATTCCTGTGCTTACTCAACAGCCCCCGACACCAGAACTTTGAAGACATCCTGGATTTCCTGATGCCTCCCCCTCCAGTGTCACCTTGCACCCCAATGCTTTCTACCTAAATGCAAGTGCAATACCTGCTCCTCTCTCAAAGCCTAGCTCAAATGCCACCTCCCACTCGAAGCCTCCCACCATCCCCAGTTAAGAATTCATCACTCCCTCAGTGCTGCAGCTGTACTCTTCTCAGTCTCCCTTGACTTCCAAGGAATTGAACTTTGCCTGTGTCCCTCACAAGGCATCAAGTTACTCTAGGGTGTGGAGGGACTGGGTTTCCTAGCCATCTTTCCTTGCAGTCCCCTCCCCTCAGCATCTGAGCAGGTCCTCTGTCACTTGGTGAAGTGGAAAATGACAGGAGGTTCCACAGTGGAAGAGTGGGTGGGAAGGGACATATGTCAGGGGGTCCCCTCCCTACAGCAGTGACCACCCAGCATCCAGTGGGGGAGTGAAGGGCAATGAAGGGTACATCCTGGGGTCCAGGCCAACCTGGCTCTCTGCTCGGCGGGGCAGCCCTTGTCATCCAGGTCCACACAGCTGCAGGAGAAACAGTCTCATCAACAATTCTGGGAACCACCCTCTTGGGAACCACCTTTCCAGCCTCACAACAACCCTGGGAGGGGTGTGGCTGGGTCATTATCCCCATTTGACAAAGGCAGAAACTGGGCTCAAGGCCGTCAGTGCTCCTTCTACCACCTCACAAGGAGACTCCTTCTCCAGCCAAGGAACCGGCATGCCCCGCTCCCCTGCAGCTCCTTGTGGTGGATAGGAAGCGGGGAGGGGCACCCAGAAGAGCAAGCCCGGGAGCTCAACTATTCCCTCCATAGAAGAATCCCAGGGTAAACCCATACCACTTCTCCAGAGAACGGTTTGGCAATACCTATGAAATATCATCTATGACCCAGCAGTTCCTCCTCTGAATATAGACTGTACATACTGTTTGCAAATGCTTTTTTCACTTAGCAGAATCTTGCAATGTTTTTCCATGTTCTAACACCGTGATCTGGATCTAGGATCCATATGGATCTGGACCCATATTCTTTTTTTTTTTCTTTTTTTTCTTGAGAAGGAGTTGCACTGTGTTGCCCAGGTTGGAGTGCACTGGTGCAATCTCGTCTCACTGCAACCTCCGCTGCCCAGGTTCAAGCAATTCTCCTGTCTCAACCTCTCAAATAGCTGGGATTACAGGCGCCCACCACCACGCCTGGCTAATTTTTGTATTTTTAGTAGAGACGGGGTTTTGCCATGTTGGCCAGGCTGGTCTTGAACTCCTGACCTCAGGTGATCTGCCTGCCTCGGCCTCCCAAAGTGCTGGGATTACAGGCGTGAGCCACCATGCCCAGCCTGGATCCATATTCTTTTAATTTTTCTCATTTAGTTGTCTTTAAATTGAAATGCATGAATATATCCTTGTGATAAACATTGCCAGCACTGTATTCCCACTAGGGGGCATACAAAAGAGGGCTCACTTGTGTGTGGAGCTCAATTGCAATAAACTGCAAAAACAGGGAAACAAGCTCAATATCCCTCAAAAACAAAGTGAAATTACATCCATGTTACAGGTTGAGTAATTAAAAAAAAAATAAAGGTGGTAGATCCGTCTGTACTCACAAGAAAGGATACCTCAAGTCGGGGGGAAAGCAAAGTGCAGAACAGCATCACCACACCTGGCTAGTTTTTGTATTTTTAGTAGAGACGGGGTCTCGCTATGTTGGCCAGATTGGTCTCGAACTCCTGATCTCAAGTGATCTGCCTGCCTCAGCCTCCCAAAGTGCTGGGATTACAGGTGTGAGTCACTGCGCCCAGGCTCTTGACACTTTTTGGTTTACACAAACAGCAATCTTATTTGACTCGACCTAATATAAATGTAGTATGTCTATATAAGTGTGCAGAAAAGAGCCTGGAAGGGTGAACACACAAGTCAATGCGGTGGTTCTCCCAGCAGACAGGAGAGACTGGGTGGACAGGGAGTTGAGTGAAAGGGCACGTTGGCTTTGTAACATTTATACTTTTATGTTACTGAAAATGTTTATCACAAGGATGTATTCATGTGTTTCATGTGTAAAGACAACTAAATAAGAAAAATTAAAAGAATAAGGTAGATCACCATGTTAGAACATGGAAAAACATTTCAAGGTTCTGGAAAGTGAGAAAAAGCAATTTGCAAACAATATGTATGATCTATGATTCTATTTGTTAAAAAGAAATATATGACTGGGCATGGTGGCTCACCGCTGTAATCCCAACACTTTGGGGGACCGAGGCTGGCAGATCACCTGAGGTCAGGGGTTCGAGACCAGCCTGGCCAACATGGTGAAATCCTATGTACTAAAAATACAAAAATTAGCCAGGCAAGGTAGCACGTTCCCGTAATCCCAGCTACTCAGGAGGCGGAAGCAGGAGAATTGCTTAAACCCAGGAGGTGGAGGCTGCAGTGAGCCAAGATTGTACTACTGCACTCCAGCCTGGGCGACAGAGTGAAACTCCGTCTAAAAATACATATGTGTGTGTGTGTGTGTGTGTGTGTGTGTGTTAAAATGTGCACAGATAAAAATAACTGGAGAATAATATTAATATATGTTAACTTATATATACATATTAGAATGTGCACAGACAAAAATAACTAGAGGAAAAATATTTCAAATTATTAACAGTGGGGATAGAACTGCTAGGGCATTAATTTATATTTCATGTTTTAATTTTACAATTTTAACAATGTGTTATTTTTGTCATCAGAAACAAGATATGACAAAGGGAGAGTTGGTCCCCTTTTATAGTAAGAGCCCCAGAAAGACCCCTGAAAGGAAAGTCCTCCTTTCTGCAGAAAAGACCGTTGGACTCACGAGTGGGTGCAGTTGATGGGGCAAGGCTGGCATGCGCCCTCCTCATCTGGAAACTTCCAGATGGGCATGTAGGAGAGGTCAGGTTTCACACCGCTGGGGCAGCGGGCCACGCAGAAGGGAGGGTCCTTATAGTGGGCACAGGCCACACACTGGTCAGCCTCCTGGGGGGGGCAGAAAAGATTTGTGGGGGGCTGGCACTGACACCCCCAGGGCAGTAGGATCAGGCCCTTAGTTGGGTCCCCTTTGTGCTTCCCAAGGCCACCCAGCAGCAATTTTCGCCATGCTCCTGGGACAAACACCCTTGCTCTTCACCCAGTCTCTGTGGCCCCTCCCTCGGGGCCCTCCTCCAAGCTTGATCCTGGGCAGGGACTTGAGCCAGAAAATGGGAGGCACCCAGAGAGGAAAACGCATTACCTAAGGTGTAACAGCGAGTAACAACAGTCACTGCTCTGTAGAAAGCCTTTCCCGTGCTTCACTGTGCCAAGCCCTGTTTAATTTCATTCTTGCCACACCCCAGCAAGGTAGGTATTATTACAATACCCATTTTAGGAATAAAAAACCAAGGTTGGAAGCAGGAGCTGGGTCTGAATCCAGGTAGTCTGACGCCTGAGCCCACAGGGCTCACCACCCTAGCACAGCCACAGTCACAGCCACCAACACAGACCTCCTTAGAACCTTTTCATAGTCTGAAGGGCCCCAGTGTCCCCCAGGCCCCTTTTCTGCCACTCTGTTGCTGTTCAGGTCTGAGCGCTGAGCCCTCTCCAGGGATATTTTACCAGATAGCACACCCTACTGCATCTCGCCATCCTGCCAAGTCCCTGGCAATCCCCCTCGCTGCCCCCCTCCACCCAGCTCTGAGCCCGCCAGCAGCTCACCGGTCCAAAACAGGTCACTGAGCCATTCTGGGGCTGACACTCAGGGTGGCACGGCAAACAGTGCCTGGCATTCACATACTCCCTGGGGAGCCTGAGAGAAGGGACAGTGGTGAGGGGGTCTGAGAGGAGCCCCATGCACCCCTCCAGCCACCCTCTCCTCCGCCCCTCATACCCCTGCAGTACTCGGCATTCCTCCACGCACTCCTGGCCCCGAAGGAACTGGCTGCAGTTGACACACTGGGTGGGCCCTGGACCCCAGCAGTGCCCTCGGGCGCACAGCTGGTGGCAGGCCAGGCCCTCGCCCACTGCAGTGAGGAGGAAGGGACCGCAGGGGACTTTTAGGGGAGGCCCCAGGTCCAAGTGAACCAGGGAACTGGCTGTGGGCATGGCTGTGGGCTGGAGGGGTGGGGACAGGTGGGGCCGATGTAGGGAGAGGAAGAGTTCTGAGATTTCAGAAACAGAGGGGGAGGGAAGGATGCCAAGGCAGGTAGGACCCAGCTAGAGAAGCCATGCCAAGAGGCCAAGCCAGCCAGAGCTGTGCTGAGTCAAGAAGGGTGCACAGAGACGGGCAGTCTGCACAAGTCCAAGAACGCTGCTGCCAGGGCCCCCTGGGCACTGCTGTGTGCTGGCAGATGGGGAGTGCGCACACTGGGCTCCCTGTCTTACCACACTCGTCCTCTGGCCGGTTGGCAGTGTGGAGCAGAGCTTGGTGCGGGTTCCGAAAGAGCTGGTCCCAGGGCACCGTGTGCACGAAGCAGAGGTGGGTGTTATGGTGGATGAGGGCCAGTCCACTGCCCAGTTCCCTCAGTGAGCGCAGCCCCAGCCAGCTGATGCCCAGCCCTTGCAGGGTCAGCGAGTAGGCGCCACTATGGGAGAAAGGTGGGCACCTTACCACGGACCCCTTCCCGGTCAGCAAAGGCTATTCTCATCTTCCTCCATCCCCAGCACACTCTGCAGACTTTCATGGAAAGGTTACTGCTACAGGAGTACTCCCTCAGGCCCAAAGCTTCCCACAGGGACTCCTCCCTGGGACTCCTCCCCATCAGGCCCCCTCTTTCTCAGTGCTCACTTGTGCAGAATTCGTCCCCGGATTACTTGCAGGTTCTGGAAGACGCTGAGGTCAGGCAGGCTGTCCGGCCATGCTGAGATGTATAGGTAACCTGCAGGCAGAGGGTGAGATTAAAGGAGTGGGGACAGGACAAGGACTCCCAGCCCCTGCAGAACAGGATGCAGAGACAGAGCCCACCTGTGATCTCTTCCAGAGTCTCAAACACTTGGAGCTGCTCTGGCTGGAGCGGGGCAGTGTTGGAGGCTGGGTCCCTGGAGGGGTCAGGAGAGGAGTCAGCAGGGCCAGGAACAGGGTGGACATCACTCCCAGCACTGGCCATGCCAGCCACTCCCCACCATGAATGCCTTCACTCAAACCCTTTGCCCATCGAGCCCAGCTGTTCCCATCCTGGGCTTCAAAGCCCAGGCCTTAGTTCGGCAACATCTATCAAAACAGTATTTATATCCTTTGATCTAGAAATCTTATTTCTGCCTGGGCTCAGTGGCTCACGCCTGTAATCCCAGCACTTTGGGAGGCCGAGGCGGGCGGATCACGAAGTCAAGAGATGGAGACCATCCTGGCCAACATGGTGAAACCCCATCTCTACTACAAATACAAAAATTAGCTGGGTGTGGTGCCGCGCGCCTATAGTCCCAGTTACTCGAGAGGCTGAGGCAGGAGAATCACTTGAACCCGGGAGGCAGAGGTTGCAGTGAGCCGAGATCACACTACTGCACACCAGCCTGGCGATAAAGCGAGACTCTGTCTCAAAAAAAAAAAAAAAAGAAAAGAAATCTTATTTCTAGGAATGTGGCCTAGGGAGACACTGGCCCATGTTCCCAGAGCCACACACAAAGTGGAACTGTTTGTAAGAGTGAAAATGGAACATGATCTAAATGTCTATTAGTAAATAGGGGAGCTGTTAAATAAAACCCCGAGCCACCCAGCCACATAATAAAAACCAACATTTAGGAGCACCTAGTATCTGCCAGGCACTGTTCTAAGAGCTTTACAAATATTAACTCATTCAAACTTTATAATCATCTGGCCAGGCATGGTGGTATAACCATCTTATGAAGTTGGGACTGTTCTTGCCCCCACTTTACAGATGAAGAAACTGAGGCACAGCACAAGGGTCACATGCCTAGTAAGTGGTAGAGCCGGGTTTCAAACCCAGGCAGTCTGGCTCCCAAGTCTGGGCTCTTAGCTGCCTCTCCTTGCCGCCACCTGCTCTGCAGCTATTGAAAGAACAAGGCAGTTCAATGGGAACTGTCATGACCGGCTCTCAAAGCAAGGTGCAGACAGTGCTCCCTATATGTTCCCATTTACAGAAACCAACCTCCCCACCAAAACGACGAAAACCACACTTCACTGTGTGTGTGTCTACAGATGCATAAACGGTCTAGGTGAACACACACACTGTTAACCATGGCCCCCTCTGGAAAGGGGAGTGGAGGTAAAGGAAGTGTGAAAGGGAATTTTTTTTTTTTTTTTTTTTTTGAGACAGGGTCTCATTCTGTCACCCAGGCTGGAGTACAGTGACATGATTTCAACCCACTGCAACCTCCACCTCCCAGGCTCAGGTGATTCTCCCACCTCAGTCTCCCTAGTAGCTGAGACTACAGGTGCGTACCACCATGCCCGGCTAATTTTTTGTGTTTTTTTGTAGAGATGGGATCTCACTATGTTGCCCACGCTGTTCTTGAATTCCTGGGCTCAAGCAATCTTCCTGCTTCAGCCTCCCAAAGTGCTGGGATTACAGGTGTGCACCACGGCGCCTGACCCTTTTTTTTTTTTTTCTTTTTGAGACAGGGTCTCACTCTGTCGCCCAGGCTGGAGTGCAATAGCGAAATCTCAGCTCACTACAACCTCCACCTCCCGAGTTCATGCAATTCTCCTGCCTCAGCCTCCCAAGTAGCTGGGATGATAGGCGCATGCCAGGAAGCCTGGCTAATTTTTTATATTTTTTAGTAGAGATGGGGTTTCACCATGTTGGCCAGGCTGGTCTTGAACTCCTGACCTCAAGTGATCTGCCTGCCTCGGCCTCCCAAAGTGCTGGGATTACAGGCGTGAGCCACCGTGCCTGGCCCCAATTCATTTCTTATTGAAGTATAACTTATATACAATAAAATGCACCGGGTGTGGTGGCTCATGCCTGTAATCCCAGCACTTTGGGAGGCTGAGGTGGGCGGATCACGACGTCAAGAGATCGAGACCATCCTTGCCAACATGGTGAAACCCCATCTCTATTAAAAATACAAAAATTAGCTGGGCATGGTGGCACACACCTGTAGTCCCAGCTACTCAGGAGACTGAGGCAGGAGAATTGCTTGAATCCAGGAGGCAGAGGTTGCAGTGAGCCAAGATCGTACCACTGCACTCCAGCCTGCTGACAGAGTGAGACTCTATCTCAAAAAATAAAATGAAATAAATAAAATGCACAGACTCTTATCACACAGTTTGATGAGTTTTGACAAATGGATTCGCTCATGTATCCACTACCCCAATCACTATACAGAGCATTTCTATTACCCCAGAAATGTCCTTGTGTGCCTCCCTTTTGAAGCCCCCCACCCTGGGGCAACCACCGTTCTGATCTCTCCCACCACAGAGTGGTTTTTTCGGTTCAGAGCCTCACATAAAGGGGATCAGACAGTATGGAATCTTGTCTCTGGCTTCTTTTGCTCAATGTAATGTTTCTGAGATTCATTTATGTTGTATCGGTAGTTCATTTCCTTTGGTTGCTAAGTAGAACTTCACCAAATGGATACACTGCCACTTGTTTATTCCTTCACCTAGTGATGCACATTTGAGTTATTTCCAATTTGGGGATATTTTGAATAAAGCTGCTATGAACTCAAAGGGAATTTTACTTTATCTAGATGGTCTGACCTCCATACAAGTCCTTGTTCACGGATAGCATGTCATTTACAAAAATAATCACCCCCACCCACCAAAGGCCCTGCTCCTCTGGTCTCCCATCTGCTTTCTTTGCATTCTTGATCCCCCCACTTCTGTCTCCTGCCATCCCCAAGAGATGCTGCCACATCTGGATCCTCAGGACTCTGTCTGCCCTGACACTGTCTCAGGTCATCGTGCCCACTCTTACCCATCAAAGCTCTCCGGCAGAAATGCCAGGCTCCCAAAGATCTTCTTGCAGCCAGCAAACTCCTGGATATTGGCACTGGTAACTGCCCTCACCTCTCGCAAGTGCTCCATGCCCAGACCATAGCACACTGAGGAGGTGGGGGTGGGTGGGGAAGGGGCCGTCTCAGCCTTCATACCGGGACAGGTCAACAGCCACATGAGCATCAGGGTCCGGGCCCCTCCCCACACTGACAGGGGATATAGGGACACTTGTAGGGCTGAGGGGGGCCAGGGGTAGAGAGTAGAAGGCAGAGACTAGGTCCCAAGAGGGTCTGAGGAAGGATAGGACAGGGTGGGCTGGGCCAGGCTGCATGCGCAGAGGGACAGGAACTGCAGCTGGCCTCGGGGGCAGTGAGTGGGTACCTCGGGCACAGGGCTTGCTGCACTTCTCACACCGCTGTGTTCCATCCTCTGCTGTCACCTCTTGGTTGTGCAGGGGGCAGACGAGGGTGCAGGATCCCACGTCCGTAGAAAGGTAGTTGTCTAAGGAGATCAGGAACATGTAGCCACATACCCTGGCCCTTCGTGCACCACCATGAGCAGCATTACCGTGCCCAGGCACAAGAAGAATAATATCAACCAATACTTAAATGCCCTACCACGCATCAGCACCTGACATCCATTTACCCCTCACAACAACCAGACGGGATCAGCACTGTGAGATTCCCATTTTGCAAAAAGGGAGACCAAAGCAGAGAGTTCTGTAAATTATTCAAGGTCATTGTGCTAGTGAGTGGAGGAGCGAGGATTTGAACCCAAATGGTCTGGCTCTACATTTTGTCCTCTCCCTAACACAGTCAGCCAGGATCTGAAGGCCCACTCCTGTTCCTGTGAGAGGAGGAAAGAGGTTCCCCAGGTCTGAGCCCAGTCCATAAACGCCCATCAGTAAATAGGTGATCTGTTAAATAAAACTGAGCTAGGCCAGGCACGATGGCTCATGCCTGTAATCCCAGCACTTTGGGAGACCAAGGCGGGTGGATCACTTGAGGTCAGGAGTTCGAGACCAGCTTGGCCAACATAGTGAAACTCCGTCTCTACTAAAAATACAAAAATTACCCAGCCATGGTGGTGCATGCCTGTAGTTCCACCTACTCAAGAGTCTGAGGCACAAGAATTGCTTGAATGCGGAAGGCAGAGGTTGCAGTGAGCCAAAATTGCACCACTGCACTCCAGCCTGGGCAATGGAGCGAGACTCTGCCAAAAAAAAAAAAGTCCGGGTGCAGTGGCTCACGCCTGTAATCCCAGCACTTTCAGAGGCCGAGGCAGGTGGATCGCCTGAAGTCAGGAGTTCGAGACCAGTCTGGCCAACGTGGTGAAACCCTGTCTCTACTAAAAATACAAAATTTAGCGAGGCATGGTGGTGGGCGCCTGTAATCCCAGCTACTCAGGAGGCTGAGACACGAGAATAGCACGAACCTGGGAGGCGGAGGTTGCAGTGAGCCGAGATCGCGCCACTGCGATAGAGCTAACTAAATTCGGTCTCAAAAACAAAACGAAAGGTAAAACTGACCTCACCAGGCTATAGAATAAAAGCTAACATTTAGGAGCACTTAGTACATACCAGGCACCGTTCTAAGAGCTTTACAAATATTAACTCTTTCAAATGTTATAACCATCTTATGCAGTTGGGACTATTCTTGCCCCCATTTTACTGATGAGGAAACTGAGGCACAGCAAGAGGGTCACGTGCCTACTAATTGATAGAGCTGGGTTTCAAACCCAGGCAGTCTGGCTCCCAAGTCTGGGCTCTTAGCTGCCTCTCCTTACTGCCACCTGCTCCACAGCTGTTGAAAGAACAAGGCAGCTCGGCAGGAACTGTCATGACCAGCTCTCAAAGCAAGATGCAGACAGTGCTCCCCATATGCTCCCATTTACAGAAACAAACCTCCCCACCAAAATGAGAAAACTGTGTTTCTCCCTGGCACTCACAGGGACAGGCAGTCACACAGCTGGCGCCGAATGTATACCGGCCCTCGGGATTGGGCATGGACTCAAACGTGTCTGTGTTGTAGGTGACCAGGGCTGGGCAGTGCAGCTCACAGATGCCACTGTGGTTGAAGTGGAGGCAGGCCTGGGGGGACAGGTGGCTGGCTTTCACTGTGCTGTTTTGCCCTGGTGTGCCAGGGGCAATAGGGCAGTACCAGGCAGGGTGCCCACCCCTTGCATCCTGGGGGGTAGAGCACATTGGGCACAAAGCAGAGGCACATACCAGGCAGTCAGAGTGCTTGGGGCCCGTGCAGCCGGCAGCACACTGCTCATGGCAGCAGTCAGTGGGCAGTGGCCCCTTGCAGCGGGCACAGCCACCGGCACAGACAGTGCGCGTCACTGTTGGGCAAAGGGCAGGATGAGGGCTGAGTGGCGCCCTGGGCACCAGACCCTCATCAGCATCACCTTCTAGGGAGACTACCTGGCCCAGGGGAGACATCCCAAGCCTGTTATCCCACCCCTCCCATGTCACCTGTATGACACCTGCATTCCACCCGGCCCCAGCCCTCCCCTTCCCTGACTCCAGGCCTCCCTGAGACTCACGGCTCTGACAATCCTCAGAACTCTCTCCCCAGCAGCGGGAGCCCTTACACATCGGAGAACAGGGGTGGCCTGAGGACAGAACCAGAGACAGGCAGTGAGAGAGATGTCTAACAGCGAGAGGACGGGTTAGTAACAGAGAGAGGCACAAACAGCAGCAGAGGCCACGAGGCCAACTGCACAGCAAGGGAGGGACCCAGACAGGCTGAGAGGCCCCCAAACCAGAGGCACAACCTATAAGCAGAGGGAGACAAGACAGAGAACCCCAGAGATGAAGAGGCACAGGGAGATGGCAGGAGGGACAGAGAGGGAGGAAATGGGTGGTGTAGGCGGCTGGGGCAGTGGCGGGCAGGCACTGGGTTGTAAGTTGGGAGTTTGCGGCTGGGGTCAGGCTGTCTGAGAGAAGAGGCAGCAGGGAGGGGCATGGCTTACAGGCCCGAGAGCGGTTGGTGTCTATCAGTGTGAGAGCCAGCTGGTTGTTCTTGTGGAAGATGTCCTTCCACAAAATCGTGTCCTGGTAGCAGAGCTGGGGGTTCCGCTGGATCAAGACCCCTCCTTTCAAGATCTCTGTGGGGTGAGCAATGATCAGAGGACCCTTTCCCCTTCTGTCACCTTCTGCTTCCCTTGGGGCCCTCCTGCCTTCTAAAAGAGGAGCAGGCCTTTTAAACAACCCCCAGATTCCCCAGGGAGGAGAGAAAGCTATCTTTACCGTCTTTGAGTCCCACCACCACCACACCCGCAACAAGAACAAAGCGAGAGCCAGGGAGGAGTGAGTTGTCCATGCTAGGTCCAGATGCTCATGTGGACCGCAGCTCTCTCCTTCCTTCTCACCTCTACTCTGGGCATGCTGCTTGGTGGTTAAGAGACTGTGGAGTCTGAAACTCAGCCCCATCACTCACTAGCTGTGTAACTTTTGGCCCTTATATCTGCAAGCCTCAGTTTTCTCATATGTAGAATGAGAATAACACTGATTTTTTCCTGACAGGACTGCAGCGTGACTGAAATGGGCCATGCGGGCAAAGCACCTGGCACCCAGACTCTGGGGCAGAGTCGGCTCCAGGGCCAGCAAATAGTTACATAGGTTGTTCACTGTACACTTCACTCAGCCAAGTGGGGGCAAAAACCCAGCCTGCATTCTCACGATTGAATTATATGTGCTGACGCAAGCTACAACTTCCCAGGAAGAAGGGGAATCTTTTTCCAATCTTCTGAGGGCGTCTTCCCGGGCTCTGCCTGCGTCTGCCCAGAAGGGACACCATTTCTAATGCACACAAAGCCTCCCCCTGGTTAGCAGTGGCCCTGGTCAGCTCTGAATAACCAAGAGAAGGTTTCAATGACGGTGAAGGCCACCTGTGAGGCTTCGAAGCTGCAGCTCCCGCAGGCCTCCTGGGGAGGCCCCTGTGACAGGGGTGGTATTGTTCAGCGGGTCTCCATTGTCTAGCACGGCCAGGGCATAGTTGTCCTCAAAGAGCTGGGTGCCTCGCACAATCCGCAGCCTCTGCAGTGGGACCTGCCTCACTTGGTTGTGAGCGATGAGCACGTAGCCCTGCACCTCCTGGATATCCTGGGAGGGGGAAGCAGAGTGGGGCTGAAATAGGAACACTGCCACCCCCCAGGGCCTCCCTGGGGTTCCCCAGTACTTGGAGATCTTGGGCAAGGCCCCCAGCCACTGAGCAGTCCTGTTCCCGCTTAAATAAAACGATAAAATAGAGATAAAGATCACGCCCTACCTTGCCTCACCAGATTCTTATATGATCAAGAAAGATAATGGTGGGGGGGCATTTCATAAACTCCGAACAGGTGCCCTGCCCTCTCTGTATCTCAGTTTCTTCATCAGTGAAAGCAAAGGCCTGGATGGGATGGCGTCTGCAAATTTTTTTTTTTTGAGACGGAGTTTCACTCTTGTTGCCCAGGCTGGAGTACAATGGCACGATCTAGGCTCACCACAACCTCCGTCTCCCAGGTTCAAGTGATTCTCCTGCCTCAGCCTTCCCAAGTAGCTGGGATTATAGGCATGTGCCACCATGCCTGGCTAATTTTGTATTTTCAGTAGAGACGGGGTTTCTCCATGTTGGTCAGGCTGGTCTCGAACTCCCGACCTCAAGTGATCTGTCCGCCTCGGCCTCCCAAAGTGCTGGGATTACAGGCATGAGCCATCGCACCCGGCCGGCGTCTGCAATTTGACAAACCAAGCATGTGGCCCCATTCCAGGGTCTGTGGACACGATCCAGCAGGTTGGTTTCCACTCTCCCTCCTGTTCATAACCTTTTCACAGACATTTCTCTTCTGAGCTTCACAACTGCTCCCAATATACAGATAGGGAAACTGAGACCCAGTGAAGCTAAGGGGGTGTAGGCCACATTCATAGGGCTCGTCAGTGGCAGAAGTGGGCCTGTAATCCACCTTTCTCACCAGCCCTTTCTTCTGCTGTAAGTGGGAGAGGGATAGTGGCTGGAGCAGGTGGACAGGGGACATGATCATGCTGGCAAGAGAGCACAAGATTTAGCGGAAACACAGACGCATCCCATCCAGACATGACCTCGGCCAGCCACGTTATAGAGAGAGTCAACTGATTCTGCAGTAAAATGAATGGGGGTTAGATGTTAGAAAGGACTTCCTGGTTGAGAAACCACAACAAGAGAGGAAACAGAAGGGCAGGGCACCTTCTTCTGCCACCCACCTGTAAACAGAGGGCTCAGCCCAGCTGGAGGCAGGGCCTGGCTGGGTTGCCCACGGGCCTCACCTGCAGGAAGGACAGGCTGGCATTGGTGGGCAGGTAGGTGAGTTCCAGGTTTCCCTGCACCACCTGGCAGCCCTGGTAGAGGTGGCGGAGCATGTCCAGGTGGGTCTCGGGACTGGCAGGGAGCCGCAGCTTCATGTCTGTGCCGGTGCACACTGGCAGGAGAGAGCAGATGGGTCAGAGGACACTGGCGGGGGACCTTCTCAGACCTGGCCACCCCATCCAAACTCACTCCAAGTCATGCCACCTCAGACAGGGAGAAGCCTGACTGAAGGACCCCTCCGCCCATGTCCCTTGCACACTGCAGGTTTAACAGCAGGAGAAAGCTTGCGTGCTTGGGAAGTAGAGGGATTTCAGGGGAAAGGCTTCTTCTGACTAGGCCCACCCTGTGCATTCAGAGGCTGCCCCAGCGTGCCAGCCCTGGGGAGCTCGCCCGCCAGTACAGGGTGTTGGCTGGCAAAGAAAGGCTTCCTTTGTCCCAAAGGCACAACTCAGGGCAAAGGGGTAAAAATCCCCCAAGAGAGGCGATGACGAATCATGAATCTTCTGGATACCCCCTGCCCCTCTCCCAAGCAAACAAACTCGGTGCATTCTCCCTATGCCATTCCAGCACACCCACATGCCAACCTCTTGGCAAGGGATCCACACCCCCGTAATGCCACCCAGAGAGTGGGGAAGGAGGGTCAGCTGGAGTTGCAGCTGAGGCATGGGACAACCGGGGCTCTGGTCATTGCAGAGACCTCTGGGAGTCCCCCATGAAGAGAAAAGGAGCGTCAGATTCCAGTTGTGGGCATCTGGACCCAGGCTGCAGATCCCAGGCCAGGGTGAAGCATGCGCCAAAGGTTCCTGCGCTGGCACCCTCACCCTGGCCACCTCCTCAGGGCAAGACTCCAGAACCAGCTGGCAGAATGTGTGCCACGAAACTGCTGCCACAAAGGCACTACGTCAGCCCTGCATACCTGCCCAGCGCGAGCCATCAGCCATGGGGCATAGGGCTGAACTGCCACACCTGGCCCACTTGGACCCCAGCCTGGTATCCCTGAGACCAGAAATGCCCACTAAGGTCAGGAATACTAGAGGAGGTAAAGCACCCCTGGTGAGGGGCGCCGGGGTAGCAGCTCACACCAGGCCTGCCAGTGAGGGGAGATTAAAGTGCCCAGTTGAACTTGTTTTTCTGCTCTGGTGAGATGAATCACCTGGCGTGTCTTGCCCAGGAGATCGGAAGGGTGGGGGCAGAGGGCACCCTCAGGCCCACAGGTGCCTGAGCTGCCCAGAATTCCTGCCGGTCACTGCTCCGCCTCCCACAGGCTACATGCAGATTCAGGGACAGCACAAGGGCTGGCTTGGGGTCTGACACCAGAGGCACTGCTCTCCCAGCAAGTTGGAGCCTAAGGTCAAATCCTAGGGGGTAATACGAGGTACCCCCTGCCTTCAGATTGCTGGGAGAGGCTGGTAGGGCAAGCCCCCAGGTTCCCTGCCTGGGCCAGTGGCCAGTGGCCACAAACTGGTGGTCTCCTAGTGATACTCAGAATGGCCTCTATTCCCACCTCTCTAGGCAGATAAGGACAAAGAGGGAGGAACAGGAGGGAGGAACAGAAATAGAACTCAAGGGTCCATGTCCCTGAGGGAGGCCTCCCCACTCCATGCCTCACCCACTTGCACCCCCTCCTCTTCCCCACACTTCCTCCCCCAACAGACTCCCAAGAGAAACAGGAGCTGGGGGTGGCAGGCCAGGCCCAAAATAACGCCCTGCTGCCAGGACCTCCCCCGGCCTCAGCCCTTCAGCTGCTTTATAGACACAGCTGTCTGCAGGCCCAGACCCCAGGCCCTGGCCCAAGCCCAGGGTCTCCACAGGGCTGGGGCAGGGTCCGACTCCACCCCCTGTAGCCCTTTTCAAGGGATACCAGCTGTGGCCGCCAGGCAATAGGAAAACAACAACAATGGGGAGTGGGGGCCGCCACAGTAACTGAGCTGAGCACCTACTGTGTGCCTGGCAGGCACTCTCGGTGGATCTGCATAACATGCTCCAGAGACTGGGGCTGCAACCTCCATCTTGCAAAGAAGACAACTGAGGCTGGCAGGGGTTAGCTCTCGCCTCATAAAGCTTGTGAGCAACAGGCAGGACTGGAACTCAGGCTGGCCTGCCTTCAGATCCCACATTCCTTCCACTAGGCCTAACTGCACACACACAAATCCACCCCACACCCCACGCCAACATAAATACACACTAATTCTCCCAATGCCACCGATAAACACCACAGGCTCTACGGAGGGCAGGGTGGCTGGGCTGGGTTGGGCTGGAGGGTCAGAACGGGTGGTAGCCCCACCCCACTAGTGAGTTTGTTTACCTGATTTGTGGCCAATTTGAGTCTGATTAAGAATCTTAAAGTGTTTGCAGACAGGTGGTAAAATTGGTACCCTGAGAACGGTTCCCAGGGAACTGGAGGCTTGCTGGCTAACACCCCCACCAGCCTACATGAAGTCAAGAAGGTCTTCCTGACACCTCCCTCCCACTCTCCCATCTCCTTACCATTGTCCCCATATCTGCCCTGTCCCATTGGTTTTCTTTTTTTGAGATGGAGTCTCGCCCTGTCGCCAGGCTGGAGTGCAGTGGCGCAATCTCGGCTCACTGCAACCTCTGCCTCCCGGGTTCAAGCAATTCTCCTGCCTCAGCCTCCTCAGTAGCTGGGATTACGGGTGCCTGACACCACACCTGGCTAATTTTTGTATTTTTAGTTGAGGCGGGTTTCACCATGTTGGCCAGGCTGGTCCTGAACTGCTGACCTTGTGATCCGCCCGTCTCGGCCTCCCAAAGTGCTGGGATTACAGGTGTGAGCCACGGCACCTGGTCCCCGTTGATTTCCTGGGGGGTAGGTCCTAATTCTACCCAGGAGTGTCCTTGTCTCCAGGACCCTGCCCCTCAGGAACCCCAACCTCCAATTCTCCAGAGCAAAGACAGTATGAGGCAGGACCAGCCACAGGGAGCGCTAGATAAGTGTCTGCTGAGTGAATGAATGAATGAGTGGATGAATGAAGTCCAGTCACGAGTCTCCGAACAAAAGGGACCAGTTGAGGTCATGGAATCCATCTCTCTGCTCAGAGCTGGTCACAGTCCTTCATGTCTCTCTGGACTCTGGTGGTCAGGACTTGACCCCAGTCCTGAGGTTTCTCTCAGGTGGGTTCTCTCCTCCCCACCAGCTTGCAGCCCCAGCTGCTCCTCTTGCTCACAGCAGAAAAGCCAATACTTCCCTTGGTTTCCATGAATACTACAGTAAAATGACCTGTGTCCCCAAAGCTCAGCTCTCCCAGACCCATAATGTCACAGCCCATTCAAGTGACACTGGGATTCCCCGACCACAAACACCTGGTGTATCAGGCCTGACATCAGACCAGGGCCTGGGCCCAGGGTCTTTAGTTGAGAACCCTAGCTCAGCTGCTCACTGAGTGATCTTGAGCAAGTTCCCAGACCTCCAGGGCAGAAGCTAAATCGGATTCATCTCTATGCCCTGCAGTACCTGCAACTTGGTGAATATTTACTGACCTAAACTTGGCTGTAACAGCTCTTACTCCCTCAGAGGAGGTACATGAGAGTTAAATGAGGTAATGAATTGCGCAGCCATCTGTAAACATGACGAGGCTTTGTAAACAGAACTGGGACAACACAAACATTCGCTAGAATAATTCTCCCACTCCTTGAAAGAGTACACATCCCTTACCCCACCTCGGCTCTCTTCCCAGGGGGAGGATGGGTGGCCAAACATAAGATGGAGATGTCACTCTAGAGGGGCTTCTCACAGGTGGAGGGCAGGGAAGGAATCTCTTTCCAGATCATTCCATCACCCAAGGACAGGCACAACTACCCTGGGCCCCACCCCAGCCCTCCCAGCCGCAGCCCCACACTGGCCCCTCACGCTGACACTTCAGCTGTCTCTCTCACCCACAGCCCTGTGTGTCAACGTGGCCTCTGTCCCCTCCTGCCCGCAGCCCCCTGTCATGCTGGTAGGGCCCAAAAGGAAGACAGGCATTGGCTGGACAGGAAGGGAGAGGACTCTGAAGTCAAGAGGGAACCTCAGGGCCCCCAGCTCAGCTCCACTTTCTACAGCCTAGAGAAGTGGATGGAAAGGTCATTCGCCTGAACAAGAGGAGCGCTTCTCCTCCCATCTGGCCACCTGCCTGCCCCTAAGGCTTTGTTCAACCCATTATTGTTGGCTGGAATAAGACTCTAACCACCTCTTAATGCCTCCTCTTCAGAGTCCAAAAATTCCCTGGACATTACTGGGTAGCTGGGAGCCTTGGATAAGTTGCTTCATTTCTCTGAACTTCCATTTTCTCATCTGTGCACCTACTTCACAGGACTGTCACAGAGATTAAATGAAAGCATGGATAAAAACCTAGCATATAGGAAGTACACCGTACATTTCTTAAAAGTTAAGACAAGACAGGTTCATACAGCAGGAATATGGGTAATCCCAAACCACGAGAAAATTAAACATGCTTTGTGTTTGACTTTGGAATGCCACGTATTTTTTCTTTTTACATTTGATCCCTATCTTTTCAATTGTTTTTTTCTTGACAAATAAAATGAGTACTTTCCCCAAGTATAGTAAAGAGAGGAGGCTGTTGGAAGAATCATACTGGAATTAAAATATGAAGGAGTTCTGCAAGATTAAAAGGATGTATTTGCTGCAATTTGTAAAACCCATACCTCTAAGAAAGGATTTCAGAAAAATCCTGACCCCTCTGGGGCTCCCCCTAGGCCTCCCCTTCCCCCACATTCCTGCCCCAGACCTCACCCCTTGGGTAAAATCTGGGTGCTGGAGGCAGCTGGGTGGTATACTTTTTTTCTGAAACGGAGTCTCACACTGTCACCCAGGCTGGAGAGCATTTGCAATCACAGCTCACTGCAAGCCTCAACTTCCTGGGCTCAGGTGATCCTCCTGCCTCAGCCTCCGGAGTAGCTGGGACTACAGGCACGTGTAATCACATCCAACTAATTTTTGTATTTTTTGTACAGAGTTTTGCCTTGTTGCCCAGGCTGTGCAATGACTTTTTAACTAACTCCTGCACAACACAATCAATAGTGCAGGTTGAGGGGTGAGGACATGAGGAGGCCCCATCCAGAGAACCCAGCCCTCAAATCCAGCTCTGCAGCAACTGCCATTCCCTGATCAACTCCCAGCCCAAGGTGAGGAAGGGCAGCAGCTCAGCCTGACAGCTCAGTATGGCCTCACCCTTCTCATCAGAAGATGAGAGGTGAAGATGCTTGTCTGGGAAACAGGGAGGGCAAGGATGTACTCCCTGGAAGAGAGGAACCTTCTTCCTCAGCAAGAAGGCGTGGCCATAGAAGGCTACCTCCCTCTGTTTATGGCAGATCTGGCCCAGCACCTTAAGGGAGTTCCTGCAGAGGACAGAGTTCAGCCTGTGTCCCCAAGTCAGCAGAGAGACTGCTGTTTGGCAACACAAAGCCCAGACACACAAATACAAAGACCACACAACTGAGGAACACCCTGGCGTAGACCTGCAGAGATAACACGGCCATGCACTCACTCACAGAGGGCCCCTCGGGCAACACACAGCCACGATGACACCCACTCCCTCCCCAGACCCTCTGACCTATGGAGACCACCCACGACTCCCAGAACACTTTCATTTTGTCTCCCCTGCAGCCCAGTGACTCAGGGAGCAGTGTCCCTCATTGCTCCAGGTGCACTCATCCATATAGCGATTTCGAATGCATGGTTGGGGGTCGCACTGCCTGGGGTCCCATCTTGACCCCACCACTTACTAGCTGCTACTCAACCTCTGGACTGCTACTCAGTCCAGAATGCTGGCAGAACTTCCACTATAGGGGTGTTCTAGGATTAAAGGAGAATGCATGCAAAACACCACAAACAGTTCCTGGCAGAGTATACCTGGCCCAGGCTATATGTTAGCTTTTATGATTAATGCACACAGGTGGACAGATGGGTCAGGATACACACTGCCCCCACTCACCCTTCCCCACGCACAGCACCAAGGAAAAGGCAGCAGAACAACGCAGCCCTCCCTAGGCTCCCATCTGGCCTTATTTCTTAGCTTCCTTCTCTGGGAACTCTCCCACTTTACACCCCAAGAAACCCACCCCCACCCCTCCATGGTCCACGCGCTCCAAAAGTCACAGAGCACAGTCCCTAAGCTGGCCCCAAGAATCTGTTCAAAGCAAACGTCTCCCCCGCCCCCAACCCAGACCCCAGCAAGAGGCCACCCTCCGGGCCACCCTTTCCTCCCCGGCTCTGGTTGGGACAGGTTGCTATGCCACCCTCCACTCCACCACACACACACACACCCGACCCCGCCAGAAGCAGGAGCAACCAAACCAAAATCGTCTGAAGGGGAGCGGGGAGGGGCTGGAGGAGGGGCAGGGCAGAGGACCCCCCCAAGGAATCCAGCCCAGGCCAGTCCGGAGGCGGAGGCTGCCAACTGGAAAGGCTTTGAGAAAGCTTGAGGGGGCTCAAGAAGGGGGGAAACGCGCGCGCGCGCTCTACGCAATACACCCTTTGCGGGAAAACTTTCTGAACAATTTCAGAGAACTTCTTTGACAAGTTCCCGGAGCCCCTCGGAGCCTGGAAAGCGCCAGTCTCTTGGATGGGCCATCTCGAGCCGCTGCCGTGTAACTGCCCCCTCCCGCCCGAGGGCCCCAGGGCCCGGCTGCCCTGAGCGTCTCGACTGTCCACAACTTCGGGATAGGAGAGCTCGTCCGGGCCCCTCTGGCCCCGCCGGCCGCGGGACCTCGGCGGGGCATCCACAGGGCAGGGTCCCGCCGCTGCTCCGTCCCCTCCCCACACCAGACCCACCTTGGGTGCTCGCGGCTCCGGGGGGCAAGAGGGCGAGGAGGAGCCCCCAGCGGCACAAGGCCGCCAGCTCCATGGTGCTCACTGCGGCTCCGGCCCCATGGCTCCGGCTGGACCCGGCTGGGAGGGCGCGGGGCGCGGGGTGCTGCGAGGGGTGGGGGCCGGGCGCGCGGCGCAGTAAAGGGCCCCGTGGGAAGGGGCGCGCGGCTGCCCGGGGGGCTCCCCTGGTTTCTCCGGTCCCAATGGAGGGGAATCTCAGCTTCACAACTTCATTCTTATACTTCCTCAAGCAGCCCTCCTCCTCCACCTCCTCCTTCTCCTGTGATTGGGAGCAAGCGCGCTCCCAGCTCGCCCCCTCCAACTGCATTCCAACAAGTCTGGGAGTGGCAACTCCCAGCTTCACTTTCTCCCTCTCTTCGCGCAGGCCTGGGTGCGTCCCTCCTAGCGCCGGGACGCCTGGGTTGCCTGCAGCCGTTCTCACACTTTTCCTCGGAGAATCCCTAAATGCAGAGGCTGGTGACTCTGCCCCCTCCCCCGGAGTCCGGGATAAATTCCCTAGGCTGCCACTCTTAACACCCTTTTAAGTCTCAGGTTTTATCTTAAACTTTCCTGGGGAGCTTGCATCCTACTCCATCCCAAGCCTATTTGTTTTAATATCAAATAATGGTTTTCCCACCACATCCTCTAGTAAAATTGATAGTCAAGGAGGGGGATGTGTTGTGTTTACCTTGTGGCTTCCAGGACCCCCGGGGCATATCTTCTGGAATCTTTGAAGTATCTGAAAAGCATGATCTTAAGAGGGTCTACAAATTTGGGAGGAGACAGTCACATCGAAAGGACTTTTTTTTTTTTTTAAACGAACTTTTGCTCTTGTTGCCCAGGCTGGAGAGCAATGGCGCGATCTCTGCTCACCACAACCTCTGCCTCCCTGGTTCAAGTGATTCTCCTGCCTCAGCCTCCCGAGCAGCTGGGATTACAGGCATGTGCCACCATGACCAGCTAATTTTTTGTATTTTTAGTAAAGACAGGGTTTCTCCACGTTGGTGAGGCTGGTCTTGAACTCCCAACCTCAGGTGATCCTCCCGCCTCAGCCTCCCAAAGTGCTGGAATTACAACCACGAGCAACTGCACCCAGCCCAAAAAGACTTCTATCTCAATTCTTCAAAATGCACCCTTCTTGCTTATTTAAGGAGGCACCCAGCACCCAATGCATTCAAGGTTTCTTCTTTGCCCCTTGCCTTCTATTAGCCTGCTTAATTCCACTTCTCAACCACATTCTATTTGGAGCCCCTGACCCTATTCCTTAGGCCTAGTGGTAGGGGTGGGGATGGAAGGAAGACTTTTTTTTTTTTTTTTAATTTCAACAAGATATTGCATGGGACATATTTATACTAACAAATTATTCATTGTTTATCTGAAATTCAAATTTAACTGGGCCTCCTTATTTTTATGTGCTAAATTTGGCAGTTCTAGTTGGAATGCCCCAGCCAAGAATGCAGCTATACTGGTCAAGAAGGGATCAAAGGCACCTATCAGGGACTGGAGAATGAAGGACACCAGCATCTCTTTCTCTCTTCCCTCCCCCCCATCTCCCACACCTCTTTACAGGTATACACTTGCATTTCTAAACTTGCTTCCATGTGCTGAGCACACTTAAAGCAGGCACCTCTTGTGGGACAGGTTGCTATGCCATCCTAGGGAGTTGAGAAACAGGGGCCTCTGGGACCAAGAGGACCTGGGTTCAAATCTTGAATCTGGCCAGTCGCGGTGGCTCACACCTGTAATTCCAGCACTTTGGGAGGCCGAGGCAGGCAGATCACGAGGTCAGGAGATCGAGACCATCCTGGCTAACACGGTGAAACCCTGTCTCTGCTAAAAATACAAAAAATTAGCCAGGTGTGGTGGCGGGTGCCTGTAGTCCCAGCTACTCAGGAGGCTGAGGCAGGAGAATGGCGTGAACCTGGGAGGCAGAGCTTGCAGTGAGCTGAGATTGCGCCTCTGCACTCCAGCCTGGGAGACAGAGTGAGACTCCGTGTCAAAAAAAAAAAAAAAAATCTTGACTCTATTCCATATCAGTCATGTCACCTTGGGCAAGTGACTGAGCATCTCTGGTCTCAGTTGGCTCATCTGTAAAACAGCATCTGACATACTATGCTGGGGTTAAAGGAGATAATGCTCTGGAAGCACTCAGCGCAATACTTGGCACATAATAATTGCTCAATAAATGGTCCCAGATTTAGTTATACTGGGGCAGATCTAGGTTTTGTGGGGCCTGAAGCTTATATAATTTGGGAAACTCTCTTTAAGAAAGTAATACAAAGTTGGCCGAGTATGGCGGCTCATGCCTGTAATCCCAGCACTTTGGGAGGCCAAGACAGGCAGATCACGAGGTCAGGAGTTCGAGACCAGCCTGGCCAACATGACAAAACCCCATCTCTACTAAAAGTACAAAAATTAACTAGGTGTGGTGGCAGGCACCTGTAATCCCAGCTACTCGGGAGGCTGAGGCAGGAGAATTGCTTGAACTCAGAGGGCAGAGGTTGCAGTGAGCTGAGATCTTGCCACTGCACTCCAGCCTGGGTGACAGAGTAAGACTCCATTGAAAGAAAGAAAGAGAGCAAGAGAGAGAAAGGAATTGAACAGAAAAAGACCCTAGCACGGCTGGGTGCGGTGGCTCATGCCTGTAATTGCAGCACTTTGGGAGGCCAAGGCAGGTGGATCACCTGAGGTCGGGAGTTTGGTACCAGCCTGACCAACATGGAGAAACCCTGTCTCTACTAAAAACACAAAATTAGCCGGGCATGGTGGCGCATGCCTGTAATCCCAGCTACTCGGGAAGGCTGAGGCAGGTGAATCGCTTGAACCTGGGAAGCGGAGGTTGCGGTGAGCCAAGATCGCGCCATTGTACTCCAGCCTGGGCAACAAGAGCGAAACTCTGTCTCAAAAAAAAAAAAAAAAAACAAAACAAAAAAACAACCCTAGCACATTCATATAGTAAGGATAAGGTGGAGTTTTGTACAGGTATCCAGAGTGATAATGTAAAATTAACTTATTCCTTGGACCGCTGTCACAAACATTCGAGAAATATTGCTGTGTATGGAACACAGCAGCCCTTCTGGATGGCCATCAATATCCCTATTTTCTCTTGAGCTGGTGTTAGGGTTAGGGTGAGGATCAGGGGAACTGAGGTAAGCAATTTGCCCAGGATGTCTTAGGGCTAGAGAGAAAAGTTGGGCATGTATCAAAACTGACCCCTTACTCTCACCCCATCATCCAGCCCAGGACCTGGTCAACCTGCCTCTCAGTCCTGCAGCTTACAGCCCTGCGGGAAGAGGATGCGCTGACCTGGCTCCAGGAGTCACTGGTTCATCACACCACACCTTGGAGGGCTTGCACCTGGATGAGTGTGCAGGCAGCCTTAGAGGCCATCGGGATGTTAGGATCAGGGTTAGAGGTGTCCTTTCTCCCCAGGCCCCACCCCTGCCCTGCTGTTGTGTCCGGAAAGGTTAGTCCAGTCAGGAAAGCTACTGTGGACGCCATGCTTCATTGGACCCTACTCTGTGCCACTCTGACCTACAGCCACGTTCCTCAGAACACTGAGTCCCCAAGACTCCAGAGGAGGCAGGTGTTATCATTCCCCATTTTGCAGAAGAGGAACCTTGAGCCTTGAGATTCCACGAGCTAAAGGAACTTTCCCAAGGTCACAGAGCTGAGCTGGGAACTGAGCCATGGCAGATTTGGCTTCACCCATTACCCTCAAGAGCCCCAGTCAAGGGTACCAAGAGGGGAGACAGAGGAAAGAAGTCCAGGTAACTGTAGGTCCCTCCCTCTACAAAGATCCTGCTTCCCCCCTTCACTCTCCACCCCCCCGCCCAAGCAAACCCATCCTCTCTGCATCCCAAATCCCAGGAAGAAACCCGGACTGGCAGACAATGCCCAGTCCCGGTGGGCGGTAGAGAGGGTGGAGCAAGCTGGAGAGGGGGCTGGAGTGGGGATGGGGGGAGGAGCTGGGGTCAGAACTCACGCCCTGGGGAGGAGGCTCGAGAGGGGCCGAGCCTCTGAAAAAGAATGAGCCCATTCAGAGCTGGGAAGCCAGAGGAAAAAACCTCGTCTGGTGTCTGACAAGAGGAGAGGAAGGGGGGCAGGGGTGGGCGCTGCTGATTCGATTTCCTCCTTAACTGTCCCTCCAGCAGGGCCTGGCAGGAGAGCCCAGGAAAGAGGATGTCTGAGGGACAAAGACAGCGAGGGGGACCCTCAGGGAAGGGAAAGGGGTGCTGGTGAGAGGGGTCTAGCTAGGGGGCTGGGGAGAGGGAGTGGGAACAGAGTGGGGCTGACTGCGGGACAGAGGGCAGCAAACTCAGATCAGGGCAGATGCGTGTGTTTTGCCCAAGACCCCAGCCTGTGGGCAGTGGAGTGACCACTGACACTGAAGAGGCAGGACAGGGCTCTAGCTTCCGAGGGTGACCTCTAAGTCAACAGGCTGGGGCTGCAACCAGCGGCCTGTGAAATGCCAGTCAATCATTGACCAGCCATGGAGACTGGGGGGCACAGGAGACGTGTGTGTGTGTGTGTGTGTGTGTGTGTGTGTGTGTGTGTGTGTGTGTGTGTGTATGCATGCACCAAAGTCTCCTCCCTCTACCTACTTCACCAGCCAGCTTGGGGTCAGAGGACTGAAAACAAACAGAAATCGGGAGGAGTCGTCTGGTCCACAGTCCGATGTCCAGGCCACAAACTGAGGCCTACCCCACAGTGCCTTGAGGCTGAGGCACAGGTTGCTGGGGAAGTGACTGTAGGAATTAGTTCATTGGAAAGAGTTCCTCAGAGTAGGCTTGAGGTGTCCCTTTGGGCCAAAGGAGGATAACTTAGAAGCTTCTGATAGGAAAATTGGTCCTTCCTAGGGGTGGCCCTTGATGAGCACTTGTATCCTAACCATGGGGAGGCCACTCCCTGAGCCCAGGATTAGCCCTAGTCTCCAGGACAGCAAAGGGGCAGAGCCAAGCTTGCCAGACACTCTGACCCTGGGCCCCTCTTACCCACATCTCAGGAATGCAGGCCCAGGCCCCAGGAGTAGCTTTTATCTCTCCCCAGGCTGCTCTGCTGAAACAAAAAGCACTCTTCTGTCCTGCGACTCACCTCACTTTTGTGCATGTCCACAACAGTACATGTCACTCTCATCACTGCCTGCGCAGGCATGGCTGCCAGGGTCTGAGTCTCTGTGCTGCACTGCGTTTGTCCTGGCCATTCTACTGGTGCCCCCGTTTTATCTGTGACTCTTTGCTCAGGGAGTAGCTTTGCATGTGGTCTTGAATATAGCTTTGCTTTGCCACCTGAAATAGAAGAGTTGGACAGAATGGTTCCTGGTCACAATATTTTCGGATTTGGTATAGGGACAGTGACCCCTTCAACCCCCATACTTGTCCCTTGAAAGCCCCACTGAGCCATCCTTCTCCTGGATTCTGGATTCCTTGTTTCAGGAGCACTAAGTCTTCCTGCCCGCTTCATTCCACTGATCCACTGGGCCTTTCAGGACATCACTTGCTCACTCGACTTGCTGCTGGAGGTATAGACCACTGGGGTATGAATGAGGGCATTCTTGCCTCTGACTTTTGGTCCAAGGAAGAGGAGACGAGGAACCTTTGAGAAGCATACAACTATGGCAATCACAAAGTCTTGATTTCAGGGGACAATTCGTTTCTGATGGTTTCATTCACTGAACCCACCTGGTTGATTCTTCTCTTCCTTTGCCCTTCAAATCCAATCATTCTTTAAGATCTATCAACTCCTCTTTTTGATACATTTATGCTTATTCTACCTCCATCACCAGCTAGTCTGAGTCTCTATCATTTCTCCTTTGGGCTAAAGCACCAGACTTTGATCACTACCCCTCCACCAGTGCTACTTTTGACACCCTGCAATTCTCCCCGCAGCAACAGCAGCCAAAGTAAATGTTTTATTATTATTTATTTTATTTTATATATACACATATATATGTGTGTGTGTATATATATATACACATATATATGTGTATATATATATATATACACACATATATATATATATATATATATATATATATATATATATATATTTTTTTTTTTTTTTTTTTTTTTTTTTTTTTTTTCTGAGACAGAGTCTCACTGTCACCCAGGCTGGAGCGCAGTGGCATGATGTCGGCTCACTGCAACCTCCGTGTCCCGGATTCGAGTGATTCTCCTGCCTCAGCCTTCCGAGTAGCTGGTATTACTGGGATTATAGCATGCACCACCACATCCAGCTAATTTTTGTATTTTTGATAGAGGCAGCGTTTCTCCGTGTTGGCCAGGCTGGTCTCAAACTCCTGACCTCAGGTGATCTGCCCACCTCGGCCTCCCAAAGTGCTGGGATTATGGGCATGAGCCACTGTGCCCGGCCTATTTATTTTTTAATTGAGACTCCTGACCTCAGGTGATCTGTCCACCTTGGCCTCCCAAAGTGCTGGGATTACAGGCATGAGCCACCACACCCAGCCCTATTATTATTATTATTATTATTATTATTATTATTATTATTTTATTTTCGAGATGGAGTCTCGCTCTGTTGTCCAGGCTGGAATGCAACGGTGCAATCTCAGCTCACTGCAACCTCTGCCTCCCGGGTTCAAGCAATTCTCCTGCCTCAGCCTCCTGAGTAGCTGGGATTACAGAAGCGCACCACCATGCCTGGCTAATTTTTGTATTTTTAGTAGAGGATTGCTTTAGCCCAGAAGTTTTTGGCTGCAGTGAGCCATGATCACACCACGGCATTCCAGGCTGGGCGACAGAGGGAGACCTTGTCACAAAACAAAAAAAACTAATAGTCTACTGTTTACCAGAATACTTATCAATAGCAAACAGTCCATTTACACACATTTTGTATGTGATATGTGTTATATACTGTATTTTTACAATAAAGGAAGCTAGAGAAAAGAAAATGCTACTAAGAAAATCATAAGTAAGAAAAAACATATTTACCATTCATTAAGTGGAAGTGGATCATCACAAAGGTTTTCATCCTCATCATCTTCACATTGAGTAGGCTGAGGAGGGGGAAGAGAAAGGAAAAGAGATGGGGTTGGTCTTGCTATTTTGGGGGTGGCAGAGGTGGAAGAAATGTGAGTATAAATGGACCCGTGCAATTCAAACCTGTGTTGTTCAAGGGTCAACTGTATTTAACTCGATGCTTGCTACTGCATGAAATTGTTTTACATTTTTTCTTTGTGTTTTTGTTTTTGTTTTGAGACAGAGACTTGCTCTGTTGCCCAGGCTGGAGTGCAGTGGTACAGTCTTGGCTCACTGCAATCTCTGCCTCCTAGGTTCAAGCAAGTCTCCCACCTCAGCCTCCCAACCAGCTGGGATTACAGGCACTTGCCATCATGCCTGGCTAATTTTTATGTTTTTGTAGAGATGAGTTTTCACCGTTTTGGTCAGGCCGGTCTTGAACTCCTGACCTCAGGTGATCTGCCGCCGGCCTCGGCCTCCTTAAGGGCTGGGATTACAGGCATGAGCCACCACACTCAGCTTTTCTTTGTTTTTAACTGATTATATACACAGACGGTACACACTTTTAAAGGTACAAAAATAAAAAGCGTTCCTGGCCAGGCACGGTGGCTCACGCCTGTAATCCTAGCACTTTGGGAGGCTGAGGCGGACGGATCACCTGAGGTGGGGAGTTCAAGACCAGCCTGACCAACATGGAGAAACCCCATCTTTACTAAAAATACAAAATTAGCCAGGCGTGGAGGCGCATGCCTATAATCCCAGCTACTCAGGAGGCTGAGGCAGCAGAATCGCTTGAACCTGGGAGGCAGAGGTTGCAGTGAGCTAAGATCGCGCCATTGCACTCCAACCTGGGTAACAAGAGCAAAAACTCCGTTTAAAAAAAAAAAAAAAAAGTGTTCCTTACTTCCCTATTGATCAGGCACATAGTCCCACTTCCCACCAGAGGCAAGAACTATTTCCACTTTCTTTTTTATCTTTCTAGATATATTCTCAAAAATAACAACCATAATACTACGCGCATAACACGTACCCTTATTTTTCTTCACATGGGGTACTGTATATAAGTGTATAGGTGTACATACACATGCATACACACACACATATTTTGTTCTGCACTGTGCACTTGATACTTATCAAAAATATTTGGCCAGGTGTGATGGCTCATGCCTATAATCCCAGCACTTTGGGAGGCTGAGACAGGTGGATCACCTGAGGTCGGGAGTTCAAGACAGCCTTACCAACATGGTGAAGCCCTGTCTCTACTAAAAAATACAAAAATTAGCCGGATGTGGTGGCACACACCTGTAATCCCAGCTACTCGGGAGGCTGAGACACAAGAGATATATATATATATATATATATATGTATATGTATATGTATATGTATATGTATATATATCTATATCTATATCTATATCTATATCTATATCTATCATGAAGGTTTTACCATGCTAGTACATTACAAATCTGCCCCATTCCTATTAATTTCTGTTCAGCCTTCCATTGTATGGCTCTCCCTCCATTAATATAATTCATTCCCTATTGATGGACATTTAGTTGTTTCCTTTTTCTTCTTGCTATTGAAAACAATGACTAATGCTACCACAAATAACTGTACTTAAACAAATTTGCACTTGTTTAGGTATACTGGAGCTTATGTAGGTATACCTAGGAGTGAAATTCCTGGGTTAGAGGGTATGTGTGTGTGTGTGTGTGTGTGTGTGTATATATATATATATATATTTTTTTTTTTAATGTAGATGGAGTCTCGCTCTGTCACCAGGCTGGAGTGCAGTGGCATAATCCAGGCTCACTGCAACCTCCAACTCCCTGGTTCAAGCAATTCTCCTGCCTCAGCTTCCGGAGTAGCTGGGATTACAGGCACGTGCCACCATGCCCAGCTAATTTTTTTGTATTTTTAGTAGAGATGGGGTTTCACCATGTTGGCTAGGATGGTCTCGATCTCCTGATCTCATGATCCGCCTGCCTTGGCCTCCCACAGTGCTGGGATTACAGATGTGAGCCACCGCACCTGGCTTCAGTCTTTTGTTTGACACTTGTTTATGGCCTGTTTCCCTCCTCTGACCATGAAAAGTACAGTGCCTTGTTCATCACTCTGTTCCCAGAGACTTGCACATGGTAAACTTAATAAACATTTGATGAATAAGGAACCCACATTGTAGACTCTCTACCAATTTTGATCTAAGAACATGGTCAGCTTGCCGTTGAGCCTTTAGCACACTATACTTTTTTTTTTTTTTTTGAAACGGAGTTTTGCTCTTGTTGCCCAGGCTGGAGTGCAATGGCACGATCTCAGGAGTTTCTCCATGTTAGGTCAGGCTGGTCTCGAACTCCTGACCTCAGATGATCCACCTGCCTCGCCCTCCCAAAGTGCTGGGATTACAGGCATGAGCCACTGTGCCTGTCCAGCACACTCTACTATTAACATATGCTTTGTCTTTTTTTTCCCCCATGAGTACAATGGCTGATACACAGGAGGACTCAATAAGCCTGAGTTGAAGGAATGAATTAGTGACTTTTCAGACTGTGGATCACATCTGAAGCCAAATACAAGTTAGGAAGAAGGACAAGCTAAGGAGGCTCAGGGGAGAACTAGGGGCTCCAGGCTAGAAAGTTGGGAAGAGAGGCCAGGTAATCGCCATCTAGAGATTGTTATCTGGGGCTGTGCTGGCAGGGAAATTCTCAAGAGCTGTCCCAGAGAGACAGTACCCCATCTTCCAAGAAGTCAACAGAACAGAAGTCTCTACTCCCACTTCCACCATTAACCTAGGATTGCTTTTTCCATCAGGTATGTAGGCATGGGTTTTCAAGGACCTCTGAAATACTTTAGACCCGAACAAATTTCCATTGTTAGTTCTAAAATATAAGAAAGCTGCGAAAATTAATATTTTATGGCCGTGTGGCATGGCTCACGCCCGTAATCCCAGCACTTTGGGAGGTTGAGGCGGGAGGATCACTCGAGCCCAGGAATTGGAGACCAGTCTAGGCAACATAGCAAGACCGTGTCTCTACAAAAAATTAAAAAAATTAGCAGGGCATAGTGGCGCATGCTGCAGTCCCAGCTACTCAGGAGGCTGAGATGGAAGGATCACTTGAGTCTGGGAGGTTGAGGTTGCAGTGAGTCGTGATCATGCCACTGCACTTCAGTCTAGGTGAAAGAGTGAGAGGCTGTCTGGGAAAAAAAATTTTTTTTAACTAAATGTATATAAATGTAGCAATATGTCAACTATTAACAGCAATTAGATTGAATTATATATATGTATAGTTATTTATAAATCTTATTTAATGTGGGGCGTTACTGCATTTCAGTATGTTTGACATAATATAGGATGAGGCCTTCAAAATTGGAATTTTCTTTTTCTTTTTTTTTTTTTTTTTGAGTTTCGCTCTTGTTGCCCAGGCTGGAGTGCGATGGCGCAATCTTGGCTCACCACAACCTCTGCCTCCCTGGGTTCAAGCGATTCTCCTGCCTCAGCCTCCTGAGTAGCTGGGATTACAGGCATGCACCACCACACCCAACTAATTTTGTATTTTTAGTAGAGATGGGGTTTCTCCATGTTGGTCAGGCTGGTCTCAAACTCCTAACCTCAGGTGATCCGTCCGCCTCGGCCTCCCAAAGTGCTGGGATTACAGGCGTGAGCCACCACCCCCAGCCTTACTTAGGAATTTTCTAAAGGGGAGACTCCCTATTTTGTCAGGATTTCATCCTCTTTAATCCTAAATGTCCATCTTTATATGAGGATCCTCATAAAAAGACTCATCCCAGAGTCACAGAAAGGACAAAATGAAATGAAAAAAGAAAAAAAAACAGTATTGTAAAAGAACTAATCTGTAAGATGCAAAGTAGTATTAGCACTGGATTTCCGGTCAGCTCCTGGAGGGCTAAGGGGTTGTTTTGTTCATTTCAGCTTCTCAGTCAGTATCAGTTGGGTGGTCAACTCCAGGGGACACTATTCATGTTATATTTAACTGGAAGAATTTGCCATTCACAGAAAAGGCAATGTGAATGCTGCTCCCCAGAGCACCATTCACAGAAAATGCAATGTGAATGGTGCCTCCTGGAGATTTTGCCTTGCTTAGCAAGGTGCTAGAGCTAAGGACTCAGAAATGTTTGTTAAGTGAGTGAATGGAATCCCAGGCTACTTCTTACTCATTCCAACCCCCAGGACGAAAAAGAAAAGTTGACAAGGGGTGAGGAGAGTGGGGGAGGAGAAAGGGTGATCCTTAGCTACAAGGCTTCTATGAGATTGGGTGTGGGTCGGTGCTGATGGGAGTGCAGGGGAGGTGAGCAGGGAGAGGATACTAAAGCAAGCGTCCTGTTCCCAGGGTTCCTAATTTTCCTAGAAATATTACTTCTCTCCGATCTCAGTGCAGAACCATACTGATGATTTTACAGCCCTGGATTTGTCAAGTTCTTATGTTGATGTATGCTGTTCATTCATTAAACAGAAGAACAAACAAACGCAGTTAGCGCCTACCATAAGCCAAATTCTGTGCTGGAGGTAGAGTGGTGAACAGGACAGCAAAGGTTCTACCCCGCATGGGGAAGCAATCACCCTCGGGAGGTGGTACTTCAATTGCGACTAGAAGAAAAAAGAAGAGTGAGTGATTCAGACCAGGCCAGGCAGTCAGGAAGCTTGAGGGACATAGCCCTCTGAAGCGGGTCTGGAGCAAGGGAGTGAGGGAGACCAGTGGACAGGGGCCAAATCAGGCAGGGTTTGTGGAGACTGTATTTTACCCAAGGTAATTGGGAGCCAGTAAATAATTTTAAGAAAAAAAAAGTGATATGGGCAAATTTTAATTTTTCAAAATGGAGCGCAGGTTGGAAGAGGCAAAAGTAGAGGCAGGGAGAGCCATTAAGAAGCTACTGCGGCTGTCTTGGCGACACATGATGGTGTCTTTAACCAGGGTGGTGCCAGAAGAGATGGAGAGAAGTGGATAGTTACAGGTACGTTTAGGAAGTAAAATCCGACAGGGGTGGTGACAGTAAACAGCCCTACCTCAAAAAAGATCATGGAAAACACTTCAGTTTGCTCATTAACCCATCAGGCGTCCGCCTTCCCTTAACCCTATCGCCTCGATATATGGACACAGCAGGGGGACGAGGGGCGGGGCAGGCGCCCACAAAAATCCGGGAACTTTAATTTAAACTGTGTGGACTTCAGCGGAGAGTAGAATAAAGAACACAGGAACTTCCGGTTACTCCGGAAGTGGAAGCTTCATACTCCTAAGCTCCTCCCCCGGCGGCGAGCCAGGGAGAAAGGATGGCCGGCCTGGCGGCGCGGTTGGTCCTGCTAGCTGGGGCAGCGGCGCTGGCGAGCGGCTCCCAGGGCGACCGTGAGCCGGTGTACCGCGACTGCGTACTGCAGTGCGAAGAGCAGAACTGCTCTGGGGGCGCTCTGAATCACTTCCGCTCCCGCCAGCCAATCTACATGAGTCTAGCAGGTAAGCCCCACCCCCACGGTAAGCCCCGCCCATTTGTCTTGCTCCCGCCCCCTGCGCCCCCAATACGCCTCTGCAATCCCTGAACCTTAGTTTCCCCACGAGGTCTCTTATGAATGTGAGTGAAGCCCCTAAGGTGATGAGAGCCTTACCAGCCTCTCTTACTTTCCCAGAAGCTTTCATTTACTTATTTGTTCAGTCAAAAGGGTATTTATTAAATACATTCGGGCCACAATGTCTAGGAATGGCACAGAAATCAGACCAGGGTCCCGCCCATTGGGACTCACAGTCCCCACGGGGACATGAGCCTTTTCAAGTGCAAGGCAGAGAATGATTTGAGCCCCTGAAAGACTCTTTGATTAGGAAGCATTTGGGATAGGAAGGTGTCAGTTCCGGCTTTGAAGACGTGGGGGCAGGGATCATCTTGGAACGTTTTGTTTGAAGGAGGGACTTTGGACTGGTACATTCGATTTGGACCATAGTGGGCAAAGAACCAACGTATTGAGCACTCACTGTGTGACAGGTGTCACAATATGTCAAGTAATTTTTATCACACCCTTTGAGATAGTTTCTCTAATCCCAGTTTTACAGATGGGGATTAGAGAGATTAAATGCCCTGCCCAAGGTCACACAGCCAGTATGTAGTAAAGTGGAGTTTCCAGTTCTGGCCTGTTTGACCACAAGCTTGTCCTCTTTACTATTATACCACTTTGCATTCCAGACAGAGGGAACAGAGAGAATGGATGCCCTGGGCAGATGTGGGCACATCCAGGAGCTTTATTTACTCAGGGAGCAGGGTACATGAACAGGAGTAGTGACCAATACGGTTGGAAAGGCAATTTGGAGCCTCAAAAGTCAGGTTGAAGAATTTGGGCTTCATTTTCATAGGAAGGGAGTAAGATAGCAAGAACTCCTTCCAGGAGAGTAAGAGCAAATCCTATATTCAGGAAGGACAAATATAAACCCAGGTTTCCATAGATGAGTTCATCAGATGCCAACATCTTGATGGACTTGAGCAAAAGGAGAGGAAATGTCTGCCAAGGTAGAAAGATCATCTGAGCCCTGGAGTTCAAGACTAGCCTAGGCAACATGACAAGATGCCTTCTCTACAAAAAATAAAAGAATTAGCCAGACATTGTGGTCTCGCTACTTGGGAGGCTGAGGTGGGAGGATCGTTTGAGCCCAGGAGGTCAAGGCTGTGGTGAGCCATGCTCTCCCCACTGCACTCCAGCCTGGATGAAAGAGCGAGACCCTGTCTCAAAAAAAAAAAAAAAAAAAAAATGCCGGGTGCGGTGGCTCGTGCCTGCAATCCCCGCACTTTAGGTGGCAGAGGCAGGCAGATAACCTGAGGTTGGGAGTTCAAGACCACCCTGACCAACATGGAGAAACCCCATCTCTACTAAAAATACAAAATTAGTTGGGTGTGGTGGTGCATGCCTGTAATCCCAGCTACTCGGGAGCCTGAGGCAGGAGAATCGCTTGAACCCAGGAGGCGGAGGTTGCAGTGAACCGAGATCGCACCATTGCACTCCAGCCTGGGCAACAAAAACAAAACTGTCTCAAAAAAACAAACAAAAAAAAGACGAATATCTCTAATTGCTCACTAAAATATGCATACATACGTACATACACCTTCCCCTATGTGTACATCTCATCATCTCTCATTCATTCAAAGGGGAAGCTAGAATTTTGAGATTTCTCCTGGTTCTCTCCAACTTACAGGCCCTCTTGGCCTACATTTGCGCTTGGACCCCATTCATGCTCTCTCTTTCCTCTCTGTGCTGGGGAGTTCACCAGGCCACATTTGTCTGTTTCAGGCTGGACCTGTCGGGACGACTGTAAGTATGAGTGTATGTGGGTCACCGTTGGGCTCTACCTCCAGGAAGGTCACAAAGTGCCTCAGTTCCATGGCAAGGTGAGTTGGAGGGTCAGGGTAGGCATATGGTAGTAGCGTGGTAGGAGTAATATACCCCCTGGTTGGACCACACTGTCCAAGCAGTCTGAGGCATGGGGTAATGCGTGTGTGTTTGGGGCAGCTACCTGTTCTCCCCAAAATCTGCTGGTTTCCATAGAATTGGATAGGACCCATGTGTCCTGCCTCTGGATTTGGAGTAGCAATATCTGGAAGGCTTTGGAGTCTCCCCAGAGAGTGGTGCTGGGCCTCTTAGAGTGGTTGAGATGCCCACCTTACTGCAGGGACAAATTCCCTTACCTACTGTGGCTTGTTTCCTGTTGCTTCTCCAGTAGGGGTCTGGATTCACAGTAATATGCTTCAGCTTGTCTAGCGAGGCACAGTTTGCTGGTACCTTTCTTTCTTTTGTTTTTTGTTTTTTGTTTTTTTTTTTGAGATGGAGTCTCCCTCTGTCGCCCAGGCTGGAGTGCAGTGGCATGATCTTGGCTCACTGCAACCTCTACCTCCCAGGTTCAAGCAATTCTCATGCCTGAGCCTCCCAAGTAGCTGGGACTACAGGTGTGTGCCACCACACCCAGCTAATTTTTTGTATTTTTTTTTTTTTTTTTTTAAGTAGAGATGGGGTTTCACCATGTTAGCCAGGATGGTCTCAATCTCCTGACCTTGTGACCCTCTCGCCTCAGCTTCCCAAAGTGCTGGGATTACAGGCGTGAGCCACCGCGCCTGGCCTGCTGGTACGTTTCAATCCAGTATTATCTCATTCTGGCCTGTTGAGGTTGGCAGGAAGTATTCACCCCAGTTTTTCACAGAGTAAGCTGAGGCTCAAAGGACCGTGGTCAGTGGTAGAGGAGGGGTTGGGACCTGTGTCTTCTGGATGGCAACTCTGTGCTGTTTCCACCAGGCCATACTGAGTCATCTACCCTGACCCATCTGGTCTTCCCAGAGATCAGGGCTTACAGTGCTGTGCCTGCTGGCCAGGATGGGGGTATAACTCTTAACTAGGCACTGGAGGGTGGCTCATTAGTCTGAAGAGGTACTGAACCTGAGGCTTTGGCCAAACTCCAGAGCTGAGGACTCAGCTGAGGACCTGTTGCTTCAGCATGTCAAGAATAGGTGGACTGGGCCAGTTGAGGGTTGCCTGCCCTTCAAACCTCCTTCATCTGCTCCTTTTTCAGTGGCCCTTCTCCCGGTTCCTGTTCTTTCAAGAGCCGGCATCGGCCGTGGCCTCGTTTCTCAATGGCCTGGCCAGCCTGGTGATGCTCTGCCGCTACCGCACCTTCGTGCCAGCCTCCTCCCCCATGTACCACACCTGTGTGGCCTTCGCCTGGGTAGGTAACCTAGCAGGACTCCTGCTGTCTCCTCTTATCTAGGAAGGTGGAGCTCTACATCCCTATTAACACCCAACAGGGCTTCTACTTACCAGCTTCCCCTCTGTTTCCCAGGGCTAAAGTTGCAGCTGCAGGGTGGTAAAGCCTGGGGAGAAAACAGGGAGGGTGCTGAATCGGGCCTTACCTTTCCAGCAGAGCCCTAGGTCAGGCTGTTTGGGAAGGAGAGAGGAAAGAAGGGCATTTTTCTTGTCCTGAAGAAGGAAGCCACTAAAAGACCCAGTAGGACAGTTTACAAACACAGAGGGGAGATGGGGGGCTAAAGAGGATGCTGGGACCACAGGTCTTTCCAAGGGCCCTTCTGGAGGACTTGGAGCAATCTCAATTCCAGCCCAGGCCTGGTGGGGAGTCACAGCCATAGTCTCTGTGTAGAGCTCAGCCTAGTCTTTTTTTTTTTTTTTTTTTTTTTTTTTTTGAGACAGAGTCTCACTGTGTCACCCAGGCTGGAGTGCAAATGGCGCAATCTTGGCTCACTGCAACCTCCACCTCCTGGGTTCAAGCAATTCTCCTGCCTCAGCCTCCCAAGTAGCTGGGATGATAGGCGCGTGCCACCACACCTGGCTAATTTTGTATTTTTAGTAGAGACGGGGTTTCTCCATGTTGGTCAGGCTGGTCTCGAACTCCCAACCTCAGGTGATCCACCCACCTCGGCCTCCCAAAGTGCAGGGATTACAGTTGTGAGTCACTGCACCTGGCGAGCTCAGCCTAGGCTTAGACCATCCCTGGAGAAGCCCAGGTATGGTTACATCTGCAGGTGCAGAAAGGGCTGTCAGCTTCACAGTACGGCTGGTCTAAAGAGCTGTATTCAGGGCCTGGTATTGTGTGATAAGCACAGACTGGGGTGCAGATATGGACCGTGACGGCCTTGGGAAGGGTGTGAGAATGAAAGGTTGCAACGGATGTCTCTAGGTCGGAGCTGCCCCTGTAAGCCTTAAGGAAAAAATTTCCATTCACTCACCTTCCTGCTCTCACAGAAGCCATTCACTCAGGTGTTGAGCACCTACTATATGCCAGGCACTTTGCTGGAGATCCAGAAGTCTGCCCTCTGGTGCTAATCATACAATTGAATGTAAGAGTACAACTATGAAAAAGTGCAGTCGGGGAGAGGTGCTTCAGGGGTGTGTGTAAAGGCAGACCAAGACCAGCATGGGGCCATCAGGGAAGGCTTCCCTGGGGAAGGGGCATTAAAGGTAAGGTGGGAAGGATGCATGAATGTTAACTAGGTAAATTTGAGAAGAGTAAGGGAAGGCTTCTAAAGAGAAGTCTCAGAAAGTGCCCAGGTGGGAGAGAGGGAGGGTCATTCCAGGCAGCCTGACATGCAGGAAATCAGAGAGTGGGTGTGAGCTGGGCGGACTGATGGGTGGTGGATGGGGCCAGCCATGGAGAGCCTCACATTGGAGATCTTGACTCTCAAAGCATCAGGAAGTACGGAGGGATTTTATTTTATTTTATTTTATTTTATTTGAGACAAAGTCTCACTCTGTTGCCCCAGCTGGAGTGCAGTGGCGCTATCTTGGCTCGCTGCAACCTCTGCCTCCCAGTTCAAGCGATTCTCCTGCCTCAGCCTCCTGAGCAGCTGGGACTACAGGCATGTGCCACCATGCCTGGCTAATTTTTGTATTTTTAGTAGAGATGGGGTTTCACTATGTTGGCCAGGCTGGTCTTGAACTCCTGACCTCGTGATCCGCCCACCTCACCCTCCCAAAGTGCTGGGATTACAGGCATCAGCCACCGTGCTCGGCCTACGGAGGGATTTTAAATGAGGGTTGAGGAGAAAAGTTGTTTCATGAATAGATTTGCCCTTTGGAAAGCTCATTCTGGCTACTGTGTAGAGAACAGATTGAAGGGGGCGGGAGTGGATGCAGTAGACCAGTTGGTAGTTTTAGCACAGGGCCCAGTAGCTAGACTAGAGAGGTGGCATGGGTCTTGGGCATTGAAGAGAAGTACACTTGAGCTGTGTTTTGGAGGTAACATTAAAGCTTTTTAAAAATTTATTTCCTTAACAAATACATACATAGCTCATACTGTATGCCAGGCATCACTCTAAGCATTTTATAAGTATTAAGCTTGTTCATCCATAACAAGTGGCAAAAGACAAATTACAGCAAACTTACTTATAGAGCCAATTGGCTTTAATTTGTGATTCATGAATTGGTGCAGCCTCCGTTCTACAAAATAGAATGCAAGTTTCCATTGGGCAATAGCAGAACAGTGGGTTTTGTAAGGTGGGAACCAGGAAACAGAACAATAGAAAGAAACCTGATTGGTTAACATCAGATTTTTTTTTTTTTTTTTTTTTTTTTTTTTTTTTTTTGAGACAGAGTCTCACTCTGTCACCCAGGCTGGAGTGCAGTGGCGCCATCTTGGCCCACTGCAAGCTCTGCCTTCCGGGTTCACGCCATTCTCCTGCCTCAGCCTCCCAAGTAGCTGGGACTACAGGCGCCCACCACCACACCTGGCTAATTTTTTGTGTGTGTATTTTTAGTAGAGATGGGGTTTCACCATGTTAGCCAGGATAGTCTCGATCTCCTGATCTCGTGATCCGCCTGCCTCGGCCTCCCAAAGTGCTGAGATTACAGGCATGAGCCACTGCGCCCGGCCCACATCAGGTTTTTTTTTATAAGGGTTAAAGCAGAGGAGACTTCCTTACTTGGGTAGACTGGACTCTCCTGTTTTCAGGAAAAAGTGGTCTGTTTTGGGACCTATCAGTTACCTTAAAGTTTCAGTTTGAAGATCAAGTGCGGTGGCTCAGGCGTGTAATCCCAGCACTTTGGGAGGCCAAGGCGGGTGGATCACCTGAGGTCAGGAGTTCAAGACCAGCCTGACCAACATGAAGAAACCCTGTCTCTACTAAAAATACAAAATTAGCTGGGCATAGTGTTGCATGCCTTTAGTACCAGATACTTGGGAGGCTGAGGCAGGAAAATCACTTGAACCCGGAAGGCGGAGGTTGCGGTGAGCTGAGATCACGCCATTGCACTCCCGCCTGGGCAACAACAGTGAAACTCCGTCTCAGAAAAAAAAAAAGTTTCAGTTTGATTATGTGGCATTTAGCATGAGTGACTTCATTTTTGTCTGGTCTCTTGGGTCTAGTGCGGGGGCTCAATCCAGAACAATGGCCTCCCGTAATTTTTGTTTAACGCAGCTTATAGGTATTATTATTCTCATCCCCAGTTTATAGATGAGGAAACCAAGGACTGAAAAGGTTAAGTCCAGCCACAGATCACCGAGCCAGGGTTTGAATTCAGGCATCTGGCTCCAGAGTCCACACTTTCAACATCTTGGCTATGCTGATAAACTTCAAGAGTGGATTAGATGAGGAAAGAGCAGTAAGGGATGACCCCTTGTGTTTCTGCTTATAAGACAGTGATGGAGGCCGGGCGCAGTGGCTCACACCTGCGGTTCCAGCACTTTGGAAGGCTGAAGTGGGCGGATTGCTTGAGCTCACAAGTTCCAGACCACCCTGGGCAACATGGTGAAACCCCGTCTCTACCAAAAATACAAAAAAAATAAGCCAGGCCTGGTGGCACATGCCCGTAGTCCCAGCTAGTAGGAGGCTGAGGTGGGAGGATCACTTGAGCCCAGGAGGTCGAGGCTGCAGTGAGCTGTGATCCTGTCACTGTACTCTTGTTGCTCTAGCCCGGGTGACAAAGGGTGACCTGTCTTTAAAAAAAAAAAAGACAGTGATAGAAGCTGTGGGTGTGGATGAGATCACCCCAGGAGAGCCTAGTGAAAAGAGAAGGGATCTAGGGCAAAGCCCTGGGGAACCCCAAAATGTAATGGCTGGCTAAAGGAAGATGAGCCAGACACAGAGACAGAAGGAGTAGCCGGAGGGGCAGGTGGAGAACTGGGAGATAGTGTGCTTGGATTGTGCTTCCCGGGATGAGCACAGGAAGGAGAGAGGCTTCTGCTGTCCTGAATTGTACACGTGAGAACTGAAGGAGACCCCGGAATCTGGAGACACAGAGGTCTCTAGGGCCTTAGAAAAGCTGATAGATGGGGCGTGCTGCGAAGTCCAGGCCGAGCCTTAGACTTGGGAGGTGGGCGTGGGAAGGAGGTCAGGGAAGGAGGCTGTTAAACCTCTGGGAAATATGGACCCTCCTTAATACTTCCTATTCAACAACTATTAATAACAGTTGTGATAAATTAAGGAACAGGAGCCATGTGACAGGCTTGTCTGAAGCACTTTACATACATTTCCTTATTTCATCCTCATAGTACCCTTATGAGCTCTGAGTTAGATTCAGAGGGGAAAAAAACTTGCCCAAAATGCACAGCTAACAAGTTAGCAAGGAATAAAGACAGGGTTGGTGTCCAGGGCTGTCTGGCTCCAGGGCCTGAGAACTTAGCTCTTCTTCTAGGCCACTCCGTGTCCTGTGATGAGTGTCCATTGAGCATTTGCTGGGGGTGGAGACAGGGTTTAGCACTTGTGGAGGCTGAATCCCCTGCCCCAGGGAGCTAAGCATAGTGGGAGGTGCAGTTCTGGGCAGCCTGGGCAGCAGACGGCAGGCAGAGTCAAGGGGTGCTCCGGTAGAGAGCCCTGGGAGTCGTGAGGTGGGGAGACCGCGTCCTCTAACTGGGGAAGTCTGCCAGGCCAGGGAAGCCCGGGGAGGAGGAGAGGTTTAATCTGGGACTTAGACACATACATGTGTGGGGCAAGGCTTAGACACATACATGTGTGGGGACAGGGGATTGAATTCCAGCATTCCAGGAAACCTTGGCCCCATTGTAGCTGTGTGAATAGGAGTAGAAGAGTAGATGGAGCAGAGAGGCCCCTGAGTGCCAGGCTGAGGGCTAGGGGCTCTGATGTAGGCAGGGCCTGGCATCGGCACACACTGTCACAGGCTGGGTGAGATAAAGCCACCACTTCCTGTGTAGGCCTCTTGGAGCGAAGCAAATTTAGTCCTGGCTAAGAAAGCAGGAAGGGCAGGGAAGCTGAGGACGTTACACCTGTCTGCTTTCCTTTGGGGTTCTTCCACGGACACTGCTTGTCTGGGCCCACAGCGTGTACCACCCACTTGTCCCCACCTCTACTAGAGAGCATGGGACAGCCCTGCCTGAACTCTGAAGAAGCTTAGAGCCTTCTTAGATCGGAGGGTCCCACCCCTTGTCTTTATAACATGTGCCAGAGGCCAGGGGTCACTTCACAGATCTGGTCTTGTCATCCCTGATTCTTGGATTTTTCACCTCAATGGTATCTGCAACTCAGCTTCCTTCTTGGAGAGGGGGGTCACACTTCCCCAGGGTAGCCTGCAGTCCAGTGTGACTAAGGACCCTAGAGAAAAAGCAGCAGATGGCCGGGCATGGTGGCTCACGTCTGTAATCCCAGCACTTTGGGAGGCTGAGGCAGGTGGATCATCTGAGGTCAGGAGTTAAGACCAGGCTGGCCAACATGGTGAAACCCCGTCTCTACTAAGAATACAAAAATTAGTCAGGCGTGGTGATGGGTGCCTGTAATCCCAGCTACTCGGGAGGCTGAATTGCTTGAACCTGGGAGGCAGAGGTTGCAGTGAGCCAAGGTGGCGCCACTGCACTCCAGCCTGGGTGACTGGGCGAGACTCCATCTCAAAAAAAACAAAAACAAAAACAGAAAAAGCAGGAGATGTTAGATGTTGGGGTGGTAGAAGGCAGATAGTTGGGCCCTGTGTGTCTTATGGGATGTGGGGTTCTGGGACATGGGACCCCCTCATGCTCTCACTAGGCCTTCAAGAAACAAAGCCTCAGAACCCACACTCCTGTGGATGGCCTAGTTTGGCTTTCCCAGTTGCTCTTGGGCTTCCCAGTTGCCCTGTGAGTTTCTGCAGGAGGGAGGGATCCTGAGCTGTATGGAGGGTGCGGCAGTGGACTTTGACCTGGGCCTTCTGGGGCACTGAGGCTCCTGATTTCTGTTGGGGTGAGGATAGGAAGGCAAGGTCCCTCACCCGCTCCGGGCTAAGTCTTGGGGGAAGGGTACCTCAGCTTTGCCTCTGGGAAATGAGGAGACCCCGCCCTCCAGCAGGACTCATGATAACGCTGGCACAAGAAGGCAGCCCTTGCCTTGCCATTTAGGCCTGGGCTTGGGCTGGGGAGCAGCCAGGCGGCGGGTGGGGAGCCTACCAAAGCTCCGCATACCATGTCTCTTTGACTTCACGGAGTAGGGGCCCCTGCTGTGTGCCAAAGCCAGAAGGCCAAACCAATTCCCCAGGCCTTCATCCAGTCAGGAAAGGTCCTCAGGTGTAGAGAGGAGGGTGAAGTGGTGGGAAGCCCAAACCATCTCTGTAGAGTGGTTTGTGTAGGTGGGGACTGATTCTTCTCTTCCTCTGTTAAGCAAACTACAAGAAGAGGTAGGTTGCAGCTGTAGTAGAATGATGGTTAGACTTCAGGAAGGACTTCCCATGGTCAGACAAGAGCTAGTGGAACAGGCAATGGCAGGAAATCAAGGGATCCTCTGGGATCTTGGAAAAAGCCCTCCTTCTCCCATCCGCATCCACCTCTGTCTCCCTTCTCTCAGGAGTGAGCTGGGGCTGGCCTGCCCTGCCTGAGGCAGGGGGTGAGACACTGTGGCCTCCAGAGGAGCCCAGGATGGCAGCAGGCATCATATTTAACATTCTGCCTCCCCCACTTCTGAGACACTGAGCTATTTTAAGCCCCACTTGTCCCCACCGCCATGGTGTCAATGACAGCCCCGAGCACTGGGGCTTAGCGCCGGGTCGAATTCCTGACAGATCTGGCTCACTTGGCATCCAACCAGTTTCACGGCTGTGATATTTTTGTCTCGATTTTCTTATTTCCAACAGACTGAAACAGCCTCTTGCTCTCCCTCCACCCAGTCTCCTATTCCACCCCCACTGGCACCCTGCCCCTGGCCACCCCCTCTCCTCAGTGTTTACGCAAAGCTCTGGGTGCCTGCTGGGCAGCCTGTCGCCCTCCTGGCCAGTTCCCCTCCCTGCCCCCCTTCACTTGAGCGTGGCAAGGAGTCCGAGAGTAGCCGTGCCTTGGCATCTTGGAACTCTCCTTCCTTCCAGAGCCCATCTTTCCCCTTTGCTTGCTCTTGATGACAAACTCTGAGTGAGGAGAAATGGATCTGTTCGGTTCACATTGATGGGAACATGGCTCCAGAGGAAGGAGGAGGGGCTCTTCCTATAGCTGAGGTGTCTCCGTTCTGGAATGGAGAGACCCTGAGGCCCCATAGTTTGACCTCAAACTTTGTGACCCTTGCGGAAAGGGAAGTTGAGGGGCAGGTGAACGGGCGTGGTGAGAGTCAGTCTACTGGACCTGATGAAGGAAACTGACATTGATGGGCACCTACTATGGACCAGGCAGCAAAACCAGCAGCCATTCAGAGGAGTTCCTTGGTGCCAGGCATTCCGCAGACCTCGTCCTCATGGCCTCCTGTGCAGTGAGCATCATTATGAACCTGTTTTGTAGGTGAGGCAGTGGAGGCTCACACATACTGGGTTATGTGTCCAAGGTCACACAGCTGCGTAGGGGCTGAGGCAGGACTTGAATGCAGACTCTGTCTCATTGTGAAGACTGGACACTCTTCCCCCAGCCTGGAGCTGTGGAGGTGGGCCTAGGCAGCTAGGAGACCACCCCTTATCTGCCTAAACATCCTTGGCCTGCAGGGAGAGTGGGAGGCAGACATCCTCTTAGGCCTCAGTTCTATGGGAAGCTGACGGGGTTCTGTGCTGGTCAGGCAAGTGGAGAGAACACTCATGTTTCAGCCTGTCCTGGGCTCTGTGCTGTACGCTGTATTTGTATTGCTCATTAAACCCTTATCAACTATGATTATTCCCATTTTGCAGATGAGAAAACTGAGGCACAGCAAGGCTAAATAACTTGCCCAAGGACACACAGGAAATGCAGAGCCAGGAACTGAACCCTGGCAGTCTGGCTGTAGGGCTTGCATTCTTAATGATACCACTACCTCCCAAATCTGAGGAAAGGGTGAGAAGAGGAGCACCCCCAGAGTGGGATGCTCCCCAGGGGGGAGGGGCTTTTCAGGGGTGCAGAGGCCAGGCTTCAGGTGGGTCTCTGTGAGTGGAAGGCACCCAGGGAGGCGGTTGGAGAGGGGACCCAGCAGCCCCACCCATCCTGTGGCCCTACGCATATGTTTGCCCGCACACACACCCCCTGCTTTCGGTGTTCTGAGCCACTTAGCTCAGTCCTGCAGTCCTCTTCTCACCTCCCCCTTCCTGCTGTGGGTGACAAGGAGGCCTGGCTGGCTGCCAGTCCCTGCCGCCTTCCTCTTCTCCTTCCCACATTGGCTCCAGGGCCACTCTCCTCCCTAAGGATGTCCCTGTTCCTGGCCTGCCAGGGAGAACTGGTCCATGTGATTGCCTGGGTCCCGTCTCCAGCCCAAGCCTGCTCCTCTCCCCATGCTGACTCTAAGCTTTTCAGACTGTGGGAGCAGTGTCTGAGAAGCCACCAGGTTCAGTCCTGTTGTGCAGCCTCCATGCCTGTCTCTGGGGAGGGGGCTGCAGCAGGGCAGAGCCTTGAGTCTGGTGGAAGGGACAGAGTGGCCATCCTCAAAGGAGGAAGCAGCCTGCCCTAGACCACACCACCTAACGCCAGGCTGGAAAGGAACTGAAGTTTCACTTGAGCCATGATTTGTCCCGGGGGAAGCTTGGGCTGAGAAGGGCAGGGCCCTTTGACCAGGTCAAGAGGAGCAGAAGCAGCAAGGCTCAGCCCAGAGCCCAGGCCAGACAGGGGCACTAGGCAGCCTTGCGCCTTCCAGAGCTTGGCACCCCGAGAACCTGACTGGCTGTGCAGCAGTTCTGCCCCGCCTGTACCCCTTCTCCTCCCATTCTCTCCTGAGCTCCCCAGACCTGCATTTGGAATGCATCTTACTGTCTGACCTGCCTGCTACAGTGCCAGACAGAGTGTAGCTTCTTGCCCCCTCCCTCTGTCCCCTGCCTGGCCAGTTTTCCTGGTACATTGGAGCCAACTGAGCAGTTCCTGGCCTTTCCTCATCTCCGCCAGGCCTGTCCCACCCTAGCGCATCCCTCCCCACCTCCAGGCCATTCCCGGCCTGGCCTGCTGTTCCTTTGGTTGTCACGATTTCCCAGCCCTTCCCTTCAGCCCACCCTGCTTTCAGCAGTTTGGGCCTTTGCTGTGGACACAGCAGTCCCTGAAGAAAGTGCCAGCACCAACGCCCACAAGCTCTTAGGCTCATTCGCTAGATAACTTTTGTGCTCTCTCCACGCAGCTAATTTCCAGGAAGAAGGCCTCAAACATTCCCCTGGGCCCTGGCCCACCACAGCCCCTCCAGTCCTGCCCTCTACTCCTCCCAGGCTCGGGAGCAGCCACTGGTCTGGCGGGTTGGGCAGGCCCAGCCAGGAGGAAGCTGGGCTTGGTTCACCCTCCTCCTGGGAGCCTGTGCCCCAGTGGGATCTGCTTGATCTCCCTCCCCTGCTGCTTGGAACACACCCCAAGCTGGCTCGAGCCCCTCCACCCCACCCACCTCATTCCCGCCCCCAGAGGCTGAGGTCACTGGCTCCCCTGGGCCCGGGTGGGGTGGTGCTGTCAACACCTGCCGGTTGGAGGAGGAGGCAAGGCCCCTGGGGGCTGTTGTCTTAGCAATTGAGTAACTAGGGAGCTTGGCTATACCGGAACTGGTTCCCAGGCCAGGCCGGAACCTGTGGAGGCTGCAGCCCCCCGTGGCCTTGGGGGTTTGGGGTGGCAGGAAGTCCACCCCAGGGACCCTGGCTGGGTGGGGGTAGAGGGACATAGGTTTGTTCAGAGGGCTCCAGGGGCAGGAAAAGCACATTTCTTGTCCTGCAGAGCCCCTTCCCAAAGGTGAAATGGATGTGAGCAAATGGGGGTCCCTGCCTTGAGGTCAGGGTGGGGGGCAGCATGCTCACCAGCCCCTCCCTCCTTAGGTGTCCCTCAATGCATGGTTCTGGTCCACAGTTTTCCACACCAGGGACACTGACCTCACAGAGGTGAGCATTCCTCCAGCTCCCCCTCCTGCACAGGGTGGTCCCAGAGGAGCCCAGAAGTGGGCAGAGGGGCTCTAGAGGGTCATGCCAACTCCCTCTGAGGAGCACTGGGAGGAGTATGGGGTGGGCATCCTAAACCTGTTGGTGCCCTTGATCCTCAGTGAGCCTCATCAGGTGGGGATGAGTATTCGCTCTTCTTGCCTGATGAGGCAGCTGAGCCTTCGACAGGGGGACCACATGCTTAGGGGCACCCAGCCAGTGAAGGGTTGCCACAGGACGTGACCCCATGGCTGTCAGACTCCACACTGTGCTCTGAATTCTGTGCAGCGTGGTCATGTCCTGGAGCCTCAGCAGGAACCCTCCACCAGCGTCCCTAAAGCCTTGTTCCTGGGCACATTTTTAAAAACTTGTATGGTGATGTGAACACAAGACTCAGTCAGAGTGAAACAGTGATAGGCAGGCCCAGGACCCCGGCCCCTCTCTGCCACTCCTCCATGCCCCCATCCCCGCGGGTCCTCTCCGTGAAGCCTCATGCTGGTCCCTCACCACCCTTCCCTGTCCTCAGAAAATGGACTACTTCTGTGCCTCCACTGTCATCCTACACTCAATCTACCTGTGCTGCGTCAGGTGAGCCTGCCTGGGTGGCTGCAGGGGCAAAATCGAACCCTGGGGGCAGAAAGGGGTCACCCAGCCTTCCCCTGGGGGCCTTCTTCACTAGTCTCCCAACACCTACGCCCCCCAACCCCCAACACATCAGCTGTCCTGGGTGAGGACTCTGGGGTAGGACTGGGGGCCCTGGCTCCTGACAAGGAGCTGTAGCACTTGCTGCCCAGCTGTGGCCTGTTTGGTGGGGAGAGGGGTAGTGACTTCAGGGGCCATGCACCAATGTTGGGGGGAGGAGATGCTTCAGGGAATGCTGCTCTGGGGATGGGCCACCTGCCCTCTGAGCAACCCTGGACGGTGGGGCAGGACCGTGGGGCTGCAGCACCCAGCTGTGGTCAGTGCCTTCCGGGCTCTCCTGCTGCTCATGCTGACCGTGCACGTCTCCTACCTGAGCCTCATCCGCTTCGACTATGGCTACAACCTGGTGGCCAACGTGGCTATTGGTGAGGCCCTGGGGGGCTTGGGCCATCTGCAGAAGTGCTAGCTTGGGGTGCGAGTGGGAGGTTGGTGCCATTCCTGGAGAAGGAGGTTCTAGAGAGACTCTTGGGGTAGAGGAATGGAGAAGAATTTGAGGTGGGAGAGAGAGGAGGCTGGGAGGAGAGTCCGAGGATGATCCTGGGGTCAGAGAGCATGGAGTTGGGGGTGGCCTTGGGGAGAAGGAGCCGAAGGAATGAGTCTCTCCTGCCCCCACTGGCACCCAGGCCTGGTCAACGTGGTGTGGTGGCTGGCCTGGTGCCTGTGGAACCAGCGGCGGCTGCCTCACGTGCGCAAGTGCGTGGTGGTGGTCTTGCTGCTGCAGGGGCTGTCCCTGCTCGAGCTGCTTGACTTCCCACCGCTCTTCTGGGTCCTGGATGCCCATGCCATCTGGCACATCAGCACCATCCCTGTCCACGTCCTCTTTTTCAGGTGGGTGCTGCCCCCTGCCTGGTGCTCACCTTCTTTGGACCCTTCCTTGCCCACTCCTTAGGGGAGATTGGGGGCTCTGTGTGCCCATCCGCCCCCTCCCACCTTGCCTGCATGCACCCCACCCTTGTCTCCATGCGAGCTGTCAGAGCTGTGTGCCTCAATGGGCTACTCCTTTGGCCCACAGCTTTCTGGAAGATGACAGCCTGTACCTGCTGAAGGAATCAGAGGACAAGTTCAAGCTGGACTGAAGACCTTGGAGCGAGTCTGCCCCAGTGGGGATCCTGCCCCCGCCCTGCTGGCCTCCCTTCTCCCCTCAACCCTTGAGATGATTTTCTCTTTTCAACTTCTTGAACTTGGACATGAAGGATGTGGGCCCAGAATCATGTGGCCAGCCCACCCCCTGTTGGCCCTCACCAGCCTTGGAGTCTGTTCTAGGGAAGGCCTCCCAGCATCTGGGACTCGAGAGTGGGCAGCCCCTCTACCTCCTGGAGCTGAACTGGGGTGGAACTGAGTGTGCTCTTAGCTCTACCGGGAGGACAGCTGCCTGTTTCCTCCCCATCAGCCTCCTCCCCACATCCCCAGCTGCCTGGCTGGGTCCTGAAGCCCTCTGTCTACCTGGGAGACCAGGGACCACAGGCCTTAGGGATACAGGGGGTCCCCTTCTGTTACCACCCCCCACCCTCCTCCAGGACACCACTAGGTGGTGCTGGATGCTTGTTCTTTGGCCAGCCAAGGTTCACGGCGATTCTCCCCATGGGATCTTGAGGGACCAAGCTGCTGGGATTGGGAAGGAGTTTCACCCTGACCATTGCCCTAGCCAGGTTCCCAGGAGGCCTCACCATACTCCCTTTCAGGGCCAGGGCTCCAGCAAGCCCAGGGCAAGGATCCTGTGCTGCTGTCTGGTTGAGAGCCTGCCACCGTGTGTCGGGAGTGTGGGCCAGGCTGAGTGCATAGGTGACAGGGCCGTGAGCATGGGCCTGGGTGTGTGTGAGCTCAGGCCTAGGTGCGCAGTGTGGAGACGGGTGTTGTCGGGGAAGAGGTGTGGCTTCAAAGTGTGTGTGTGCAGGGGGTGGGTGTGTTAGCGTGGGTTAGGGGAACGTGTGTGCGCGTGCTGGTGGGCATGTGAGATGAGTGACTGCCGGTGAATGTGTCCACAGTTGAGAGGTTGGAGCAGGATGAGGGAATCCTGTCACCATCAATAATCACTTGTGGAGCGCCAGCTCTGCCCAAGGCGCCACCTGGGCGGACAGCCAGGAGCTCTCCATGGCCAGGCTGCCTGTGTGCATGTTCCCTGTCTGGTGCCCCTTTGCCCGCCTCCTGCAAACCTCACAGGGTCCCCACACAACAGTGCCCTCCAGAAGCAGCCCCTCGGAGGCAGAGGAAGGAAAATGGGGATGGCTGGGGCTCTCTCCATCCTCCTTTTCTCCTTGCCTTCGCATGGCTGGCCTTCCCCTCCAAAACCTCCATTCCCCTGCTGCCAGCCCCTTTGCCATAGCCTGATTTTGGGGAGGAGGAAGGGGCGATTTGAGGGAGAAGGGGAGAAAGCTTATGGCTGGGTCTGGTTTCTTCCCTTCCCAGAGGGTCTTACTGTTCCAGGGTGGCCCCAGGGCAGGCAGGGGCCACACTATGCCTGCGCCCTGGTAAAGGTGACCCCTGCCATTTACCAGCAGCCCTGGCATGTTCCTGCCCCACAGGAATAGAATGGAGGGAGCTCCAGAAACTTTCCATCCCAAAGGCAGTCTCCGTGGTTGAAGCAGACTGGATTTTTGCTCTGCCCCTGACCCCTTGTCCCTCTTTGAGGGAGGGGAGCTATGCTAGGACTCCAACCTCAGGGACTCGGGTGGCCTGCGCTAGCTTCTTTTGATACTGAAAACTTTTAAGGTGGGAGGGTGGCAAGGGATGTGCTTAATAAATCAATTCCAAGCCTCACCTGCCCTTGTTCAGCTCATTTGTGTGAATAGGGTGGGCTGGAGGGCAGGAGAAGACAGTTGTGGCGGCAGGGGCAGGTCCCAGAGCTGGCTGGAGGCAGTAAACAGAGGTGAGGTCTCTGCCTGGGCACGTGGCATGGGGAATGGCAGGCCCCAGAGGCAGAGCTGGGCAGAACTCAAGTCCAGTTGTGAGAGGGAGCTGGAGCCAGTTCTTTCCCTTTCACTTCCCTCGGCCATTGTGCTTCAATCATAACACCCCCACCTCCCCACCACCTTGCAGATTCTACTTCCATCTCCTCATGATCCCCACTCTCCCTCGTTCTGGTCTGAAGCAGTCTGCACTGTTTGTGACTTCACCTCTCTGAGCTTCACCTGGAAACAGACTAGCAGGACCTGCTGCTGAATGCAGGAATGAATGATGCGATGGACACAATGGCATATCACAAGTGCCTGGTGCACTGCAGGTGCCCGGTGAGCTCCCCTGACCTTGGCCTTCCTTAGTTTGGGAAGAATGAGTGGTACAGAATGCTAGCCTCAAGGAAGCTTCTGGAAAAAAAGCCTAGGGTGAATGTCTCCCCTACCCGGACACTCAGATCTCTGGGCCCTTGCTGCTTCCCAGGAGAGCCACACACAGCACTGACCGCAGCGGCAGGGTATTATTTCTTTATTAGGTGCCACTTCAAAGAACAGGGAATCCAGGTGGGTGGGGGCCACAGGGCACCAGGTACAGCCCTCACAGCCCAACCTTCTGAGCCCAGGCGAAGAAGACGCCCTTGACATCATCTACGCCTGTCTGAAGGTGGGCAGGCATGATATAGGTGCGGAGGTCCCGGACCTTGTAGCCACTACGCACCAGGGCCTCCCTCACCTCCTCCTCAGACACTGGCACCACCGTCAGCCTGGCCTCCCCAGCCAGGTACCACGACTCCTCCAGGGCCCCGATGAGGAGGAGGTGCCCCCCAGGCCTCAGCAGCGTGGTGATGTGGTCCAGGGCCCGCTGAAAGCTGGCAAGATCTGGGCTCACAGCCTCCAAGCAGAAGGCAGAGACCAGGGCGTCAGCAGGCAGGGGAGCTGGGCTCCCAGCACCCAGGGGCTGGGGCTGGTGCACGTCGATGGGCAGGACCCGTTTCACCCTGGCTCGCAGCTGGCGCTCCTTATCCTGCCAGCATTCCCTGTGCAGGAGGCACAAGGCAGGGCTCAAGGCTGTTCTACGCTCAGGCCTCTGTTGCCCCAACCAGCCACTCTATGGGAAGCCTCCTCCCCAACCCTCACCCCCCAGTCCTTACCCCTTGCCCTCAATGAGGCAGGCATGTTGGCTGTACATGCTCCAGTTGAAGGCCCCCGGCTCCTCCTGCAGCCAGCGCCCCAGCTCCTGGCGGTTGACCTCCAGGAAATCTGTCATGGTGATGTCCTCAAAGTGGCTGCAGGCACTGAGCAGCTGGTACACGGTGGGGCCTGAACCAATGTCGATGAGGGTGCGTCCGGACACTTCACCTGGGCAGGGCAGAGGAAGAGGGTCCTGGTGCCAGCCAGCCCAGGCAGCCCCTGCCTCCTTACCCTTCCCTCCCCTGCATCTCCCTGCCTCTCTCTAGTTCTTCCTTCTCCTCTGCAAATGTGTCTCCATCTGGAAAAAGCATTGGCCCCAGAGTTAGACTGAACCCAGCTCCAACATGGGCTGCCCTTCGGAAGGGAACTTCACCGCTCTGAGACTCAGGTTTCACATCTAGAAGACTATACCTACTGGCCGGGCGCAGTGGCTCACACCTGTAATCCCAGCACTTTGGGAGGCCGGGGTGGGTGGATCCTAAGGTTGGGAGTTCGAGACCAGCCTGACCAACATGGAGAAGTCCCGTCTCTACTAAAAATACAAATAAATTAGCCAGGCATGGGGGCGCATGCCTGTAATCCCAGCTACTAGGGAAGCTGAGGCAAGAGAATCGCTTGAACCGGGGAGGCGGAGGTTGCAGTGAGCCGAGATGGCGCCATTGTACTCCAGCCTGGGCAACAAGAGCGAAACTCCGTCTCAAAACAAATAAAAAATAAAAATAAGTAAATAAATGAAAATAAAATAAAGAAAAAGAAAGAAAACAACTATACCTACCAGCCAGGCTCAGCGAGGAAATCCTGGCAGTTTCTCACCCCTGTCCCACATCTGCCTCCATTTCCTCCTATGCATCTCCACCTCAGTCTGTCCTGCATCCCCCACCTTAGCTCTCAATTCTGAGCACTCTCCGCCCCCTCTCTCCACCTCTCTCTCCTCTGCCCCTCTCCTAAGGGATGTTGCTCTTTTTTCTCTTCTGTTTGCACCTCTCAGCTATCTCTTGTTTCTTGGTCCCCATCTGTTAGGCGCCTGGTCTGTCTCCCTTTCCTTCTTTTTATTTCCCTGCGCCTGCTTTCACTCCCCGACGACCTCTTGTCCCTCGTGCCTCAGTTTCCCCCGCTCACCGGTGGCGAAGGTCTGCGCCAAGCAGCGCAGCTTCCACGGCCCGACGCCGTTCGGGTTGCACAGGTCCCCGCGAGGGGGCGCGTAGTTGTTGCGGAGGTAGGCGCGCGGCTCGAAGCGCTGGTAGGCCGAAGCCACCGCCGCCTGGCCCGGGGCCGAGTCAGGGGCTGCGCCCGCATTGGGGCTACGGTCTGCGCCGCTCATGCTGCCGCCGCGGTCCGCCCAGTGCCCCGCTCGCCTCGCGGCCCTTTTTTCTACCGCCCGACCCCCGCCCCGACCGGTCCGCTGTGGGGGCGGCAGCTGACCGCCGAGCCGCCCGGGGCCATGTGCGCCGCATCCTCCCCACCCATTCATCCATCTCCCTTAGTGTCCGGGCTGCAGACACACCGGAGGTGAGTGGGGCGGCGGCTGCAGCGGCAATCGTCCCCCACACCCCCGGCTCCGTACTTGCTCCCGCAGCCCTCGCCCTCCGCCTCGCCTGCCCCGCCCCGAGTCCCGCCTCTGGGCGCCCCCCACCCTCAGTTCCTCACCCCCACAATCTTTAGACCCCCTCACCCCCGCCGGCCGGCCCCTCCCATCTCTCTTCTCCAGCCCCCCGCAGCCATTCACCTCTTTTGCCCAGCAGCCCGCCCCTTCTCTTTCCTGATTCGAGGTGGAGACTGGGGAATTAGGCCCTTTCCCCAGTTTCCCCCTCGCAGCGCCCTCCGCGACGAGGCCCCAGACCCCGCCAGGCTCCCCTCCCTCCCGGACACCCGTCCCAGCACCCACCCTTCCCTTAGAACTGCCACACAACTCCCCCTCCCCGCCCCTCCTCCAGGCCTCTCTCGTCCGTTGCTATGCCACCGGGCCCTCCAGCGACACCCCCTCCCCACCCCGCCCCAGAAAGGACAGTCCGTTCCGGCCTCCGCTGTGGTCGCTCCGGGGGCCCCAGAGCAGGGCGCGGCACTGCCCGTCCGATGGCAGGCGCGATAGGGGAGGTGAGCTGTGCTAATGCACTTAGCGGGCGGAACAGCCGGGCCTCCCCTGCGGGCCCCGCGGGTTCCCAGCCGCTTATCTGGGGGCTCCCGAGGACAGAAGGTTCGGGTTCGGGTTGTTCCCGCCACTTCGGGGGCGGCGCCGGACCCGGGTGAGGGCAGAGGGCTTGGGCAGGGGAGGGGCAGGACGCATTCGCGGAGGGCCGCCGGGGCCACCGGGGAGCGCAGTCCGGGCCTTGGGGCCCAGCCGATTTGGGGTCCTGCGGATGTAGGGGCTCTGACCCCACTCCTCTCGCAGCCCACCCTCCAGCTTCCCTCCGAAGGAGCGGCCAGGCCAGGCATGAAGATTCTGCTCAGCACCCCAGGTTCTGGCTGTCAAAATGCCAGGGTCTCCCCACCTATCTCCCAGATGGGAAGCCAATTCTGCCTGTGGCATCTCCGTGGTCTTCCTGAAGACCCCTTCCTTCCCCTCTGGATGAGTCCCGGGCCCTTCTGCCCTGGGTAGGTCACCAGCCCAGCTCCTGCCACCGTGGGTTCCTGGCCCCGCTTGATGTGGGCCTCCTCCATGCCATTCCCTCCCCCTTGTCCCCAGGGGAAAGTCTCCTTGGGAGAGGCAGCTAGGTTGGGACATGAGTCACCACAACAGCTGCAGGGGTCACAGAGGGGAGCCTGACCCCCTAGCACCTCCAACCTTCCCTGGCTTCCAGGGCAGGGGGTGTGGAGCGAGACACAGCTGAGGATTGATTCTGTCTGGATTCAGAACTGAGAGGCAGGTTAGTTTTAGAGGTCACTGACCCCGTTCACACCCCGAGGCAAAGCCAAGGACAGTCCTGGCACCAGCCCCTCCATATTCTCCACGAGACATCATTGAAACAAACCCTGGATGCGGATGCCAGCTGGCTTGCTGGTTACCACCCAGTGCCAGGGGGCTGGACACAGAAGCCAGGACTGGGCAGCGGTCAGGGTACGGGAAGGAGACTGGAGACAGCACCCTGTTTACAGCTCTGTCCTGCCCCCACCCCCACCCCAAGTATGGGGTGTACCCATTAGCTCTGCCATATTTAGCTCAGATGCGGAGCCTGGTCCCAGAAGTGGGCATTGAGGGGACACCCATGGGCCAGCCCCCCCAACCACAAGGAAAGAGATGCAACTCTGGCACATGATTGAGCATTTATTGCGGCACTAACAGAGGGTGCTGGGGGCCCCACCATCCTTGCCTCTGCCCTTTTCACCTCCCCCTCCCTCCCAGCTTCTTCTGCCTAGAGCGTTCCAGATTCCCCTCACATTTTCCTGGATCAGGGCCACTCCTCCCAGGCACCTCTTGCCCTCACCAGTACCTTTTGTCCCTTCTCCTGGGGCTGAGGGTCCTCAGCTGTGCTGGCCCCCAACTCTCCACCCTTAGTGCCCACTGTCTCTGCCACCCTCCCTTTGGGAACTCAGGGGGCTCAGGCATCCTGGCCTCTGGCTCCCCCCTCCCCTAGCCCCCAACTCTGGGCAAACTACAAAGCAGCCATGGCCAGCAGCTCCCCTCCACAGTCCTAGCCAGGAAGGGCCCAGCCCAGGGCGGGCACAGCGGAGCCCAAGTCACAGTCCCTCTCAGCCTCTCTGTGCTTCCTGGGACATGGAGCGGGACAGGGAGCGACGAAGTGCACCGGGCTTGCTGACAGGCACCACAGGGGGCAGCTGCTTTGTGATCTCAGCCACCTCCTGGCGGTCCACACACTGGCCACCCAGGGCTGTCTCCAGCGCCAGCAGCTCCTGAAGCTGGATGGGGGTGTCCTCACGCTCCTCCTTGGTGGCGCCCATCTTGGCAGGGGTGAAGATGGGCAGCGGCAGTACCCGCTGGTAGGGCAGCTGGTACTCCTGCAGCCCACGGCCGAGGATGCCCATCCGCATCATCAGCCAGGGCGAGCGCTGCACCAGCACCTGGCACTGCCCCTGCTGGTGGTAGGTCTCATGTCTCTGGGTGTCCTCCTCATGCAGGGAGCAGCTGGGGAGAGGGGAGGGGCAGTGAGCTCCTGGGAGCTGTTGCTCTCTGGGCACAGGCTGGGTGGGGGGCTCCCCTGGGCTGCTGGGACCTGGGGGCAGGAAGGGTGGTTCCCCTTTGCTCTCCCCATGGGGCATTCTTCCTGCCCCCACCCCCAGAAATTTCTCCAGGGCTTCATGCTCTGGCCTCATGGCTCAGTGAGGGTGCTCTGGGGGAGCAGAGGCAGGGCTCTAGCAGACCCACACTCACCCCTCCTCGGGCCGTGTGGACAGTGTCAGATCCTTCCATTCTGCCCAGAAGGCCTCCCGGCGCTCACAGTTCTCCTCCGACACCTCGCAGCTCAGCTCTGAGGTAGCCATGATCACTCCTCATTCTCTCTCCCCTCCCAGGCCCTTTAAATAGCCCCCTCCTCCCCCTTCTCCAGGGGCTATTTTCGGCCCCTCTGGTGTCAGATGCTATAAGTAGAGCCAAGACTCACTAATGGGGGGACGCCGGACCCAGGGCAGGGGTTGGGGTACCTGGACGCTGGCTGCCCCCCGGTCAGAGGTCTGGGGTCCAAGGTCCTGGGGTCAATGCCTCCAGGTGCCTGACATTACTCAGACACCGTCTCATGCCAGCCACATGCCCAGCCTTGTGCCCCCCTGGCACTTGCCCTCTGCCCCACCCACTCCCCTTTGCAGGGAGGACAGCAGCTTGTCTGTAAACAGAGCAGGACCAGCAGGAACTGATGCCCCCTCTGGGCTCTGTACCAGGGCTGCCAGGTCCTGCCCTGGCTGTGCTCTCCTCTGCCTGGGCTCAAGGGCATATCCCCAGAAGGGAGAGTGCAACCACGTCCTCAGGCGCCTGCACCAAAGGCCTAGTGCCTAGTCCCCAGTCACCCTCACCACACCAGCAGGGGCGGAGACAGTCAACTTCATGCCTGGGAACCTGGGGCATGAGCCTTGGCCAGGTGTTTTCCTTCCCCATGGCCAGTGGTCAGGTAAGTGGTCTTAGGAGACAGGTCTCAGGAGACAGTCAGGCTAGTAGGGGTGGAGGGCCCCCAGTTCTACCCCAACACCTGTGTTGGGTGAAATGGGAATCCAGGGGCTCTGATGGGTGATAGTCAGAAGGCCTGGCTCCAGATCAGCCATAAATAGGCTGTGTGACCATGGGTCAGTCCCTGCCCCTCTCTGGGCCCCTTTCCCCACTTTCTGGCCACTGCAAGAGGACCAGAAGAGCTCTGGAGCCTGCCCGCTCTGATGTGCTACCTGGGAGGGGACTGGCTCTTCTTCATGGGGAGCAGGGGAGACAGATGGCTGTGGGGACAGTCCAGCACCCCAGGAGTAGCAACTCATGGTGCAAGAGGCTGGCAGACAGGTGGTGGGTGTGGGGGGATGAGGAGTGAGAACACTGCCGAGTGGACAAAGGGTGGCAGGAGAGGCAGTGACAGGGGCTGAGCTGAGGACCCTGTGGGGACGGCAGAGTACCCAGGAGCACGTGGGTGCAGAACTGCAGACTATTGATTACTGAGCACTGTCCCCGGTTCTTCATATCTTTTAATCTCATAACAACCCTGTGACATCAGTCCCATTTTCATAAAGTGGGAAGCAGAAGCTGAGAGAGGTAGATTCGCCCAGGGTCACACACCTAGGCAGGACCGAAACAGGATCCACCTGGCTCTGAAGAAGCTGGCTCTGCTGGAAGCCTGCATGCAGGCAGGCAAGGGGGCAGGCCAGCCGGGAGGGAGGAGGAAGGCAGGCAGTGGCCTGGCCCCGCCCTGCGATCCGGGCTCCAGGCCGCCCCTGGTGTGAGTGCCGTGCGGGGAGAGGGAATGGGTGAGTGGAGTCTGGGAGGTCCGGGGCTCCAGGTGGCCTGGATCCCAGAGGTGCCTCAGTGACCCTGAAGCTCAGGCCCCATCTCCAGGCCACACAGTCAAGGCTTGCTGTGGGCACTGCCAGGTGCCCATACCCCCACCTCCATTCCTGGACTAGAGACTTTAAACTTGCCCCGCTGAAGCCTGGCAGGGGGCGGGGCATTTTTTTCTGACCAGTCATCTGCTCAGTTGAACTGGTCAGGAAAGCGGGGAGTGGGGGGTGGGCGGGGGGGGAATGGGGGGCATGTTTCAGGAACTGGCTCCCCGGGCTCCGCCCTCCTGTGAGCCCAGGAGAGGCTGTGTGAGGGGTCTTCCCTCTTCATCCAAGCTGCTGCCTGCCTTTCTCTTCCCTCAAGAGGCAAGGCAGTGGGAGGGGCTGGAATTTTTTTTTTTTTTTAAATTCATGTTTTTAATTGGCTTAATACAAAGGTCCCCCAGGAGGCCCTGGGAGGAGGGGGACAGCCTGGGAGAGGCAGAGATTCATGGCCAGCAGCCCACCCCCACCTGCCACCCACTCCCCAACAAGGGTCCCAGACTCTTTCAATAATCCTAAAAAAACCGACGAGAGCGCAGGCAGATGAAGAGCCCCTTCATCTTCACACGGGTGACAGGCTGCCCTGCCCTGCCCAGGGCCCTGGTCCTCCCCAGCCAAGTCAGGTGCCCAGCCCAGACCCTGCCCTGGCAAGGTGGGGCAGAGCAATCTGGTCCTCCAGGAGGCAGGGCGCCATGTAAACATCAACAGGCCAGACCCCACTTCCTCCAGCCAGTGGGGCCCCGGAGTCCAGTGCTCCACCCCACAGCCTGCTCAGTCAGTCAACTCCAGGCACTGCGTGGCTCGGTGGAGGGTGACAGCCTGGGGCCAGGTCCCATGTGGGCAGTGCGAGCCCAACTGGCACCCTTTCTGGCTCTGGAAGTGGTGGCGACAGGACCCTGGCCCGCAGGGTGGGAGGGGGCACAGTCACGCCCGGGCCCCCAGCTCGCTGATGCGCTGTCGCAGGTGAAAGGCAAATTCAAACATGGTGGCCGCGAGGCTCTGGTGGATGAGGTACCGGGGCAGGCGGCCCTGGGGGAAGGCAGGCAGAAGTCACACTTGATGGCCTGCCCTCAGCAGGGTCTCCCCTTGCAGCTGGCACCAGCAGGGGGGCTCTGGGCCAGAATGCAGGTGCAGCTCTGGAATCCAGCCTGGGTCGCCCTCTCCCACTCACCCCTGGCAGGAAGAACATGCTGGGCCTGGCTCTTGGCACCAGCAACACAAACAGACCAGGGTGGGGCCGGGCTGGCCACCAGCCACCCTTCCTCAGGGCCTCAGGACTCAGAGGTAAGAAGGGGGGGCACATGCCCTACAGCAACCCAGGGCTAAGAGACCATCTGGACCCTGACCCAAATTTTCAAGTAAGAAAGGTGGCTGACAAAGGGGAGGCCCAGGCATGGCAGAGAGCCCCCAAAGTCATGCAGCAACCAAGTCAGCAGCAGGGTCCCCTCCACTCCACAGAACCCACCTGGCAGCCCCCCAGCACCCCACCTTGAGATCTGTATTAAGAATCCAGACAAAGGTGCAAACACGGGGGTTACTGGCCGACTTGAGCACGATGAAGCCCCCAGGGCCATTCTCTCCCCTATGGAAAGAGGCATCATTGGGGGGACTTTGGAACAGAGTGAGGCCCTGACACCCCCCCGCAGCCCCTACCACTCACACTCCATTCTTGGCCCAGCTGGGACTGGGCTGGAAGCAGAAAGGCAGAGCTACCCTATCTGAACAAGGCTTAGCACAGGTGTCCCATGGGCTGCAGAATCGGCCCTCCACCCCCACCCACTCTGTGATGCTTGAATCCTCCTACAACGGCCTGTTGGTGCTTGCACACCCCCAGGGACAGAGAGCTCACCACCTTCCCAGCCCTCATACACTCTGTCCAGAGATTCTAGGTCAGCCCTGCTATGGCAGAGTAGGCTGGGCTGGCGCTTCTTACCCCTTCCCCTTCAGGAGGGGACACCTGCTCAGGAGAAGGCTAAGCCTGGGAGGCACGGTTCACATCCCATCACCATTTCATTCTCCCTCAGCTCCACTGAGCACACCTAAGCCCATTCTGCAGATAAGGAAGTTGGCATCCAGAGAGGAAGTGAGCTTCCCTGCACCCAGCAAGTCTGTCCAGTGCCCAAAGCAGAGCCTGGCATCCTATTCAAAGAACAGTGCTCCTGCTGGAACCCAGGAGGGGATGGGGAAGAGTGGGGTCTATGGGAGGGGGCCACCCGCAGCACCACAGCCTGACTGGACAAAAGGGAAGACTCCAGAAGCCCAGGCACAGATGCGGGAAGGCCATAATCCCTTTATCTTTGGGGGAACTCCTGAGCCACTCCAGAGAAAGATGACGGAGTGAGGACAGGGTGAGGAGGACGAAAGGGGACCCGAGTCTCCTTAGGCAGGAAGATGAAACCCAGAGCATAGAGCCTCCTGCTCAGGTCAATCAGCCCAGAGTGAGCACATGGCTCTCAGGCCCCTTCCCTGCACGGGTCCCCATCCATGGTCTACCCCAGCCAGCCACCGCCGCACATCCCGTCCAGCCTTGGTGGCTTGGTTCCAGCTGTCCACCACCCCCCATCTCCACAGACAGAGCAGCAAGATTAGCAGGATTAGTAGCCAGGAGGAGCAGAGCCCAGCGGGACAGGGAACAGGAACGCAGCCTCAGCAGGGGAAGTGCCCAGCTGTACATGCTGTACCCTGCACTGCTCAATGCTCCCAGGGGAGGGGCTGGCAGGGGTGACCCCAGGCAAAGTGAGGCTCACCGGACATATTTGTGCGTCGGGGGCTTGGCACTGTGTGAGGTGGCGATCCCTGATGACAAGTATCGGTCCCTGCGCCGCTCAATGCGCCGGACATTCACGAAGTCCCTGCGGGAGGGAGGGTTAGTTCAGGGGACAATGACCCAAGGCCAAAGTGCAGAAGACCTGGCTGAAAGGAGGGGGCCCGGCATGGACTCACCTTGGGGAGACCACGCCGCCCGCAGCCCCTGCAGACACGTCATAGGAGATGAGGGTGTTGTCTTCCACTCGCTGCAGGATCTGAGGGCCGTCAACGGAGACTTTTGGAACAGGTCGCCCCAGGAAAACCCCAGGGATGGGAACACCCCAGGCCCCTTTACTAACTGCTATTGCCACAGGCAGGCCCTGGGCAGCGCCTGATGAGCACTCCTCCTGCCCTCCTCCCGACCCTCCCGAGCAGGCACTGTTACCATCACACCCACTGTACAGATGGGGCAGCTGAGGCGCTGAGTGCTTCAGTGATCCCACTGAGGCGTGGCTGTGCCCCCATCTGTGCCTTAAGAGGCAGCCAGACTGGGCTCACCTGGCAGGCAGTCACTGTCTTGTTCCACAGCACCATCCTCTCGGGCTGCAGGATCACCTCCTGGTACACGAGCTCCGCAGGACAGGGCAGGAAGGTCTGGGACAGGGCGGCAGAGGGCTGGGTGGTGCCAGATGGGCTCGGGCAGACCAACCCTTCCCTCTTGGTGGGGGGCACCCACCAGAGGGCCCCTCGGCACCTTCCTGGAGCCTCCTGTGCTGTCTGGGGCTCCAGGACACCCGCTCCCCTCACTCACCTTCAGGATAAACGTCTTGCCGTGAAAGGGAACTTCAATGGTGTACACGGTGTCCCCATATTCCTATGGCAGGGACAGAAGGTGGCAGGGAGGAGAGTGGAGGCAGGGGGTGGGCTGGTGGCACAGAAATGGGTGACAGGCAGGGCAGGTTTTTAACAGCTCAGGGTGGAAAACTCCAGGAGTTTGGGGACACCTGAGCAGCTGTTACAAAACAGTAGCTCTAACAAACCTATGGCACTGGCAGGAGAGAGGCTTTTGATGTCGAGTTAAAAGACGGGGGGACAGCTGCAGCTGCAACCACAAAAAACCATGTCTCCAGGCCAATGGGGCTGCCACAAGAACTGGCCAGAGAGAGGGACTGGGGCATGTTGCTCTCTGTTTTCCAAGCTCTCTACGATCTTTGTAGATAATGTTGTTTTGATCATGAAACGAAACAACGGATGCAGAGCAGAAGCCTGGCTTCCCCTTCAAAGCCTGGAGCCAAGGGGGCAGAACAGCAGGGAAGTAAACATGGGGGGTGCGGGGAAGGGGGGCCAAGGGGCACGGGGGAAACGTCCAATCCAGCCCAGCCTCCTGCCGACCCGAGGGCCCAGCTCCCTCTCTTGGGGCAGGAATATGGCTCCAACCCATGTAATCTTTGGGTTTCTTCCTCAGGCCTCAGAAAAGAGAACAGAAACTCCTAACACGCATGGGAAGGTCAGGTGGGAGAGGGCTTCTTACATTATTCTTCTCAAACTTCCAGTTCTCTTCCTGGGCCAAGATCTGGTCCACCACTGCCGTGGCCTCCTTCCCCTGGCGGATGTACTCCCGCTCCTGGACGGAAGCAGGAGGCAGGGAGGGGTCAGCCTGGGGCCTGCAGTCCACCATGTTCGTGGCCTGTTCTCTCTCTAGACATACCACATGCTTCCCAGAGGGGCCTGGCCCAGCCACATGTGGGATCTGGGCTGGTCTCCCTGGGCCCTGCAGGCTTGTGGCTGCTCCACCTGTGTGCCCAGGCATGAGGCAGACCAGGGGGGCCGGACTGGTGGTGGGGGAGACACTCGGATGGGCATTGCCCGAGGTTCAGCCTCTACTGGGAAACCCCTGCCCACCCCGGCTGACCCCTGCACCCGCCCTCCTCCAGGCACCCATTCCAAGGGCAGGGGTTAGGGGTAGGCAGGCAAATACCTGAGCAGAGAAACTTTTCTTCCCAGCAACTTCTTCATCTGATTCATTGTCAGACCCTGCAGAAAACAGGCACAGATGACAATGGCAAGGGGTGGGGAGAGAGTGTGGGGAGGTAGTGGGGTTCGGGTATGTGAGTGCAAGGATGTGGGGGATAAAAGTGTGTGGGAGAGGGTTGCTGGCTTTCCCCAGGGAGCCTGATAGAAGGAATAGAAAGAACAGACCCAGCCTACCCCATTCCTCACAAGGCCCCTCCCTGAAAGCAGTTCCCCCACACACCAGCCCTCACCTGCAAAGGATTCTGGGGGTGAATAGAACTGTCCCTCGGACAGAGCACCGGAGAACAGCAGGGGTCCACGGGCAACAGCAACCTGGGCGGCAAGATACCCTGGAGGAGCAGACTCGGTCCCGGACCGAGGACAGTTACACCCTAGCAGCCTGGGGTACCCCCACCCAAGCTCCCCCTCAGGCTACTGGAGGCTGCTCAGAGGTGGCGAGATGCTTCAGACTGACTCTCATGCCCGCAACTCCCCTCTCTTGGGGCTGTGGGTAACCCTCGCTGCACCCCCCTACCCGCAAGCACTCACATCGCTCCTCTTCAGCTTCCTGGGGTAGGACTTTGAAGTCAAGGAACCAGGTCTCCAACCAGGCGAGGACAAAAGAGACGATGGGGAGCAGGTAGCCAAATGCCCCTTTGCTGAGCAGCTGTGAAGGGAGGGGGCTGAGCTCCATGGCAGGGGTCACCCCAAACCCAGAGCCCCCTTCTGTGGCTACCAACTCTAGCCAGCCAAACTGGCATACACCCCATTCCTGGTAGCAGCTGCTTGGGAACCCTCTCAAGTCTGCAGCAGGATAAACTGGGGTTAGGCTGGAGAAAGAACCTTCTGATTCCTAGAGCTGCAAGGGGCTAAGTCAGGGAAGCGGGTGAAGGATGATTCCTTATAGATACCAAAGGACAGGATTCCCTCTCCCCCTAACCCGGACAACAGGGACAGACACCCCAAATTAGAGAAATGCTCCTCTCTAGAAGCATACCACTCAGGTCTGATGCCCACCAGACTGGCCAGACCCTGAGCCACTGACCTCAGAGAGGATGACCTTGACAATGAGGAATGCACTGGACACCAGCGTCGTGACCTGCCCAGGGGAGGGAGGGAGGAAGGGGAAGGCAGAGGCTGGGAAGTGAGTCCTCCTCCATCCCATCCCTTCCACCAGCCCTGCCAGGGCCCAGAAGCTGCCAGGAAAGTGGCATCTTACCGCAATCACCCACCAGTGCCGGAGCCGCAGCACGGCATAGCCTAGGAGCAGTCCAGAGAAGCGGAAGAAGGCCAGGACCTGGTGGGGGACGGGAGCAAGGCAGTCACAGGAAGCTACTGCCCCCCACCCTGCTGCAGGCTGACCTCCCCTCTGGTCCTGCCCCCACGTTCCCTTCCTATGGGCATGCACACCTCAGGGGACAACGACTGAGTCAGCATGTCTCTGGGACAATTTGGATGTAACCTTGCACAGGGGTCTTATCTTCCCTCTCCCACCTGGGGCTCTCTGAAGGGGGCTTTGTGGAGGAAAGGTTTTTTTTTTTTTTTGAGACAGAGTCTCGCTCTGTCGCCCAGGCTGGAGTGCGGTGGCACGGTCTCAGCTCACTGCAACCTCCGCCTCCCAGGTTCAAGTGATTCTCCTGCCTCAGCCTCCCAAGTAGCTGGGATTATGGGTGCGAACCACCATGCTCAGCTAATTTTTTGTATTTTTAGTAGAGGCGGGGTTTCACCATGATGGCCAAGCTGGTTTCGAACTCCTAACCTCAAGTGATCCACCCACCTCAGCCTCCCAAGGTGCTAGGATTACAGGCGTGAGCCACTGCGCCCAGCCTTGTGGAGCAAAGGTTTTAATGACTGATGGCTCCCGAAGGATGGGAGCCGAGTCTCTGATCAGACTGGATATATGCTGCCAAAAGAGAACCCAGCAGAAGTCATTTCCCTGCTCCCTCTCTGCCTCCGGGGTCCCCAGGATCAGCCAAGGCCACTCACAAAGATGTCGAAGAAGGAAGTTTTAAAGTTGTACTGGATGATCTCCTGCTCCAAGTTCTTACGGATGCCTGTGTTGGTCTGTGAGAGGGAGACAGGAAGAGCTCTGCAGGTAGAAGCAAGGGCCTGGGGCTGCCCCTCACCTCCCGGAAGGGGCAAGAGGTAGGGGATGGAGGAACCTGGAGGGGAGGCTGTTGATGCTAAGCCACCACCCAGGGGGCCCTGGAAGCACCAAGGGATCTCAGCCCACGGCCAGAGACCTCAGGCACCAATACCAGTCCTCTAAGGATCCAGGCCGCCCCGATGGGCAGGGCTAGCTTCCAGCACCCTGCCCAGGAAGGGGCAGGCTTGGAGGCTTCGGGGCTGTGCAGGGGAGGCAATGCGCCCTATACAGGGCCAGCAGAAGGGCGCCGAAAGCCCACCTCTGACAGAATCCCATCTCCCTCCCAGCACTGCGGTGCTCCATCTTCCCAGCCATAATCCATCTGGGCTGATGGGGGGTGGGGGTGGGCAGTGGTGTCAGACGGAGCCTCAGGTGGCAAATCAATTGATTAGGTTTATGCTTAATGGGCAAAATCCATCACGCTGCTTGAGAGGGTGAAGTGGAGACGGAGTGGATGTGTCCTTGCCCCTGTCCCTACCCCAGCCCACCAGACATTTTCACCAGGACCCCTGAGGCCTTGGCCCTGACTCCAATGTCCAGAGGTTTGAGGGAACTGGATGGACACCAGGCCAGACTGCGACCTGACTCCTTGGAATGACGGGGGTGACGGGCCTAGGCTCCTTCAGGTGGGGCACCAGCCACCCTGGAGAAGGGAGGACACAGGGACTCTGGGCGATGGAGCCCAGGAGCCCTGGAGAGGAAGACCCCTCACAACCGCCTAGACTGGGGCTTCCGCTCTCCAGCAGGGCAGCCAAATCTGGGGGGGCTTGTTAAAGATACAGATGCTCCCCCACTGAGCACACAGCCCCACCATGTGCCTCTTCCTCAAGCCCACCCCAGCTCCATGAAATCTGATGCCACCTCTCCTCTGGCTGCCGGTGAGGCCCCCAGGCCTGCCACCCACCCACCCCATCCCACCCAACCCACACCACCCAGCACTCCTCTTGCTCCTCAGACTCTGCCCTGGGCTCTGCAGCCCCTTCCACCCTCAGTCACTAGGCCTCAGAGCTCTGTCCTCCTTCCTCTTTCCAGCCTGGGCACCCACCGGTGCTGACCGATCAGGACTCGGGAGAGCCAAGTCTCAGCCCCTGCTTTGCCACTCTCTGGCTCCAAACCCCCTGCTCAGCACGACCCTACTGAGTCCTTGTAACCACTGGGCAACACAGACACAGTCTGTCAGCGAACTAAAAATATATGCTCCCAAATACAAAAGTAAAACTACAAGACTGAAAATCAATACAATTTTAATTAAATGTCTGCCAAGGGAAACATCATGTGGACTCTACTAATTGTTCAGTGCAGGATTCTGAAATGTTTCATGACATCTGAAAACAATTAGTAAGTTAGATCTTCTCACTTTGCAAGAATTCCCAGGTACGCATGAGGACTGCAGAGCAATCGCAGCCAACACAGCCAAATAACTTCAAAAGCACAATTACAGAGGCCAGGCACAGTGGCTCATGCCTCTAATCCCAGCACTGTGAGAGGCCGAGATGGGAGGATCACTTGAGCCCAGGAGTTTGAGACCAGCCTGGGCAACATAGTGAGACTCCATCTCTACCAAAAAAAAAAAAAATAGCCAAATGTGGTCATGCACCTGTGGTCCCAGCTACTGGGGAGGCTGAGGTGGGAGGAACCCTTGAATCTAGGAGTTGGAGGCTACAGTGAGCTATGATCACATCACTGCACTCTAGCCTGGCCAATAGAGCAAGACCCTGTCTCAAAACAAAACAAAACGAAAGTAAAATTATCAAAATCTTTTCAGCTCTTTTTGGGTAAGGAAACAAGTATTCAATGAAGGATGCAGGTAAGTTTTAGTGTTTGCTTTGATGTTGGATGGGACCTTGAAAAGGAAGTCTGCCTAAGACCTTAGAAGCTCTGCAGAAGGTCCTGAGCCTGCTGGGCCACAGCTTTTTCATGGGTAAGATGGCCCCTAGGGCCATCCATGGCCATGGCTCCAGCTCACTGAAGGTGCCAGCTCATCTCTGGTGCACAATCGACAGTCACCCTCAGAGCCCTGTCTCTCCCTCCAGCTCAACATGCCCAGAATCAAACTTAATCTCTTTGCCCGGAGCTGGCCCCTTCTCTGAGCTCATCACCTCTATTAACAAGACATTGTTTTCTTGTCACATAAGCATGAGACCTGGAGGAAGGGCCCTTGCCATCCGGAAGTCTGATGGGGAGCCCATGCTGCAGAAGGAAAACGAGGGGAGGACTCAAGGGGCTGAGTCCCTTGCTGAGGTCATCGGGCCAAAGCCGAGGAGGAGCTGGGACAGAACTGAGCCTGGGGTGCCCTGCTTCCAGGGCTCCTGCTTATGTGGGCTTGGCCCTGCCTGGAGACCAGATCAGGCCACTGCCAACTAGACTGTGTTCCTGAGGGTGGGCCAAGCACTGCGTGGGGTGGGGGTGGGGCAGCTCTGGTCTCCAGGCTGCCCGGCAGCATCTCATTAGAGCCACTGGGAACTGGGAGTTTTTCCTGTTTTGCTTCCCACTGTGCCCTCTGCTTTTATTTACTTATTTATTTGAGTCAGGGTCTCACTCTGTCACTCAGGCTGGAATGCAGTGGTGCAATCATGGGTCACTGCAGCCTCAGACTTCTAGACTCAAGCAATCCTCCCACCTCAGACTCCCAAACGGCTGGGACAACAGGTGTGCACCACCACACCTGGCTAGCGTCTGGTTTTAGCACAGTGGTTGGGACACAGCAGAGACTCAAAAAATGTTTGCTGAATGAATGAATGAATGAATGAATGAATGATCGAACAAACGAATGAATGAACCAACTGGAGCCAGAGGGCAGTGGCAGGCAGAAAGAAGACAAAGGTTTCAACAGCTCTGCCAGAGCTGGGTCTCCCCCTCCTCCTCTCTCGGGAGCCTCCACTAGGGGGCAGTATGGGGCAGAGGCCAAGAGCATGAACTCAGCTGGAGGGTAGGTTCAAGGCCGTTGCCTTCACACACTTGGGTGCAGAGGGACCTTGGCCAAATGACACAACCCCTCCGAACCCCTCCACATTCCTTCATTCAGAATATGAGAACCCCTGTTGTTCCTCCCAGTCTTCATTTTACCCAGCTAACCAACCCCAGGGGAGAGGCAGCCCTCCCATGTGGCAGATGGACAAACTGAGGCCCGGGTGGCCTGCAACATGGCCTGTGCCCCCACCTCGCCCCCACTCACATTCAGTTCGATGATCCAGAGCAGGGAGATGAAGAGCAGGTCGAAGGTGACGAAGAGACAGAAGGTGCGGCGGACATCAGAGATGGCCCTTCGCTTCTCAGGCGGCGGAAGGAGGTGCGAGGAGAGGCTCTGGCTGTGGGACAGTGAGGAGCCCAGGGAGGCCACGGCAGGCAGGCTGCGCTCCAAGTCTCGGGTCAGCTCCCTGGGCAGCTTGCTCATCCTGGTGGGCCCCCACCTCAGGGCGGGGAGGGCGCGGCCTCAGCAGCAGGGCTGGGGGCGAGGCAGAGGCAGAGTCCTGTCAAACTCCTCCTGTCCCTCCCACACAGCCACCAGGGCCACCACTGGCTCCCAAACGCATTTGTCTCTACACTGGGTCCCAAGCCCAGGGCCCAGGGCACTGTTGCCCAAATGTCCTCCACCAGCCTGGCTCCCAGGCTGCAGGGTTGAGCATTCCGCTAATTATCTGTCCTCCTTCCTGGTGCTCCCTGCCCCAAGCCCAGCAGCCACAGGGTTCACCCCTGGAGGGCTCTGGGGTCCCTCTGCATGGGCACCTACCCCCTCCTGGATCCCTGGGGCTGTAGCCTGCTCCTACCAGGCCTAGCCCTGAGCTCCAGCCTCTGGTCCTGTCAACAGCCTCTGGGCCTGCCACCACCCCCAGGAGAAGAGGGCCCCAAGCTCTGTTCTTTGTTTTCCAAGCACAAAGCCACATTCCCTCCCAGCAGCCAGTCTTCCCCTCCCACCCCCTAATCCATGGCAACTGGGAGGGCCTTCCTAGAGCAGTGTCTGTGTGCTTGGAGCTATGGAGAGCAGGCATCTTGGTCCCTCTCAGCTCCACCACCCCTTGCCCTGCCTAGGTCCAACCACCACCATCTCTGCCTGGACCATGGCAATCTGCTTCTCACGGGTGGGCCTCCAGGCTGCCTCTCTCACCCTCCTGCTCTTCACATAGCCGGCCTAGAGAATGCGTTGCAATGCCCTCCCACGGTTTCCCACCCTTCTCAGGCTAACAGTCTCCTCACCAGGCCCTCTCAGTCCAGGCCTGCAGGTGGCCTCTGCCCAGCCCTTCTCTCTGTCTTGCTGCCACCGCCACTCTGGCCTTTTTTACATCCCTCAATACAGCTGCCCTGTCCTGCCTTGGGACCTTCGATCTGGCTCTCCCCATGCCTGGAATGTTCTCCCACAGACCCTTCAACAGGCAGCTCAAAAGTCCTCTCCTCAGAAAGCCTCCCACCCTCCTGCTCCAAATCACAGCATAACATGATAGTAAGCTGCCTTCCTTTCTTCAGTGAAGTGGGTCACTATCTGAAACGATCTTTATTGTTTTATTTCACTGTTTACCCTTCTCTCACTAGACTGTAAACTCCATGGCCTCACGGGCTTTATCTGACATGGTCACTGCTGTCTCCCTGGTGCCCAGCACAATGCCTGGCATGCAATAGGTGCTTTGTAATTGATTGTTGAATAAATGAATGCTCAGTAGGTCTCCTGGCCCTCAGCTCCATGCTACATAACAGACAGGAACAGGGCAAACCCTAAAGAGAGTAGGAAGCAGCCACTCTGGAGGCCAGCCCAGTGCTCTACCGCCCCCCACCCCATGCCCACAGATCCACACCCACGTTCACGTCCACTCAGGGCAGGGACGGTTCCTCTTCTTTTACAGATACGACAACCAAGGCCCAGAGAGGTGAATGGATTTACCCAATCCCTTACCATCCTGTGCCAGCATCGGGCTCTCAGGAACCCTAAAGACAAAAGGAACTCTGGCACTCCCTCCCTGCCATGTAGCCCCCAGGCCTACAGTCTCTGCCCCACCCATGTGCTGGGCTCTAAGAGGCCCCGTCCCTTGGGTGAGAAGGAAAGGTCCCACTGAAAGTCAGAGAGGAAGCCGGGCGCGGTGGCTCACACCTGTAATCCCAGCACTCTGGGAGGCGGGAGGTGGGTGGATCACAAGGTCAGGAGATCGAGACCATTCTGGCTAACACAGTGAAACCCGTCTCTACTAAAAATACAAAATAAAAAATTAGCCAGGCGTGGTGACCGGTGCCTGTAGTCCCAGCTATTCGAGAGGCTGAGGCAGAAGAATGGCGTGAACCCAGGAGGTGAAGCTTGCAGTGAGCCGAGATCACACCACTGCACTCCAGCCTGGGTGACAGAGCGAGACTCCGTCTCAAAAAAAAAAGAAAGTCAGAGGAGCTGAAGCGGGGAGGCAAAAACTCACCAGCTTGGTGGGGGCCTGAGCTTCTGGGACTTGACCAAGAGGCTCCCTGAGTCTCCCCACATCCCAGCACCAGGGAGTAGTTTGGGGTCTAGAGGAAGGGAAGCTCTAGATGTTTGTCCCTGATCTTGGGAGGCAAGATCTAACCACTCTCCCCTCCTGAGGTGTCCTGCCACACTTTCACTATGTGGACTACCTTCCTGGGCCCCTCAGTCTACCACGTCCAAAACAAGCGCAGCTCAGTTTGTGGCTGGCAGGAGGTTCTGAGCAAGCCAGCTCGTCCATCCCTCTGCCCCTGTGCAAGCCCCCACAAACAGGAACTGACTGTTTGCAGCAGAGTCGGAGGGCAGGTGAGGCAGAGGCACCAGGCCAAGGCTACTCCCAACACCACACTCTGAGCCCCATGACAGGTTCATCTCCACAGTGCTACGGAAAAGCTGGGCTCAGCTCTGGAAACAGGCGATGGGGAGGGGATGTGACAGGCCGCTGGCAATGGGATCCCCAACATCTATCAGCCAGATCTGTGCCAGACTGCATGCTCAGTGCATCCCTCATGGTGACAGGCCGCAGCTCCAGGGCAGGTGACATTTCCCTGCCTCTGACAGCCCTTTTGTTTGCAGCCAGACCTGTCTCCCTTCCTCACTCTCTCCATCTCTCCTCATCTTTTGTATCTGTTTCACAAAGTAACTTTCCATCTGTGTGGGGTTTTGTTTGTTTTTTTAGAGGCAGGGTCTTGCTCTGTCAACCAGGCTGGAGTGCAGTGGCACGATCATGGCTCACTGCAGCCTTCAACTTCTAAGCTCAAGCGATCCTCCTGCCTCAGCCTCCCAAGTAGCTGAGACCACAGGCGCCCGCCACCACACCAGGCTAATTCATTTTATTTTATTTTTTTTAGAGACGAGGGTCTCACTATGTTACCCAAGCTGGTCTCAAACTCCCTGGCTCAAGGATCCTCCTGTTTTGGCTTCCCCCAGTGTTGGGATTACAGGCGTGAGTCACTGCACCTGGCCTATTTCCTTTGTAATTATCTTTTTAGCTGTCTCCCTCTCCCTCTCCCATGTCTGCCATTTTGGGTTTGTTTGTTTGAAATCATGGACATTTATCATCTCACAGTTCAGGAGGCTGGAAGTCTGAGAAAGGTATTGGGAGGGCCGTGCTCCCTCTGACCCCTTCCTTGCCTCTTCCTGGCTCCTGACGGTGTGCGAGCAATCTGGCGTGACTCAGCTTGTAGCCACAAACGCCGACCGGTCTTCGCTGTCACATGGTGCTCTTCCCATGTGTCCGTCTTCACACTGCCATCTCCTGATACGGACACCAGTCATAATGGGCCCACCCTCCTCCAAGATGACCTCACCTTGACTGATCACATCTGCAATGACCCCAGTTCCAAATAAGATCACATTCTGAGGTAAAGGTGGTTAGGACTTCAACGTATCCTTTTTGCGGGGGACACGATTCAACCCCTAACAGTAACCTATCTTTTTTTTTAAGAGATGGGGTGTTCTTGAAGTCCTGGGCTCAAGCAATCCTCCCTTCTTGGTCTCCCAAAGTGCTGGGATTACACGTGTGAGCAGTAACTTACAGCTTTAGTGTCTGCTTTATCCTTTTTATATTTCTTTTGTATAAAGGAATATGCTTTCTTTGTATATCTTTTTTTTTTTTTTTTTTTTGAGACGGAGTCTCACTCTGTGGCCCAGGCTGGAGTGCAGTGGCGCGATCCCAGCTCACTGCAACCTCCACCTCCCAGGTTCAAGCGATTCTCCTGCCTCAGCCTCCCAAGTAGCCTGGATTACAGGCACGTGCCACCATGTCCAGCTAACTTTGTATTTTTAGTAGAGATGAGGTTTCACCATATTGGCCAGGCTGGTCTTGAATTCCCAACCTCAGGTGATCTGCCTGCCTTGGCCTCCCAAAGTGCTGGGATTACAGGCGTGAGCTACCACGCTCAGCCTTATATTTCTTATATCCTTTCTTTCTTACATGGACAGTAGCTTACTACAGATGGGCTCTTGCTTGTTATTTTTTCACTAAATAGTATATCCTGGTGAGCACTCCATGTCAGTTTTACATTGTCTTTCTCGTTCTTTGATAGAGATGCTTGGTACTCCATTTTATAGACAAACCATAGTTTATTCAGTCTCCCATGAATGAGCACTTAGATTTGTAATTCCAGAAATGCTGCAGTGAATAACCTTGAGCGCATATATATATTCCCGTTGTTGGAAATACATCTTCAAGACAGATTCCTAGAAGTGGTATTGCTGGGTCAAATTGCATATGTGGTTTTGTGAGGTATTGCCAAGTTCCCTTTGCAGTTTGCACTCCCACTAGCAATGTACAAGAATGCCTGTTTCCCCACAGCCCACAGAACATATCGTCATCCATGTCTGTCTTTATTTTTCCCCATCTGGGTCTTCCTCTCAATCTATCTCCCATTTATGAGTCTTTCTCTCCACTCCCATCAGTCTCTCCCACTTTCTCCACATTTCTCTCTCTCTTCTCTATCTGCCTCTCTCCTCCCTCCCTCCCTCCTTGGTCCTTGCCTCACTTCCAGGTGCTGTCGCTCGCCTACTCCAGTCTACTTCTGTGTCTGTCTGTCTTTCCCTCTGACTTTCTCTCTCCTTGGGGACAGGACTTGGATGGCAGCAGCTTGGGTGTGAGACGCACTTGGAGTGGCAACCACACTGACACTCACATGCCCAGACGTCCCTGTCGAAGCGAGAGACGCAGATGGGGCTAGAGCAGAGGTGTTGCGGGAGCCCGGGAGAGTTGAAATATGCCAGGGAGTGTGGGAGCCAAGCATGGGGGCTCGAAGGCAGGGGCGGGGACAGTTGGCCAAGAGTCAAAGAAAGGGGGTTTGATATCACCCTCCCACCGAAAGCAGCTCAAAGTCCAAATGACAGCCTGTACAGTAGGCAGAGCACTGGCCCAGAGTTAAGGAACCTGTACCCCAGTCTCCGGGCAACCAGTAATTCCGCCTAACTCTGGGCAAGTCCTTCTCACCAAGCCTCTGTTTATCTGGGGGAAAGTCAGTGGTTTTTTTCAATCATCTCCCTCTGCCTTTTTTTAAAGAGAGGATCTCACTCTGTCATCCAGGCTGGAGTCCAGAGGCGTGAACATGGCTCACTGTAGCTTTGACCTCCTGGGCTCAAGTGATCCTCCTGCCTCAGCCTCCCGAGTAACTGGGACCACAGGCACATGCCATTATGCTCAGCTAATTTTTATTTTTTTATTTTTTATTAATTTTTTGAGACGGAGTCTCACTCTGTCGCCCAGGCTGGAGTGCAGTGGCGCGATCTAGGCTCACTGCAAGCTCCGCCTCCTGGGTTCAAGCGATTCTCTCCTGCCTCAGCCTCCCGAGTAGCTGGGACTACAGGCGCCCACCACCACGCCTGGCTAATTTTTTGTATTTTTAGTGGAGATGGGGTTTCACCGTATTAGCTAGGATGGTCTCAATCTCCTGATCTCGTGATCCGCCCGCCTCAGCCTCCCAAAGTGCTGGGATTACAGGTGTGAGCCACCGCGGCCGGCCATGCTCAGCTAATTTTTAAATTTTTTGTAGAGACAAGGTCTATGTTGCCCAGGCTGGTCTTGAACTCCTGGGCTTAAGCGATCCTCCCACTTCAGCCTCCCAAAGTACTGGGATTACAGGCATGAGCCACCACACCCAGCTACAAACCACCTCCTTTGCAAAGCAAGAGAAACATTTAAAAGAGTAATACCTTACTTGGAACCTCAATATATAAAACAGATAAAAACCAGACTGCTATGGGTAAAAGCAGCTACTGAATCCCACCTGTCAGCCTTTCCTCAAACTCCAGCATCACCCTGAGTGAGGCCTCGTTGGCTAGGGTTTGAAAATGGGGCTCACTCAGATGACTTTGAAAGGCCTTTGAGCTCCATCAGACCACCTGCCAGTCTAAGTGATGAAAACCCACCGTGGCGTGGAACTGCCCTGTGCAGTCCCCAAAGTGCTCATTCTCTGGCTGACTGTAGGCTGCCTAGCCCTGGAGGCATCACAGCTAGCGCAGGCCTCCACCCACCACACCCACCCTCCTGATGAGGGGGAGGCAGGAATGGACAATTCAGAGACAGCCCAGCCCCCTGGGAGCAGCACCCCACCCACTGCCAAAAGAGCCCACTGGTTGCTGTGACTGGCCTCTCCCAAGCACCTTCAGAAGTGTCAGGAGGGGAACAGCACGTGTGGTGTGAAAGAGTCTGCCTGGGATGGCTGCAGACTTGACAGTCGAGTGTCTGCAGAAGCTGAACTGCTTGGGGAGGGAGTGAGAGTGGGAGGTAGGGGGGAAAGTGGAGGGTTTTTTTTTTTTTAACTTTTTTGAGACAGAGTCTCGCTCTGTCACCAGGCTGGAGTGCAGTGGCACGATCTCGGCTCACTGCAACCTCCGCCTCCCAGGTGCAAGCGATTCTCCTGCCTCAGCCTCCCAAGTAGAGGGGACTACAGGTGCCCGCCACCACGCCTGCCTATTTATGTATTTTTAGTAGAGATGGGGTTTCACCATGTTGGCCAGGATGGTCTCGATCTCTTGACCTTGTGATCCGCCCACCTCGGCCTCCCAAAGTGCTGGGATTATAGGCGTGAGCCACCACGCCGGGCAAAAGTGGAGGTTTTACCATCCTGGGTTAGAGGGGGAAGCGGGTGGGGAGGGGGGAAGTCAGGTGCCAGGGAACAGCGGATTATTCATGAGGCAAAGGGAAGGGGTGGGCACACGCCCCCACACCGCTTTCCAGGCCTTCTCTTCCTCACCCTAGGATACAATAGTACCAGCCCCACTTGTAATAGGGTTTTGGGTGGTGTCCTGGACTCAGGACAAACAGGAGGTGGCTGGTATCATGGAAAAAGGAATGGACTCTAAGGTCATGGTTCAAATCTCAGACTGTCCCCTTCCTAGCTGTGTGCTCTGGGGCAAAGCATAACCCTTCTGAGACTCAGTTTCCTCAGCTGCATTAAAACAGGCAACAATAGGCTGGGTGTGGTAGCTCAGGCCTGTAATCCCAGCACTTTGGGAGGCCAAGGAGGAAGGACTGCTTGAGCTCAGGAGTTCAAGAACAGTCTGGGCAACACAACAAAGCCCCGTCTCTACAAAAAATACAAAAATTTGCCAGGCGTGGTAACACACACCTGCAGTCCCAGCTACTCAGGAGCCTGAGGAGGAAGGATCACTTGAGCCGGGGAGGTGGAGGTTGCAGTGGGCTGAGACTGTGCCACTGCACTCAAGCCTGGGTGACAGAGAGAAACCCTGTCTCAAAACAAAAAACAACAAACAAAAGGTTAAAATGGTAAGTTTTATGTTATGTATATTTTACCATGACAAGAAAAGGCAAGAAGCCAGACACGGTGGCTCACACCTATAATCTCAGCACTTTGGGAGGCTGAGGCAGGTGATCACCTGAGGTCAGGAGTTTGAGACCAGCCTGGCCAACATGGCAAAACCCTGTCTCTACTAAAATTACAAAAAATAGCCGGGTGTGGTGGTGTGCACCTGTAGTCCCAACTACTTGGGAGGCTGAGGTGGGAGGATTGATTGAACCTGAGGGGCGAAGGTTGCAGTGAGCCAAGATCCCGCCACTGCATTCCAGTCTGGGTGACAGAGTGAGACTCCATCTCAAAAAAAAAAAAAAAAAAAAAAAAAAAAGGCAAGAATCCCTATGTCACAGGGATGGGTGTTGAGGTAGGTGTCAGGAGGGAGTATGGTAACCGCTTGGTCAGTGGTGGTTGAGATAGATTAAGTAGCTGGCAAGACTTTTCGGGTAAGATGGGGCTAGGAGCAGTGGCTCAGCCCTTTGGGAGGCTGAGGTGGGAGGATCCCTTGAGGTCAGGAGTTTGAGGCCAGCCTGGCCAACATGCTGAAACCTCGTCTCTACTAAACATACAAAAAAATTAGCCAGGCATGGTGGCGTGTGCCTGTAATCGCAGCTACTTGGGAGTATGAGGCAGGAGAATCATTTGAACCCGGGAAGCGGAGGTTGCAGTGAGCCGAGATCACACCATTGCACCCCCGCCCGGGTGACACAGTGAGACTCTGTCTCAAAAAAACAAAACAAAACAAAAACCTTTCAAGTAAGAGGGAAATTGTGAGCGAGGGAGGTTAAATACACTATAGTGACATGTAATAAAAATCACCCCAAAAGGCGTGGGTTCAAATCTGAACTCTACAATTCACCTGCTGTGTGGCTCAGAGCAAGCTCCCTAACCCTCTAGCCTGGTTCCTTCATCTATAGAAAGGCCAGGTTATCCAGCTGCAGGCAGAGGTGAATTCCAGGTTGGGGGAGGGGCAGGAAGTAGAGGACTGTCCTGGCTCCTGGCAGAGGCTCTTAGGGGAGTGCAGGGGCTGATCTCTACTCCTTCCTCTTGAGACCGGCCCCTCTGCAATTGCAAGCTCCCACCCAGGGAACAGCATCGGCTGCCCCTTCCCGCAGACAGAAGAGGAGGACAGCAGGATGGCTAAGCCGCCTCCCACTCACCCACCTCCAATTTTCAATTTCCACAAATCTCAGGCTGCAGAGCCACAGACAGGGTTCCTTGCTAGCCCTTCGTCATACCCCAGGCCAGAAGCTCCAGACACCTTTCTTCAGGGAGGCGGCTCCAAAGCCCAGCTGACCGACGGCAGCTCTCAGTAGGCGTTTCCTAGCCAAGGCAAGTCTGCGATTTTTTTTTTTTTTTTTGAGACTCTGTCGCCCATGCTGGAGTGCAGTGGTGTGATTACAGCTCATTGCAGCCTCAAACATTCCCTGGCTCAAGTGATCTTCCTGCCTCAGCCTCCTGAGTAGCTGGGACTACAGGCAGATGCCACCATGCCAGGCTAATTTTTCTTTTCTTTTCTTCTTCTTTTTTTTTTTTTTTTGTAGAGACAGGGTCTCACTATGTTGCCCAGGCTGGTGTCAAACTCCTGGACTCAAGCAATCTCCCCGCCTTGGCCTCCCAAAGTGCTGGAATTACACCACACTTAGGCTTTTATACCTGGCCTAGGTCTGTGATTTGAACAAAGCCACCTACTCATTGTGCAAGCCTCCACTGCTGCATCTGTAAACTGAGGCTACCTGTCTTGACCCTGGGCTGTCTGGGGGCACCAAAGGAGACAATGATAACTATAGCGTGCCTAGGACAGTGCCTGGCACCACAGAGTAACTGGTTAACGTCTAACCACATAGACATTAACTACCACCACCACTTCGAGTCTCCTGGCTCTTCCCCACCTCCTAGCCTCCCAGGGAGGGCTGGGCCAAACTTTACAAGTTCCAGCTAGAGCTTATTCCATAGAGCTGTGCCCTGGGATTCAGGGGGAGGGGGAACAAGTCTCATCTATATCCAAAGATGACTTACATCTCTGGGCAGAGTGGGTTCTCCAAATCCCCCAGAGGCTAGAGGAACAGTAGACACAGGTCCTCCACACATCCCCCTCCCATAATCCACAGGAAATGCTAGCACCAGCACCCCCTGCCCATGGGGGCTTCCCAAGGGGTCCCTAACTCAGCACAAATCAGGAAGGATCAGTGAAGCTGAGAGAACTGGACTCCACACCAGGAGATGGGTCAAACCTCAGATTTCCACCTTGCTGGTCACTTAACCTCACCATGCCTCAGTTTCCTCGCCTATAAAATGGGGTTAACAATATCACCTACTCCTTGCAGGTTTATATGGATTAAATGACTTATTCAATGCAATGGCCTAGAAGAGATTCTGACACAGAGTGGTGGCTGCATGAGGGTTAGCTGGGATTACTTTCCTGCTCTTCTCCAGAGAAAGAGAGAGTCTTGAGCTCTGACTGACTGGCGAGATGGCTTCAGGGCAGGGCTGGGGTTGTTTTGAGTCAAGCAGCCCTGTCAATGCCAAGTTAATGGAGACTCCACAGAGGGTAGAAGGCAGAGGCCCTGGGTGTGGAGGAGGTTGGCCTTGGTCTATGTCCTGCTGCTGGCTGGCCCAGGAGGGTGCCAGTTAGGGGAACGCAGGATAGCAGACCAGACAGGTTGCACTGCATCCAGATGGGCTGGTGCAGAAGACACAGATCCAGCTGGCCATGGCCTGCGGTGGCACCATGCAGACACCATCTCCTTAATGCATCACACCCCTTCCCAGAAGCTGTAGTGATGACTCATGGGAAGGAGAGCTGCCCACAGTCCCCTAGCCAGGAAGAGGCAGAGCGGAGCCGACCCCAGAGGAACATGACCTTCCCCCATGACAGGCTGGGACCTTCTAAGTACAAATGCTGCTGCCTGCAAGAGTCCTTGCTAGCTGGGGGACAGTGTGTCAAGAGGCCCTCTTTGGGCTTAGCATTCATCTGGTCACACCTCCCTTCCACATCCAAACCATGAGCAAATCCTGTTGTCTCTTCCTGCAAAATCTGGCCAGTATCTGCCCACTGCTCACCTACCACTATGTCACCCTGTCCAGGCTATCACCTCTACCTGCCACTCTTTCTTGTCTTCACCCCTTCAGCCTGTTCTCAACACAGCAGCCACAGGGATCCTGTTAAAAGCCAGATCACATCTCCCCAGTGCCCCAACCTCCAATGGCTTCCCCAGAATAAAGGCGTAAGTCCCCACCCTAGCCTACAAGTCCTCCTCTTCCCCTTTCCTCTTCCCCTTGAGCCCTCTACTCCAGCCACACTGGTCCCTCGCTGTCCACGGACACATCAAGCATGCTCCTACCCCAGGGCCCTTGCACCTGCTGCTCTGTCGGGAGCTCCTCCCCAGGTCTTTGCATGACTTGCTCTCTCATTCCAATGAGGTCCCTATGCAAATGTCCCTTTGTAGAGACCATTCCTGAACCTCTATTTAGCCCCCACCCTCCATCCCTTACCCTGCTGTATTTTTCTTCACAGCACTTGTCACCCCTGACATATGATACATTCACTGGTCTGTGTTTACTGCCCATCGTCTCCCACTGGCATGCGAACTCCATGAAAGTAAGGACTTCCTGTGCTTTGCTCCCTGCTGCATGCCCAGTGCCAGAACTGTACCAGGCTCAGAGTGGGTTTCCAGGAAATGCACTGAACGGCCATTTACACCCTTCCCTACAGCAGCACATGCACAAGTGCACATGGACACTCACGCCCAGCCGGGAGAGCAGCCCCTCCCTGCCCAGGCTGCCTCTCCTGGAGCTGGACTCCACCCTCTGTGGGGGTCTTCCCTGCCCAGAGCCCAGGCACTCCCTCCACAAGAAGGAAAGAGGAACTGGTTTCCTGGGGGTCCTCAAGCAGGGTATCTGCTCCCCTCCCTGAGCCTGACTTGTAGGGAGAAGACGTAAGGTGAGTTAACCTTGAGTCTTTGATAACAGAGGAGGGTTAAGGAGGAGGGAGGACTCCAGACCCCAGCACTCATTTTTTGCTATGGGGGTCAACACTCGCTGCCTCTACTCTGCTGATCATTGGCTGCTCCCAGGACACACCACAGCCCATCGCCTGGGCGCCCTGTTTCCTCATTCTTGAATGACCTCCTTCCTTTGGGGAGAACTCTGGCGCTTCAGAGACTAGTTCAAATGTCACCTCCGGGGCAGAGCTTCTCCTCACCCTCCAGACTCCCCTGACCTTTCAGAACTCTGGGTCAGCACTTCCCTTATCACAGCTAGATGTCTCGAGGCCATCTGTCCCAAGCCCTTGAGGTCCAAGTCACAGTCACAGTGCCTGGCCATGATACATGTCTAGTAAGTTAGCCTGTGGATCCATAATGTCCACCCTGGAACAGGGAAAAGGGTGTGGGTTTGGGGTTGGACACCAGTCCTGGAGGCAAAAACCTAAGGCCATTCCTTATTAGATTGTGTGCCCTTGACCAAATCACTGGGTTTCTCTGAACTTCAGTCTCCTTTTCTGTAAAATGGGGAGAATATAGTACCTACTTCACAGAGCTTGAAGGGATTAGAAACAACACATGCACAGTGTCTGTGCTTAATTAATAGCAGCTATTACTACTATTACCCATGGGGACAGTGTTAGAGGCAGGACCCTGGCCAGGCAGGTCCAGCATAGCACTTTGCCCAAACTGAGAGTCCCAGCAGTACTGCAGAATGGAAGGGTAGACCCTGGCTTCAGGGGGCTGACCCAGAATGACACTTTTTTTTTTTTTAAGAGACAGGTCTCACTATGTTGCCAGACTGGAGTGCAGTGGCTGTTCACAGGCGCGATCATAGGACACTGTGGTCTCAAACTCCTGGGCTCAAGCAATCCTGCCTCAGCCTCCCAAGTAACTCTGGGTCAGCATTTCCCTTATCACAGCTAGATGTTTCAAGGCCATCTGTCCTAAGCCCTTGAGGTCCAAGTCACAGCCACAGTGCCTGGCCACGGTACATGTCTAGTAAGTTAGCTAGTCTGTGGATCCGTAATGTCCACCCTGGAACAGGAGAAAGGGTGTGGGTTTGGGGTTGGACATCAATCCTGGAGTCAAAAACTTGGGAGTAGGTTCCCAAGTAGTTGAGCCTACAGGTGTGCACCACTGCGCCTGGCTAGGATGGCACATTCAGGGTTACTGGCCCATGCCATCAGCCTCGGGATGGTTGGCTGACTGGCCCTACTATAGCCCTCCACAGAGGGTTTGGGAAATCCCCTGGAGAAGTGGGAGTGTAGGGAGAGGAGGACACAGCTACAGTGACAAATAAGACCCAAAGCCAAAGCCTGGCTCTGTTTCTCCTTTCCTTCTGAGGAAGCGGAAGGGGAAGAGTTAAGCCAAATAGAAACAAGACTCACCACCACACACTTCTCCCCCCAGCCGGGGAGGCTCTGCGGGTGCAGTGTACAGGAAGACCCTAACACACTGAGATCTACTTGCCCTCCCTTCCCCCTTGTGCCAGGCCCTGTGAATCATCAGGGATGCCCCCAGTTCTGTGATTCCATGACCCCTGACCCACTCAGGGCCAGTGAATCAGGCCCCACCTGCCCTCTTCGTGCTGCTATGTAAACCAGTGAGGTCAAGTTCCCAAGGTTAGTCTGGAAACGGCTAGTCATCTTCCAGGAGAGATCTCAGCCCTCTCAAGAAAAGGCCCCCATAGGGCAAGGGACAAGGGGTGGGGGGGTTGGGGGGATGGAAGGGAGCCGGTTTCAGCACAGGATCCTCCAGGCACCAACCCTGCCTGGACAAAGCCAGGATTAGCCTCTCCTCAGCCAGAAAAAGGGACACTTTTCTTTTGTCCCACTGATGTGGCACCTGCCCCCTTGGAGGCTGGGACCCCAAGGCAGTTTCTGGGAGACATGCAGACCTGGAGTCAGGAGACAGCTCTTTAAATCCCTGCTGAGTGATCTTGACCTTACCTCCCCTGAACCTCAGCTTCCTCATCTGTAAAGTGGAGCCAACAGGCTCTCGCATTCAGTGGAACAGGCACAAGCTGCCAGATGTGCCGGATTTTTTATCTCCCCCGCACCGCTCTCCCTTAACAAGTCTAGCTGTGTGAGAGCTCAACTTAATGCAACATGCGGGTTCCAAGGGCCTACAGTATGCTGGACACAGTGCAAGTCCTGGGGCCACAGGACCCTGTTCTGGTCCATCAGGGACTCTGGGTCTGGTGAGGAAGACTGGCAGATAAATAATACCATGCTGTGATCAGCGCTTTCAGGGAGGAATGAACAAAGGACCGTGGGCTCCCAGAGAAGGGATCATCTGACCCAGGCTGGAATGAGTGAAGTCAGAAAAGCCACAGGGAGGAGGGGCCATCTGACCCTGGCCTTGAAGAGTCAGCATCTATCAGCTGGAGGCAAGGAGGGTGGGCATTACAGGGAGGCAAAAGAGCTCCAAAGAAGGCCCAGCCCAAAGGCATGCACAATGGCCCTACCCAGGGGGCCTGGTCCCAAACACCAGGTACTAGGCCTCCGGAGCATAGTTGCCCCCAGGCATGGTCCCTGCTGGCTCCCAAGTCAAGGGATGCTTCCTCATGGCCAATACAGGAAAGGAATTGCCAGCGTCAGCAAAGGACGCTGCCTCTGTCTTCCTCAGCTCCGTCTCCCCTGTTCCCCCACCCAGCCACCATCTACTGGAGCTCTGTTCAGAGGACCCAGCTTTCTGATCTCTGAGCCCACTCCAGCCTCTGCCTCCCTCTGATAAAATCCTCCCATCGCTTTATAGGCCCCATTAACTGTCAGCTCCTCAGAAGCCGCCCCTGGTCTTTTTCTCCCTCTAGTTCCCAGATCTATACATTTCTCTAGATTTAATGCTTGCCATGTAACACACACACACTTCCAGACTGGTTTTCCTGAGCAGACCAGGTCTGAGCCTTTTTCACTCTTGAATCTTCACTCAATAAATCCAGACCCTGCCCCCAGTGTCCTCCACTCCAGCATTTTATTTATTGGCAAAGAGCCAGGCTCTATCCAATGACTAGTAAGCCACTTCAACCATCCTCAGGCAACTTATGAAATTAAAAATCATAACTGGTGAACTATGTTGTCCTTACATAATAGTAATAACTTTTTATTTATTTATTTTAGAAACAGGATCTCACTCTGTCCCTCACACTAGAGTGCAGTGGCACAACCATATCTCGTTGTAACTTCAAATTCCTGGGCTCAAAGGATCCTCCCACACGTACCACCATGCTCAGCTAGTTTTTTAAATTTTTGTAGCGATGGGGTCTCACTATGTTGCCCAAGCTAGTTGCAAACCCCTGGCCTCAAGCGATCATCCTGCCTTGCCTCCCAAAGTACTAGGATTAATGCATGAGCCACTGCACCCAGGCAACTCACTTTAATTTATTGAGCATTCTTGTGCCTAGCACTGGTTTAAGACCTAAACATACAATATTCCATTCAATCCTCACAACTCTATGAAGTAGAGACATTCCTACCTCCATTTTACAAGTGAGGAAATTGAGGCACTGACTTCATCAAGGTTACCAAACAGGTCAGAACCCAGGCAGTCTGATCCAGGAGTCTGTATTCTCAGCTACTATGCTATTATGGACAGGGTGCTACAGGACACAGAAGGGCAATTAACCTTGGGGGTTAGGCGGAGGCAGCGCTGCCTGCGCTGAAAAACATGTAGAAGGTAGCCCAGCAGACAAGAGAAGGAGGAGGTTTCCAAGCAGCGGGGGCTGGTGTGTGCAAAGTCATGAAGATACGAACAGCAAGGGTAGGCATGGCGCATGCTGCAGTGCCGTATTATTGGACCTTAGGGTGCACACAGGAGACTGCTAGGTCAGATCACAGAGAGCTGTGTAAATTGTGCTAGGGGTTCAGCACATAGGCAATAGAAAGCCAGAAAAAGGTTATCAGCAAGGAACTGGCACCGTAAGACTTGTGTTCTAAAAGGATCACAAGAGTTACAGTTTGGAGACTGGGTTGCAAGCTGCCAGGGCTGGACTGTTGGGAATTGACAATACATCAACAGCGTGGTAACAGAAGAGATGGAGCTGGCCCAGGTTTGAAGGATGTTCAGGAAGTTGGCAGTACTAGGTCACTTTTAAGATGTGGGACTTGAAAGAGAGGAGAAAGTGTAAGGAAATTACCAGACTTCCGGCTGGGTTGGGGTAGAGGAAGAATTAATCTGCAAGGAAAAGACCAGTTCAAGTTTGGACCCAGTGAGCTCCATGTGAAGCAGAGCTGTCCCAATGGCCGCTGGATGGGCAAGCGTGGAGCTCCAGGGAAGGGCTGCGCTGAAGATGTGGATCTGGGTATTTAGTTGGTGTAAAGCTGAAGCCGTGGGGGAAAATAAGACCACTGAGATTCAGTGTACAGAGCGAGGGGTTGGGCGACAGAGGAAAACGTGAAGCGGGACTTTGACCGACTGTCAGAGCGGTACGAAGAAAACCAGGAGACATTGACTAACCCAAAAATGCGGGGTGAGGGAACGTGTCATTAGAAATGAGTGTCAATGGTACTATGCACCTCTAAGAACTCAAGACTTCAAAGGGCCCTTTTAATACCAATTAGGAAGTTATTCACGGCCGTTTCGAAAGGAAGTTGGGGAGACACGGGATGACACTGAGACGCAGAGCTACCGGAATGCGTAGATGTTTTCCTCTCACCCCAGATTCCGACCCCTCCCCATACCTGCCCCTGCTCATAACACCCAGACACCTCACCCTCTCCTCTCCCCTCAGTTAAGACGGAGGCTTTGGAAGGAGATCCCGAACGTCCTCCCCGGGCTCCCCAGGATAGGCGGGGTCGCCAAGAGTCATTGCTGGAGACCCCAACCCGCGCGGGGCGGCGCGAGGCCAGACAGAGGAAGGGGGCGGAACCTGAGACGCAGCGGGTGTGGGAAGGGTCGGACGGAACCCAGCACGGACAGCGGGCGGCGAAGCGGGTTCGACCGGCGGAAGACGGCCCTCGCACGCCACCCGCTCCCAGCGACCGCTCCGGGACCCACCTGCTCCATGTCAGCCACGGCCCCGGCTCTTCCCGCCCCAACCGCAGTCCGGCTCCGCGGCCTCAGTAGCGCCTCAGAGCGGAAGAAGATCTTCCGGCAGCGCCACTTCCGCCGCTGAGTCCGCCCCCGAGAGCGAAGCGGGACTTGCGTTCGCCTGCGGCCCCGCCCCTTCGCCCCGCCTCCAGCCCCGGCCCTGCGCAGAAGCGGACTCAAAGGCCGGAGTCTAAGGGCCTACCTAAGGGTAGGGGAGTGGGAAGAAGACCAGGGCCGTCGTTATTAGGCCACACAGGCCTGGCACTGAGGGAAAAAGGGGAATTTCCCGAGGGGAGTCCTGTGGGGATGGGGAAATCTTTGGAGGAATCCAGTTATTCGAGAAGGACTTCCCCACCCCACCTGCCTCCTTCAGCCATCCCAAGCAGCAGCTAGAACTTCTGTAGTTCTTCCTCTGAGTGCCCCGAGCCTGCTGTCTGCCAGAAAGACTCCTAGACTAGAGGATTGGACAGTAGGGTCAAAACCCTAACCCTTGGTTGACCACCGGCCTTCCCTATCAGGACGCCCCATTACCTCCCTTTTCCTCCTGCTTCCCCTGAAAGAGGAGTCTCAGCAGTTATTTACAAAGATTTATTACAGCACGGGAGGGGTTCAGGCCTGGAGTCAGGGAAGAAGGGGAAAGGGGCAGAGCAGCTGGGGGACAAGGAAAACCTGGCGCCCCCCGCTGTGTGCCCCACCGGGGACATAAACTAGGCGGCATTCCTGGCATCAAAGCACAAAACGCAACAAAGAGGTCTCTGCCAGTCCATCTTCCAGGCACCCAGGAGGAGCAAGGGTGATTAAGGGAAGATTCCCAAAATGTTGAGGCTATGGAGAAAAACGCCTTAGTCCTGGACCCTGGTAGAAGCCGGTGAGAGAAGTGGTGACTTGGAATCCTCCATAGGAAAGTGGGTAGAAAAGGATCTAAGGGTACCTCAAGGTTCTCAGGACCTCCTTTCCCCAGATCTTAGGGTCCTGCCCTGTGGGTCTCCTGTGTCCAGGGGAGAGGATCTGGGGAGTAGAATTGTGAAGGGCAAATCCCTGTTCCCGGTTTTCTGGATTTTCCAATGTGGGCTGTCTCACATCCCACCTCCCGCTGGGTGAATGGAGGAATGACTGGCAGGGGTGGGCATCAGGCAGCAAGTGCCCAGGTTCTCTGGGTATCAGCCAAAGGTGGGCAAACAAGCAAACACAGACCAGCCTTAGTCTTCTAGAAGTCAGAAGCCGCAGCCCTAGCAGGCGAGGGGAAGAGCACAAAACAGGGTGAGGATAGAGTGGGTTTCTGGGGAACAGCGATGTCCCCTCCACTTCCTCCTGGGAGATGCAGGCTGGGTGCCTATGTGCCAGGCTCAGAGGGGGAAGGGCGCTGAGGTTCCTCCCCAGGCTCTGAAAGGCAAGCAGAGAGGGACTCAGGGCCTGGCCCCACCCACCAAGATCCCAGCCCCTCCTCCCCATTTCACACTCCCAAGCCTTACCACTTAGTGCTGGGTCTTCCACTTGGTCCTCAGAGCCTCCATCTCTCTCGGACTCATCCAGAGGGGGTGGGCGCTCCCAGGGCCCTTCCAGACCCTGGCCACAGGTTGTCTTTTGCCCAGCTGGGGATGGGAAAGAAGAGATAAGAACACAGGCTCTGCGTATCCATCCGGCTGTCCTGGAGTGTGAGCTAAGTGTCTGATGGCTGAGGTTAAGCTTTCCAGGGGCATCATGGAAGCATGGAGAGAGAACTGGGCTAGAACAGCTCTCCCAGCAACTAGCCATATGGCTTACGTAAGTCAGTTAGTACCTTTCTGAAGGAAATAGAAAGGGGGAAATTGTGTAGATTACCTTAAACAAGATGTAATAGTGAATACCCTGCCCAGCCCAGCGCCAGCACCCAGGAGCCACTAGGAGTCGTGGTGGTTTATATTGCTCCATCATAGGACTATCATTTGACCCGGTGCCCTTCTGCATTTTTTGTTTGTTTGTTTTTTTTTGTTGTTTTGTTTTGGTTTTTTGTTTTTGTTTTTGAGATGGAGTCTCACTCTGTTGCCCAGGCTGGAGTGCAGTGGTGCGATCTCAGCTCACTGCAACTTCCACCTCCCAGGTTCAGGGGATTCTTCTGCCTCAGCCTCCCAAGCAGCTGGGATTACAGGTGTGTGCCACTGTGCCTGGCTAATTTTTGTATTTTTATTACAGATGGGGTTTCACCATGTTGGCTGGACTGGTCTTGAACTCCAGACCTCAAGTGATCCGCTAGCCTTGGCATCCCAAAGTGCTGGAATTACAGGCATGAGCCACCGCACCCAGCCACCTGCTGCTTTTCCTGAGGGAACAGTCTCCTCTCACCCCTCTTCCACTGTTTTGGAGGGGTCTCAGTGAGGACTGATTCAGGTCTTCCAGCTGTCTCTTGCCCACAAAGGGACTGAAGCCCAGCAACAGCTTTTGCCCCCATGGCCAATCTCTTCACTGCCAGATATGCAGGCAGGAGGCCCAAGGCCTTTTGTTTGTGTGGAAGAGCTGACAGCTTCTAGTAGGGGTGGTTGACTCTTCAGTATTCCCATAAATAATGAGACTAAAAAGGTTAATGGGCCGGGCTGGTTCTTGAATTTTAAATTCTACATCTAAACACTAGAGGGCACCCTCCCACTCCATCCTAGGAAGGAAAAAGAGGAGAAACAGACAACAGTCCTGGAGAGGGCAAGTAAATGAGGCAGCCCTCTGCACCCCAGCAGAGACCACATCCTAGGTTCAAAAATGTAGGTGAAATGCAGGTGACAGGGGTGTTGGACTCTCCTGGTCCTCCATCCCTGAATGTCCTCACGCCCCCTTACTGCCATAGGTGGGAAGTCCTCTTTTGGCTCTAGCCTCAAACCCCAAACGGCCTTGGCCTTAATTCTCAGGGAAGAGAGGAATTATTAGGGAAAACCTGATTGGGAGAGGGACTGAGCCAAGGATGGAGGAAACCCATGTCTCAGGTAGGGCTGAGTTCGGGGCACCCCATGGAGCGAGAAGACAGGGAGGCCCCTGTGGTGTCACTACAGTTTGCGTGTATGAGACACTGAACTAGAAGGGGACGTCCTCGTATACTCAAGGAGGACCCACAGCTAATCCACATGTCACAGGCCCCTCAGCTTACCAGACTGCCTGATGACCTTCAGGACTTCAGCCTGGCTGTCCTCTTCTTCTTCCTCTTCTTCATCATCCTCCTCTTCCTCCTCATCTTCCTCTCTTGGATAACCCAGCTCCCGAAGCTCCCCCAGCTCATCCTCCTCCTCTGAGGCCTGGTTCTCATTCAAATTGCTGATAGACTGCAGGTGAGACTCAGCAATGCGCTGCACAGCTGGCACAGAGGAGACCGAGGAAAGCAAGGGTCAGCTAGACACAGCCCATGGATCTGGAGATAGCCTGTGGCCTAGCCCCCAGCCTCCTTCCCGTAGGCCTGGGGCAGAGAATACCCCCTCAGGGGCCCAAGTTCAAAGGCCAAAGTTGACAGGTCAGCCTGATGGGTGTCAGACCAGGGCAGAGGCAGCCAGGGGTAGATTTGATCATGTTTGGCTCTTAAGCTGTCCTAAGATGCTAGCCCCCAGGCAGCTCCCCCACACCATAGGGCACTAGGCTGGGCAAGACCAGGCGGGCACAGCAGCAGCTTAACATTCCCTGGCTGGAGAGCTTGATTTTCCAAGTACCCAGTACGGGAGACAGTGTCTCCCAGCTTCAAGCCCAGGCAGAAGGCACAGGGCGTAGGAACCAGGGCCTGGGGATTTGCCACTTTCCATTTCTTGGGGGTGCCCAGCCTGCTGAGGGCTCACTGCTTACCCTGATCCTACCTCCCATGCGATGCATAGTCCCCACTCCCTGGCACTGCCCAGTCATAGATGCCAATCCACATACTCCTGCCCCGGGCTCCAAGGGACAGAACAATTCCGAGGCTGAGGACATAATAGTCTGCAGCCAGTGCAGTCTGTGCCGGGGGATGCGGCATGCTCAGATGCGGCCCCCACAATCTTGACCCACATCCCCAGGTTCCCAGCTCCCTCTGCGGTGACCTAGAAAGCAACCCCCCCAGCCTCCAAAGACCTGCTCAGATAGGGCTGGGAAGGGAACAGTGTGGGCAGCTGGAGACAAGTTTCCAAAAGATGGAAAGGAGCAAGGGGTTAGAGAAAGGGGCCAAGGCCAGGGGTTCTGGGGGATGGCAGAGGTTGAGGGGCCACTGAGGAGAGGCTGCAGGAGCTGGCAGGATCTTAGAACATATGCGACACAAAGTTCACAGGCCACAGACAAGATGCTGAGGAGGGGCTGGGGGTGGGGAATGGGGAGTTGCTGCAGTTCCTTCTTGGTCTGCCAGTGGCCCCTCCCCTCAGAAGGCCCAGAGGGGTAGGGCCAGGCTGGAAACCTCCGGCACAGTGAGCAGGGTGCTATGCTCCTGCCAACTCGGGGACAGGCACAGAGGGTGCTTTGTATGTGCCCGCTGCCCCACCCAGCCCCCAGCTCCCAGCCCAGTACCTCCTGCTGGCTCTGGGCAAGCTATCCAGGCAATAAAAGCACAATAAATCACCCTACCCTGACCTTGGGGACGCGGCAGAGCTTCATCTTGAGCCAAGTGTGAGAGCTCCAGCCTTGGAGCACAACCCCTCAAGCTAAGACTTAGTGCTGTGCCCCTCTCTCTAGGGCCCTCGATTCTTCCCTGACAAGCCCCAACCCTGCCGGGCACCTTCCCTTGCCCACAAAAGGACTGAAGCCTACAAAACAGTGCCCTCCTGGTAGAGAAGGATCCATGAGGGCTGTGGGGGGAGGTAAGGCAGGAGAGCAGGTGGCAGCCCAGGCAGCTTCCTTCTCCCCCAGCGGGGGAGGAGAGTTCACTTCGTGAGCCACAGTGACAACAGAAGGTGTGTGCGGTGCTTGCGCTGGTGCCCCGTGAGCCTCCCTCGCTTCCCCCACCTCCCTCATGCCTCCTGGGCTCTCTGGGGTCTCCCCATCACTCCTTCCAGGCTGTCTCCTTCTCTGCCCCACTCTGTGGGGCCCCAAACTCCCCCCACCACAAGTCTTCCTTCTTCAGTTGGAAGGTCCCCAGCCTTGCCCCAGACTGGCCACCCCTCTCCTGATCCCTTTCCTCTTCCCTGCCTCTACTCACCTGGACTCTCCTAAGATGTGGCCTAAAGGGGCAGTTGAGGGGGTGCACAATTTTGACCACTGCACGGTGCATGGTAGCACCCTGGCCCTAACATCTTCATCCTGGCCTGTTCGCCCATGCTTGCAGTCAAGAGCCAGGTCTTCCCCTCACATCCACCCAGCCTCTCCCTACCCAGCCCAAGGTGGGAGGGAGAGGGATTTCTTAAATTCTCTCCTGAGAAGATGACACTCTGTCCCTCATGCCTGCTTTGGGGCCCTTCCACACACCCCTCTAGGTGGGGAGGTCCTTCCAGGTGCTGAGCCACACTGCCCACTTGCTGCAGCTCTGACCCTTCATTTTCCTGTCCTGGGGAAAGCAAAATAACCCCTTCCCTTCTCTCCTCCCTTCCCAGCCTCTCCTCTCTGTTCCCAACCCTGGCAAGTGGGCTGACAGGTATACCTGTTGACCTTGGCTGGTGCTGGGAACTTATTAAACCCTCCCCCGAACCACTTCCCAGCATACTCTTCCGGTAGCTCTCCCTCCCAACCTCCGCAGGAGCGGAGGGGGCTGGCCGGGCAGGAAGAGCCCCAGGCAGGAGTTGAGGTGGGGGGTTGGTAGGCAACAGGGCTTAGTCAGGAAGAGGCCCTCCTATGTCCTTCAGGTATATCTCCCCAGCTCCCTGACTAGAAACGAAGCCTCCTCCAGGTTGGCCCAGAAGTCCCCCTCTGACTCGCATCTCTTTCTCTTTGCACACCTTCTTCCCTCTTCTTGGACCTGGGATGCCCTTGCCTGCCTGTTAAATTCCTATGATCCTTCAAATCCAAGCTTAAACATCTTTGTGTACCTTCCTTGACCCTTTTCTTTTTTTATTTTTTCCCGAGACAGGCTCTCACTCTGTAGCCCAGACTGGAGCACAGTGGTGCGATCATAGCTCACTGCAGCCTCAAACTTCTGGGCTCAAGCAATCCTTGTGCCTTAGCCTCCCAAGTATCTGGGACTATAGGTGTGCACCTCTATGCTTAGCTCACTTTTTTTTTTTTCTTGAGACAGAGTTTTGCTCTTTTTGCCCAGACTGGAGTGCAATGGTGCGATCTCAGCTCACCACAACCTCTGCCTCCCGGGTTCAAGTGATTCTCCTGCCTCAGCCTCCTGAGTAGCTGAGATGACAGGCATGCGCTACCACGCCTGGCTAATTTTGTATTTTTAATAGAGACAGGATTTCTCCATGTTGGTCAGGCTGGTCTCAAACTCCTGACCTCAGGTGATCTGCCCGCCTCGGCCTCCCAAAGTGCTGGGATTACAGGCGTGAGTCACTGCGCCCGGCCCGCTTAGCTCACTTTGTAAATTTTTCATAGAGATGGGGGTCTCACTGTATTGCCCAAGCTGGTCTCGAACTCCTAGGCTCAAGCAGTCCTCCCGCCTTGGCCTCCCAAAGTGCTGGGATTTCAGGTGTGAGCCACCTTACTTGGCCCCTCCCTGACCCTTTGAGGCAAAGAGCCCCAAGGGGGCAGGGACCAAATCTGACTCATCTTATTCTGCCCAATGCCCACCAACTTGGCCTGGCATATACTAGGTGTTGAGTAAGTGTGCAAAAGGAATGGCTTGCTTTTCCATGGAGAAAGGGAAGCAGGAAAGAGGAGACCAGTGTGCAGATCTGTGCAAATGGGATGCAAATGGGAGGGGAGGCCAGGGGTGAAGCCCACAGGAGAAGGCGCCCTGGATGAGCAGGGGTGGGAGGTGGTCCACCACAGGCTGGTGAAGAGGAGCTGCAGGTGGAGTCCCTTCCACGCGGATGCCTGCTGGTTGTCTTAGGCCAGCCATCTCTTTTCTTTCAAGCCCACAACCCGATGTTAAGGCCCATAGCTGCCCATTGCAGCCTCGGGACTCCTGTGTTTTGCAAGGCCAGACTGAGAAAAAATTGGTCTTTACGTTGGGTTGTTGCGCCACGCTGACAGCGGGCTATGTGTGGCGAAACAATCCCTCCCCACTGACAAAAGCTCCCCTAGCGTCTGCCCAGTTCCAGGGATCAGGCGGACAGCCAGGAAGGTCGGTGGGGGTATAGTACCTTTCAGCGAAGGTGGTGTGTAGGCACAGGGGTTGGGTCTCTTCGACTTGAGATGGTGCCCCTCTCCTGAGGCTCTCTGCCAGGGGAAGTGCCAGGTTAAAGGGGCTCAGCAGAGGCCCTTGCCTTCACCATCCCTCCATTCCATCCCACCCATGGCCACCCAAGCAGACTGATTTAGCCACTGCTAATGGGTCCTGCACCTAGGCTGAGCCTCCCCACCCTGTGGCTTTAGGGGGGGCCCCCCATAAGCCATGGCCTGGTTCAGGGCAGGACTCTAGGTCCAGGAGGTTCCACCCTGAGTCTGAGCAGAGGAGGATCTGCTGGTGGCACCCTGGCATGAGGCACTCTCAGAGGACTGCCCATTGATATGCTAATGTGTCCTCTTGGGTGGCACCCCATACTGGTTGGTTGTCACTGCAGGCACCCGTCCACCCCACCCCAAGGGGCCCAGGCATCCCTCCTTCCAGCTGCCCCAGGAAACTCACCTGGTGGGGGGAGGCTTCCTCCTCTGAGGAAGGCCACCAAAGCCAACCGAACCAGAACCAAGCGAGGAGGAAAAGAGAAGAGGGAGAGAGAGAAAGAATCCGAGTTATTTTCCCCAGGGTCTCAATCTCTGGGGACAGGGAAAGTGTGCCCTCTCCCTCCTGCGGCTGGGAGGTGTCATGTCAATAAATAAAGCCAATAGAGTTGGGTTCCCAGACCTTATCCACTCCCCAGTCTCCAGCTTTGACTCCTGTTCATGGGACTTTGGCAGGGCCCCTAGGAAGGCATCAGAGCTAGGGTGGGGCCAGGGCTAAGTGGGCAGGGAGGGGCCTACCTGGTGAGGAGTGCTCTGAGAGCCGGAACAGCATGGCAGGCGTTGGTCTCCTGCGCCGGATCTAAGGAGATGGAGGGAGGGGTGACTGGATGGACACCTGCAGCCCTCCCCCACCCCCAGGCAGCAGGGAACAAACAGTGCTTTGGAGTCCCCAGGGAACCTTTGAATCAAAGTCTGTCAGAGCCAAAAGGAACTCTGTAGCTCACCTAACCCCCTCATTTTACAGAGGTGAAAAAGCAGGGCTCAGAGAGATTTGGCAATGTGCTTAAGGCCACACAGCACAACAAGTCCAAAGGACGAGAAAAACCCCAGTCACTGACTCCCAGCCCATGCCTGTCCCACTCCATGGCTACTCCAGAACAGACATCTCCCTTCCTATCTTCTCCCACCAAGGCCCTTCCTCTCTCCAGTTTCTGAAAACATCAGACCTCGGAAGCCAAAGCTGGCTACAGCTCCAGCTGCCACGGCTGGGCCCTCTGGGGAAGATGCCCCACGGGCCATGGCACCCATGTGGCCCTGCCCACCTAAGATCAGCTCAAGGGCTTCAAACAAGCTGGATCCAGCTTTTCAGAAGGAGACTGAGCCAGCGCACTGCAGGCACCCCCCACCTCCAGCTGAGGCTCAGGGACCCAAAGGGGCCTGGGGGACCTCTCTGGGGGCCTTGGTTTGGGCTTCTTTTCCAGTCTCTGTAAGGCTGCAGAACTCTTCACCCAGTCCTTGTGAGAAATGAAAAGTTGCCCTCCTTGCTACGTGAGCCAAGCAGCAACTGACCGCCCCCCTCCCCGCCCCGCCCCTCAGCTTGGCAATCAGACCAACTGTCAGTTAATTAGGTCCCTGTTGAGCTCCAGGGAAATGCACAAAGAGAACCAGGTGAGTTAAGCTGAAACTGCCACCTCCCCAGCCAAGCTCCCCATGACACCCTCATGACCCAAAGCTGCTTAGGCCCAGGACTGTACCCCCTGCCCTCTATCTCCCCCCATAATGACTTGGCCCCCTCATCACTGCTCAGTGGGGAGCCAGCTGCATCTCAGCTCAGCAACAAGTGACCCCTGCTCCACTAGGGATGGGAAGTGGAGCTCTCTGTCACAGCACCCGCCAGCCTTTGGAAGCCCCTCAACCCCCAAGAAGGCCCTCAGGAGGACTCAGTAGTCTGTGGGAAGAGGTCTGGCTTTGTGATGACTCCCCACCTCTCCCTCCTTGGGGTTGGGGCTCTGGGGCCTGACAGCAGGAGGCCAGAGCCAGGTTCTGGAGACCCCAGCCCAGGCACACACGCGGGATTAGAGAGGGGCAGGGTAGTGGATTCACCCGGTGGCAGCCTCATACTCCTGCCCTGGGTGACAAGGTCAGTGTCCACCGCTGCTCACATCTGACCAGCTCTGGGACAGAGCCAGGCGGAGCGGTCCCGGTGGTAGCCTAGGAGACTGACTACCCTTTGGGGACTGTGCTGGGACCAAAGGACGCCCCCACCCCACTCCTGGGCGGTCTGGAATCGGCCTGTCCCCCCACCCCCGCACCCCCAGCCTCACTGCCAGGAACTCTCTTGCCCCGGGATCAGGACCAAAGCCGCGGGGAAAAGTTGCACGAGTCTCCAGCTAACTTCACACGCGGCCCCGCGCCCCGTCCTGACCGAGGCAGAGCCCGGCTCTCCTTGCGCCCCCACCCCCAGGCCAGTCCGGCCGGGGCAGCGCCTTGGGAGGGCGAAGAAGCCCCGCGGGGTGTGTCGGGTACGCTGCCGGGGTGGGGCACGGGCCCCTTACCATCTCCACCTGGCGGGGGTCGAGCTGGCTAGGGGGCGCGGGCACCGAGAACTGGATCTTCTTGCGGTCCTTGGGGTCCATGGCGCGCGGGGTGGGCGGTGGGGCTGGGGTGCGCGACTCGGGGTCCCGGCGGCGGTCTGTGCTGGGCTCCCCCGCGCAGGCGGCGGGCTGTGCGGCGAGAGGAGGAGGAGGGCTGTTCGCGCACGGATAAAAATACCGTGCCCGCCGAGGGGAGGGCGCGGGAGCGGGAGGAGGGTCGGCGCCCGGGCTGGGCGCGCCCCCAGGCTCTCGGGACTCGGGGCTCGCCCCCCGCGCTCGCTGAGCCAGGTCTGTGCCTCGCTCCCTCGCGCTCCCCGGCCTGGGTGTCTCTGCGTCTCGGTGTCTCTCCCCTCCTGAGTGTCTCTGCGTCTCGGTGTCTCTCCCCTCCTGAGTGTCTCTGCGTGTCTCCTCTCTCTGCCTCTCCCGTCCTTCTCCACCTCCCTCCCTCAGCCTCTCCTCCTCTCCGCGTGTGTCTCTGCCTCTGCCGGGCTCACCCTCCGGTCCCAGCTTTGGGGTCCCCAGCCCGTCCCCTCCGCCTGGGACTGGCGCCCGGGTGCTCGGAGGGAGGGTTTAGGGGAAACTGGCCAATGAGCATGGAGAATCGTGTTCTCCTGGGGCTGGGAGGAGGGTGGGAGTTAGAGCCAAGGCCTGGGGAGCCAGCTGGGGGGCCCCCTGCGGTCTCCCCAGAACTTGAAGCTGCATTATTGATGGAGTCCAGCAGAGAGGATAAAGGGGGAGGGAGGGGGAGAGGGGCAGCGGGGAGGCAGGACTCTGGCTTTAACCCCTTCGTGGTCCTGGTACTGGGAGTTTCAGAGAGGCCTGCGAGGTCGTGGGGAGAGTACCAGCCTGTCACGCTGTGAATGGGGGTGTCCTGGAAAGGGAGCGAGTGTGACCGAGTTGTGTGTGGGAGGACACGTGTCAGTCATCGTGGCAGGGAGAGTGTGCAGGGGTGTGCCGGGGCCCTGTGGTGCCCATAGCCAGGGAGTGTGTTTTGGGGGGTCCGGTGTGGTGTGAGTGTGTCTGTGTAAGTGTGTCAGAGTGTCAAAGATGCAGGTGTGAGTGGCAGGGTGTGGGAGGACTGCGTGTGTGCGGGGGAGGGTGTGGGTGTGGGGGAGGATGTCAGAGGCTGTCAAGGTGATGGGCAGGCGTGTGCCAGCTTGCAGGGGGTGGGGGACTGTATCCACAGCTCCGCTGTGCAGTTGCTGGGGTATGAGGTTGTGGATGTGTGAGCGCTCCTGTGAGGGAGAAGGGGAATGTGCCCTGCCATGATGTACTGTAGATTCACGTGGCTCCTGTCTTTCCTCTCCGGATCTAATGGGGTGGGGAGGACAGGGCCGGCCCAGAGTTGGGGTGGGTTTGGGGGCTGCCTGTACACGTGCCATCACGTGCATGAATTTGGTGCATTCAGAAGCAGGGTTGGGGGAGACAGGTGTGAGCCTCTCTCTCTCCAGAGGTATTTGTGTGTGTCTCTGGAGCGGGAGCGGGAGGAGCTGGCCCTGTGGGTGGAATGTCCCTGTCTATTTGGTCTATTTGTCCGGGCCTTGGGTGCCTTTGCAGGAGCTGCTGTTTCCCTCCTTGGAGCTGTGCAGAGGGTCTGAATGCTTCTGTCTAGCACTGAGAGGGTGTGTGTAGACGTGTACATGCATGTTTTCCTGGGGCTCTGTTTGTGTTGGCGTCCTCTCTCCTGGTCACTCTCAGGCCTGAAACCCCCAATCCTCCTGCAGCTTTTCCACTCCCAGCCCCAGCATCTGGGTCCTGGGTGGAGTGAAAGGCCAGAGGAATCTTCTGGAATTGGGGTCAGGGCCCACTCTGGGGGTGAGGGAAAGGGTGGCAGGAGGTCCAGAGTGTTGCTCATAGGAGTGGGATGTCCTGGCCATCCAGCTCCACATCAGCCCACCCCAGGCCTGGCTCAAGTCCCTGTATGTTTGTTGACTTATATACTTGTTGGGAAACAGCTGGATGATAAGTTGTTGGCCCAGGGGTGTAGGCATCTCTGGCAGCCCCTAGGCTTGGCCCAGAACCTCTGTCGAAGATGGGGTGTGGTGGGGAGTGGCAAAGACCTGTTTGGCAGTGCCTTCGGAGGGTAAATAAGGAGGTCCTGAAAGGAAGAAGGGGTATGGGAAGGGCATGGCCCAGGCAGTGGCCCGGACAGCCACTGGGTGGGCAGAGGTGGGGAAGGGGCTTGTGGCTTCCAGTGCTGGCAGTGTGGGGAAGGATCGTGGGGATGAAGGGGACAGAGGATAGCTGGGAGGGTGATGAGAGGGTGGAGACAGGGAGGCATCAGCACCAGTTGCACCTCAGAGCCCATAGGAGCTGAAAAGGCCTCAGGGAACATGGCAGCTGAGCCCCATTTGAGCAGGAGGGCTTATTTACGGAGGCTCTGCTGAACTTATTGGAGCTCTGGGAGACCCCAGATCAGGAAACATTCCCCGGATCCCAGGCTGGGGCAGCTGAGAAGGGAGATGAGGGCAGAGAAGCCTCCCTCTCAGCTAGGCCTGGAAGATGAGGTCTTTGGGAGCGGAGGGAGGGTTTTTGCCCATCTCCCCCAGCCTGTGGCCAGGCTGGCATCTAAATCCTGGGGCCAAGAAGGGTGGGGAAGACTGGCTGACAGAGGGACAGACATGAAGGAGGAGGAAGAGACTGCACAGAGACAGGACGTGAGAGAGAGATTGGGGGGAGAGAGGAGAAAGCAAAGAGAGACAGAAAACATGGTTGAGAGATGGAGAGACAAAGGGAGGCAGAGAGAGAGACAGCGAACCTCACAACAGAGAAAGGCAGAAGACAGAGATGGAGAGAGAGTAAAAATAGCTCAGCATTAAGATAATTGCAGCTCGCAGCTCTGCCCTCCGTTAGGAATTAAATGAGGTTTTATTACTTTGATTTTTCTCTCCTGGATCCTACGCGACTTCTCAAGAACTTGGGGAAAAGTTTTTCAGGTGGGCGGCCAGGTGGTGGGGGCTGTGTGGGCGACAGAGGAGGAAGGGAATGGGACTCCTGAGAGCTGGAGGAGGGGTGGGCAGGGGCAAGGAGTGGGGAGGGGCTGCTGGGGACAGTGGAGTCCGGCAGGGGCTGGGGGAGATGGCTAGGACCAGGCACAGGGTGGGGGTGGGAGGGCACTGAGAAGCAAGGGGCCAGGGTGCCCTGCATTCACTTTGACTTAGAATTAATCATATGCAAATAAGATGTAAAAATAATATGCCACTCCTTGGTTATTATTCTTGGGTTAGAAGCACAGGCGGTTGGGTCCAAGGAACAAATTCAAGACCTCATTTGACGTAACTCTGATTGAACTGTGGGTCTCTCTGCTTGGACTGACAGAAAAAGTTGACGGTAGGGTGTCTATTAATGTACCATAGGTCTGAGCACACTATTTTGAGGCGTTTCTTTCCCATCATGTATCTTCACGCCATTGCTGGATGCCTGCCGCGGGGCCTGGCGTGCAGGAGGCCCTGCATTCACCTTTGGAGGGAAAATCTGGGAGGGTGGTGTGAGGCCTTTGCCCTCTTCCCCGGATGGGGGGAGAAGGGACACTGGGATCTGTCCCTCCCTCCTCCCAAGCAAGATGTGTTTACCTGGACAGAACATCAACTGGGAAGTCCCAGCCCTGGGTAGAATTTCAGATCTGTAATTTACTGTGTGAAATTGGACACATTTCTTAGCTACTCTCTGTGCCTCAGTTTCCTTATGCTTCAGAGCCCACCTCACATGGTGGCTGTGACTATTCAATAGGAAGAAAAATAAAGCCCCCGCCAGGGCAGGGTTCCTGATAGCCCTTGACCGAGGTTCCCGCTTAGAGCTCTCGGGATGCGCTTCCAGAAAGAGCCGGCAGGTGGCGGAGTCGGCCAGGGTTTGGGTGGCTGCTGCAGGCACTGTGGGTCTGGAGTTGGGCATCACACCCGTGACCTTGGCACCACAGAGCTGAGCCGGAGCCGGCTGGGTTGGCATGTGGCAGCTGGAAGGGAGGCCCCGGAAGTCCCAGGAAACACCCTTAGAGGAGCCGGGGAGTGCTGGCTGGGAGCACTGGGGTGTCTTTCCCTGCCCTTGGGGGAAGGGAGAAGGGGGGACGCGGGAGGAAGAGGAATTCCAAGACCCACCTCTCTGGGGAAACCCGTGTACCCGAGAGGAGAGGGCAAGGACACCCTCAGTAGGAGCAGTGGTGGCACCAAGACAGGTGGACAACCATCTGAGACACTCATTTACACATGCACTCATTCATTCATTCACCCATCGTCCATCCCTTTGCCCATTCAGTAAATTCACATTGGGTGCTTAGGTGCTTTTTTTCAAATCAGCTTTGTTGAGTTACAGTTTGCCTACAATAAAGTGTTAAATATACATTTCAATGAGTTTTTGGAAATTTATATAGCATTTGACCACCACAATACAGATATATAATGTTTCTGTCACCCCAGAACGTTCGTTTTTGCCCCATCCAAGTCAATCTCCCTTCTCCCCTCATTGGGTGTATCGTAACTCTTAGCACACTATTTTGATACGTGTCTTTCTCACCTTTTTTTTTTTTTTTTTTTTTTTTTGGAGACAGGATCTTGCTCTGTTGCCCAGGCTGGAGTGCAGTGGCGCCATCACGGCTCACTGCAGCCTCGACCTCCTAGGCTCAAACGATCCTCCTGCCTCAGCCTTCTGTGTAGCTGGAACTACAGATGTGCACCACCACACCTGACTAATGTTTTTTTTATTATTGTTTTTTGTAGAGACAGGGTCTCACTTTGTTGCCCAGGCTGGTCTCGAACTCCTGGGCTCAAGTGATCCTTCCGCCTCAGCCTCCCAAAGGCCTGGGATTACAGGCTTGAGCCACCGTCCCTGGCCGCCATCTCTGTTTACATCATCACCGACCTGCCACAGTACCCAGAATACAGCAGGCACTGCATGACGCCGAGAGGATGGTTTGAGAAGTGAATGAATAGATGAATACATGAGTCAGAAATTGACAACGGTGACACATATGGAGCCTCTGTGCTGGGCACCGGGGCTAGGCCCTTCCTATGCACTCTCATTTAATCCTCGCTAGTATCCTTCCAATTCACAGATGAGGCTATTAGATTCAGAGAGGTTCAGCAGCTTTTGCCCAGAGTCTGGGTTCAAACGCAAACAGTCCAACTCCAGAGCCCTCCCTCTTTAACTGCTGCTTTTAACACATTCAGGATGGACGCGTGGAAGATCGCTTGCACGCACTGCAGTGGGCTCCTCTCTTTCTCTGCCCTGGACCAGGTTTCTCTCTCTCAGTCCCGCCGGTTTGGACAGTTCTCGGAAGCAGTAGAGATCGATGTGCGGAGGCTGCCCTCTGGTGGCACAAACGAGTACAGCAGTATATGTGCCCTCTGGCGCCCCCAGGTGGGAGCTGGGAAGTTGAGAAGAGAGCAAGCTGCAGCCCACAGCAGGGGTAGCCTCAGTCCCCGGCACCTGGAGACCCCCTGCTCTGGCCACTGCCTGGTGCCCCCCGAGGTGCCAGCTGAGGCTGCCCCCGAAGAATGCCAGCTGCCGGAGCCCCCCGCCTCCCACTCCCTCCACCAGCCTTACACACACTCCAATCCCGGTCCAGTCGGCTGCTTCCATTCCCTGAAGAAGAGGCCCTAAAGTTAAAACAGCTGTTAATTTATAAACCAATTTTTCCGTGACTGCTTAATAAATCGCCAGCAGCTGCTCTGCCCCGTCCTCCTGCCCAGGCACCCGGCCCCGGGGGCTGCATGGAGAAGCTCAGAGCCGCCAGCCTGCCCTTCCTGCCTTCTTCCCCCAACCTCTCCAACTTGCTCCCATTCACCCAGAAACTGGGCATCTTGCAGGGCAGGTGGGTGGGGGCAGGGGTGTGGACCCTGATGAACCCCGATTCTCTGGTCTTCAGTGGAGTGCTGAGACAGGGATGGGTTTTCTTTCCTAATGGGCTGCAGCCCAAGGGCCATCCCTCCCTAAGTCCCACAACCCCCATATCCCACCCGACTTTCAGGTCCAGAAGGTGGGTGTCAAAGGTTTCTCTAGTTTTGGGGAAATGAGGGTGTCCAGATTCCCTGGGGAAGTCCCCCTGAGCCACCAGGAGGTAAGGGGACCCTGAGATCATGGGAATCCCAGTGTTCTGTCTCAGGGTGGTCCCCCTGACAGATGCTAATAGACTGACTCCCTGACCCTGCTGTGCTCTCAAGGGTGGGCTGGCAGGGGGCAAGAGATGCTGGGATAGCATCCTGTTCTGGAGCTCCCAGTGCCCACCCGTCCTGAGGCTCCAGTGTGGAGGGATCAGGGCCACCTGAATACTCACTTTGCCCAGCTTCTGCTAGCATATAAACAGCACCATGAAAATTCACATGGGGAGGGGCCATGTGAACTGCGGGCTTGAGGCCTGTTCTTTCTCCTTGCATCTGCAAGTTCCAAAGGGACCCAGGGTGAAAGGCCACCTGCCACCATGATCCCTGACTGCTGGGCAAGGGGGTCAATCTGGCTCAGCGTGTGCAGGGTGGTGAAGCACCCCAGCTCAGAAGCTCAAGTCCCAGTTCTACCACTTAGTAGCTGTGTGACCTTGGCCACATCATTTAACCTGTCTTTCCTTCCTCGGTGTCTCCATTTATAAAACGGGGATAACAATAGAATTATGAAAACTAAGCAAGTTGATGCTCATAAGCACACAGTTTAAAAAAACAAGTGATTTATTACAAAGTGTTGCTTAGTATTATCTTCTCATCCCCCTGCTGGAGACCGAAGCTCCTGGAAAACCCAAATAGGAAACCCAAATAGCAATTCTTGAGGTGGGGGTGCCCAAGACATTTCCAGGGGCAATGGGTGGGGGGCAGGTAGGAATGCAGGGACAAATTTTTTTTTCTTTTTTTTTGAGATGGAGTCTTGCTCTTGTCGCCCAAGCTGGAGTGCAGTGGCAGTGATCTTGGCTCACCGCAACCTCCGCCTCCCAGGTTCAAGCAATTCTCCTGACTCAGCCTTCCAAGTAGCTGAGATTACAGATGCCCGCCACCACACCCGGCTAATTTTTGTATTTTTAGTAGACACAGGGTTTCACCATGTTGGCCAGGCTGGTCTCGAACTCCTGACCTCAAGTGATCTGCCCGCCTTGGCCTCCCAAAATGCTGGGATTACAGGTGGGAGCCACCGCGTCCGGCCTATCAGGGACAAAATTTTTAAAACCCAGCCAGGATTCCTGAGTTCTGTGGTCCTCACAAGGCTTTATCATTCTGGGCCCTTCTGTTCTCCCCCACCCCTCCACCCCCATCCCCACCCATCTCCCACTACACAGCCAAGGCCCTTCCTTGGCCTGTCTGGGAAAGGAAGAAAAGGCTCCATCCCACCCCAGCCCCTGGAGCTCCCACCTTTCAAGAAGCAAGTTCTCTCTACCATCTAACTGAAAGCCCTTCCATTTCTCTAGTCATCAGGGGCTACCACAACGCCCTCTTGCTCTTCCAGGAGGCAGAGATCCCAGCAGGGGCAGAGATGGGGAGGGATCAGAGGGCCTGGAGGACTCTGTTGGACTCTGCCCTCACACAAGCCAGGTGTGAGCCTGGCCTTGCTACATCTTCCCTGTGTGTTCCAGAGCAGCTTAGTCAACCTCTCTGAGCCTTGTGTTCCACATGGAGATAATTCCAGAACCTACCTTCTGGGTTGTTGCAAGGTTTGGATGGGATACTGCCCATGAAGTTCTTAGCAAAGGATGTGGTTCAGAGCAGGAGCTGCAGAAATGGTGGTGGGGAGAGGTGGTGTGCTGGAAAGAACCCACACACAGCTGGACTGTCTGGGTTCAAACTCCACTCCACTACTCACAGCTGGGTGACCTTGAGCAGGTTGCTTAACCTTCGTGTGCCCCTGTTTCTCCATCCTTAAAACGGAGACTGTAACAGAACTTGTGTCACTGGGGGGTCGTGAGGCACCTAGAGCTTGCTGAACAGTTCTCCAGCTAAATAAATGTTTGCCGAGTTAATAGTCTTGTTAGTTGCTGTCATTATCATCGGCCCCCACTAGAGCACTGACCCTCCTTAGGCTGTGCCTTATCCAGGGGCTTGTTGATGGCAGAAGGTTGGAGGCTGAGCAGAACCAGACTAGAGACCCTGGCACGGGGAATACCGGCTCAGGACAGGCCCACAGTCCCCACCTCCTTAAGGTGCCCACCTCTGGCATCCTCCTACGCCCTGGCATGAGCACAACTGGTTCTGTCTGCCTCCCCCAGTCAATGGCCCTGCAAAGCAGCCAGCCCCCTCCCTGTGCCCGGGTCCTGACTACCTCCTGGAAATAAAGCAGGGTCCCCAGGGCCCACTCAAGCCCAGGACTACTCTGCCAGGGTGCCAGCTGGTGCCCATGGGGGCGGGGCAGCGGTTTGATCGTGTGGAAGGGGAAAGCTGGAGGCACCCCCAACCTTGTGGCGCCCACCAGATATAAGAAAAGGCTGGGGCCAACCAGAACATCCTTCTAGCTTCCTTCCCCTTGGGAGAAGAGGGGTGGGAGCTAAGATTTGCCTGTCCTGTGCCTCAGTTTACTCAGCCATCCAGGAGATGGAGTCTTCATTCCTGTCTCCCAGGCTACCTGGGGCCCCAAAGCCTTGGCATTGGCCTCTCACATCTCCTAGACCTCTTTCCTTTCTTAAAGAATCCTAGTTCAGCTCCTGGTCCCCGCCCAGGTTCTCTCCTTAGAAGCCACTAAGGAGGACACTGAGCCCCAGAGGGGGAGGCAGAAGCCACCGCACGCCGGAGACGGCCCCTGCAGAATGTGAGGCCGCATCTCCAACTCCTTCTAGGGTGCCAGTCCCCGCCGGGGTCAACGGCGATCCCCACCGCTGCCCCTTCCCGCCGCCACTGGCCCTTTAAGAGCCTCTCCGCGCGCTGCCGTCCCGGATCAGCCAGAGAGACCATTAAAATTTTATGCAGAATGAAAATGGGCCAGGTCTCCAGCTTCCTCGCTCCCATCCAATGATTTATTACTCGCAAATACCACAGAACTAATTAGTATAGTAATTAATTAATACGCATTTGCATATTTGCATGTGCAATTAGTGCAGTGGAGTGATTACTGGGAGAATGAGGGGCCCCGATTGTCAGATGTGAGGGGGAAGTGGCCTGGAAAAGAGTTAGTGGGAATGAACTTTGTAGGGAGCGAGATGGCGGGGAGGGAGGGGCAAGCGCGGGCGAGGCGGGGGGCACCGGGGCACCTCGCTGGGGCACAGGGCGGCCCCGCCCGGGAGCATGGGGCAGGACTCCCCTGCGGGCCCAGGACGCAGGTCGGGGGCCGAGACCCCGGAGCCCCCGCCCCGCCCGGCGCGCGGCCCCGCCCCGCCCCCGCCGCGTGGCATGGCTCCAAGCGCGCGCCTGATTGTTATGCATTGTGTTTCTTGTAGCGAACGGAGCCGGGCGGAATGGGGCTGGCACAAGCTGTTTCCCTGCCACGCGGCGGTGGCACCTTAAAGGGGCAGCGTCCCCTTCCCGCCGCCGCGGCCGGCCCGCCCGGCCCCCGCCGACCCCACCTCCGAGCCGGGGCGACCCGCTCCCCCAAGCCCGGCTCCCCCAAGCGGGAGGCCGCGGGGAGGCCGCCCCGGGAGGGCGCGCGGTCCCATGGGGCGCGGGGCACGTGCCGAGGGAGCCCGGCGGGCAGGAAGTCAGGGCTGCGAGCCGGGATTGGGCGGCTGGGGCGCGCCGGGCGCCGTGCCAGGCGCGGGGCGGGGGTGGCGAGGAGAGAACCGGGAGCAAGCCAGGAGAAGGACAAGGAGGAGAAGGAGCGAGTGGCGGGGGCTCACCGGGCGCCAGGTGCTTGCTCCTAGGACGCCGCTGCTCCTCCTTGCAAAGATTTTGTGAGGCAGGGCTTCTTATTCCCATTTTACAGACAGGAGGGCAGACGGGGGCGGGGGCTGCAGGTAGCTGGTGAGCAAGTGGTGAAGCTGGGGCTCCTGAAGCTGGTCTGTCCATCCCCAAATGTTCAACGCGGTGCCAAGGGCCAGAGGCTGGAGCGCCATCAGGGGACATCAGGGAGGACTTCCTGGTGGAGGCAGCACCTCACTGAGTCTGCAAGGGCTAGGAGGGAGTCTTCTGAAGAAGCTGAGGAAAGTGGTATATACAGGGTGGAAAAACTCCATGGTTAATGTGACTGCTCCCTCTCTGTGTTTAGAAGCAGCCTCCACCCACCTACCCACCCATGAGCAGAACTTGATAGATCCAGGCCAGGGCATCATGGCTCCTGTGACTTGGGGACCTGGCCAGAGGCCAGTTGCCAGAGGGCAAACCCTGGGCACAAGTCCTTCCCAGGGCACCCTCCTTTCCCTCTCCATTGCGGGGTCTGCTGGTCCTACGGTGTGGAGACCACAGCGGTTTCAGAGAAAGGGACACACTTTATAATAGTAAGAGCATGAGCCCTGGAGTCAAGTCAAACTTGGTTCAAATCCCAGCTCTGCCACTTTCTAGCTATGTGACCTTGACACATCAGCCTTGACGGCAACCTCTCTGTGCTTCAGCATCCTGGTCTTTAAGTGGTGGTACTAGGAATCCCTCCCACAGATGTCTTGTCAAGAATAAAATGATTCCTGTGAAGGCCAGTGCCTGGCACAGATAGCACTCACCATTGTCATTATTACATTAATAAGTATGTTATCACACAGAGTGCTGAGGCTCTGGGAATGAGAGGACCCCAAAGTGGCAACAGAGTCCTGGTTTCCAGTCCCAGCTCTGCCACTCACTTATTGTGTGACACAAGGCAGGTTGCTTCCCCTCTCTGTGGCTTCTTCATCTGTAAAATGGGGAGTGAGCCCATGAGACCCTACCTCTCTAGACTATTCCCTTCCCTCCCTGTGGACCCCAATTAAAAAGTCAGGCAGGGCACAGTGGTGTGGGCCTGTAGTCCCAGCTACTTGGGAGGCTCAGGTGGGAGGATTGCTTGAAGCCAGGTATTTGAGTCCAGTCTGGGCAACATAGCAAGACTCTTGTCTCTAAAAAAAACAAAAAACGGCTGGGCATGGTGGCTCACACCTGTAATCCCAGCACTTTGGGAGGCCAAAGTGGGTGGATCGCTTGAGGTCAGGAGTTTGAGACCTGCCTAGCCAAATGGTGAAACCCCATCTCTACTAAAATACAAAAATTAGCTGGGCGTGGTGGCGTGCGCCTGTAGTTCTAGCTACTCTGGAGGCTGAGGCTGGAGAATTGCTTGAGCCGGGAGGCAGAGGTTGCAGTGAGCTGGGATGGCGCCACTGCACTCCAGCCTGGGCGACAGAGCAAGACTCCGTCTCAAAAAAAAGAAAGAAAGAAAGAAAGAAAGAATCTCCACCCTTCATGCCAGGCAGTCCTTCCCAGGTCCACTCCTGGGGCTGACTCAAGAGATCTCTGGTTAAATTGTGACCTCCTGCCCTGACCACAGTGTCCTGCACACACCATACATTCTGCCCCAGTGACCTTTTGGGGCTGTCCTCCTGAGCACTAGCATCACCACTATGGTGTGGGTCATCCGTGCCTACTGTCAGGCCCATATGTCCCCTGCACCCATGCGCTCAAGGGACGTTTCAGGGAATAGTCCAGCACCAAGCCCCTAAAATTCCCCAGCCCAGATCCCTGGCTCTGATTTCCAGGGGCAGAAACTGGGAAATGCCCAGGTCACAGGGAAGGTCACAACAGAGCCCGCCCTAAGGAAAGAGGGCCCAGGATGCAGCCTGGTCCTGTGCTGTCCCCACTGCCCTGCGCTGCAGCATCAGGGAGGAGTTCCCCAACCCCCATCCGCCAGCACTTGGCCACCCAAGTGCGCACTTCATAACCTGCCGTCCTTTTGTTCCTCCCATCAGTGCTGAACTGCAGGTGACCAGGTGAACCGTGGTGCTAGTCCCATTTTACAGATGAGGAAGCAGGGGGTTACATGATCTGACCAAGGTCACAACGCTGCTAACTCTGGTACAGTTGCCACCTTGAGCTCCCTGTTCCTCTGCCTTCCTGTATGGACTCTGGGAGTGGGTTTGGGAGGGGCTGGAACAAGACATATCAACTTCTCCATGGAAAACTCACAAGAGAAGCAGAACAAAGATATGGTGATGAAGAGAGCTGCAGGAACAAAATTAAAAAAATAACATTGGGCCAGGTGCAGGGCTCACGCCTGTAATCCCAACACTTTGGGAGGCCGAGGTGGGCAGATCTCTTGAGGTCAGGAGTTCGAGACCAGCCTGGCCAACATGGGGAAACCCCATCTCTACCAAAAATACAAAAGGCAGCCAGGCGTGGTGGTGTGCGCCTACAGTCCCAGCTACTCAGGAGGCTGAGGTGGGAGGATTGCTTGAGCCCAGGAGGTGGAGGCTGCAGTGAGCTGAGACTGTGCCACTGCATTCCAGCCTGGGTGACAGAGTGAGACCCTGTCTCAAAAATAAACAAACAAACAAATAAATCAATAAGAAAAAAGGAAAAAAATAACACTGATTTTGCCTGAGGCAAAATCAGCCACCTCTGGAGAGAGCTGTTAGCTCATTTGAAGCTTATTAGCACGCCCATTTTACAGAGGGGAAAACTGACATTCCATGTCAGTGCTGATATTGGTGGGGAAGCTGAAGAGAAAAGAGGGAAGATTTTGAGGAGGGACTTCCTGTGGGTAGAGGTCCTGTGCTGGCTTGCAGCCTTCCATTTTGGGGGCAGAAGAACTGACACCACCACCCTCCCAACAGGAGCAGGACAGATCTTGGTGCCACAGCTATATATTGAGGATATTCTGTGTGCCAGGCTCTGGGTCCAGTTCCTGCCTTCGTGAAATGTGCTGCCCAGAGCGGCTTCCTGGAGGAGGTGATGCTTAGGCTTAAGGGGTGAGGAAGCTGGACTGGACACCTCAGGAAGACAGAACAGCCTGAACAAAGATTACTAGGCATGAGGCTTGTAAATCCAGAAATAGTTGGAGCTGCTGAGGGCACAGATAAAAGCAGCAGCCAAATCAGGGGTGTCCCTAAAGAGCATGGCCTCATCTTAGGGACACTGGGAGCCATGGAAGGCACCAGAGTAGGCAAATACCATGTTTGCATGGTATTTGCATTTTGGATAGGATGTGCAGGGTGGGTAGCCTTGGTCCCGTGAGGTAAGCCAGAGGAGCAAGGGCCCTTAAGAAGTCAGGGCCAGCTGGGCGCAGTGGCTCACGCCTGTAATCCCAGCACTTTGGGAGGCCGAGGCGGGCGGATCTCCTGAGGGTGGGAGTTCGAGATCAGCCTGACCAACATGGAGAAACACCATCTCCACTAAAAATACACAAAATTAGCCGGGCTTGGTGGTGCAGGCCTGTAATTCCAGCTACTCGGGAGGCTGAGGCAGGAGAATCGCTTGAACCCAGGAGGCGGAGGTTGCGGTGAGCCAAGATCGCGCCATTGCACTCCAGCCTGGGCAACAAGAGTGAAACTCCGTCTCAAAAAAAAAAACAGAAGTCAGGGCCAACTTCCCGGAGGAGGAGGGCCTGGGCCAGGCCCATAAGGCTGAAGGGTTCTGAGATACTGGGGAGCAGCATCAGCAGAGATGCAGCAGCGGGAGCAGGACGCAGCTGTGTCCCTGGACCTCATCTCTCCTCAGAGTGCCCCATGCAGGGCAAGAATGTCGTGGGGTAAGAAGGAGGGGGTTCTGAGCCTGCTGAAAGGTGAAGGTGTGGTGACCAAGCAGGGGGTCCACAGCAGGGCAGGCCCTGTGGCCTCAGGATCATGGCCTGGTACCAGGGAGCAAGAGTCTGGCAGTCCCAGGCTCAGCCTCCTCGCCCTACTTTGGGGGGAATCTGTGACCCCCATCCCAAGTCCACCTCCTCAGACTGCAATTTGTGCAAAAGGCAAGGGAAGGGGCTGAGGACTCTGGGCTTGACCGGGACCCTCAGCCTTTCTGCTTTAGGAGAGTCTCAGGAGAAAGGTTCCAGGACCCAAAGTTTCTGGCCCAGCTGGGCATTAATGCAACAAGCATTTATTAAGCACCAACTCAGTGAGAGCTATGTGCGTGGCACCAGGCAGGTTGAATCAGCCCCAGGCATGGACCTGGGAAGGACTGCCTGGCATAAAGGGTGCGGACTCTTTCTTGGGCTTTTTTTTTTTTTTAAGAGACAGGAGTCTCACTATGTTGCCCAGCACGAAGCTTGAGACTAAAGAGATACAGAACAAGTCGTCACCAGGGTCCAGGCAAGGAGACAGATGGGTAAATGGGTCCTTCTAACAAAGGGTGGTAAGCTCCCCTGCCTGGGGAGGTCAGGGAAGGCTCCCAGGAGGAGGTGTCCAGGAAGCATCTTAGTGAGGAATGAGAATGCATTTGACCAAAGGGAAACTCAGAGACCAGTGCCCATCAGGGAAAGAGCTCTTCTCAGAAAAACAGGGTTCAGAGGCCAGAAGTCAAAGGTTACGGGAGCAAAGGTCACGCCACCTTTAGAGCAAGGAAACAATTCGGAGGGGGCTGGCTTTGGTGCAGGACTGGTGGGTCTCCTCTATCCATCCTTTGTCCCTGATTGGGGGTGGGACAGGGGGACAAGGATGCAACAGAGGTCTGACCTCGGTCTCTCAGCATCAGGCTGGTCCCACCCATCTTTGGGTGGGGTCTAGGCCCACAGTGGGAGCCCAGGGAGCAGGCGGAGGAAGTTGAAGAGAATCCTGGCGGTGAGTGGAGGTCAGGACAGGAGGTCAGCACGGAGGAGGGGGCTACACCTCACTGGCCCTGCCCTCCCCTCCCCCATGGCACCACAAGGCACGCAGCCGCATATCACCCGTGCCAGCCCTCACCTCCCGGCAACGTCGCCGCATTCTCAGCCACGCCATCTGGCGTGCCCGCCGCTCCCCGGCATACTGCGGCGGGCGGGGAGGAGGGGGCAGTGGGGCAGGTGCCCACCCCAGAGCCAGGAAGAAGCTGCAGGTCCCCCTCCCCCAGCATCCTTTGGACTTGATGTGAGGCAGGGGCTGGGGAGGGAGGTGGCAGGTGCTCCGATGCTTTAGGAGGAATCTTCGAGCATCCTGAACTGCTGGAACACTGCTGGGCAGTGCCAGCCTGCCCCCTCCCTTTCCTCCTCCCCCCATAGCACGGCTAATGGCAGGAACACAGGTCCCTCAAGGATCTCCAAATTCCTGCCCTTCCCCTCAAATCTGAGGAGGGGGGTGAGAAGACAGGTGGCCCCTTCCCTCCCCGTGCTCCCAAGCTCGCTGGGTTCTCACCTGCTGGCCCCACTCAGCCCAGAGAGGCCCCAGGAGGTGGATAGATGTGTGGCTGAGGCCAGGGGCTGGACACCTGGGTTTGATCCACCTGCCGCCCCTCTCCCTGCCTGGAGCTTTGGTGGGAAATGAAGTCTCCTTCAGCACATTTGCCCCCACCAATCTTATTGAGGGGGTGGTGACTGGCTAGCTGTCTTTCTGGGTGTCAGAATGGAGTGGAGCAGTTAAAGATTTATGTATGTATTTTGGTGGAGCGGGGGTATAACAAGAGCAGTTTCTAGAACACTCTTCCTGTCCCCTGAGCAAGAGTCCCCCAGACTGCTCAGGTATGACCTCCCACCTCCCCTCCACACACACTCTGCCCCCCTCACCCCTGCCCCCAGGACCTGAGCCTGTACAAAATGGCTGCCACCCCTCTGAGGCAGCCATTTTAGGTGCCCAGACTGTGGCCTCCCTTGGGATGGGGCTATGTCTCCATGGGAACCTCAGGCCCCCCAGCTCCTAGCTCCTTCCAAGAGGAGTGGGCAGCAGCAATGGGGGCCTTCCAGGCCTGGCTGAGGTGCCCATCACTCCCTTTTTTCTCTCAGAGACCTGGAGGGGACCAGGCCCCTCACCAACTCCCTTCCCCCAATGCCAGGGGGAGGAACAGATGGCATCTCTGGGTGTCCTTCTCCTTCCGTCTCCTTCCTTCCATTTCTGGCTCTTTCTGTCTCTCCGTCACTGCATCTCTGCATCTCTGGTGCACAGAGAGGCGCGCGTATGTCCCTGCGTGTTCATGCTTGCTTGTGTGTATGTGAACACACGTGTTGTGCCTCTTTCAAGCCCATGTCTGAAGCAGGCCCATCCCACACCTCCCTCTGTTCCAATTTTCCCCTGGTTTTTATTGTATCTTCTAAAAAAAAGTTGAAATGTGTCGAGTGAGAAAAACTTGTTCCATTTTTCTGAAGGAAGAAAAGACAGGGGCAGGAGACAGAGCGAAAGGGATGAAGTCCCCAGGTGCACACCCCCAACCTCAGACCTCCTTCTCTGGGTGACTGAGGGGAGCTTCTCAGACCCAGAGAGTTGAGGTCATTCCTGACAGGTGGCCGGAAGGGTGGCAGGAACCCCCCAACCAAGGGCTCCCCTATCTTGAACAAGTTTTTGCCTCCTGCCTGTGAGACCCCTGAAGCGTTTAACCCAGCCCTCAGGGTCCAAGGGAGAAGGCAGGGAGAGAAAACTTTCTCCCCTAAGGAAGCATTTATTCACTTATTCATCCATTCACTCGCCCATCAATTCAACAAAAATTCAATTTCTATATAGACCAAGCATTCTGAATGTGTGTGGGGAGGGGTATGAGCAAAAAAAATTAATATTGTAAAGCATTTTACAGTTCCCAAGGTGTTTTAATTAAGAGTTGGCATTTATTGGAGGCTCATTCATGGAATGGATTATCCCATTTAGTATTAACAACAACCCTATGAAGGTGTAGCATAATTTATCCCATCTTACAGATGAGGAAATCAAGACCAAGAGATGTTATATAACTTGCTCAAAGCATTCAGCACTTTTTTTTTTTTTTTGAGACAAGGTCTGGCTCTATCACCCAGGCTGGAGTGCAGTGGCGTGATCACAGCTCTCTGCAACCTCTGCCTCCCGGTCTCAAGCGATCCTCTCACCTCAGCCTCCCGAGTAGCTGGAACTACAGGCATGCGCCGCCATGCCTGGCTAATTTTTGTTTTTTAGGCAGAGGCAGGGTTTCACAATGCTGCCCAGGCTGGTCTCGAACTTGTGAGCTGAAGGGATCTGCTGGCCTCAGCCTCCCAAACTGCTGGTATTACAGGTGTGAGCTACCATGCTGGGCCTCTCATTTTTTTTTTTTTTTGAGACGGAGTCTCACTCTGTCGCCCAGGCTGGAGTGCAGTGGTGCGATCTCGGCTCACTGCAAGCTCCGCCTCCCGTGTTCACGCCATTCTCCTGCCTCAGCCTCCCGAGTAGCTGGGACTACAGGCGCCCGCCACCATGCCCTGCTAATTTTTTGTATTTTTAGTAGAGATGGGTTTTCACCGTGTTAGCCAAGATGATCTCAATCTCCTGACCTCGTGATCCACCCGCCTCGGCCTCCCAAAGTGCTGGGATTACAGGCGTGAGCCACCATGCCTGGCTGGGACCAACATTTTTTTAAGTTGGTAATGGGGTTGGCCAGGAATCAGAAGCCCAGAGCATGGGCATGTAATTGAAATATCACAGAGCCAGGAGACTCCAGGAAAAAGGCTACTAGTCAGGATTGAGGACCCTGCTTCAGTAAAAGGATTGCAAAGCCTTGGAGGCTGTGCCCAAACTTGGTGGAGGCTGGCCAGCACTCCTGAGTCTCTGCCCTACCTGAAGCCCATCCTTTGGCCTCTTTCTCTGCCATGCCCAGAATCTCCCCACCACGACTATCTGCCAGAGATGGGATTCGCCTTGCAGACCCAGGATTCGTGAATGAAGGGAAGCATGGTAGGCTTATTTTTAGAGACCACTGAGGCAGATTGTGGGCTTATAAGTGGAGTACTGGTCTGTGGGTCAAGTGCCTGAATTCTAGGCCCAGTTCTGTGTTTCCCCTGTGTGTTCCTAGGCAGGTCAGTTTCCCTCCATGGGCCTCTGTAAGATGAGGAGTTGGAGAGGTACATTCTCAGGCTACTTTCAACTCCCAGCCAAGTGACTCAAGAGTCCCAGGCAGCACCAGCACCCCTATCTCCAAGGCCTCCTGATGTGTGTCTCTATTTAGAACTTAATCCAACCTACCCAACATCAGATCAGTGTCTTACCAGCCCAAGGTCCCTGGGGAGCCTCCTAGAGGGAGAGAGCCCTGCCCACCCAGATTGAGGGTAAAGGCCTCCCCGTGCTCATTTTTGTACCACCACAGTGCTTGGCACATGGTAGACATCAAAATGTGTGTGCTGAAAGTATAATTGAAGTTGTGTATATATGTCAGCTAGAGTGTCTGGAGGGGCAGAAATGTGGGTCTAAAACATACAAATGCTCCAAATGGGGTGTGGGCAAGGGTCTGTCTACACCAGGCTGTGATTACCTGCTCACATACATGTGTCTATCTGAGTAGGGGTATGTTATCTATTTTTCTACACCACAGGGTGAGGAACAGGTATATGTGTGCATGTGTATGCATCCGTGTGTGTGTGTATGTGTGTGTGCATGAGTGTGTGTGTGTGTGTCCAAAGCCACCTCTTCAACCTGTGCCATTTGTATCTGTGTCTGGCCCAATGAGAGTGTTGAAAGGTGAGCCACAAGATAAAACAGCAACTTCCTACCTCCCTTATCAAGACAGCTGTCTGACCTACCTCCCCTTGGCCACTCTTGGGATTACTGGGGTTGGCTTCAGTATTTTCAGATTTTTCAGAAGGGGAGGAGAATGCTTGAGTCTCATCCAGGAACTTAGGCAGTTCTCAGCACTGCCTGCTCCTCCTCCCTCAAATAACCAAGTCTGAAGACCAGGAGAGAAAGCCGCTGGTGGACTGGTCACCTGTCTGGCAGTGGGAGGAGGAGAGTGAGAGGTTTCTAGGTTAGGAATCCAGACTTAGACCCTCCCCTCCACCCCCAGATGGGTGGTGCACAGGCTCATCTCGCGGCCCCTCCCCACTCCACCCTAACATGGATACGCCCCCAACAACCAAGGAAAGATCTCCCATCGGCTGACTCCACAGATACACACATGTCCCCACAGACACACACACGCCCATGCAGAGGCACAGACATCCAGGCACATCTTTCCCTTTCTCTGTCTTTCCCTTGGTTTGAATTTCGTTTAGCCACATATGTTGTGTGTGCGTGAGGGTGGGTGGGGGAGGGGCAGACAGGGATGAGGGATGGCATGGTGCCAACATCTACCTATGGGGCTCGGGCCAGGGACGCCCCTTACAGCCATCCTGGGAGGGGGTCTCAGCTGTCCCTTTGTGGCCAAGGGGACCCTCCTGGGGAGTGGGGGCAAGCACAGAGGTCCTTTCTCCCCAACCCGGGGTCTGGTCCCTGACCCACCTTGGGGGCCTGCAGGGGAGGAAATGGACAGAGCGGGACCCTGAGGGAGCATAGAATTGGCCACCACGAGCCCCCAGTGTCCAGCCTTGCCACCCCATTGTTCCCGTGAGGGGGTCTCTATATACAGGGGGCAACTCCTCCCACCTTCCTCTCAATCCCTGCTTTCCCTGCGTTGGGCGGGGAGGGGAGGGCGGCAGAAATATTTATTTATTTCCTTTATTTATTTAATTTTTTTTTTTTTTTTTGGAGTAGAGAGTGACAGATGGCGGCGGGTCCCGGGGGAGCCGGCTCTCCCCCAGTGCAGACGCATGCCAATCACCGTCTCTCATGTGATAGCTGCTGCCCGTGACGTGCCAAGCCCATATGGCCTGGCATAGAGGCTGGTACCCCGCCTGGTAGAGATGCCACACTCGCTCCGCGGTTCGCATGGCGCTCTGAAGACGCCGGCGCCCGCCGCCTTGAGGAGCCGCTGCCCCCGCTCCCTGAAGATGGGGGAACAATGAAATAAGCGAGAAGATCCCTCTTCTCCCCCCTCTCTCTCTTGCCCCCTCCCCCCCTCCCCTCCCCTCTCCCCTTGACTCCTCTCCGAGGTAAGTTGTCCGAAAGGGAGCGAGATCTGACCCGCCGGTTGGGAGGAGGGGCGGCAGCTTCGGCCGACAGGAGGGTCCTCAAATACCTCCTTCCTGGGATGATGCCCCCCTCATTGGGTGGGCATCGGAGGGGCCCCAGGTTCTCTCTCCCTTAGGGGCTGCAGCCCAGGGGGCTGCAGAGGAGGTGTCTCTGCCTGCGATGGGCTCGGTGGGGGGGGAAGGCAGGATCACGGAGGGGGATATGCGAAGAGGCCGAGACGGAGGACCCCTCCATGGTTGTCCCAAAAAGCCTGCCACCTTTCCCCACCACCGAAAAAAGGGAAGCAAACAAACAAATTTGGATTTTTCCCCCATCAATCCCAAAATACAACGAGATCTGAAGAGCCTTGTGGGAGGGAGTCAGCTTGAAGGGGGAAGGGGGTCCCTGACCGCAGAGGGGACGGACTGGGCTCGCTTCTCTCAGTCTCCTCCCCACGCCCCGCTGCTTCAGTCCTCGCCGCCCAGAGCCGGCTCCGGGAGCTGGGGACGCATCGGCTAGAGGAGACGATCCTCCCGCCTCTGGAATTGGGGGTGCGGGGGTGGGGGCCGAGCAAGGGGCGGCGCGCAGCCAAGTTGCAAATTGGATTAGGGAGCGTGGGGGTGAGAGCCACGGGAGGGGTGAGGGAGCTGGGCCGGGGGGCCCGGGCCGCGAGAGCGCGGAGCGGGGCAGCTGTCCCCACCGGCGGCCGACCAGCCTCTCTCCACCGCCAGGAGAGAACGGGCTTTCAGGGCGAGCGCGCCGCCTCCCCTGGCAAAGATATCTGGTCCCTAAAACCCCCACCCGGTCCCTGCCCTGACCCTGAGAAGAAGCAGGCGCGGGGAGCAGCCCCCCATTCAAGCGAGGGGCGGAGCCGGGGCCCAGCGCCGGGGAGAGGGCCTGGGCCGAGATCCCAGGCCGGCAGCCGGGTAGGGCTGGGCCGGCTCTGGGCGGGGCAGGCGGCGGAGGTGGGCATCCAGGGTAGCCTAGGCAGGAGCCCGCACGAGACTCGGGGGTGGAGGAGGGTTGTGGGGGGGCGTCGGTACCCCAGCGCGCCCCTCACTTTGTGCTGTCTGTCTCCCCTTCCCGCCCGCGGGGCGCCCTCAGGCACCATGCTGACCCGCCTGTTCAGCGAGCCCGGCCTTCTCTCGGACGTGCCCAAGTTCGCCAGCTGGGGCGACGGCGAAGACGACGAGCCGAGGAGCGACAAGGGCGACGCGCCGCCACCGCCACCGCCTGCGCCCGGGCCAGGGGCTCCGGGGCCAGCCCGGGCGGCCAAGCCAGTCCCTCTCCGTGGAGAAGAGGGGACGGAGGCCACGTTGGCCGAGGTCAAGGAGGAAGGCGAGCTGGGGGGAGAGGAGGAGGAGGAAGAGGAGGAGGAAGAAGGACTGGACGAGGCGGAGGGCGAGCGGCCCAAGAAGCGCGGGCCCAAGAAGCGCAAGATGACCAAGGCGCGCTTGGAGCGCTCCAAGCTTCGGCGGCAGAAGGCGAACGCGCGGGAGCGCAACCGCATGCACGACCTGAACGCAGCCCTGGACAACCTGCGCAAGGTGGTGCCCTGCTACTCCAAGACGCAGAAGCTGTCCAAGATCGAGACGCTGCGCCTAGCCAAGAACTATATCTGGGCGCTCTCGGAGATCCTGCGCTCCGGCAAGCGGCCAGACCTAGTGTCCTACGTGCAGACTCTGTGCAAGGGTCTGTCGCAGCCCACCACCAATCTGGTGGCCGGCTGTCTGCAGCTCAACTCTCGCAACTTCCTCACGGAGCAAGGCGCCGACGGTGCCGGCCGCTTCCACGGCTCGGGCGGCCCGTTCGCCATGCACCCCTACCCGTACCCGTGCTCGCGCCTGGCGGGCGCACAGTGCCAGGCGGCCGGCGGCCTGGGCGGCGGCGCGGCGCACGCCCTGCGGACCCACGGCTACTGCGCCGCCTACGAGACGCTGTATGCGGCGGCAGGCGGTGGCGGCGCGAGCCCGGACTACAACAGCTCCGAGTACGAGGGCCCGCTCAGCCCCCCGCTCTGTCTCAATGGCAACTTCTCACTCAAGCAGGACTCCTCGCCCGACCACGAGAAAAGCTACCACTACTCTATGCACTACTCGGCGCTGCCCGGTTCGCGGCCCACGGGCCACGGGCTAGTCTTCGGCTCGTCGGCTGTGCGCGGGGGCGTCCACTCGGAGAATCTCTTGTCTTACGATATGCACCTTCACCACGACCGGGGCCCCATGTACGAGGAGCTCAATGCGTTTTTTCATAACTGAGACTTCGCGCCGGCTCCCTTCTTTTTCTTTTGCCTTTGCCCGCCCCCCTGTCCCCAGCCCCCAGAGCGCAGGGACACCCCCATCCTACCCCGGCGCCGGGCGCGGGGAGCGGGCCACCGGTCCTGCCGCTCTCCTGGGGCAGCGCAGTCCTGTTACCTGTGGGTGGCCTGTCCCAGGGGCCTCGCTTCCCCCAGGGGACTCGCCTTCTCTCTCCCCAAGGGGTTCCCTCCTCCTCTCTCCCAAGGAGTGCTTCTCCAGGGACCTCTCTCCGGGGGCTCCCTGGAGGCACCCCTCCCCCATTCCCAATATCTTCGCTGAGGTTTCCTCCTCCCCCTCCTCCCTGCAGGCCCAAGGCGTTGGTAAGGGGGCAGCTGAGCAATGGAACGCGTTTCCCCCTCTCATTATTATTTTAAAAACAGACACCCAGCTGCCGAGGCAAAAAGGAGCCAGGCGCTCCCTCTTTCTTGAAGAGGGTAGAAGTTAGGGCGCCGGAGCCCGGGCCTGGAACGCCCTCACCCCCAACCTCCAGTCTCCGCGTTTTGCGATTTTAATTTTGGCGGGAGGGGAAGTGGATTGAGAGGAAAGAGAGAGGCCAAGACAATTTGTAACTAGAATCCGTTTTTCCCTTTTCCTTTTTTTAAACAAACAAACATACAAAAAAAAAAAAAAAAAAAAAAAAAAAAAAAAAAAAAAAAGCTAAGAGGCGACGGAAGCCGAACGCAGAGTCCGGATCGGAGAGAAAACGCAGTAAGGACTTTTAGAAGCAATAAAAGGCAAAAAAAACAAAAAACAAAAAAACAAACAAAAAAAAACCACTACTACCAATAATCAAAGACACAAATATCTATGCAAGGAGGCTCCACTGAGCCTCGCGGCCCGGCCCGGCCCCGGGATGCCCCGCCCGGCCTGCGGGCCGCCCCGCCCGAGCGCGGATCTGTGCACTTTGGTGAAGTGGGGGCCCGCGCCGCCCCCTCCCCCTCCCCAGGTTCTTACAATCAGTGACTCGGAGATTTGGGGCCCCAGTGCCACTGCCCTCCCCCGCCCCGTCCCCGTTGTGCGTCATGCTGTTTTTTAAAAACCTGTTTCCAAATTTGTATGGAATGGCAAACTGTTGGGGGGTCGGTTTGGGGAGGGAGGGTTTGCATGAAAGACACACGCACACCACACCGCACGCACAAGCAGGCCCGGCGCCGGCGTCCGGGGGGCAGAAGGAGGTGAGCTCGCCGGCTCCTCCTCCCCGCGGCCATTCTGTCCCCTCCTGGGGTGAGGGGTGGGGATGGAGACCTGGGGGCAGCCCCACCCCTGCCCGGACTGTGCCTCGGTGGGTGCCACCTGGCGATTTCCGGTGTCTGGAGAGAGTATTTTTTGGTCCAAGGAGTCCTCTTGGCTTTAGCTGGTGGGTGGGCGGGGAGAGGTCTGAGGGCTCCTACTGGAGGTTCCCCCAAAAAGGGGCAAAAGGAGACCCTCTGCCCACCGGAGGCAGGGGATCAGGCATCCAAATACACGATGCAAAAATGCAATCCCACAGGCGACACACCCACACACTCACCCACACACACGCAATTTTACCTTCCTCTTGTAGCGAAGATGAAACTCCCGTCGGACACCCGAAGTGCATTGCGTGTTTCTGTTCAGTTTAATGACGATTAATAAATATTTATGTAAATGAGATGCAAAGCCGGACCGGTTTCTCACGGTGGCCTCATTTCATTGAGGGGGGAGAGAAGGTTTGAGCTGGGGCTGGGGTGATGAAGGCAGAGTGTCAAGTGACTGTGCAGAGGCCAAACAGAGGGACCCTGGACATTCTTGGGTAGTATTCTCTCCCTAACCACCCCCCATACACCCACTGGGCTATACTAGCTACCCCTCCCAGACCCAACCCAGGCTCGCACCTTCCCAGCACTAAAGCACTGATATCCTTACACTTCTTCATTCCTGAACATGCACAGGCACCTCCCTTGAAAACAAAATACCTTTTCATCACTGAAAAATGATCAAGTTGGGAACAGCCAGTCATTTTACAACTCTCTGCCCACTGTTGCAAAAAGCAAGTGGGCAGAGACAAAGAGACAACCATTTGAATCAGACAGGGGTATTTTTAAACAAAACAAAACAAAACAAAACAAAACATTATAAGGTCATGAAGATGAAATATTAATGAGGGAGGCCCCTTTTTCATCTTAAAATTGTATTTCGGTGGACTCAGGGGAATCGGCCATTTTGGTCTCAGGAATGTTGACATGTTTAGGGGTGTGGACAAGGTTGGAGGAACACCCCTAGAGGTCTGTGAGGTGGCTGAGTCTGGGCGCCCACCCAGTAGAGAGGAGCCTAACCATGTACTCCCTGGGACAGGGCAGCAGGCGCCCACCCAGTCCAAATCTGGGCTGATTTCTTCCTGTCTGGTACAGTTCTGAACAGAGGGAACCCTAAGGGCTTAGAAGGGAGGAAGGGCACTGGGTGAGCATCTCCTGCTCAGACAATGTGGCCTCACAATTCTTTTTTCTCTGAACCTGAGAGGCAGGGGCAGCTCTTAACTGACTTCCCTGATAGAGTCCCTCCTACTCCCCCTGCTCAGCCCTCAGTGCATGCTGTAGCCCTAGAATATTTGAAGAGGGTTCTGAGCCCCAAAGACTCCCATCCTAAAGCCTGAACACATTTAGGAGTCCCCCAAAGAGGCTGTTTCTGATGCTGCTCATTTAAATGATTTCTCCAAACACTGTGACTCATTTTAGGGCTGAAGTGGGGTTTGTAGTGTTGGGGTTGAGGATTAAGGTCAGGCATGCAAAGGCTTTTAAAGATTGGGTCCAAGAACCCAAAATAATATCTCCCTGACAAGCAGGAAAGGGAAAGATTGTTGAAGAAGGAAGTCCTATATATTGAAGGGTGGATCAAATTATACTCTGAACTTGAGCTCATTGCATCCCCTAAATGTCTGTCCTCAAACCTCTTCTGTCCCCCAGTAGAAAGAATACCCTCCCGGTGGTCAGGACAGCTGTCGGCAGAGGCGCCAAGGCCAGGAGCTGTCCACTGTGGCATGCTGACCCTCGTCTAGTGTCTTTTCTTCTGGCTGCAGAGGGAGGTCCATTTGCCTGACCCAGGGGAACATGGAGCAGGAGGCCCTTTCCAATGCTGCACTGGAATTCTCCAGCAGTTTTCAGAACATTTACCAGCATTCTTTCAAAATTTCACTGCCTTCTCTGGAATTCTCCCGGCATCGCCTCTCTAGAGTGAGATCACAGACTAGGGCCTTCATCCCCCGGATGTGTCCCTGTCTTCAGCATCTTAGAAACCTCTGAATCACTCCTATTCATGGAAGAAAGGAGTTGGCCCATCTTCCTTCCCCCTCACTTATTGCAGGGAGTGTAGAGCAAGGCACATACCCCAGATCCTAACCTGCAAAAGTCTGATCTGCACTCATGGCGTGGAGCAAGGCCTGGCAGGGGCAATTGCAGAGAAAAGGAACTTGGCACTTATCCCGAGGCCTGATTCTTATCCTGCCCTGAGAACAAGGTTAATTGGGCTTCTCCCCTACTCAGTCAGTTTCCTAGAACCCGCTCAGAAGTCCAGAGCTGGGCGGGATCCAGGTGGCTTGGGGCCTGAAGCAAAGGACCCCTCCATGTGGCTCTCCTGGCCAGACCACAGACTTCTTTCTATGCATTGTTCTTCAGCTACCCTACGTGGCTCAATTCTGTTTTTGAAGCCAGATTCCAGCCCTTTTAGAAAGATGCTGATGACTTTTGGGCCTCTGTGAGCTGTGATCACATTGGGTGGGGGTGCACAGGTCCCTTTTGGGACAGAAATCCCCCCGAGTGACTCAGCTTCTGGTGAATCCCGGCATCCACACCAGTCGCCCCTTTCCCGATTTCTGACCCTTCCCCCCACATTCCCTGCACTCTGGCTGGCTCTAGCCTCTCATCACCCTCCTCCCCAGTGCTCAACTTCCCTGGCGAGATGGTGTGATGAGCAGGAGAAGAAGATGTGCGCGGACAAGCGGCCCCAAACGTCCCCTCGCAGGTCTCTTTCTCTTGCTTGCTCTCCCGCCTGCGCACACACACCCAGAGATGCTCCAAGAACAGAAGCAGGGGAGGGAGGAGGAAAGGGGCCAGCGCTGTGCCTGGCCTGGGGAGAAGGCACAGAGAGGACGCCCTTCTTGCCCTAGCCTCAGCGGCAGGCTCTCCAAGCGTCCACCAGCCGGCTCAGCTCAACCCCTGGGCCGCTGAACCCGACGGCTGGATCCAAGTTCAATCAGGAGGACATCTTCCTCTTGATTTTCCAGACCCCATTCCAAGTCCAGCATTTGGAAGATGACAGAGAAAAAGAGGTATCTCCGAGTCCAGGCCATTTGCCCATCTGGCGGGAAAGGGAAGGAAAGCAGTTACTCCCTGTCCCTTCACTGTTGAGCTCCATTCCTGTCCCTTCATTGTTGAGCTGCGTTCCAGCCATGACTCGGACAGTGAGCTATGGACCCCCAGTGAACCCCCAGCCCTGATTTTGTGACTCGGGGAGACAGCCCGATAAATCACTGCGGGACACCGACCCCCAGGAGGATCAGTGGCAGGAAAACCCTGATACTCTGGAAGCTCCACGGGGCTGTGCCTGCTTCTCTTTTTCCCTTTCATGGGAAAGTCCACAAGCTGGTGGATACAAGAATTTCTGGGCAGAGGTCAGAGATTTCGTTCTCTCTTGGCAACCTTTGCTTCCTCCTCTTCCCCAGAATCATTGACAGGAATTCATCTGCTCTGAGGAGAGCCATTGATTTGAGGGGGGATTGAGACTAAGGTATGGTTCTAGATTCTGCAGTTTAGTCCTTAAGGCACCTGAGGAGAAAGAGAAGGCAGACGCCAGGACTGAGCAGCTTTAGCCTGACCTACCCTCCCAACCCCTCCATGACAACAGAGGGGCAGCGCGGAGGGACTGCATCTGACCTGCTCCAGTGTGCTCAAAGGAGGATGCTGCTTTTTGCGAAAAGTGGGAGGGGCAGATGGGCCTCTGCTGTCAGAACAGGCTCCCCAACTCACAGCCCAAGACACTGTCATTTTTCCATCCTTCAGGGCTGGGATACCCAGGCGCTGGCCACGGGGCCAGAGCAGAAATGACACCTGAACTGTGAGAAACCTTAAAACCCTGCCCCGGTTCTGAATCCTGAAGCAGCTTCTGCCTTTCTGTCCTGCAGCTTTAAAAATTCTCGACAAAGTTTCCCTGGGTGAGAAGTGGTAAGAAAGGGCGCAGCTGCCTTGGGAGGGCTGTTCTGCTCTGGAAACTTTCTCCAACCTAAAGCACTGGGACAGGGGCGCCAGCCCTGGGAGTGTGGACGTGAGAAGAAGGCCAAGACCGGGGCTGGGTTCACAGGAAGGAGGGCAACGGATTTCAGGAGGGAGATGCGAGGAGCGGAGTCACCTTAGTTCCCTAGGGCAGGGAAGGGAAGCTGGGGCGCTCCGAGGGGAGGAGAAGAGGGAACCTCTAGGCGCCGGCCATGCCCAGGGAGCTGGGGCACAGCGTTGGGTGGAGACGCTGCCCAGATGTGAGCCAGGGTATGGCTCTAGCGCAGCCAACTCTCCTGCCCTCTCCAGCGCGGGAGCGCAGCGAGGTCTCCCCGCGCTGACAGGGGCTGCGGAGTTCCATACCAGAGTGTGTGTCTGGTGTTCGGGTATTTAAACCTCTCTCCCAGCTTCTGTCAGTATCTGTCTGCGTCTCATTCCTCTTTTCGGAATTAATTGAATTAGGAACGGGTCTTTCCGGGTCTCTTCCGCCTCCCGCCTGAGGCTGAGCTGGCCAGGAGGCCAAGGCTGCTAGGTCAGGTCCCACAGGGGTCGCGGGAACCCCCGAACCCCTTTGGGGACCTGCATGCCAGTTCCTACTCTTAGCCAAGTCTTCACCAAGGGCACAGCTGGGCGGGGTCTGGGCAGTTCGCCCGGTTTGGGACATCTGTTCTCGCCAGAGTCGCATTAAAAGCGAGGGGTGGGGGTGGGGGGCTCAGAACCAACCCCTCAAGCCTGAGCCGGTGCCCCCTTTCTTGACCGCAGGCGGAGGCAGGAGGGCACAACGGACTCACATAGTTTTTTCCTTCTCCCTTGGGAACAGCCCGAGAATGGGAGTGAGGGCACTGGGGCTTTCTCTCTTCCCTTCATCTCTCCCACTTCCCAATCAGATGCCACATCCAGCCTCAGTCTTGGAGGGCAGCAGGGTACCCCTGCCCCCAGGAGCCGCAGGGGAGCCCCTGGAGGGGCCCGCGCCGGGAATACCGCGGAGGCTGCCGGCCGGCCGGGCTCAGAGCGGATCCCGCTTGCAGCGAACTCGCGCTCGGCCGGGCTCCCAGGCCGAGGCTGGGGCGCGGCGCAGGGGGAGGGTTAAAAACAACTCAATTAAAATATCAAAAACATTTGGGTTTATATGGAATGGAGGGCGGTGCTTTAAAAAATATATCGGAAGAACCACAAAGAGCCAAAGCAAAACCAAACCAAAATCCTTAACTACTGATAATCTTGTAGAAAAAGACAGAAAAATCCCGCAGACACTTCTCCCTGGTACCACCACGGAAAAGCTCCCTCCTGGCCAACCCCAGCGCCCGGACGCCCCTTCACCACCCCAGAGCCCTGGCGCTGAGCCCAGGTCGCCCCCTGCCCACCCTCGCGCGTTGGTGCCAGTCTGTGCCACTCAGCCGGTGCCCGGTGCCCGGTGCCAGGCGCGGGGGGAAGGCGGGGAGGAGCCGAGGCTCCAGCTTAAATTCCATGGCATCTGTTCATTATTATACAGTGAGGATTTTTATATGGACAGCTAAATTAAAGACAGATTTTTGCCAGAATTGCAGATCCCATAAAAATGATGACACAGGATGGGGGCTTTTTCTTTTAAAAAAAGAAAGTAGGAAAGATTAAAAAACACAACCCCACAAACCACAGCCCAAACCCCTCTGTGCCCCCTCCTCTGTCGTGACCAGTTTCTTTGCCCCCTTTTTCTTCGTCCACTAAGTAGGGATGACCAGGGAGAACCAAACCCCAGGGCTGTTCATGCCCAGCCAGCTCACAGATGCCCAGTGACCAACCAGCTCACTCCCACAGCCGCTGGCAGGGGCAGAGGCAGGACAGCCAGGTCAGGCGTGGAGGGCCAGGGTGGGACAGGAGCAGGAATGGGGTCCGCTCTGGAAGGCAACGTCAGAAAGGGACAGTAGCCAGGGAGACTTGACCTTTCTGTGTTCCTAAATCAAAGGGCAGGCTGCACTTTTGGCTGGTGGCCAAGGTTCTGGAGGCAGCCGGTGAGGACCAGGCATGCAGTGCGAACCGCTCGGGGCACCGGACAGCATCCACTTCCCGCGCACCCACGAAGAGGGCAATATAAGAACTGGGCACTCAGCACGATTTGCAATTCATGGGAGTTCTGGAATTTTGAATTTCAGAGGTTCTAGAATGCTGGAACTTGCACCTTGGTGGTGTTCTAGAACTCTCAGGGATACTGGATTTCTAGAACTACAAAAGGGTCCTGCGTGAGGGGACAGATCTCGCGGACTTTAGAGTTTCTCTCTGCCACCACTTAACTTTGAAGCTCCGTGATGATGTTGTGGGGCCCTTGGGGCCGCTGAAATGTCTGGGCAGGTAACACAAGGAGGAGAGGAAGGGGGGCATTCATCGGGGGCACGGGGACTGTCCCCCCAAATTAATGGGAGCTTTTCTTATTTTTCTTTCTTTTTTAAAATATGTTTTCAGGGAAGAAAAATATCTGTAGAGTTCTGCGTCTTCCAGACAATTGCTCTATCTGTGTCTGTGTCTGTCTGTGACTCTGTCTGTGTAGCTGTCTGCTTGTCTCTCTCGGATTCGGAGCTGACAGAATTCATATCAGAAGAGTGAACGCAGGGACATCTGTGTGCGGAATGACTGTGCTGCTCGAACCTGCCAATCGCTCCTGGCACGAGCTGGGTAACAAATGCCTGTTACCTCGGAATGCTGGCGGGTGGGGGGGAGGGCTCCTGGCACCACCCCGACTGCGAAGCCCTGCCAAGGCCCCCTCCTGCCCGCTGTGGGTCCCGCCCCCTTCCCTGAGTTGGGGGTCCGTGGAATTGGATTATTCATTAATTAGCAGTGATTAGAAAATTTGGGTGTCTCTCAGCCAGGGCCAACCCGGTCTTCTCCACCTCCCTAATCTCAATCCCTACTCCCCTCCCGTCCTCCCCCCACGTTTTCCGGATTAACTCGGGGTTTCTACTGAGGGCAGGCAGCCAGTTGATGGTGATGGGGGGCGGCTCAGGAATGCAGGAAAAGGGGTCTCTAGAGGAAAGAATTCCTCCAAAGTTGCCAGGAGGAGTTTCTGTCGTGAAGTGTGAGGGTCCGTGTAGAGGATCTTCGTAGACGCGGTGGCTGGGATGGGCTGTAGGGTGGGGCAGAGGTCGAGAAGGACATAGACAGTGGAGAGATGGGAGTGAGTGGATGCGGGAGAAGGGAAGGAAGGACACAAGGGAAGAGGTCCGAACAGCGCCCAATGGTTCCCTCCGCGCTGGGAGCCGCCACTGCCACGCCGCGGGCCTCCCGGGCCTCCTGGCCCAAGCCTCCAGCCGTGCTCCCGGATCCATCACCCGGTTTTGCTATTGGGAGTTGGGGGAGGAGGAGGGCGCCACGCCACAGCCGGTGCCAGCTGCGGGGGTGGTGGGGGGAGTTATTGCGAGGAGGGGCGGAGAGCACATCTAAAATTCCGAGACATCTGTTCACCCAGGGAGGAGACACCGCGCGCAAGAAGGCTGGGCGCCCCCGCCCCATCCGCTCTGCAACTGATTGCGCCAGGCCGGGACCTCCGCACCCGAGGCCACCTACGCGGCCAGTGCGGGGAGGAGGAGAGGAGGGCGTCAACCGCGGGATCCAGCAGGGGCAGGGGGTGGGGGCGCGGGAGCTGCCGCCCCACTGATGGATTCTTAGAAGGGGAGAATCGTGGCTCTGGGGAGGGCTGTGTAGGGAAGACGTCCTGAAAGGGAGGATGTGGAGGGACGTTGGCTGAAATAGATCCCCTTCGCCAGCTCCCTCACCTCCTGCTTCCCCACCCCCTCCCACATACCAGAGCACCCACAGACACCCCCACATACACACATACACACAGACTCCAGTCAGGACACACTCGGATAGAAATCTCCAATTCCTGTGAACGCACGCAAGTCTGCATAACTGGCCCCTTTCCCACTCCATCACTTATTCATTCAAGCAACTTTATTGGGTGCCCTGTCTGTGCCAGGCCTGGGCTGGGTATCAGGAAACACCTTCCTGCCCCTCAAGGCCTGGTGCGCACATTCGGATACCCAAGTGCATAGGCGCACACATTGCCCTCACACTCACCCTGACTCTTTGTTCTTATAGAGGGGTGGGAGCTGGAGGGAAGGAGTTCCAGTAGCAACACGCTCCCCCTCCTCTGTAAGCAGCTTCACCGGGGAAATCCAGCACAGGGTCTGGGGGACCCAGCAGGGAGTCCTGGACCCACTGCCAGCCACTTGCCACTTTCTTACCTAGTCTCTATTGGCAGGAGCCCCTGCCCCAGGTTTTACTTGAAGAAGCTCCAGCCTCACTTCCCGCCAAACCTCAATGACCACCCCTCTCTCTTTGGTGCCCTGGCCTGGCACCTGCCCCTCCACCAGGGCTGCCCTAGCTGCACCAACAGAGGCCAGGCCTCTCGGCTGGGAAATGTCCATGTGGTTGCTACTTAAAAACTGATTTATGAGGCCGTGGAGGCTGTGGAGGCTTGGCCTGCGGTCCTGGTAGTAATCAAGGGCATATGCCCATCTTGCCTGGCACTGCCCAGCTTGTGAGCCCAGCCCTGGCCTCTGCTCTTCTGCTGGGAAGAGAGAGGCATAAAAGGCACTAAGTCTCCTTTCTTTCCAAGCCATCTCTCTCCTCCTCCACTCTCTTTCCTTTCCTCCTCCTCCTCTTCTTCCCTTTCCTCTCTCCCTCCTCCCTTCATCCCTCCTCCTTCCCTCCCTCCCTTTCTCTTCCTTCTCTCCCAAGTGGCACGGACCAGCCTGTGTGCCGGGCTGGCGCTCACAGCTGCAGCCCATCTGCTATGATTGAATGGTGACAGTGATGAGACAGGAGCTGGGGAGAATAGGGGGACATGGGGACTGCCCTGCCACCCCTCGCCCCTCCTAGGCCAGTCTCCACATGCTTCTTTGACCTCCAGCAGGAGACCATCCATTCTGCCCATGCAGGGTGGGGGAATCCCACTCTAAGTAGTGAGGGAATTCCTTTCCTTCCAACTAGATTCCTGAGAATAAGAAAAGGGACAAGAAAGGAGCAGAGGGTGAGTTGAAGAAAGTGAATGAAGAGAAGGAATTGGGATTGGAAGAGGAGTCTGGAAGAAATGACCCAAACCCACACAGGCTTGGGTGGGGCCCGGACAGGAGCACTGCATGGGGCAGATGGCTGAGGCTCCAGGCTGGATAGGGAGGCACTGATGTAGGTCCAGGGTCCAATTTCTTCAGGAATCCAGGAAAACCTCCGTGACAGCCTCTGGTGGGAAAACTCAGTGACCTGTACCCTAGACTTTTCTTATCATGGGGTATTCGCTTTGCATTCCAGAAAACCTCTTGGCTGCCTCTCTTCAGGAGTAAATTTGAAGATCTAAGAAATCACAGTCCTCCATGTGTGCAAAGGAAGACCTAAAAGTGTTGAACCTAAGGGCATAGCAAGAAGGTCTAGTTATGCGTGAAGAATTCCTGAACTGGGCCGGGTGCGGTGGCTCATGCCTGTAATCCCAGCACTTTGGGAGGCCGAGGTGAGCAGATCAACTGAGGTCAGGGGTTCGAGACCAGCCTGACCAACATGGAGAAACCCCATCTCTACTAAAAATACAAAATTAGCCGAGTGTGGTGGTGCATGCCTGTAATCCCAGCTACTTGGGAGGCTGAGGCAGGAGAATTGCTTGAACCTGGGAGGCAGAAGTTGTGGTGAGCCAACATCATGCCATTGCACTCCAGCCTGGGCAACAAGAGCAAAACTCTGTTTCAAAAAAAGAAAAAAAAAAAAAAAGAAATCCCCAATGATCCAGTGCAAAACCAAGATGTAACAACAACAACAATATGGAAGGTAACATACACTTGGAGCTTGTGATATGTTAGTAATTGACTCAGCGTTATACATGAGTTGATAATCCTCTCAACAACCCTATGAGCTTGGGACTGTCATTATACTTATACCACAGACAAAGACACTGAGGTAGATGTGCCCAGCTGGCAGCCTAGGCCTTCTTCCTCTTTTTCTTTCTTTTTCTTTGAGACAGGATCTTGTTCTGTCACCCAGGCTGGAGTGCAGTGGTGAGATCTTGGCTCACTGCAACCTCCACCTCCCAGGCTCAAGCAATCATCCCACCTCAGCCTCGCGAGTAGCTGGGACTATAGGCATGCACCACCACACCCAGATAGTTTTTTATATTTTTGTAGAAATGGAGTCTCGCCATGTTGCCCAGGCTGGTCTCAAACTCCTAGAGTCAAGTGATCCACCCGCCTCAGCCTCCCAAAGTGCTAGGATTACAGGCATGAGCCACCATACCCAGCTGAGCCTAGGCCTTTTTCTCAAATTGTAGGAAGAAAAGAGAATAACAGAAGGTCCAGAACTTTCTAGAAGACGATCCAATATCCTTTTCTTCCTACTTACTCCTCTCCCTCTGCTCTCTTCTTCCTTTTCCTCTGCCTGCTCCTCATCCTCAATTAACCCAGTACCCACTCTCCAGGGCCTACCCAAGCATGTGGCATCTGCCTCCTGCCACTGCTTACATATGAATAGGTGGAAACACCCCAGGAGACACCCACTGTCCTCACCCCACCCATGAGGAAACCACACATGCACTTGACTGCATCTGACCTCACCTTCCTCGCCAGAGCAGCTGCTCCTCACATCGGTAGTCCTGGCCCACAGGGTCTTTTTGCCCAAAGCTCTGGGTGAAGAATGCCACTGTGAACAGCTGCAGGACTAGGCTGGAATTCCAGTCTTATCTGGGCCCCTGGGACACTTGAGGGGAGCAATTTGCTCCAACTGGCACACTTTCCCTGCCCCTTCCCTGGACACAGGAGTCTGTCTGGTTCACTCAAGCCCTGCCTTACTCTTGCCATCTGCATCTCCACCCTCTTCCTCCCTCTTTCCTTCCTTCTTTCATCCTCTCATCCATCACACACATTCTTTCTCCTTCTCTTTTCTCTTTTTTCTCTCTCCCGTCTTCCCTTATCCCCTTCCACCTAGTTATATGATAACCCCTTCAGTCCTTGAAGATGTCTCCCCACCAGAAGAGTGGGCATTCCTCATGTTACATAAATTCCACAACTAAGGGGCTGCTGATGGGAGAGCCATCCCTATTAGGGATGCAATCTCTCTGAAGGGAAGTTTTTTTTTTTTTTTTTTTTTTTTTTTTTGTTGTTGTTGTTGTTGTTGTTTTTTCCTCAGGAGACAGCAAAAGGAACCCATAATCCAATCTGATGGATAAGCATTAAGCAGTCACTAAATCCCTGCAATCCCCAGAACAAATCCAGATCAACAGTGTTGTCCACTTGCCCAACACAAATTGAGATAAGTAATCAGGTAGGGAGCTATCTGCAGGTCCACTATAGGGCTTTCCCAGGTCCATCTCCTTTCCCTACTATTTTCAGGTCATCTAGGGCAAGGTGGCATATGGAAGGAGTAACTGGAGGCCACAGGAGCCACACATTCAGGGGACAGGGATGGGGCTGAGATCATCTTCCATCCTCTTCTTCCTCTCCTAGTCCCAGGGTTCAGACAGTCCTTGGTCCTCCTGGAATCCTTTACATTCTATCTCCCTTACCACCAGATTTCTCTCTCCCCTCTCTTCTTTCTCCTCCATTGCTTCTTTTTTGTCCACCACCCATTCCCAGGTCTTTTTCTCCCTTCTACTTCCTGTTAGTGCTTCCATAGGGAGGACGTTCAAACATTCTTGTTTCAGCACCACGGACAGAGACACCAGGTGGATTTGCCTAAATGTCCTAGGCGGGTCAGGTTCTGTCTGGATCCGTGCAAGTGGTGACCACTCATAAATTTCTCTGGGGGGGTGTGAGCGTGCGTGTGTGTACCCGAGCCTGTGTGAACGCCTGTGTCTGTGTCCCTCTGGGGCACACGCCTGTGGGCGTCTCTGGGTGCATCTGTGTGTTTGTATCTGTCTGTGCTGTGTCCCTGCCTGCTCCCCGAGTCCCTGGCTGGGAAAGGGGATGGGATGGGGACGCTCCGTTCTGGAGGTGGGGGAGGCAGCGGGTGGCTTGGTATCCCAGCCGGTCCTGGGGGCGTCATCCTTGCCCAGACGCGCGCCAGGCACCATGTGGCATGTGTGCCAGCCGGCACAGGCTGAGGGCATTCTGCCCAGCTTGGGGAAAAGTAGGGGGAGGCAGCGAGCTGGAGACGGGCAGGAAGAGGTGGAGAGCTGAGCTCAGAACTCAACTCTGGGGCCAGCCCCTTTTTCCATCCTGTGGGAACTCCACCCACCAGCACATGCTTGAGGAAATTTACAAGTTACCTGCCTTTCTGAGGCCCCAGACAACCAGATAATCATCCCTTCACACACACATATCCTGAGAGAAATGCACAGAATCCAGGCTGTTCTGACTTGCATGCATGTGTGCAAATCACCTGGTCCTTTGCACACCAATTATTACACAAATGCACACACACATATACAGAAGGGTAAATGCACCTGCACAAACACCAAAGCCATCCTCAGAGGATGAATACAAGAATCAGCCTTTTGTATCACAGAGCAGGATCCTGCACTACACAGATGGGAACCTACCTCCTATGACACCAGGCAACTGCTCTAAGGGTCTGGTAAGTCTTGTGAGAGCTGTGCCCTCCCCAAGAAATGGTCACATTTCCCCAGCAAAGGGCAGGCCCTGGAGTTGTCATCAGGGGTGCCTGCCCTCTGCACCCAAGGAAGTCTGGAAAGATATTGCTGCCTCTGTGCTCCATTTGAAAGAATAAATGAGAAGGAAGAGAAAGGCATCACAATGCCTCTGCCCTTCCTCCACCCATGCAGCCAAAGTCCTCATCCCCCAAGAGAGTCTGGTGTACTGGAGAGAAGTCCAGGTTTCTCATCCCATTCCTAACTGGCTATTTGACCCTGGGTAGGTTATTTCCCAATGAGATTTTAAAATGACAATTAATGTAAAGCACTTAGTTCAAGTGAGTTTTCATTAAGTGGTCACTATTATTGTTTTATTACTACTGTTATTATTATTGTATTATTAATACTGTGGAAAGAGTGGTCAGCAAGATTTAACGAAATAATGTAGCCAACGCTTCTAGCATAGTATCTGACCCATAGTGGGTACTCAATGAATACGAGTATAGTATGAATTTTGTGGTAGAATTTCAGGAACTTAGACAGTTAAAGGGAACTGAGAATGACAGAATTCTCTCTCCAAAATTCCCTCTCCAAACTAGAGAGATGCATTTCCAAGAATAGCAGGAAGAATGGAAGTTAGACATGTAAAAAAGCTAAAGGACAGGCCGGGCATGGTGGCTCGAGCCTATAATGTCAGCACTTTGGGAGGCCGAGGCAGGCGGATCATCTGAGGTCAGGAGTTCGAGACCAACCTGGCCAACGTGGTGAAACCCTGTCTCCACTAAAAATACAAAAATTAGCTGGGCGTGGTGGTGCACGCCTATAATCCCATCTACCTGGGAGGCTGAGACATGAGAATCACTTGAACCTGGGAGGTGGAGACTGCAGTGTGCCGAGATCGCATCACTGCACTCCAGCCTGGGCGATAGAGCGAGACCCTGTCTCAAATTAAAAACAAAACAACAACAAAACAACAACAACAAAAAAACGCTAAAGGACAAGCCAGGAAGCAATAGAGTGTGGTGGTGAGAGGAGACTCCCTTGGTGTGGGCATCCAGGCCTCCATCCCTCAGGGCCAGGGAAGCCTCACATGAACCCTTTATTGTTTTTAGTTCTGGGGTACCTGTGCAGGATGTGCAGGTTTGTTACATAGGTAAACGTGTGCCATAGTGGTTTACTGCACCTATCAACCCATCACCTAGATATTAAGCCCAGAATGCATTAGTCATCCTTCCTAATACTCTCCCTCCCCCACCCCACCCTCTGACAGGCCTTAGTGTGTGTTGTTCCCCTCCCCGTGTCCATGTGATCCCAGCATTCAGCTCCCACTTACAAGTGAGAGCATGCAGTGTTTGGTTTTCTGTTCCTGCATTAGTTTGTGGAGAATAATGGCTTCTAGCTTCACCCATGTCCCTGCAAAACACATGATCTCATTCTTTTTATGGCTGCCTAGTATTCCATGGTGTATATGTACCACATTTTCTTTATCCAGTCTATCACTGATGGGCATTTGGATTTTCTTTGTTGTTGTTGTTGTTGTTTTTGAGACAGGGTCTCACTCTGTCACCCAAGCTGGGGTACAGTGGTGCTATAACAGCTCACTGCAGCCTCAACCTCCTGGGCTCAAGTGACCCTCCCACCTCAGACTCCCAAGTAGCTGGGACCACAGGCGTGGGCCACCATGCCTGGCAAATTTTTTTTTTTTTTTGAGATGAGGTCTCACTATGTTGCCTAGGCTGGCCAAATCTGAATTCTTTATCCACATGTCTTTCCATATGCTTCTCCTCTTGGCTTCCCCACTTCAATAAATGGCAGCACCCAGTTCAAGACAGAAACCCGAGTCACCTTTAAGCTCACCTTGTCCCTCACGCTCCACATAGACTCTCACTAAGAATCACTGCATCTTGCTCCAAAGTGCATCTCAAATCCAGGCTCTTCTCTTCTTCCTCAGTGTTTCCCCCCAAGCCAGGTCACATCACCTCTTCCCTGAGTCTCTGCTCCAGTCTTTCACCTTGCCTCTCTCTGATCTATTCTCCCATAGCAGCTGGGGTAACCTTTTTTATTTTTACTTATTTATTTTTGAGCTGGAGTCTCACTCTGTCACCCAAGCTGGAGTGCAGTGGCGCGATCTCGGCTCACTGCAACCTCCACCTCCCAGGTTCAAGCGATTCTCCTGCCTCAGCCTCCTGAGTAGCTGGAACTACAGGCGCCCGCCACCACACCCGGCTGGTTTTTGTATTTTTTTTTGGTAGAGATGGGGTTTCACCATGTTGGCCAGGCTGGTCTCGAACTCCTGACCTCGTGATCTGCCCGCCTTGGCCTCTCAAAGTGCTAAGATTACGGGCGTGAGCCACCGCACCTGGCCTGAGGCAATCTTTTAAAAATATAGGCTGGGTCATTTTACTCCCTGGCTTAAAACCCCCAGTCCTTAGCATATAGAATAAAATAACTCTGGTTGCCTAAAGCTTGGGGGTGTGGAGGAAAATGGGGAGTAATTTTGAATGGGTATAGTTGCTTCTTGGGGTGATGAAAGAATTCAAACCTGATTGTAATCATGGTCCCTGCCTCCCTTCCTGGTGTCCTTTTCTGTCTCTCCTGCTCCCTCTCCTTGCACCAGCCTCACTGGCTTTTCCTTCCATTTTGCAAACACTAAGAGCCCCATCCTAGGACCTGAGCTGCTTTTTTTTTTTTTTTTTTTTGACAGAGTCTAGTTCTGTTTTGCCCAGGCTGGAGTGCAGTGGTGTGATCTCGGCTCACTGCGATCTCCGCCTCCCGGATTCAAGTAATTCTCCTGCCTCAACCTCCTGAGTAGCTGGGATTACAGGCACCTGCACCATGCCCGGCTAATTAGTGTATTTTTAGTAGTGTCGGAGTTTCACCATATTGGCCAGGCTGGTCTTGAACTCCTGACCTCAGATGATCCACCTGGGCTGCTTTCTGAGAACCAATTCCCTCAACTACCTCCCGCTCTTGGGTTGGCTGACTCATTTCTATCTTTCCAATCTCAGCTTGCCCCTTCACCCCGAAACACTGTCTGATCTCTTTGCCCAAGGCAGATCCCCCAGGTATTCTCTAGTTCAGCATCCTGTTATTTTCTTTGCAGCACTTGCAGCACTTTGTTAAACTGTCAGCTGTTTTTGTTTTTTTGTTTTTTTGGTTGGCCCCCTCTCCTCGTGTGTAAGCTCTCTGAGGGCAGGGATCATAGTGTTTATTCTGTTTCCATTGTACACTCTGGGCCCAGCATGGAATAAGTACTTATAAATGTGGGTTGAATGTCGGAATTGATGAATGCTTCGGCATCTTTGAAGAGGGGTAGGGAAGGATAAGTAGGTCCTCTGGCCTGGGCTCCAACCTGCCTCATTAGGACTTGGTCCCACCTTTCTTCCTCTCAGGAGACCAGTCTGCTGGCAGCCTCCTAATTATGTTTTACTTGACTATAAATCTTTTCATTAAATGTAATTGAAAAATACACCTTTTGAATCATCGCATTAACCGAGCATCAGCAGGAAGGTGGTAATTAATGCCTTCCTAGAATCTCCCACTAGGTTGAAGAGAACTGGCTCCAAGATAATCTTCTGCCAACCCCAAATGTGTAAGGCACTAGTCCTTCTGCCCCCAGGGAAGGTGGAGGCACAGGAGCCAGGGTGACCATGGATGGGTCAGGCTCAAGGGCGATGGGCAATGTCCTCCACTTCTTTCCCCACTGCAGGAATCAGATAACTAGGAACAATGCCCAAGCCCCCTGCCCAGTACTCCCTTTGGGACCTAAGTTCTGCCATATTCCTCCCCCTCATTCTTTCCTGGGCCCCTGGTTCAGAGCAGTCTCAGTTAGAAGGCCAGAAAAGAAGAGGATAGGAATGGAGTGAATGCTCCACAAGCACCTTATAGGAGTCAGGTCTGTCCCCATCAGTCTCTGCAGCTGATTGAGTACAAGCTGAGGAAACTGATGCTCAGAGATGTTCTGAAATATAATAGGGTTAAAATTCATATTAAAAAGCCAGGGTCAGTCGGGCACCGTGGCTCACACCTGTAATCCCAGAACTTTGGGAGGCCGAGGCAGGTGGATCACTTCAGGTCAGGAGTTCAAGACCAGCCTGGCCAACATGGTGAAACCCAGTCTCTACTAAAAATACAAAAAAAATTAGCCAGGCCTAGTGGCACACACCTGTAATTCCAGCTACTCGGAGGCTGAGGCAGGAGAATCGCTTGAACCCGGGACACAGAGGTTGAATGAGCCAAGACTGCACCACTGCACTCAAGCCTGGGCAACAGAGCAAGACCCCATCTCTAAATCAATCAATCAAGCAATCAATCAATCAATCAGTAAAAAATAAAAAGCCAGGGTCTTAGAACCTAAATTCTAAGGGCAATCTCAGCGCTGCCCTTGAAGGCCCATGCCTTCAGGCCAGCCCTTCCTCCTTTCCAGAACTCCAGTTCTTCAACTATTCTAGTTTATGTTCTTATATATCCCACATCTGATTCATCAGGGAATTTGTCTGCTCTGCCTTCAAAATAAATCCAGAATCAGCGCATTTGTCCCTCCACTGCTACCCACTGCCTTCCCTCTCTCCTGGATGACCAGTTTCTGCCCTTGATCCACTCCTGTCTATAGTCTATTCTCAGTGCAACAGTCAGAGTGACTTTTTAAAAAACAGAACAGCTTTGTTGAGATATAAGTCACCCATTTAATATGTACGACAGGCTGGGCGCGGTGGATCACACCTGTAATCCCAGCACTTTGGGAGACCAAGGTGGATGGATCACTTGAGATCAGGAGTTCGAGACCAGCCTGACCAACCCAGTGAAATCCCATCTCTACTAAAAATATAAAAAAATTAGCCAGGTGTGGTGGTGCACGCCTTTAAATCCTAGCTACTTGGGAGGCTGAGGTGAGAGGATCACTTGAACTTGGCAGGCAGAGGTTGCAGTGAGCCAAGATTGCACCACTGCATTCCAGCCTGGGTAACAGAGCAAGATTCCATCTCAAAAAATAAAAAATAAATTTAAAAAATAAAGTGTACAACAGGGCCAGGCACGACAGCTCCTGCCTGTAATCCCAGCACTTTGGGAGGCCAAGGTGGGCAGATCACCTGAGGTCAGGCGTTCAAGACCAGCCTTGCCAACATGGTGAAACTCCATCCCTACTAAAAATACAAAATCTAGCCAGTTGTGGTGGCAGGCACTTGTAGTCTCAGCTACTTGGGAGGGTGAGGCACAAGAATCACTTGAGCCTGGGAGGTGGTGATTGCAGTGAGCTGAGATTGCACCACTGCACTCCAACCTTGGTGACAGAGAGACTCCATCTTAAAAATAACAAATAATAAAAAATAAATAAAGTATACAACAGGCCAGGAGTGATGGCTCTTGCCTGTAATCCCAGTGCTTTGGGAGGTTGAGGCAGAATTATCACTTGAGGCCAGGAGTTCAAGACCAACCTGGGCAACACGGTGATACCTTGTCTGTACAAAAAACTTAAAAATTAGGCAGACCTGACAGTGCATGCCTATAGTCCCAGCTTCCCAGGAGGCTAAGGCGGGAGGATGGCTTGAACCCAGAAGTTGAAGGCTGCAGTGAGCCATGATCATGTCACTGCACTCCCTCCTGGGTGACAAAGAGTTTGTCTCAAAAAAATAAATATGTAGGCCAGGCATGGTGGCTCACACCTGTAATCCCAGCACTTTGGAAGGCCGAGGCGGTCAGATCACCTGAGGTCGGGAGTTTGAGAACAGCCTGACCAACATGGAGAAACCCCGTCTCTACTGAAAACACAAAATTAGCCGGGCGTGATGGCGCATGCCTGTAATCCCAGCTACTCGGGAGGCTAAGGCAGGAGAATCGCTTGAACCTGGGAGGCCGAGGTTACGGTGAGCCGAGATCACGCCAATGCACTCCAGCCTGGGCAACAAGAGCGAAACTCCATCTCAAAAATAATAATAATAATAAACAAACAAGTAAATAAATACGTAAATAAAAAATAAAGTGTATAATACAATGATTTTTAGTGTATTTATAAATTTGCACAGCCATCACCACACAATTTTGAACACTTTTCCTTTTTTTTTGTTTTTTTTGAGACAGAGTCTCACTCTGTCACCAAGGCTGGAGTTCAGTGGCACAATCTCGGCTTACTACAACCTCTGCCTCCTGGGTTCAAGCAATTCTCCTGCCTCAGCCTCCCGAGTAGCTGGGACTACAGGCGCCCACCATCACGCCTGGCTAATTTTTGTATTTTTAGTAGAGACAGGGTTTCACCACATTGGCCAGGCCGGTCTTGAACTCAGGACCTTGTGATCCGCCTGCCTCAGCCTCCCAAAGTGCTGGGATTACAGGTGTGAGCCACCAAGCCCTGGAGTTTTTTTTTTTTTTGGTTTTTTTTTTTTTTTTTTTGAGACAGAGTCTCACTCTGTCACCCAGACTGGAGTGCAGTGGCATGACCTCAGCTCACTGCAACCTCTGCCTCCCAGGTTCAGCCTCCAAGTAGCTGGAATTATAAATGTGCACCACAACACCCAGCTAACTTTTGTATTTTTAGTAGAGATGGTGTTTTGCCATGTTGGCCAGGCTCGTCTCAAACTCCTGACCTCAAGTGATTCACCTGCCTCAGCCTCCCAAAGTGCTGGGATTACAGGTGTGCGCCACCACAACTGGCCAATTCTGAGCATTTTCAGCACTCTAATAAGAAGCCCATCCCATTAGCAGTCTCTCTCCACCTGCCTTCCAATACCTCAGCCCTAGGCAACTGGAATGATTTTTAAATACTAAGTCAGATGATGTCACTCCTCTGCCTAGAACTCTGAGCCCTCAAGTGGTGTACCTTTTCATTCAGAATGAAAACCTGAAGGCCCTAGACAGTCTGACCCTAGGGTTCTCTGGACTCAACTCCTTCAATCTTCCCCTTGCTCATTCCCTCTTCCAGACACTCTGGGAAAGCTATTGCCTCGGGGTCTTTGCACTGGCTGTTCTTTTTGATAGGAAAGTTCTTCCCCAGATATCTGACCTCTTTCAGATCCATACTAAAATAGCACCTTCTCTAAGAGTCTTTTCCTGGCTGCCCCATTCAAAACTGTACTGCTTTTCCTTTCTTCCTTTTTTTTTTTTTTTTTTTTTTTGGAGACAGAGTCTTGCGCTATTGCCCAGGCTGCAGTGGAGGGGTGTTATCTCCACTCCCTGCAACCTCCACCTCTCCGGGTTCAAGTGAGTCTCCTGCCTCAGCGTCCTGTGTAGCTGGGACTACAGGCATGCACCACCACCACATCCAGCTTTTTTTTTTTTTTGTATTTTTAGTAGAAATAGGTTTCACCATCTTAGCCCAGGCTGGTCTAGAACTCCTGACCTCAAGTGATTTGCCCCCCTCAGCCCCCTCCCAAAGTGCTGGGATTACAGGTGTTAGCCACAACACCTGGCCCACCTTCCTTGGTTTTTTCTTTTTTCGTATATGTTTCACCATCTAACACACTATGTATTCTACACATTTATTATGTTCATTGTCTATCTCCCCCCACTTCATACACAAGCTCCTTGGTTGGGGTTGGGGGTTGTTTTTAGTAGCACTCCCTGCACCTAGGACAAGACCAGGTACATATTAGGTGCCCAATAAATAAATGTGGAGCGAGTAGATGAATGGACTCAATAATAAAGGTATGGGGATCAAGGATCTCAAAAGTGGCAACCATTCTTGAGGGGCAGGCGATGAGACCCACCTGGTGCCAAGCATTCTCTGTCTTCTCTCTACTGGGGCAAGAGTTGGTCATTTCCTCCTTTTTGGTGGAATACTCTGGGAACCTAGCTTCCTCTGGGTATTAATTGATATAAAAGTAAGTAGATGAGCTGGCACGATGCCTGTGTCCCAGCTACTTGGTAGGCTGAGGTGGGAGGATCACTTGTGCCCAGGAGTTTCAGACCAGTCTGGGCAACACAACAAAACCTCATCTCAAAAAATAAAAGTAGGTGGAATACTCCCCCATCTCCTTACCTCCTACTCCACAAGAAAGGATGAAGTATGCCCTCATGGTAGGGAGCATGGATAGGAGCTCTTCCTTAAAACTGGCAACTGGGGTGGTTTGTGACTCTATTAGGAGGGATAGGAGTTAGACAGCTGGAAGGATTTACCAAAAGTTAGGAAATGAAGTAAAGGAATGAGGTGTCTTCTCCTTTTTTTTTTTTTTTTTTTTTTGAGATGAAGTCTCGCTCTGTCACCAGGCTGGAGTGCAGTGGTGCCATCTTGGCTCACTGCAACCTCCGACTCCCAGGTTCAAGTGATCTTCCTGCTTCAGCCTCCCAGATAGCTGGGACTACAGGCATGGGCCACCACACCCAGCTAATTTTTGTATTTTTAGTAGAGATGGGGTTTCACCATGTTGGCCAGGATGATCTTGATCTATTGACCTTGTGATCCGCCTGCCTCGGCCTCCCAAAGTGCCGGGATTACAGACGTGAGCCACCATGCCCGGCAGAGGTGTCTTCTCCTCTTAAGGGCTAAGAGAATTAAATCCACTAATCTTCCTGTGTGCCTTCCTTTACGTCTTCCTGAATAGTCAGCAATAGATCCTCCGAACTCCAGACCTCATTCCTCTCCAGTTTCCCTTCTCCACTCCCCCTCATCCCTTTTCTACCTCCCTCAGCTCAACGCCATTTGCTGGGGCCAAAATAAGGACCAGCTCCATATGTACCCAGGGAATATTAAGCCAGGTTGAGAGGGAAGAGCTGACTTCTAATGTATGGCCCAATCACCTTATGGCAGTGTGGTAGAAGGGAAAGGCTGGGGCTTTAGGCCAGTCCTGGCTCTGAAGTTGGTCAACTTCTCTGAGCCTCAGCTTTCTCATCTGTTAAATGGGGCTAATAATATCTGCTTTGCAGCATGTGCAAGTTGGAAATGGCTCACTGGCACAGAGTAAGCACTTATTTTTATCTTATTTTATTTAAAAAAAAATACTTCCTGGCCGGGTGTGGTGGCTCATGCCTATAATCCCAGCACTTTGGGAGGCTGAGGCGGGTGGATCACAAGGTCAGGAGATCGAGACCGTCCTGGCTAACACGGTGAAACCCTGTCTCTACTAAAAATATAAAAAATTAGCCGGGCATGGTGGTGGGCGCCTGTGGTCCCAGCTACTTGGGAGGCTGAGGCAGGAGAATGGTGTGAACCTGGGAGGCGGAGCTTGCAGTGAGCCGAGATTGCGCCACTGCACTCCAGCCTGGGCGACAGAGCGAGACTCCATGTCCAAAAAAAAAAAAAAACTTCCTTACAGAGGACATGGTAGGCACTTAATAGTATGGTGATGATGATGATGATGATGATTATGATTATTATTATTTTGAGAAGGAATCTCACTCTGTCATCCAGGCTGGCGTGCAATGGCGCAATCTCAGATCACTGCAACTTCCGCCTCCCAAGTTCAAGAGATTTCCCTGCCTCAGGCTCCCAAGTGGCTGGGATTACAGGTATGCGCCACCGTGCCTGGCTAATTTTGTATTTTCAGTAGAGACGGGGTTTCACCATGTTGGCCAGGATGGTCTTGAACTCCTGGCCCCAGGTGATCCCCCTGCCTTGGCCTCCCAAAGTGCTGGGACTGCAGGCATGAGTCACTGCGCCCTGCCTATAGTATGATTATTATTCCTTGGGCTCCAAAAGGCCCTCTCTTTCATCCCCATGGATAAGGAAGGGCCTTTCCTCCCATCGTTCTCCATCTGGAACTTTCATCTGGACAAGAGAAACAGTTTCACGGCTGGCTTCTCTGCCTCCAGTCTCACCCTGTTCCAATCCAACCTCTACACTCTGCCAGAATTCTTTTTCTAAAATTCAATTCACTGCTGAAAATTCCTCCAAAGTTCCCCCATTGCCTACCAGCACACAGCAAGCAAGCGATTAAGAGTTTGGGCTTGGTGTCAGACCTGGGTTTGAAACTTAGCTCTGTCACTTTCTAGCTGTCTCTCTCGGGCCAAGTTACTTCGCATCTCCGAGCCTCTGTTTGCTCATCTGAAAAATGGGATAATAGTACTTGGTTCATGTGGTTATTGTAAAGGAGAAACAAGATAATCAATATAAAGCATTTGGCATACGAGAGATGCTAGCTATGCCTATTATTATGACAACGTGATTTAAATCATAGTTCTTGAGCACAGCATGCAAAGCTGTCTGTAGGAGTCAGACAATAGGAAGAACTTCCCAACTTGCCGAGGATTGTCAGAATGAAGCATCAGGCCTGCCTATCCAACCTTGTTTCCTGCCATCCTCCGCACGAACCCCATGTTTTGGTGAAGAAGCGCGTTACTCACTGCCTCCCATGCTGAGCCTCCTTTCGGTGCTTTTGCACATGCTGTTCTTGCCGCCTAGAATGCTCTTTCTCTCCTTGCCCACCTAGCAAACTCCAACTCATCAGTCAAGACCTAGTTCAGCGCCGGGCGCCGTGGCTCACGCCTGTAATCCCAGCATTTTGGGAGGCCGAAGCAGGTGGATCACCTGAGGTCAGGCGTTTGAGACCAGTCTGGGAAACGTGGTGAAACCTGTTCTCTACTAAAAATACAAAAATGAACTGGGCATGGCAGCATGCACCTGTAATCCCAGCTACTCAGGAGGCTGAGGCAGGAGAATCGCTTGAACCCAGGAGGCGGAGGTTGCAGTGAGCTGAGATCACACCACTGCCCTCCAGCCTGAGCAACAGAGCAAGACTCTGTCTTAAAAAAAAAAAAAAAAAAAAAAAAAAAAAAAGACCTAGTTCAAGCCTTCTATCCTCTGAGAAGCATTCCTAGACCCCAAGCAGGGTCTATCACATCCTCATGCTTCACCATCCATTGGGGTTAAGAGCCACAGGCCTTAGAATCAGGCTGCCTGAATTGGAATCTTAGTTCTGCCATTTGGTAGCTGGGTGATCTTGGGCAAGTTACTTCATTTCTCTGGGCCTCAGTTCCCTGATCTGGAAAATGGGGGTGATGATAATAGTATCTATCTGATAAGGTGGTTGTGAGGAGTAAACATGTTACTATATACAAAGGATTTGCTCCCATATTTGGCATACCATAAATGCCTAGTAAGGGTAAGCCACCATAATTCTTTTTCCAGCCTCTTTTGTCTTCCAGGGCAGGGGTCAGTCCGCATGTCTGTCTCCCTTACCAGGCTGTGAATTTGACGGGCTGAGGCTAGAGCTGATTCAGGCTGTGTTCCAGGTCTCAACCCCAGCACAAAGCTGGCGTAGGGCGGACACGCGGCACCTCTGCCTGGGTGGGCAGTCATGAAAGCGCTCCTAATGTGCTAGGCTCTGTGCTAAAGCTCTGATGTGTACCATCTCATTTGTTCCTTAGGATAATCCTATGAGCTGGTTACTAAATGTTCTTCCCATTTCATAGATGAGGAAATTAAGGCCCAGAGGTAAGTGCCTTCTGGCGCTAGTAAGAGAGCAAACAGCAGAGCCAAAGTCCAACCCTCTGAGCCTCAGTTTCCTCATGTATGCAATGGGATGATAGCTGTTCTTCCTACCTCAGGTTAACTCTGTGAATTAATGTATGTAACTATAAGAGACAACAAGGATGGGGCTCGTGTCCTCCCTATGAACTGGGTAATGCTTTGTTGAGGACAAAAACAACTTTTCTGGAGGTGAAACTGAGGAGTAGCTGAGACTCAAACTGCCCAAGGCCCCAATATACCCCTCTCCCTAGGGTTTGTCTGCAGCCTAGGGCCAATTCAGCAACCTCTCCCCTCTCCTGGGCCCACTGCCAGCCCCTCCACCCATTTCCCCCACCCATTGCCACTGAAAGACAATGGTGGGCAGGCCCGGCCTTTGTGAGAGAGGTCAGGCCAGTTAATCTTGGGCTGGCTTGGGGAGGGGCATGTAGGGGGACCAGAGGAAGGGAGTGGGGGCTGCATGCGGCGGGGGAGGAGGGGTTGGTGGGTGGACAGACAACAGTGAGTTGGTAAGAGGACGTTGGAGGCAGGGGGCCTGAGAAGTAAAAGCTTGAAACAGGCTTTGGGGAGCATTTCCTCCGAATGTAGATTTGAGCTCCTATTAAACTTGCCAAAAATTTGTGTTAGCTAATGGATTCTTAATTCTGTCTAAAATGAGAGAGGGAAAATTATGCCATTCATCTTGTATTGGTTTGAAATTACATCTGACACCTAATCGATCATACTGTGGAACATTAACTCTTTGGAAGAGACCCAACTTTTTCTCTCTCCCTCGCTTTCCAGGGCTCTGGAGCCACCCCCCACCCCTGATTCCTTCTTTTGTATTTCATTAACTAAGCAAAGCTCTGGCTGTCTCTGGGGGTGAGGGGGTGGGAGTTGGGGAAAGGGTTCATTTGAACTGAGGAAGATAACCAGGCCCCCGAATGCTCTACCTATAGTCAGAGTCCACATTTCCAACCTTCAATTGACCTCCTCTCTCCTTCTGTTTTTCCCAAGCATTCGGAGATGTAGAAATGCAGAATGGAGGCACTGGGGTGTGGGGTGACCTCAGAGCCACCTTGGGGGCACCAGGGAGAGGGTGGGAGCCAGGCAAAGCAGTGCTGGCACCTGGGGCTAGGGCAGGGGCCATGGTGGTGGGGGCTCACCTGCGACTTGCCTGGCAGATGGGTGAGGAGGAGGAAGGCAGATGACAATAGCTTTGCCTCTGGGGATCCTGATGAGCTCCAACTGAAAACCCCAACCCCAGACCTGCTTTTCCAGGAGGAGGACTTTTTGGCAGCAGGGAGAACCCAATGGAGGCCGACAGACCTGGGCTAGGATTCTGGCTTCACTCCTGACAAGCTGTGTGACCTTGGGCAAGTTATATAAGGCCTCTGAGTCTCAGTTTCCTTCTCTGTCAGAGCAGAATAATAATGCCACAGCACAGCGCTGGGCTGAGGGCTAAATGACATAATCTATGTAAAACTGGGACAGAGCCTGGCACACAGTAGATGCCCAGTAAAGGTGACAAGTCAGAATCCAGATCTCCAGGACCTCTCCCTGCTTCTGAGCGTCCCCCATTCCCCCTCATTCCCCTTCCTCTCTCCGACTTCCCACTGCCTGACCCTTCCTTCAATGTAGATCAAGGGCTGAGAAGCCACAAGATGGGAAGGAAGGAGGCCTGGGCCCCTGGGTCTCTGCAGGGACCATGGCCCTCCTCCTCCCTAGAGCTATTCTGTCTCCTCCAAGTTTTGGGGGTTGTCTCCTGCATGGAGGGCCCTCTCAGCAATCCCCAACCTGCCTAGAAGGTGGAGTCTCTTGAGGAAGGGAAGCTCTAGGAGGTGAGACCAAGAGGGGGCCTCCAGCTGGGAGAGAGCCACTTGCTTTTACTAGGGCGCCTCTGACCTCTGCCTGTGGTTCCAAAGGGCTCCTGTCTCTAATTTGGACATCCCATAATTTTACAGGAGAGCAGTGGATTGGGCTAGGAGTGGGGCTTGACTATCAAGAGCAAGAAAGAGCAAAGGGAAATAGGTGGGAGTGAGAGAGGAGGGGGCAGGGACATCACCCCCACCTCTATTTCCCAGGAGACACCATGGCTTCTCCCTTAGGTTGGCTTTGGACACTAGGGGAAGAGAAGGTTCCTAGTCCCTCCAGCTCCTCATGAAGGGGGTCATCATGGAAGGAATGTGGCATGCAGCTGACCTCTGGTACAGGACAGCAAGAGGAAGCTGAGATGCCTCTTTCATAAAAATTTGGGCAGCTGCTGGGCGCAGTGGCTCATGCCTGTAATCCTAACTTGGGAGGCCAAGTTGGGTGGACTGCTGAGCTCAGGAGTTCAAGACCAAGCTTGGCAACACGGTGAAACCCCCTCTCTACTAAAATACAAAAAAATGGCCGGGTGCCATGGCTCACGCCTGTAATCCCAACTCTTGGGGAGACCAAGGTGGGTGGATCACCTGAGGTCAGGAGTTCCAGACCAGCCTGGCCAACATGGTGAAACCCCGTCTCTACTAAAAATACAAAAATTAGCTGGGCGTGGTGGTCTGCACCTGTAATCCCAGCTACCCAGGAGGCTGAGGCAGGAGAATCGCTGGAACCTGGGAGGCAGAGGCTGCAGTGAGCCGAGATTGTGCCACTGCACTCCAGCCTGGGTGATAGAGCAAGGCTCTGTCTCAAAATAAATAAATAAATAAATAGGACCAGGCACGATGGCTCATGCCTGTAATCCCAGCACTTTGGGAGGCCAAGGCAGGCAGATCACGAGGTCAAGATAAAGACCATCCTGGCCATCATGGTGAAACCCCATCTCTACTAAAAATACAAAAATTAGCTGGGCGTGGTGGCGGGCGCCTGTAGTCCCAGCTTCTTGGGAGGCTGAGGCAGGAGAATCGCTTGAACCCGGGAGGCAGAGGTTGCCGTGAACCAAGATTGTGCCACTACATTCCAGCCTGGCGACAGAGCGAGACTCCATCTAAAAATAAATAAATAAAAATAAAATAAAATACAAAAAATTAGCCGAGTGTGGCAGCGTGCACCTGTAGTCTCAGCTATTTGGGAGGCTGAGGGCTGAGGCAGAATTGCTAGAACCCAGGAGGTGGAGGTTGCAGTGAGCCAAGATCACGCCACCGCACTCCAGCCTGGGTAACAGAGCAAGACTCCATCTCTACAAAAAAAAAAAAAAAATTTGGGGCAGCTTTAGACCCTCTTAGCACAGACTTCACCCTCTTAGCACAGACTTCACTCTCAAAAGGCACCTACAAATGCCTGAATGAATGCATGGGCAGGTGAAGGGCCCTGGCTCATTCAAGGTCGCTGTAGAATTCCTAGAGTCAAGGTCACTCTAGGAATTATAAGCTTCTATTAGTTATCTGTCCTAAGTATAGGAAAGAATGGCCTAGAATGCCCCAACTATATTCCTGGACTTTGTGGAGGAGGCCCAATGTAGAGACCAGGAATGATGAAAAAATTTCATTTTACAGAGGAGGAACTTAGGACTCAGAAAGGGAGGTATAACAGGCCAGAGCCACGGGGTAAGTCAGGAAGCTCAGAACTGGGGCCTCTGACTCTCAGTCCAGTGCTCTTCTTCACCTGCATCATGAATCTGAAGGAACATTTTCAGCCACTTGTCCAGTCCCAGGAGAGCCTACAAGGGGCTGGAGTTTTGGGAGGCAGTGGGAGAGTTGCTCCAAGAGGCTTTTCCTGAGGAGAAAGGAACAGAGGGGCTGGGGAGGCTTCTTAACTCCCTCTCCTGCCTCAACACACACATTGACACACAACGGCAGAAATTTTATTTCCAAATGTCCCTTCTCTGGGGAGCTCGCTGTTTCCCAGGAGACGCCGGGTAGAGATGCCCCTTCCTGCCAGCCTCCCTGGCAGCCACTAGGCGGCTGTGGCTTCATCTTTTGCCTGGAGACGCCACAGTGAGGGTCCCACATGGTTTGTATTAATAGGAAGTGGAGCTGAGGGCTATAGGCGCTGAAGATAGGGCAGGCCAGCCAGGGATGGGTGGGCAGACAGGCCAGTGGGTAGACTAAGGCAGCCACACACAGGGCCACACTGAACAAAGGTCCTGGGCAGCTTTGCAAACCTAGATACATGAGCTAACCTGATTCTGGCTACTGGCAAACTGGAAGTATTTTTATTGTGTTTTCCCTTTGAATATAAAGATACTGGATGACTGGTGTAAAAATAGGGAATTCCAACAAAAGGGAATGAACAAAAGCCCCAGACTCAAATTTTAGGATGTCTTTTCCCGTAGGAAATGAATTAGCCTCTGACAGAAGTCTAGGGGAAGAGTCTGCTGTACTCAGGAAGGACAGGAGGAAGCATCATGACACTGTGGAATGCTCTAGAATCTGGGAGGTGTCCCTGCACCGACCCCTAGTATTGGAGAGCCTGCTGTGTGCATTGGTCTGTTGTCCCCAGATCAGTAGTTTCACAGTGGGGTTTTATTTCTTGAGATGGAGTCTCACTCTGTCACCCAGGCTGCAGTGTGCAGTGGCACGATCTCAGCTCTCTGCAACCTCTGCCTCCCGGGTTCAAGTGATTCTCGTGCCTCAGCCTCCTGAGTAGCTGGGATTACAGGTGCGCACCACCATGCCTGGCTACTTTTTGTATTTTTAGTAGAGACGAGGTTTCACCATGTTGGCCAGGCTGGTCTTCAACTCCTGACCTCAGGCGATCTGCCCACCTCGGCCTCCCAAAGTCCTGGGATTACAGGCATTAGCCACCGAGCCCGGCCTCAGTGGAGTTCTTTCCATCCTGTGTTTTTTCCATACTCCCAACCTGCTGGGTGCACCATGCTGCCCTGCTGTTGTCACCCAGTCAATGTGGGTTGCAAGAATAATGAATTTACAGAAGAGGAAACAGGCCCTGAGATAGACACTGAAGTTGCCAGAGAGGCTCAGATCACATTCACAAGCATGACAGGTATACATTAAACGGCCTCAAATTCTCCACCAGTTCCCTCTTTCCCAGGGCTGAGAGGGATCAAAGGTTGGAGTCTATGGAAGAAACTTCCCAGGTCTGGCCCTTGGACAGGACAGGGGCAAGGCACGAGAGGGAGACTGTCAGGGATTGTGGGAAGAGAGGACCCAAGGAGAGAAGGACAGTAGTAGAGAGCCTGGTGTAAACCTAGATATTGAATCCGTGCAATGCCAATGAGGTAAAGAGCAGTTTTGCCCCTCTACTGTGACAATGGGGCGGCTTTGGCTGGAAGGTTTGAGGTAATCTTCCAGTTAAGCAGGGATTTAAGCATATGGAGAAGACTCACCTCCCTCAAGGTATCCACCCAAAACAGCAGCAGGGATAGAGGTCAGCCCCTTATCTCCCTTTCTTCTTTTTGCCAGAGGACTTAAGGTCCTGCCATCTACACATTACATATTATCCCATTTAGTCATTGGCAACTGGCTTATCCCTATTGTATAGATGGATAAGCCATGGCTAAGAAAGGTAAAGCGACTTGCCCAGGCTACAAACCAAGTGGCGGAACTAAGTAGATGCTCCAATCTCAGTTCTGGCCCCAGATGCTCTTTTTTTTTTTTTTTTTTTTTTTTTTTTTTTTTTTTTTTTTTGAGACGGAGTTTTGCTCTTGTTGCCCAGGCTGGAATGCAATGGTGCAATCTTGGCTCATTGCAACCTCTGCCTCCCGGGTTCAAACGATTCTCCTGCCTCAGCCTCCAGAGTAGCTGGGATTACAGGCGCCCGCCACCACGCCCAGCTATTTTTTTTTTTTGTATTTTTAGTAGAGGCGGGGTTTCACCATGTTGGCCAGACTGGTCTCGAACTCCTGACCTCATGATCCGCCCGCCTCGGCCTCCCAAAGTGTTGGGATTACAGGCGGGAGCCACCGCACCCGGCCCAGATGCTCTTTTTAAGGTGTCAGTACTTGGTTTGGGCGTGGGGTGGGCACACCATGCTGGATTCTGGGGAAAAGGTCCTCTCCCTCACACAGACTCCTGGCCTTCCTTTAAGCTTAGATCCTTGCGGGGTGTCCTGTGTTGGTTGGGTCCAGACCCTGCCCCTGCTTCTACTGAGAACTGTACTGAGAAGATGCCCAGGGAGGCACATAAGACACGCGTCACCAGGCCTTGACACACGTGACCAACGCTCCTCAGAGATGTCACCTTTCCCGTTTTACCAGGGCTTGTTTTCCTGAAGTTCTCAGTCCTCCACTGTGTTCTTTCCCCACCCCAACCTTTCCATATCCTCCCGGTTCAGAAGGCGCAAAATCTTTGCTGAGGGCGGGCCGAGGCAGGGTGTACGCGGCCCAGAGCTGGAACCTTGGAAGAGCACCGACCGGACACTGCTCCGCTCTCCCTTGGGGCCCTCCCCTCCCCGCCCACCAAGAGAGCAGAGGCGGGGCCGGTCCTCCATCCCCGCCCTGCCTGGCCAGCCACAGCAGGGTGGCCTGAGGAGCGGCTGGGGGCGAGGGCCGGGGAAGGGGCCTGCAGATGCCGCCTCCGCCTCCCTTCCTTGTCCGGGGCCCCCATGGTGTCGGGGAGCAGGAGGAATCAATCAGGATAATGAAGCCGCAGCCTGCCACGCACTGCGGGGGCACTGAGGAGCGGGGGCCGGTGCCAAGTCCGCCAGACGGTTCGGAGGAGCGGAGCCCGGCGCGGCCCGGCGGCGGCGGCGGCGGCGGCGGCGATGGCGGAAACCCGAAGGCCGCGCGCTAAAGCAGGACGCAGCTCCGCGCAGGGCGCTGGCAACCGCGCCTTGGCAACCGGGACGCCCGAGAGAAATCTTAAAGCTGCAGTGGCCTCTTTCCCCTCCATTGCGGTCGCCGCCAGGACCCCAGGGGAAATGGTCGTGCGGGCAAAGGTTGCTGGTGGGGGTCAAGCTCTGAGCCTCTCAGGACTTGGGAGGCCGACTCATACACTCGCTCACTTATTTATTTTATTTTATTTTATTTTATTTTGAGACGGCGTCTCGCTCTATTGGGTAAGCTGGAGTGCATTGGCGCGACCTCGGCTCGCTGCAACCTCCGCCTCCCGGGTTCAAGCGATTCTCCTGCCTCAGCCTCCCGAGTAGCTGGGATTACAGGCGCCCGCCACCACGCCCGGTTAATTTTTTTGGACTTTAAGTAGAGACGGGGTTTCACCATGTTGGCCAGGCTGGTTTTGAACTCCTGACCTCAAGTGATCTGCCCGCCTCGGCCTCCCAAAGTGCTAGCATTACAGGCGTGAGCCACCGCGCCTGGCCGTATTTATTAAATGTGTGTTGAACTTACGTACCCGAGCACAGGCTAGACACTAGGGAGGGGAACGGGCGGTGATTAGAAATGAACAAGATCCTGCCAAGAGGAATTCACAGTCTAGCGCGCGAGGCAGACCAGAATGGCTGAGGTGAGCAGAGCCTTGTGTTACCCAGGATAAAGGGGCTTGGCTGGAGGGCTGACGGGGGGTGTTATAAAATATTCCTGCAGCACCTGCCTTGCTCCAGGCCGTGGGTTGGATGCTTCTTTCCTGGGCTGTGTTATTATCCCAAAGGCCCTGTGAGTTGGGTATTATTATTACCCCTATTATCGATCCCATTTTAAAGATGAAGAATTAGAGGCCCACAGAGGTGAAAGGACCTAGCCAAAAATCTCGTTTTATTTTTTGGAGAATCTAGGACTGGGTCAGTCCTATGACCATAGGACTCCTGATTCTGGCCAATTCTCATTATGCATGATGTCTGCAAAGTCAGATCTGAGTGAGGACTTCCAATATAAATTGTGTAAGAAGTAAGAAAGGAGAAAGGGCAGCTGAAGGGAGATGGGCACTTCATCCTTCTGCTGCCCACTACCCTGAACCTGTCTGCCCCTGTCCTCGTGAGCAGGGCTGGATGTGAACAGAGGACTAGATGAGGTGACTTCCAGACACCCTCTGGTTCTGTGATTTGATAGATTCTGCCTGAAGTCCAGGCACTGTGCCACCCTTCTGGGCAGCAGTAGTTGGCAGGGGGCTGCAAGCTGGGGGGTATTCCAGGCTTCTGAAACAAGAGGTCAGGGTTGGTGGGGGAGAATAAGAGGGGTGGTAAGGGGGCTTTGGCAAAAGAAAGCTAGAAGCAGTATCACTAAAAATGCTGGGCCTCATCGTCTGTTCTCTTGTCTACCTATCTTTCTTTTTCTGCATCCATTCAGGCAAGAAACCTGTGCCAGGGCCTGGAGTAGGCTCAGAGGCTGTTGGTGAGGCAAAAAGCATGTTGGCTTTGGAGCCCAGCTCATCTGGTTTCAAATCCTAGTTCTGTCATTTACCAGCTACGTGACATTGGGCACGTGACTCAATCTCCCTGAGCCTCAGTTTCCTCGTCTATAGAATACAGGCATTAATACCTACATTTCAGGGTTATTGTAAAACTTAATTGAGGTGAGAAAAATGTATGTAGGTGTCTGGCATATGGTACTTAATAAATGGTAAATTTTAAAATGTCTTTGCTTATTTTGGTAGTCTGATAGCTTCTAAAGATATGTCCATGTTCTAATCCCCAGAACCTGTGAATGTTACCTTAACTGGAAAATGGGTTCATCTTTGAGGATGTGATTAAGAATCTTGAGATGGGGAGATTATTCTGGATTATCCAGGTGGGCCCTAAATGCCAACACAAGTGTCCTTATGAAAGAGAGAGAGAGAGAGAAATTATACATATATCAAAGAGTAGAAGGTGATGTGAAGACAGAGGCAGAAACTGCAGTGATGGGGCCACAAGCAAAGGAATGCTAGTAGCCACTAGAAGCTGAAAGAGACAAGGAACAGATTCTCCTCTAGAGCCTCCAGAAAGAGCATACCCCTGCCAACACTTTGATTTTGGTATAATAAAATGGATGTTGAACCTCTGATCTCCAGAAGTGTAAGAGAATAAACTTCAGTTGTTTTAAGACACCAGAGTTGTGGTTAATTTGTTACAGCAGCCTTGGGAAACTAATACACTTATAATGGAGATTTAGTCTGGAACAAAACCAAAAGTTCATGGTCTAGTGGGACAAGAGAGAAGTAAAGAGACAGTGCATAGAGGCACCCAGAAGGGAGGCACCTTGTCAGAACTGGGGAGTGGAGGAGTAAGGTAGGCAAGGCTGTTGGAGTTGGAGGACTTAGCCAACTGAGGGGCTGAAACAGGAAGGGCATACCAGGCAGAGAAACAGTGTAGGTAAAGGCATGGATGGAAGAAAACACTGCCTTCAGAAAACTGCCCATGTTTGGGATGGCAGGTATGTTGCGGGCTGCGGGGGCAGCATGACAGAACTGCTGAGGTGGGCAGCAGGGGCAAGAGAGCCAAGGATCTTGGCTTCCACCCCAGAATGGAATCAAACCCTCCACTCTGCCCTGGCACTGGGCCCAGGTCATACAATCCCAGACTGTCGGTACTGGAAAAAACCCTTAGAGACCATCCAGTAGTCTTGCCATTTCACACATAGGGAAACTGAGGCTCACAGAAAGTGAGCCAATCCAGGGAATAAGCAAGAACCAGATGGCTGCACTCTGGCCTCTCTCTTGAGCCTGGGTGTCCCATATCTGAGGATCTCAGAGATACTGTCTGGTGGGCCCTCTGTAATCCACTTCCAAAAAGCAGTGGCCTTGTGGTCTCTAGACAAAGAGTGTGTTATTTGCATATTATTTACATGTTGATAATTAGATGAGAGAGGCAGATTCTTTCAGGCCCTCCCCTTCATGTCCCCCTGTCCTATTTCACTCACATCAAGTTGTTCTTCCTCATACCTCTCTTGACCTCAACAACTTCTCCCAGAATTCCAGCCCAAGCCTCACTCCTCAAGTTTCCGTACCTAGGCCTAGCTCAACCCCTACTATATTAAACATTTGGTCCTGCCTAGCAAAATTGCTTGGTGGGTCGTTAGTGTATCTAGTCTAAGTGGAGGATCTTGGAACAGGTTACAATGGAAAGGGAGGCTGTCCAGCTTTGAAGTTTTTTCTGGGAGTGGGGAGAAGTGAGCACTGTCTCCTTGTAGCCCAGTGGCCATCTGAATGAGGCTGTGGGAGTGGGGGAGGAGGGTGTTCCTTGGAGATCTGGTGGGCAGGTATCAGCTGCATGCCCCAGGCCTGCCCCAAGCCTCTTGGCTGGCAGCCACACCAGCCCCTGAAGGAGCTGGCTCCTTCTTTGAGGGAGGAGGAATTCTAGGGAAGGTCTTGGAGCATCCCTTGGCCTGGTAGCCTAACATGAGTAAGGTGGATGTCACCATGTGTGTTACTGTGGACCCTCCAATGGGGACAGCACATCCAGATTCTGAGGGCTGCTGTCAATCCAGAAAATTGTGAGGCACTGTGCTAAAGTAAAGCATGGTGTCTCCCTGAGGGCAGGCACTCAAAAAATGTTTTCTGATAATGAGGGGCTACCTACCTCCTGGAGATAGGTAAGGAGAGGGAATCACAAGGAGGCACAGACTCTGCCTCTCTCGCTTCCCATTAGCCCCTTCTTTCCTTTGAAACCAAGGCTGTTTCCAAAACCTCTCCCAGATGAGATGTCTGAGCCTGTCATTTGGTGATCACCAGAGAAGGCACCACACTGTGGCCAAGACAGGTGCACAGGATGACCTCAGGTTCCCCCTGCCCCTGTCCTGGCAGAAGAGCTGCAGAGATCCATCACCATGGCTGACTCAAGCAGCTGCCAGGATCTGGGAAATTAGGATCCACGGAAAAACCTGGGGCACAGTTCAGGCTAGCAACTTGCAGAAGCCAGCTTGCTCTGGGGTTACAATAGTGTCCTGGATAGGGAAAGAAAGACCGCCCTCCATGTGCAGATAATTCCTCTCCATGCAGGGGTGATGTGTGAGCTATGTGTATATGTGCTGCAGGGACCTCATCAAGCATCCCAGCCTGCATGCACAGCTGTGTGCACACATCCCATTGGCAACAAGAGTATGTTGTGTGTGAGTGTCTTCTTGGAATTCCACCTTCCCTCTTCTCTGCAGAGCAGGCCTTCTCTTCTTGTTTCCTGGTAAAACGGGAAGTGAGGGAGTAACTTCAGTTTCATTACCTCTAGCCCTTCTCCCTTGTGGAACATCCTGTATTTGGTCATTTGCCTATGACAGCAAGGAGTAGATCCATTCTTGGTCCAGAGTGATCCTAGCTCCTCACTGGTCCAGATGACCCCCATCTTGAACAAATTCCTCTGCCCTGGTACCTCTTTCTTCCCTTAGGATGTCCCATGCCAATACCTCCTCTAATGTCCAAATCAAAGGGAGGGGTGGGAGGAACTTGGGGTGATGCTGTGGGTGTGGGAGGAGGAAGGGTGGATCAGATACTGTTCGATTTTGCCCAGGTCCCCTCGGAGCACTGCTGCTCATTTAAAATTCCGATTTAAAGCCGAGCGGCTCTTTAAATTTCCACATTAGCATGCCGCCCTGATGCCAGGCCAAGATGTTGGGATGGATTTGGCAGGAACGCCTCCAACAGCAGCAAGCAGCAGCATTTGCCAGCAATAAAACAACGCATGAATAAAAGAAGGCCGCTTGGCAGCAGCAGCAGCCCAGGTAGCTGGGTGAGCCCAAGAGGGGCATTCATATGTGGGGGCTCAGAGGCATGAAGGCCCATGCAGGGGCATGTGTGTGTGAGGGCTTCTGTGACTGTCTTGGCTTTCACCCCCAATCTATGCCTGCAGTGGAATCTGGGGTGAGGGCCCAGGCAAGATCAGGATTTCTCCCTTGTGCCTGTCTCACCCTCCTCCCCCCAGGGGTTATCCTCTTGGAGGGGACAGATGTTGCCTTTGATAAGGACACAAGGACTTGGCCTGAAGCCTTGAGTTGTCCTGCTTCATTAGGGCCCAGAGAACAGGTGGGGTCAGAGAGAGCAACACTGCCCAGAGTGGCTTCCCAGATCCAGGACCCTAGATACCTGGGTGCTGACGGGCACTGTTAGGATAAGGGGGCTGAGAAGCTGCTGTGAGCACTGGGTATTGGCACTGAGCTGGATGAAGAGATGCTCTGGGCTGGGAGATGGGCAAACGTCTGTGTGCTTGTTCAAGGTTAAGAATGGGGAATAGCCACAGACAGCAAGGAGCTACCACGTTTGTGCTAACTTTAACTCTTAACAGATTTGGGAACATTGTTTGAGGTCAGATGGTAAGGGCAGCAAAGGAGTCAGATAAAGCCCTGGGCTGGAGGCTGGACACCTCATAAAGGTCATTTTATCTATACCCTGCTTCCCAGGGTCTAGGGAGTACAGCCCCAAAGGACTGGCTGTTCCTGGATTCTGTGTTCCTCTGCTCCAATCACCTGGCCGAAGCTCATCATCTAGCTCCCCAGACATTTTCAGGATCAAGCAGCCTGTCCTGCATCTGGTAAACTGCCTATCCCTCCTACTTGGTTTAACCATCTCTTTCCCTGAAGTCCAGGGTAAGAGGACAGAAGCAAACAGAGGGGTGGCAACAGATGGTCTCTGCAGTCTCGGCAAGGCAAAAAAGAGGGATTTTCTTCAGAGCACCTTCCTCTGATGGAACTCCCCTCCCTTTCCAGCTCACATGAATGATTTCAGGCCTCCATGTGGGGAAAAACTGTTGAGACTTTGAATTATCTCAGTCCCTGGAAAGGCTGAAGAGCAGACAGGCAGGACCAGGCTCTGGCACAGCAATGGCCCCATACCCTGAAACTAGGACTGGTCCTGTCCTGATGAGGGAGAACAAGGTGGCCTGACCTCCCAGGTACTTTGTTCCCTGGTCCACACATTGGGGTGGGTGAGCTCAGGGTGAGGGAGTGGCTAAGAAGGGAGTTTAGGCCAGAGAGATGTTCTTTTGTCATTTATTCATTCATTGAACAAGTATTTACAAAACAGCTGCTTTATGCTAGGCATTGTTTCTGGGCACTGGGAACACATTGGTGAACACAGATAGAAATGGTCACTGACCTTGTGGAACTTTCCATCCAATGAAACTAGGATCATTATTCAAATGACTGGACAAATACATAGGAAATAACTGTGTTAAGTGCTCTGAAGGAATGATATATAGTACCATGGAAGTGTGTAACTGGGGGACTTGACTGAGTCTAAGGAGTTGAGAATGAGTTTGCAAAGGACACAGAGAAAGACAGGTCAGAGCAATAGGAGGAGAACTGGCAGTGACATCAGAGAATCAAAGGAGGAGGTGGTCGACTGCCGAGATATGGGGAGCTATGAGACACCTATTTGCCTTGACTCCTCACCCGCTAGTTGTGAGTACAGGTATGGAAAGGCTCTGCCATTGTACCTGGTTCACAGTTGGTGCTCTGCAATGTTAGCTCCCTTCCCCCTCCCAAAGCAGAGCCTCCCTCCAGGGACCTTAGATTTCTGGAACAAAGTAGCTGCCCGGGCTTAGCCTCCTCTGTCAACTCAGGCTCCCAAACTCCAGCCATCCAGTCCTCAGGGAAAGGCCCCAGGCCTCTCCACATTAGTCCCATCACATGGAGCCTTACCATTCCCTAACCTACTTCCTCCTTTGTGCTGGTCTTCCATGAAAAGGGGCTGGGGTCTGGGTCTCAGAGAAGGATGCCATTCTGGGTCTGCTTCTGGAGCTGAGCCTGAGAAGAGAAGAGAGTTGGAATTCTCAGCCCCTTCTAGTGCTGCCTGGGGTGAATCTGAGTGTCTTAGGTGGGGAGAGGGAGTAATGGGGAGTTGGGGAGGGGGGCTGCCCACCCAAGACGGCGTAGAGCCCAGAGCTTTTTCCATCGCAGACACCCCATCTGTCTGCCACAGAAGGCTCGGGTTGGAAGAGGTGCAGAGAAGGGGGGTATGGCGGGTGAAACTGTACAGTCTGTGAGTTAGCACGATGGCAGCAAAGGTGCTGACTGCCGAAAGGGGCAGAGGGTCAGGGTGGGGTGTCGGTAGGGCTGCTGTCTTGGCAGCCGAAAACTAGAGGCCAGAGGTTGGGTCTGAGGTGAGAAAAATGATAGGGACAACACTGCACGACTCTCCCTAGACTGCTTGGTGTTTGATTTTGATTTTTATAGCTCCTTGCCCTAATGACCAGAGAGCAGAGTCATACCCCTCTTGCCAACAAACTAATGGAAGACCAGAGGCCGTGACAGCTGTGGGAAGGGACATTCCTAAGCCCAGGGCTGGGCTGGATTCATGATGCCTCCCTCTCCCTAGCAATCAGACCTTTTCCAGAACTTAAAATATTTTAGTTAAATGTGACAGTTTGCAGCATATTTTCTTTCACATATTACTTTAACTGATCCTGCTAAAGTCCAGTAAGGTAAACTTTATTATTATTCCTGGCCTATAGATGAAGCAACAAGGGCTTTAAAAGATCAAGTGGATAATAACCTGGGATCACAGGAGAGTAAGGAGAAGTGACTAAATCCAAGTCTCCTGACTCTACATACAGGCCTAGGCTACTGTAGACCTTCCTTGCTCATTTTTTGGTTATTGTACAGCCCCCACTGCCAGGTCAGGTGTGGGGTTTTCTAGTGGAGAGCTCAGAAGAACTCCTTCCTAGTGACTGAAAAATGGGGAAGTACCCAGACCTTGGGGGACACACATCAGCACAGCCCCCTCTCCTGGATACCAACATCCAGACACTAGGAAACTGGAGATCCAACAGGCTGCTTACAGATAGAAATATGAGAGGGAAGCTGGGCACGGTGGCTCACGCCTGTAATCCCAGCATTTTGGGAGGCTGAGGCGGGTGGATCACCTGAGGTCAGGAGTTTGAGACCAGCCTGACCAAGATGATGAAACCTCATCTCTACTAAAAATACAAAAATTAGCTGGGCGTGGTGGTGCATGCCTGTAATCCCAGCTACTTGGGAGGCTGAGGCAGAAGAATCGCTTGAACCTGGGAGGCAAAAGTTGCAGTGAGCTGGGATCATGCCATTGTACTCCAGCCTGGGCAAGAAGAGCGAAACTCCGTTTTTTTTAAACAAACAAACAAACAAACAAACAAACAAACAGGCTGGGTGCGGTGGCTCACGCCTGTAATCCCAGCACTTTGGGAGGCTGAGGTGGGCGGATCACAAGGTCAGGAGATCGAGACCATCCTGGCTAACATAGTGAAACCCCATCTCTACTAAAAATACTAAAAAATTAGCTGGGCGTGGTGGCGGGCGCCTATAGTTCCAGCTACTCAGGAGGCTGAGGCAGGAGAATGGCGTGAACCCAGTAGGCAGAGCTTGCAGTGAGCCGAGATTACACCACTGCACTCCAGCCTGGGCGACAGAGCGAGACTGTCTCAAAACAAACAAGCAAACAAACAAACAAAAGAAATATGAGAGGGACATAGACTGGAAGTGGCCAGGAAGCAGGGGCAGGGAAGGGCGTGGGGAGTGGCAAATGCCAGCCTGGAAGCAGCTGTTAGGGTCCACTCCAGGACCTGGAGCTGTCCCTTAAGAATCCCTGTGGATATCCCCTTCCCGCATTCCAAGTTCTAAATATTTTGTTTCCCCTCTCTACCTGTACTTAAGAAAATATATTTCCACAGCTTCCCTTGATGCTCTACGTACTGCAGTCTTTTCTTCCACTCTTCCCTGTTCAGAAGTTCTTCCTCAGTTGTAACCTTCTTTCTTCAGGCTGCGGATAATCCCTCTAAGAGCTCTCTAAGGCAGGTGCTAAGGGAACCCAAGACAGGGTTTCAGTTATTAAATATAAATAGACAGGGGAGGGGAACTGAATATAGACACAGATATTTTATCTCTCCGTCCGTGTTAGTTATTAAGAAGAAAGCACTAGTGGTTGCTAAGCAACAGGTCTCTATAGAGGACAAGGTACCAGAGGAAAAAGCCTCCTTTGACTGAATATAGAGGTGGGAGGGTAGGAAAGGTGGGGGTCAAAGACCTCTGAATAGCAGGCCAGCTATAGGGAATGGTTGGTTTGTCCTCCAAGACCAGCCCTTTCCCCAGGCCTTAGCAAACTCCGCCTTTACAACCCTCAGGATTGGTGGTAGGAGGAAGGCCTTAGGCACTCCTCCATTCCTGCCAGGAGGAGGGAACCTGGTTTCCATAGCAACCCAGAAACAATCCTGGCCTTGTTTTGCTTATGGCTTCTCTGTAACCCCCTCTTGGGACACACACTATCATAGACTCCCTTCTCTGACCCTCAACTTCTGATTTGAGGGAGAGAGCCCATAGAAAGGTTGGGGGGTAGTGCCACAAAAGCTGGTCTCACTTGGTCCTAAAGTGACCTATTAAGACTACAAAGGAGGGGTGACTTAGGGGTAAGGTCCTCCAGGTATCCTCTGACCTCTGCATCTTATAAGGGGCTGTAAAATGCCAAATGGTGGCATCAGATGTAAACTGGTTTGCTTTCTAAAGGGCGAGTACAGACTGGGGTTCAAGGTCAGGAGAGAATGAGAGGACAGGGTTTTTTGTGCCCCTTGGCCACCCAGGCCCCCATCCTCCTCGACCTCAAGTCCACCGTCATCAAGAACCGGAAAATGGAGATATAGAACATTAACGTATGTCAAGTATAAGTGAGTGGCACCGAGGGGCATAATCTGTTTTTCTAATATGACCACAAGCAGAGTGTTAGAAGAATTAGGCCGACAGCTGCTGGTTTTTCCCCCTTCTCTCCCCCCTTCCTCACTCTCACTCTCCCTCTCCCTTCCTCCTCGGCGTTTGCACACACCAATGGCAGCCGAGCCCTGCTCGCGATTTCTCTTAATCTTCCTCCGCCATCCTGCGCTCTTTCCGCAGGCGGTGCTGCGAAGCCGGCAGAGCCTCGCGTCACACCTTACTGCTCTCTGAGATTGCTCCACAGAGAGCTCAAGGAGATGGCAATTCGGCGCTGATGCCGGCTGGCAGCAGTTGGGAGAGTGGAAGAAGAAGAGAGAGGGAGGAGGGGAGGGGGAAAAAAGTTGGCACAGATACCAAGTTTTTCCCTAGAGAGATATGGGGGCGGGGGGGGGGCGGGAAGCAAGAGAAGAAGAGAGAAAATGACACAGAGAAATGGAAACAAGTAAAAAGAGAGAGAGAGAGAGAATATTGAGTTCTCTCAGATATTTACATGTGGGTATCCCTAGCCCACCTGACTCATGGCCATCTAAAGATCACACCACCCAGTCAGGGTTCCCACTCACCCACTCCCTACCCTGCCTCGCTTACACACACACACTCTCCCAGCCAACCTGGAAGTCAAGAGTGGCCCAGGCATGTTGTGTGTATTCGTGTGTGTGAGTGTGTGTGTGTGCATACGCCTGTATGTTGTCTCTGTTTTGGATCGCAGTAGAATGCAGTATGTAAATGAGATGGTTATTACCGCAATGTTCATCAAGCTGAGCCGAGAAGACATTAATAGCCTGATGAATATGCATGTGAATTTGTTAATTAAGTTAATTATTCTGCTGAAAATGCATTCGTCTTCCAAGGACATTTTCCCAATGATTTTTACATGCTCTAGCCATTAGTCATGCTATATTTTATCAGGGAAATGAGTTTGCTTAAGTTGTAAAAAAAAAAAAAAAAAAAAAAGAAAAGAAAAAGAAAAAAAAAGGAGAAGAGAGAGACAGAGAAAGAAAGGAGGAAAAAAATGAGAGAGGAAAATGCGTTGAAGTTGAGAGTGGAAAAGCAGCTGAGGCAGGCCTGAAGTTTGAGGCCCAGCTGGGCTTTTGAAGCCTACCCTCGATTTTTATGGGTACCTCACTCTACAATTTTTTGCCCTTTTTTTGATGACAAACTTTTTTTTCCAGTGCCAAATTTCCAACACATTAATTAATTGTTGTAGCCAATTAACTGTAGTTGTGCAAATGAGTTTAGCACTAATTACCATGCAGTGCCTGTAATCACATAAAAAACTTGCTGAGAGAGAGAGGAAAACAGAAAGAAGGAATGGGAATGGAGTGGTACCAGGAGAGGTGGGGACCTGAATAGAGAAGCAGCCAAGGAAAGGGAACAAGGCAGGGAGGGGTCTTGAGATTTCCTCACCATCTTGGCTCTAAGAGAAGGTAGCTGTCTTCCCAGCCACAGTCAGGACCTCCCAGAGCCAGAAAATCTCAGAGTGGGTAGAGGTGAAAGAGCTAGTAAAGAGTGGTCTCCCTTTGTCTAAGAACTCCCAACCAGAGGACAGAGGTTCAGAATGGGTATCTCTAGTTGTTTCGATGATAAAGTGTGGTGCCTATATAATTCTTATAGTCCCCAGCTGGGCACGGTGGCTCACGCCTGTAATCCCAGCACTTTGGGAGGCTGAGGCGGGTGGATCACGAGGTCAGAAGTTTGAGACCAGCCTGGCCAACATGGTGAAACCCCGTCTCTACTAAAAATGCAAAAATTAGCTGGGCATGGAGGTGCGCGCCTGTAATCCCAGCTACTTGGGAGGCTGGGGCAGGAGAATCGCTTGAACCCAGGAGGCGGAGGTTGCAGTGAGCCGAGATCGCGCCACTGCACTCCAGCCTGGGTGACAGGGCAAGACTCCATCTCAAAAAAATAAAAAAATAAATAATCCTTATAGTCCCCATTCCAGGTCTAGCCTCAGTGTTTATATCCCACATGGCTGGGACTACTGGGCAGGGACAGTGGGTACCACTGGGAGATATGCTGTTCCTGATGGGCCCAAGAAGATGGAGGAGTGATACGTAATCTTAGCCTGATTCTGCAGCTGTAAGTGAGTGGGGAAAACTGTTAGGAGTCCACAGCTGCTGGAATAGGCCAAGAGAGCAATGGTAACATCAACTATAAAAGAGCCAGCTCCAGCAGGAGGTGGGAGGTGGGAGCCTTTGGCCAGACAGAACTCCCAGGAGAGGAGCCAAACCTACTCTCCTACAAATTGGCATCTCTGCATTCATCATGTCTGGGCCAACTCTAGGTTTCCACCTGTCAGCTTCAACCAGTGCCCCAGAGGCTGAGTGACAGACAAAACAATTTCTCTAGCTTCTCCTGAGCTGTCCATGAGTTCAGTTGCCATGAAGAACGGTGGTAAAGTCAGCACTAAGCACTGAACTGGCATTTTTGCTTCCACTGTGCTCATGCCCTCTCTACCACGTCCTAGACACTGAGCCTGCCCAAGGGGTGTATGTGGATGTATGGGTTTGTAAATGAACTATAGTTCCCCTGTTCAAAAACAACAAAAAGTGCTATATCTCCCTTACCCCTCAGAATAGAGAGCTCACTTATCATAGGTCTCAATTTCCTCAGGCCTCATAAACACATTCAACAGCACATTTCCAAAGAGGACCTTAATATCTCATCCTCTGATAGGCATCCAAAGGCTGGGTCCTCCCTTCCCCATTCCAGGTCTCAGGTGTCTGGATAGAATGCTCAGGCGCACCATTCACTTTAGCCTTGTTCTCTGGCAAAGGGGAAACAATTTCAAGGGCACAGGTCCCCTGATCCATGACACTGCTGCTTTTTGTTTGTTTTTTTTTGAGACAGAGTCTTGCTGTGTCGCCCAGGCTGGAGTGCAGCGGCACGATCTTGGCTCACTGCAGCCTCCACCCCCTGGTGGAGGCGATTCTCCTGCCTCAGCCTCCTGAGTAGCTGAGATTACAGGTGCTTGCCACCACGCCTGGCTAATTTTTGTATTTTTAGTAGAGATGGGGTTTCACCCTGTTGGCCAGGCTGGTCTCAAACTCCTGGACCTCAAGTGATCCACCTGCCTCGGCCTCTCAAAGTGCTGGGATTACAGGCATGAGCCACCCCACATGGCCTGTGCCGCTCTTTTGATCTATGGACTGAAGTTGGCTGTGAGGACCTGAGTGACCCAGGCTGCTCCAGTGCTCTCCCTGCCCCCAACATCTCTCTGCTAGTAGCACCCACACCCTCTTTTCAGCAACCTTAGTGAAGTGTAGAAAGGCCTCCACCTGAAAAGTCAGCTGTGGTGGAAAAAGCCTTATTATCTTGGATTCCAGGCTCTTCTTTGTGACTTAACATGTGACCTTGGGAAAATGATTTAACATGAGCCTCAATTTTCCACATCTATAAAATGGAGATAATAGTAGTGCCATGCCCAATTAAGAAGTTTAATAATTATGAATATAAAACATTCAGCAAACAAGTGAAATGAGCTATTTCATTCATTGCTAATGAGTACAAAGTGAGAGAACCTTGCTGATGGGCAACCTGGTAATATAAGAAGAAGTTTATGTTCACACAAAAATCTGTACGTGAATGTTCATAGCAGCTTTATTTGTAATAGCCAGAAACTGGAATTAGTCCAGATGTCCTTCTACAGGTAACTGGCCAAACTGTGGTATATTCATACCATGGAATAAATAAAAGGAATGAACTATTGATACACATAAAAACTCAGATCTCAGGGAATTATGCTGCATGAAAAAAGACAACCTAGGCACAGTGGCTCATGCCTGTAGTCTCAGCAACTTGAGAGTCTAAGGCAGAAACACTGCTTGCGGCTAGGAGTTTGAGACCACCCTGGGCAACATAGCAAGGCCCCATTTTACATTCCTACAAAAATTTAAAAATTAGTCTGGCATGGTGGCAGGCACCTGTAGTCTCAGCCACTTAGGAAACTAAGGCTTGAGCCCAGGATTTTTTTTTTTCTTTCTTTTTTTTTTTTTTTTTAACATTTTTTCTTTTTTATGAGATGGGGTCTTGCTGTGTCACCCAGGCTGGCGTGCAGTGGCATGATCTTGGCTTACCACAATCTCTGCCGCTCAGGCTCAAGAGATCCTCCCACCTCAGTCTTCCAAGTAGCTGGGACTATGGGAGCATGCCACCATGCCCAGCTAATAAGCCCAGGCTTTCAAGGCTGCAGTGAACTATGATTGAGACACTGTACTCCATTCTGGGTGACAGAGCAAGATCCTGTCTAAAACAATAAAAAAGACAATCCTAAAAAGTTATGTACTACATTATTCCATTTTTGAAACTACGAAATTTTAGAAGACAGATTAGTGGTGTCAAGGGTTAAGGAGGGGATGAGGTGGGTGAGAGGGAAGGAGGTGTGAATATAAAAGGGCAACATGAAGAATTCTTGTTGTGTTAGAACTGTTCAGCTTCTTGACTGTAGTGGTGGATACATAAAATTACACAGGTAATAAAATTGTATAGTACTTAATATATATACATATGAGAACACGTAAAACTAGAGAAATCTGGATATGACTGGTAGGTTATATCACGGTCAATATTCTGGTTGTTGTGACATTATACTGTAGTTTTATAAAATGTCACCATTCGGTGAAAGTGGGCAAAATGTACAAGAGACCTCTCTGTATTATTTCTTACAGCTGCATGTGGATCTACAATGATCTCAATTTTAAAAGCCTTGATAGATTATTAATGTCTCTTTTAGGTATAGGAGGGAAAAGGGGCCGCCTTGTGTTTCCAATGTAGAATTCCAATGAGGAAGACTAATAAATATTATATTCTCATTAGTGTACATCAATAAAATGAACACAACCATGGGAGGTGGGTATTTGTATCCATTGACCAATAATTCCATGTCTCAGAATTAACTATTTAAAATGCATGAAGGCCGGGCGCAGTGGCTCACACCTGTAATCCCAACACTTTGGGAGGCCAAGGTGGGTGGATCACCTGAGGTCAGGAATTCAAGACCAGCCTGGCCAACATGATGAAACCCCGTCTCTACTAAAAAAACGAAAATTAGCTAGGCATGGTGGCACACGCCTATAATCCCAGCTACGTGGGAGGCTGAGGCAGGAGAATCACTTGAATCCAGGAGGCAGAGGTTGCAGTGAGCCGAGACTGCACCATTGCACTCCAGCCTGGGCAACAAGAGCAAAACTCCGTCTCAAAAAGTAAATAAAATAAAATAAAATGCATGAAGTTTTATTTGTTTGGATATTCACTGTGGTATTTTTTATAACAGAAAAAATAACCAAATGATTCAAAATAGGGGATGAGCCTTATAAATCACAGCATATCCAGGGGATGAAATACTCTATAGGCTTTAAACATACTTTAAAAAACACACTCAGTACAATGCCTGGCATACAGGCATCAATAAATGGAGTTCTCTTTACTGGTTCTGGGTATCAAAAGAGCTAATGCAGATAAATGTAATTAACGAACTGTAAAGTGCCTAGCAAATGCTAGTTGCTGCTATCCTTCTAATGACTATCTCTCCCCCCTCCATCCTGGATGAAGCTGAACTTCCAGGCAGAACAGTTGCCAAGGTACTCTGGCTTGAGAGGCATAGGAATGGGGTAACTGATTTCTTGGGGAGTCTGAGTCAAGTATTGGGACTACTTTCTTTCCAGAGGATGGCCACCCCTACTCCACATCGTGTAGAAAACTACATTCTCCCCCAGCATGTGCACATACATTTGGCCTTTAATCTCAGGGGACTCACAAAGTCTTTGAAGCAATATCAGCCCTGCTAACTTCATAAAAGTAGTAGTACTCTTGCACCAGCCACTGTTGAGTGAGCACCTACTGAGTATCAGGCACTGTTGTAGGTGCTTTACACACATTATTTCACGAAATTCTCACAACAAACTTAAGGAGTAGTTGTTTTTCTGCATTTTACAAGGAAACTAGGACTCAAAGAGGTTAAGTGAATTACCAAGGTAGCACAGCTGGTAAGTGGCAGAGATGGCACTGGAACCCAGGGCTGTCTGTCTCCAAAACTTGTGATCTAACCACCACACATACTACATGACATTTAGAAGAACCAAGAAGCAGTGCACTGTATGGAAACTGTGCTGAGGCTGTCTGGAAGAGGCCTGGAAAAGTAACTGTGCTTCATCCAATGCCTCTTAGGTAGACACAAAAACAAACCGGCAGGCAGAAGAAAAATCTCAGAAGAGAAGCAGGTCCAATCTGAAGTCTTTCATCCCATGAGTAAGTTTTTCCATATGTCTTCCCTCTATCCTTTCTGCTAAAATCTGATGCTTTTTCCTCTCTTCTGTTTCCAGTGAGGATGGTGAGTAGAACACACAGTGCCCCTCCATGAAAGGTCAAGAGAGGACAGAAGGAGTTTTTCTTTCCCCAGCTTTGTTGAGGCCATGACTAGGATGCCTCCATCTTCTCAGTCTCTTGGATCTACCCCAAGGTGTCAAACTAGAAGATGTGTAGGAGAAAATGACCCAGGAAGGAAAAGTAAAAAGCAGCAGCATAACCAGATCAAAAAGACCAGCTTAGAGAATGACCCAGGGGTCTCTCAGGATCTTAGTGCTGCGCTCAGGGTGATGTTAAGGCGGGCAGTTTCTCCCACCAGACTCAGCGGCCGGCTTCATGTCTAACATCTACCCAGCTGTAGAAGTCCAGCCAGCATTTCTCAAGCCAGCACCTCTTGTCTTGATAAGACATCTCTACAGCTACCTCTCTCTCAGACATAAAGGAGGGATCTGAGGGTTCTGCCACTCTGTATTTACCCTTCTGTTTCAATACTACCTTGCTGTATTTGCTCAGGTGCAGGCAACCCAATTGGTGGCTTAGAGATGCCCAGGGAAGATCATAATTTTGTGAGGAGATGCTAGGATCCCAAGGCTAAATCCAAAGGAGCTCTTCCAGGATCTCAAGGCTGGGTCCAAATTTATTTCCTCTTTTCTCTCCACTGAGAGCCAGGAGGGCAGCAGGGGCCTAAGACTGGACACATAGAATGGAGGGGAGGGGTGTCATTGCCCCCTCCCTCCTCCACACATTATTCTACCCTGCTGGTGCCCAAGCATGCCTGCTGCTCACTTGGCTTCCCTCAGCCCATCTACCCTATGGATAGGAGAGGGTTAAAGGCATGGTATGGGCAAGCTATAAATTTCCCATCAGTGTGGAGAGAGCAGGATTGTTGGCAGGGAGGGGGTTGGGCTAGCGGGGAGGGGGAGCTGGGAAAAAGCCAGGAGGTTGTCTCTAGGTAACAATAAACACTGCAAGCAAGGAGCAGCTGTTACACTTACTCTCTCTGCATCACAATGCTGAAATAACACTAATAAACCAGTGTGCCCAATGCACAGGCATACACACATTTAGGGCTGGGACCCCACTGTACCCCTATGGCTGCCCTCTACTCCAGGGCAGGGCCCTTCATGGCAGTGGACATACCTGTCCTGGCTTCAGTATACTTGTGGGGAAGGATGAAGACTGACAAGTTCTCCCCATCCCAGTGGCATTCTCAGGGTCAGGGTGGTGACCGAGGCTGGAATCTTGGGTTCAGATCCTGGTGGCATTCACTGGAAAGAGTTGAAACAGGGATAGCTCTCAGTTGGGAGCTGGGAGGAGAGGAAGAGAGTGAGAGAGAGAAAAGCATAGGGAACAGACAAGTACTTACCACGTCCTTTCAGACTGGAGGGGATGAGGTAGCCAGGAATGGAATTGGCTAAAGGGAGGTGAAAGAAAAGGCAGGCAGAAAATAGGGTTTGAGAAAGTAGAGGATTAGGGAGCATGTGGCATCGTGGCATGTTTTCTTTTTTTTTTTTTTTTTTGAGACAGGGTCTCACTCTGTTACCCAGGCTGGAGTATGGTGGCACAATCTTGGCTTACTGCAACCTCCACCTCCCAGGCTCAAGCAATCCTCCCACCTCAGCCTCCCAAGTAGCTGGGACTAGAGATGTATGCCATCACACCTGGCTTTGTGTGTGTGTGTGTGTGTGTGTGTGTGTGTGTGTGTGTGTGTGTGTGTGTGTGTGTAGAGATGAGGTTTCACTATGTTTCCCAGGCTGGTCTCGAACTCCTAAGCTCAAGCGATCCACCCATCTCGGCCTCCCAAAGTGCTGGGATTATAGGCATAAGTCACTGCACCTGGCCATGGCATGATTCTTTTATCTCTCCTGGGGCTGAACTCCCTACATTTGCTTACACCTGGCCTGGAAGACCCAAGATCCCCCTCACAATACTACTTCTATACCCAGGGCCAGGTGATGTGTTGGTTTAGTTCAGGACTGAGCTTTATTATGCATCTCCCAGCAGGCAACCTGGGGCTTCTGATACTGCCCGGGAGAGCTGGGGGAATGGAGCTGTTCCTGACTTCCTACACAAGGAGTGGCTAATCTTCTGTCCTTTTTCTAACCAAAGCCATCTCTGGACCACCAAGAGCAAGTGGGCAGAGGTCCCTCATCCTGGCAGGAGAGCAGAGCTGCCAGCAATGAAAGAACAGAAATAGGCAAATGAGAACTCAGGCTCTGTCACAGAACCCTCCTCCTCTTAGTCCATCCTTCACTGAAGATGGGATGTTTATTTTTTAATTAATTAATTAATTTATTTTTTGAGACAGAGTCTCGCTCTGTTGCCCAGGCTGGAGTACAGTGGTGCAGTGGTGCGATCTCGGCTCACTGCAACCTCTGCCTCCCGGGTTCAAGTGATTCCCCTGCCTCAGCCTCCTGAGTAGCTGGGATTACAGGAGCCTGCCACCATGCCCGGCTAATTTTTTGTATTTTTAATAGAGACAGGGTTTCACCATATTAGCCAGATCTCGATCTCCTGACCTTGTGATCCGCCTGCGTCGGCCTCCCAAAGTGCTGGGATTACAGGCATGAGCCACTGTGCCCAGCCAGATGTTTACTATTATGTGTCTGGATACATTGGCAAACAAGATCGCTGTTACTCTTTTTTTTTTTTTTTTTTTTGAGACGGAGTCTCGCTCTGTTGCCCAGGCTGGAAGGCTGGAGCGCAGTGGCGCGATCTCAACTCGGAGATCACTGCAACCTCTGCCTCCCGGGCTCAAGCGATTCTCCTGCCTCAGCCTCCTGAGTAGCTGGGACTACAGGTGCACGCCACCACGCCTGGCTCATTTTTGTACTTTTAGTAGAGACGGCGTTTCACCATGTTGGTCAGGAGGGTCTCTATCTCCTGACCTCGTGATCCACCCGCCTCAGCCTCCCAGAGTGCTGGGATTACAGGTGTGATTTGCCGTGCCCGGCTATCCTAGCTGTTACTCTTTACCAGATCCAGTATAGGCCCCTGGGACTGGAGTCCAAGGCATGAATGGTTCTCCTGGTCCACTTTCTGGCCTCTTTCTCCTGGTGTGACCTCAAACCCCGTTACCCTATTATCCCCTCTATCAGAAAAATGGAGACGATGCATACTGCCCACCTGGCACACAAGGGAGGAGGAAATCGACACTTCTGAAGATCTATGGTTCTGCACCCACCTCCACAGCCTGCACCACTACCTTGGTTCAGCCAGCATAGGAGTCCCTAGCTGCTTCTCTCTTGTCCCAGGTGTCTGTTTCCAGAAAGGAGAGGACTGAGACCCAGCAGTTATCCTTCCAGGTTCTGGTGTTATAACACAGCTTGTTTTACTTCTAAAAATTTAGTGTCAGCTGGGTACCTAGAGTTCTGGGCAGGCAAGTGAGGGTAGGGAGGAGTAACTGTGTTTGCCTAGAAACCCCTCTTCTGGAAAGTGCCCAGGGGCACTGAGCTACCCTAGCACAGATGGATGCCCCGTACCTCCTGTGCACCCAATGAATACAGTAGGGCAAGAATAACTGGCCTCTCCTATCCTTTCCTCACTGAGATACCTCTCACTGGGAATGCTCAGCTTCCCCTGCTCTCTTCTCTCCCATTTCCCTGTTTTTTTTATAGTTGGGGCCTCCCCTGCTCCACAATCCAGATGAGGGACCTTCATTCACAGAGCTCAGAGTGGGGAGATATGGGGCAAAAGAGAGCTCTAATAGGCCTGGATCCCTTCCCCTCTGTTGTTTTTGTGAGCCACCTCCACTGCTATGAGTCACCAGAACCTTGAGCTTGCTGAGCTACCAGCAGCCTTCTCCCTCTTTCCTTCCTCCAGCCAGGCAGATATGTGCCCAATGGGCCCCAGAGCCTGCCATCTTCCTATCTTCAAGCCCACAGTCCCCTCCTTCATTTCTAGGAATCCACAACATAGACACATGGAAATGAGTGAGCAAAGGAGTGTGAGAGACCTCAGCATGTGCTCTGTGCTGGGGCAGAGAGCTGGCTGCCTGCACAGCAGAGCAGGATCACTAGCCAGGCGAGCTGGCACACTTGGGCAAACAGCCCTGTCGGCATGTGATCAAGGAAGCAGGAGAGGATGGGGTAAGAATGCTGTTTCAGGAGCAGACATCTCCTCCTGGCTTCCTCTCTAGTTACCTTCTTCTCCTTGGCCTTTCTCCTTGGGTGCTGATGGACACCATGGCACTGCCACCTCTATCTACCCCTGTCTTGGCCTTCCTTCCCCTTCTTCATGGCTTTGGAAGCTACAGAGAGGGGACCTGCTTAACAAACTCCAAGGTGTCAAGATGGGAGGTTTAGTCATCCAGATCTCTCTTCAACCAGTGGGAAAAATTTAGGGGAGAAGGAGGAAAGAGATCCTATTAGAGTAAGAGTTGAGCCGTAGGCTAACATTGAGTACCCCACCTAGTCTCTTTTCTCCAAAGTGCAGGAAATTCTGGGTACTACCATTTTTAACTTCCACTCACTTCAAGTCATCCCTCTTCCCCGCAAAGATCTGGCACCCTTGGCTAAACCTTAGAAATGAGAGGCTGAGCCACACTCCTGTAATCCCAGTACTTTGGGAGGCCGAGGCAGGCGGATCACTTGAGGTCAGGAGTTTGAGACCAGCCTGGCCAACATGGTGAAACCACGTCTCTACTAAAAATACAAAAATTAGCCAGGCATGGTGGTGCGCACCTATAATCCCAGGTACTTGGGAGGCTGAAGCAGGAGAATCACTAGATCCCAGGAGGCAGAGGTTGCAGTGAGCTGAGATCACGCCACTGCACTCTCCAGCCTGGGCGATAGAGTGAGACTCCATCTCAAAAACAAACAAACAAAAAAGCCTTAGGAGTGGGAGGCAGATCTGACAGGAGTTACAAGAAAGGAGGCTCTGTTCCTTGGAGAAACACCCAGAATATAGACTGAATGCTTTTAGGGCCTTTTAGCCCTAGCTCTAACATGACTGCAATATGTTGGAATAGGGATGGACAAAGGGTGAAAAAGAGGGCTTACAGAAAGCCTGCCACCCTCTCTCCTTCAATGCATGCTCCTTTCCACTGCTGTGTGTTCCAGAGTAGAAACAGCAGCTCTGTAAACAGCAGCCATTTAATAAATCCTACAAACCATACTTGCTCTAAATGTCCTGCCACACATTAGGCAGCCAGCCCCACAGGTGGGACTACAGGTCTCAGTTCCCAAACTTCGCCCTCTGCCTTGTCACCACTTTCAGGTTTTTATCTGCTCTCCCAACAAGAGAATCTTCCTTTCCAGCCCCTTGGCACAGCCTTCCTCCCCTGCTGACACCCCTGGGGCCCTTAGAAGTAGGCACGGGGTCCTAGATAAATTCTTTCCAAACTGTTTTGGAGGGATCTGAGGAGAGCTCTTCTCATCCTGTCTGCAGTTAAGAAGGCAGGCAATGAGACAGCCAAGGAGATGACTCACAGTCTGAAGGAAGGGCTGGGTGAGGCTGGGGGGCACTTAGGCAGATCTTGCTCTTCTCAGGGGATTTGGGGATATAAAATGGGGAAGAGAAGGCAACTCTTGGGTGGGGGAAGGGTGTTGGGGGCCTGGGGAGTGTGATAAAGTTTTTACTGGCACTGCTTTCCAAGCTCTGTGCCTATCCTTGTCCCTAACCTAACTTAGTCTCATGAAGCATGGAACTAAAAATGTTGAATTTTCTGAGGAAGGAGGAGGATGGCAAGAAATGCCACCTTGGCAACCTAGTGGGAGAACCCCCTTTCTCCTTCATTTCTTCCCTCCTAACCCTAGCATGTGAACACTGAAGGAAGCAAGGGGTTGGGGATGGGTACAGCTGGAAACTTGCCCCTTTCTCCAGTGTACATCAACACTACAAGAGTCAGAGGGGTCTAAGAGCTCTAAGGCCATGGCACCACATGAATTCAGGAGCATTTCTAATTCAGCCTTCAGGGCCTTGAATTTAAATTCTATCTCTGTTCTAGGCTTTGCCATGGGACAAGACGTATAAGACTACTCCTTAACACATTTGTTGGCATAAGTTTCTCCAGTGGCTTATTATATTGCAGCAGGGAAATATGTGGTAAGATTTCAAAAAAAAAAGCTCAGCATTTAGTCTTGATTGGGGGATTTGCTTCTTGGTTAAGGAGGTGGGGTAAATAATGCATTTCCTTCCCTGTAGATCTTATAAGACATGGTAAAATTCCATAGGGGTCAGGGGCTGTAGGGGATTTGTGTACTTGGAAGCAAGAAAATGGATAAGATGATCTCTGGAACAAGCTGTATAGAGGAAATGTCCCCCTAATAGTGCTCCATAGAAGCTGAACCTGTCCATGACTCCCCTAAGTTGCTTCTAAGACAGGGGATAGAAACTTGAGACTTCAAGCAATGGAGAATAATATCCTGCATACCTTCTTCCCTTGACTTTCCTCCCCCAACACCTACCTACCTTTCCTTTTCCTGTGTTCCCAGAAATTCTCCAAATCCAGGAACACAAAGCAATACCAGGACAGGATTCAAATGATTTCCCCTCTCTGGGTCTTGTTTTTCACATCTGTAAAATGAAGGGGTGGGGCAAGATGAGCTCCAAGTTCCCTTTTTTTTTTTTTTTTTTTGAGACAGAGTCTTGCTCTGTTGCCCAGGCTAATTCTCCTACCTTAGCCTCCCAAGTAGGTGGGATTACAGGCACACATCACCATGCCCAGATAATTTTTTTGTATTTTTTGGTAGAGATGGCGTTTCACCATGTTGGCCAGGCTGGTCTCGAACTCCTGGCCTCAAGTGATCCACCTGCTTCGGCCTCCCAAAGTGCTGGGATTATAGGCGTGAGCCACCGCACCTGGCCAAGTTCCCTTTCTTGCAAAAGCAAGGTTCTACGATTCATACCCCAAAAGGCACCAGGCCTCATTTGCATGCCATTTTGCATGTAATCTCCATGGCACTTATTTTATGTCAAAACATACAGAAATACCTCTGAACCCTGCCCTTCTCCTCCGTCTCTCCATAGTCTCTGGTTCTATGGTCCATAGCTCTTGTCTTCTCTCTACAAGGACCTCAAAGCTCTGTCCCCACCTTCCTTTCACAATTTTACAGCACTCCCTGGGACAAGCCCAACCAGACAAAACCCCAGGAGCAAGAAAACAGCCTCACCTTATATTCTGGCTGTGATTTTGGGCTCCAGACCTGAGTCAACCAGTATAGTTCCAATCCGTTTGGAGGTCCTGGCAGTTGGGGGGAAATCCTGGCACCTCTCCCCAGTGCCTCCCTTCCTCCACCTCGCTATTCTCCATGCCAGAACGCAAAGTGGCCAGTGATTGATGGGCCTGGGTTCCCGGTAACCGCACCCAGTGGCCCAATCCTCCTCCCTTACCCAATCCCTCCCCTGTCCCTATTCAGATATCAGATTGTCTCATGTTGGTCCCTGAGGTCCCATTAATTAAAAATACATCCAATTAAATGGCAGGTGAAAACGTGCTATTGGAGCTCTATACCCCCCTGCCCCAGCTTGGTCTCTCCACCCCCTCAACCCCCCTTTTAAGGCTCAGCTGTGCTTTGAGCTGAGAGAGAGAGAGAGAGAGAGACAGAGAGAGAGAGAGAGAGAGAAAGCATGAGGGAGAGAGTAGAGGAAGACATGGGGCAGGGTATGATGGGGGGGTTATTTGATCCTCTGCCAGGGTAGCATGTGCCAGCCTGGGAGGGTGGCACCATGCCCTAGTGTCTAATTTCTGGAGGTGTTGAGTAGGTTCAGTCAGCTGGGTACCCATTTCCATTTCCCTTAAAGGGGCAGAGGGCAGTCAGAGGGCATGGCTAGCTATAATGCCTTCCTTTTGGGCTTTGTGGATGAAGGGCAAAAGTGTAGATGGCAGAGGGGCCTTATAGGGGGACATGTAAAAATCAGGGATTGGGAGAGTCTGAGGCCTCCATTCTTGGCATATCACTGCTCTTCCCCAAACTGGGAAGACTATAACGAGGAGCAGGCTGGGACCCAGGTGGCAGGGCATGGCGATGCTCCCAAGCCTGGCTGTGCCTACCCCTGCCCACAGGAAAGCTGAGAGAAGAATGGAGAGAGGGAGGAAGGAGCCATAACTTCGGTGGGAGCAGATGGGTCAGATAGGATAAAATATGCAGAGAGAGATGTTCATGTGGGCACCATGTCCCCTAGCACTTCATAGGTAAAGGACCTGAAAGGACCCGTCCTGTTTATCTTTTCTTCAAGCAAAAAGAAGAAGCAGAGCTGTAGCGTGAAGTCACCTTGGCCTGGCTGCCTGGCAGGCAGTGAATAGGGTATCTCCCTTGATGAGCACTGACCGCTCTCCTCCTCCATACTTACGGTGTCCCTAGCATTTTAGGTAAGGCATTTGCCCCCTTCCACCCCTCTGCAAAGCCCTCTGGCCCCAAGCGATACAAAACTAATGGGCACTGAAAGCTGTTGGGAGAGGAGCTGGGAAAGTAGGGGTGACTAAGGGTGACACTCAGAATCCAGGCAAGAGTGGGGGTTTTGCCAACCCAGGGCCCCCGTCTGGCCTCCTTGGCAGCCTCAGCACCTCCTCACTTCACTTTAACGCTAATTGGAGATTTTAATCTGCACTGCTGCTCTGCTCGGGGTGCTGGGGGGAGCGCCAGCTGTGCAGTAATTCCAGCAGCACCGACTGTTTAATCAAGCTGTCCTCCTGGGGAGGGGCCCTCAGGCATGGGGGTAGGAAGGAGGAGGAGAACCTCTGTCATGTCCCTTAGCCTGTTCAGCCTGGAAGGGCTTCATGGAGATGGAGGGTCAATTGTGGAGTCCTCAGTCCCATAGAGGCCCCAGGGCCATTTGGCACCCCTAGCAGAAACACTGCCTGATACAGGGTGGGTATGAGGCTCATGGCCCAAAGCAGCCCACACTCCTATCCAGCTTTCTGACACCATTTTTGGCTCAGGGCCCTGGAATGTCCTGGGGTGTATTCCAGCCACTGAGGCTGCAAACATCCACTAGACCATCTTGAATTCTATAGGTTTGTGCTGGAGTAGGTGACGGGGAGACTAACTCTCCCAGGCTTCAGTCACCCCTAACACTTTCTCACTAACAAAACACTTTTCTTAGAACAATTATAAGAGATTTTTTCCCCCTAAAAACCACAGGCACCTCCACCATCTGGGTCGGAAAGTGACTGCCATTAAGGCAGGGGGACAACGGGGCATACAGCTGGAACCTGCTACACCTTAAGGGAGAGATGCACCTGTGCAAGGTGTTAAGTGCCTGGAAAGAGGGGGCTTCCCAAGTTCAGCTGGAAGCACATTGAGATGTCAGGCCACTAGAGCAAAGTGTTTAGGGGTCTCAGGCCATTTTCAAGGAAGAACAAGTGGTACCAAATATTTGTCTCACTTTTTGGGCCCATGCTCTCTGGGGCCCAGAGAGCCCCAGAGTTTCTGACCCCTGTTTTGGAGAAAGGGTGCCCTCATCCCCAAACTGTCTGCTAAGGGGCATGAGTTTTAATTGGCCAGCAGCGCCCTCGTGTGGCAGAAACCATGACTGCAGCTGCCCAACTGGCAGGCCTGTTCTGTGTGATCAGATAACCTGGTAGACAGAAGACATGAAGATAAGTTATAAATGCTGGTGCTCAAGGTACCCCATGCATACTTACTGCTTGACTACATCCAGGGACGTTTCTTGCTAACACTTGCTCTATCCCTCTGTCTACCTCAGCCCACCTGCTTCACCTCTAACTCAACCCATATGCCTACCAGGAGAGGGAGCACCTTACCCAGAGGTGGCACTTACTTGAGCTGCTGCATGTGCTGTCTGGATTGCAGGGATGAGAGAGGCACTGCAGAGAGAGGAGGCCTAGGGTCAAGAGGATAAGCTGATGTCACCTCCTATGCCCAGGATGCAGGGAGATGCTCTGCCCACACCTGACCCTGCAACTCTCAACAGCCCCCAGAGGAGAGCTGACACCTGAGCTCAAGACAGTAACACCTAGTAGTTGATTCTGCTTTATGGCCATCTATTCTCCACTTCCTGGAGGCATCTGGGAATGAGTATGGACAGATTCTCAGAGCCTAAGATCCTGGTCCTGGGAAATAGACACTAGATAAATCATCTTTCCTTTCGGAACAGTCTGGATATTATTAAAAACAAATGCACACATAAAACCATTCGCTCAAAAGATCCAGGTAGGCCAGGCGCAGTGGCTCACACCTGTAATCCCAGCACTTTGGGAGGCCAAGGCAGGCGGATCACCTGAGGTCGGGAGTTCGAGACCAGCCTCATCATCATGGAGAAACCCCATCTCTAATAAAAATACAAAAATTAGCCTGGCATAGTGGCGCATGCCTGTAATCCCAGCTACTCAGGAGGCTGAGGCAGGAGTATAGCTTGAATCCGGGAGGCAGAGGTTGCAGTGAGCCAAGATCGTGCCATTGCACTCCAGCTTGGGCAACAAAAGCGAAACTCCGTCTCAAAAAAAAAAAAAAAAAAAAAAATCCTAGTACTCTCCCAGGATAGCAAGCAACTAGGAAGAATGCACATCTGTGGCTTCAGATTTCTAGCCCCCAGAAGAAAGGCTACCTGTCATTAGACTCTCCCTCTCCAGTACCAAATACCATCTGTTTACTGGTCCATTCCCACACCCACTAAATGGGAAAAATGGTCATGAACTATAGAAAAAGGGATGGACATTTGATACCAGGAGGTTAGCGGCTCTTTACAGATTCGGGCTGGAAGTTACGAAGACATACAGGCGAGTCACCAAGGCCTTCCCCTTGTTGGAGACATTTAATAACAGAGAAAAATACTCCGAGAGAGAAACATAACCCTGTTTGGGGTTGATGGGTAGGGGGAGCAGCACACCTACCAGCAAGCAAGAAAGGTGGGGGTAGACACAGGAGGCTGGTGACCTGTCCCATCTGGGCATTGGGGATGAAGGAAGCAGGCTTGCAGGCCTCTAATTCTGGTGTCTCACACAGTGTTTGGACAGGTGGGATTTCCCACTGAACCTGGAAAGGAAGTGAAGAAGCTGATTAGAGGTAGTGAGAAGGGACAGAACTGCCCTATCTTGACTGAGAAGAAAGAAATAGAAAATAGCTTTTTGGTGCTTGCTTTGGCAGCACATATACTAAAAAAATTGGAGGTCGGGCACAGTGGCTCACACCTGTAATCCCAGCACTTTGGGAGGCCGAGGCAGGCGGATTACGAGGTCAAGAGATCGAGACCATCCTGGCTAACATGGTGAAACCCCGTCTCTACTAAAAAATACAAAAAAAAATTAGCCAGGCGTGGTGGGGGGGCGCCTGTAATCCCAGCTACTGAGGAGGCTGAGGCGGGAGAATGGAGTGAACCCAGGAGGCGGAGCTTGCAGTGAGCTGAGATTGTGCCACTGCACTCCAGCCTGGGCGACAGAGCAGGACTCCGTCTCAAAAAAAAAAGAAAAAATTGGAATGATACAGAGAAGATTGGCATGGTCCCTGTGTAAGGATGACATGCAAATTTGTAAAGTGTTCCATAAAAAAGGAGGAAGGGGCCGGGCGCGGTGGCTCACGCCTGTAATCCCAGCACTTTGGGAGGCCGAGGTGCGCGGATCATGAGGTCAGGAGATCGAGACCATCCTGGTTAACATGGTGAAACCCCATCTCTACTAAAAATACAAAAAATTAGCCAGGCGTGGTGGCGGGCGCCTGTAGTTCCAGCTACTTGGGAGGCTGAGGCAGGAGAATGGCGTGAACCCGGAAGGTGGAGGTTGCAGTGAGCCGAGATCGTGCCACTGAACTGCAGTCTGGGTGACAGAGCAAGACTCCATCTCAAAAAAAAAAAGGAAGGAAGGAAGGAAAAAAAAATCCTGTAATCCCAGCACTTTGGGAGGCTGAGGTGGGCAGATCACCTGAGGTCAGGAGTTCAAGACCAGCCTGGCCAACATGGTGAAACCCCGTCCCTACTAAAAATACCAAAAATTAGCCAGGCGTAGTGGCGGGCACCTGTAATCCCAGCTGCTCAGGAGGCTGAGACAGGAGAATCACTTGAACCTGGGAGGCAGAGGCTGCAGTGAGCTGAGATCACGCCATTTCGCTCCAGCCTGGGCAACAGAGCAAGACTCTGTCTCAAAAAAAAAAAAAAAAAAAAGCTTTTTGGGGCTGGGCACAGTGGCTCACGTCTATAATCCCTGCACTTTAGGAGCAGAGGCAGGCAGACTGCTTGAGTCCAGGAGTTAAAGGCCAGCCTGGGCAACATGGTGGAACCCTGTCTCTATTAAAAATACAAAAAATTACCTAGGCATGGTGGCACACGCCTCTAGTCCCAGCTACTCAGGAGGATGAGGTAGGAGAAATCACCTGAGGCTGCAGTGAGCTATGATAATGCCATTGCACTACAGCCTGGGCAACAGGAGTGAGACCCTGCAAGGCTGTGTATATAGATGGGGTTGTGGGCTAGAGGGCTAGCTGCCCTGGAGGAGAGGGCTGAGAGTAACCCACTAACTGACATCAGCAACCCACTGTAGAGGAACATCCATTAGCACAGCTGGACAAGAGGAAAGAACAGGAATGCCAAGAAAGGGGGTTACCTGCTCTAGCTGGAAGGGAGAATCTATTAATCAGAAGGCAGAACATCAGAATATAGGGTCAAATAAAAAGCTAAGGAAACTCCTCTGGAGATCTTTCGGAATAAGAAACTTCCCTGAGATCACCTGTTAGCCTGGTGCGGTGGCTCACGCCTGTAATCCCAGCACTTTGGGAGGCTGAGGCGGGCGGATTACCTGAGGTCGGGAGTTGGAGACCAGCCTGACCAACATGGAGAAACCCCATCTCTACTAAAAATACAAAATGAGCCGGGTGTGGTGGTGCATGCCTGTAACCGCAGCTACTCAGGAGGCTAAGGCAGGAGAATCGCTTGAACCCCGGGAGGCGGAGGTTGCGGTGAGCCGAGATCATGCCACTGCACTCCGGCCTGGGCAACAAGAGCAAAACTCCATAAAAAAAAAAAAAAAAAAAAAAAAGATCGCCTGTTACCCAGCTACTCAAGAGGCTGAGGCACGAGAATCACTTGAACCCCGGAGGCGCAGGTTGAAGTGAGCTGAGATTGCGCCACTGCACTCCAGCTTGGGCGGCAGAGTGAGACTCTGTCTCAAAAAATAAAAATTAAAAAAGAAAAAAAAAAGAAAGAAACTTCTCTAAGACCAGGGGTGGGGTGGGGTGGGATGGGAGTAGGGTCATCCCACACAAAAGCAGGCCAGTGACCTCTGATTGGCTTTAGGCCCCTACCTGGCTTGGCTTTAGGTTCTGTGAAAGAGACTGAATTTGCCAGGCTCTGGGTGAGAGGTGACTGATGGACATCACTGCATTCCTCAGAGGGCATTCCCACCGTTGCTCCTACCTGTAAAGGAAAATGGCAGGTTACATTAGACATGAGACAAGGGACTAGACACCAAAGAACATCTTTGGTCTTGCACCCAGGAAGCATCCATTGGTAGGTAACAGTGACGGTGATGTTAGCACTCTTCTAACTCCTTCAAACCTGAATTCCCCAGAAGGATTCAGACTAACCTTAGTACACTCCCAGAGAGAGTCATAACTGTTCTAAAATTCTTGTCTCCAGGGACCTAGCTCCCAGGCTGATAAAAGCAAAAACATGGTTCTTAAAGTTAGGGAATTCAACAGAAACAGAAGCTGTGAAACCCAGAATCATAAAGATCAATGAAGGTTAATGGTTAATATAAGGCTAATAAAAGAAGGTGACTGGGAGGAGGCCACCCAGTTTTAGATCAGATCATGAGGTTGGACTTGTGGCTCTCTCATCCATAACAGCTCCTTCAGGAAGGACTCTAAGGCAAAAAAGGATCCTGACTGTGAGAAAGGAGGTTTGCAGGACAGCAAACTTAATGTAATCTGGACAAGTAGGTCTATCATACATTCCCTAGAGACAAATTTACATGGAGACCAGTTCCACATTTCCTCTATGCTGTCTATCAAAGTTGATGAACAAAACGTAAAGGATATGTACTGGGATCTATTTCTTCATCAGCAGCAGACAATATTCACTTTGCAGATCCCCAGTACCTCTCCCCTAGACCCATTAACTCTTTCTAATCTGCCCAATGATGCCCTCCTCCCTTCACCATTCTGCTTCCAGCCTAGGCATGCTCCAGTATTCCACTCTCTGCTCATCAGTGGCTCCCAGACTCATATGCTCAGAGAAAGCAAACACTGGAAGGGACTGTAGATACATCCAGGAGGGGTCTAAAGAGGGAAAGGCATCTTGGCACCAGACTGAGATGACTTACAGAACCAGCAATGCGTGTCAGCCAACTGAACACACTATTTAGGGTATTTAGGCCACTGTGGATCACCACATACCACCTTCCTTCTGCCTCATCAAAGGAGAATATCAAACAACTCAAAACTTTAAAAACTAAAATAAAGGAGAGGAGAAGGTCCCCTTACCATTTTCCTGTAATCTCAGAGCATACCTCTTTTTGCTGAGTTCTATCATCTCATCTATCATTCAGGGACCCCCTTCCGCCACCATAGTTTTCTAGCCGATGTGTTTTCTTTCTCCATTCCCTTTTTCTTTTCAATATAGCAAAAGAGCTTCAGTTGAGATTTAGGGTGAATTCCTCACATTGCCTCTAAGGATCTTTTCCTGCTATCCAACCTCCAGAGATAGTTGCAAAATGCTCTTTGAAGTTTGGGTTAACTCTGAGGGCATCAGGATCTTTGGCTGTGGCTGCCATCTGCTTCCCAATGAACCAGCCTCTTGACTTTAAATAAAAATTACACTTGTATAATCTGCATGTCATTGAAAGATTATTCTTAGACTGGGTGCAGTGGCTCACGCCTGTAATCTCAGCACTTTGGGAGGCTCAGGTGGGTGGATCACCTGAGGTCAGGAGTTCAAGACCAGCCTGACCAACATGGTGAAACCCCATCTCTACTAAAAATACAAAATTAGCCGGGCATGGTGGCACATGCCTGTAATCCCAGCTACTTGGGAGGCTGAGGCAGGAGAGTTGCTCAAACCCGGGAGGCCAGAGGTTGTGGTGAGCCAAGATCGTACCATTGCACTCCAGCCTGGGCAACAAGAATGAAACGCCGTTTCAAAAAAAAAGAAAAGAAAAAGAAAAAGAAAATAAGAGGCTGGGCGCGGTGGCTCACGCCTGTAATCCCAGCACTTTGGGAGGCCGAGGCAGGCAGATCACCTGAGGTCAGGAGTTTGAGATCAGACTGGCCAACATGGTGAAACCCCGTCTCTACTAAAAATACAAAAAAATTAGCCAGGCTACATAATACAAAAAAATTAGCCATTAGTTACTCGGGAGGCTGAGGCAGGAGAATCGCTTGAACCCAGAAGGTGGAGGTTGCAGTGAGCCGAGATCGCGCCATTGCACTCCAGCCTGAGTGACAAGAGCGAAACTCCGTCTCAAAAAAAAAAAAAGATTATTCTTTAAGATACACACACACACACATATATATATGTATATATAATTTCCCAGTCTTTCTAGATCTACCTTTCCCCCTCAATCTCTCTCTCCCTCCTCAAATCTCACAGTCCATCCTTCCTTTCCTGAAGAAGCTCAGGGCTCTCAGGAAAGGGTCATCTTAAAGTTGGGGGCACTCTACTCGCAGAAGTCAAGATTCTGGCCTCTTGGATCTAGTTCTGGCTGGCTGCCATTAACTCGCTGTGCGACTGCGTGGGCAAGGCACTTTCCTTCCTTAAGCCTCAGTTTCCTGCTCTGTAAAGGGAGAGGTTAGATTACCTGACCTCTTTCCTAGCCCTGGCAATCTATGATTCCCTAAGGGAGAAGACGTGTCATTCCATCAGGAAGTGATACATTCATTCCTGCCCTTTACAGCTTCTCTCTGGGCCACTGCAGAGAAACTCCCCTATAGATGCCTACCTTTCCCTTGCTGGCTTAACCAAAGGGACAAGTATGTTTCAGAAGGAGGCCTTCCTTTAAGAGCCAAACTCGGGGCCGGATGCGGTGGCTCACGCCTGTAATCCCAGCACTTTGGGAGGCTGATCACGAGGTCTGGAGATCGAGATCATCCTGGCTAACATGGTGAAACCCTGTCTCTACTAAAAATACAAAAAAATTAGCCAGGCATGGTGGCGGGTGCCTGTAGTCCCAGCTACTTGGGAGGCTGAGGCAGAATGGCATGAACCCAGGAGGCGGAGCTTGCAGTGAGCCGAGATCGCGCCACTGCACTCCAGCCTGGGTGACAGAGCGAGACTCTGTCTCAAAAAAAAAAAAAAAAAAAAAAAGAGCCAAACTCAAACTCCTCCCATTAAGAGGAAAAGAAGTTGAGGCAGTCTAACTCTAACCCTGAATTTTGATAAAGCAAATGGGAGACTGAGAGCAGGTATGGGGCAGGAAGGAGTATGATAAGCATACCTCCCCACCCCCCAGACTTAGCACACACCTAGGGAGCCCCCCATAAGTAGTAGCTGCTAATCCAACTCAACTGTGTGTAGATGGGAAGAAGAAAGCAGGGACATGTGTAAACACATCCACAGCATTGACATAAGTGTTCAATCAATGTCCATATACTCTCATTCTCCCCTACTTTAAGCCTGTAACAAGCCATGGTGGGAGGCGACACCATATCCCAGTCTTCCCCTTCCCCAAAGTTGGAAAGGAAGACACAGTGAGACAGGAGCTACTTGGCTTCCTATAAATTGTTTTGTCCTTCCTCTCAGCTGCAATCAGAAGCTAAGGGCTCCCGCAGGCCTTGTTCTGATCTGCTGCAGGGAATGGAGGGTTTTTGAAACAGAGAGGACTTGGCTGAGGCCCCGTTTCAGCTGCCGTTGGGGCTGGCTAATGGGCTCATTCGGGAAGACCCCCGCCTGCCGCACTAAAGAGTCCCCCGCCGACCCCCGCCCCAGTCCCAGCCCAATTAATAAATGGGGGCTCCCACTTTATGGCTCTGGGAGCAGGAATCAGAGATACAAATGATCCCTAGGGAGGGACAGAAAAAGGCCTTCCAAGAATCAAGCTAGAGAATTGTGCATCCACAGGCACATGCTGCCACAGGCTAGTCATATCCCATTTTCAAAGCATTAAAGGGGAAGAAACTGGCAAAAATACTATTTTCTTTCCCAGATCCAGAGTAGGATAGCATTCTTGAAGTCTATGGGCACACCCTAGCAACAGACTCCCTCTTGCCTGGTTCTTCAACCTGAAAAGGGCAGGGTGCATGCAGGTTATCATCTGGACACATGGTGCATGCTCCACTATCCTCCAGGGGCAGTGCCCCCTCCTAGACTCTGCAATACTGAACATTGACACATCCTATCAATTGGTTAATAAGACAAAACACTTCCTACTTAAAAACAAAGCAGTTCCCTCTTATCAAGCTTTCATCACCACCAACAGCACAAATGTGTCTTGGGATCATCATCCTGAGGCTTTTATCCCTCTCCTCACATCCAAGCTGTGACCAAGCCTTGCTAATTCCTATGGACCCACTTTCTTTCCTCTGATTCTCCTTGTCTTACTCTACTGTAAACTCTCAGTGCTTCATGTCTTGGCAAGAACAATAATATTTTAGTGAACTTTCCTGCTTCCTTGACCAAGTACTGCTACAAAAGTCCTCAATGTGATTTTCATCTCATCATGCTCTGTTCCCTGCTACTGCTTAACAACTCAAATTCCTCATTCAAGCCAATGAGATTGCTCCTCCAACTTCATTTCCTAATACTCCTTTCCTGTACCATTCTGGTCAGCCAATTCACAGCCTCTGCACAAAACATACATGAGCCCTCTTCCATGAGATTCCTCCCACTGCTCACCTTCCTCTTCTGTTCTATGTCCCCTATCTTCTTTATTTTCAAATAATTGTTTCTGAATAAGTCCACTTTCTCCGATTATTTCTTTCCTTTGGTTTCCTCTTATTATAATAGTTTTATATTACAACCTGCATTGATATGTTGACTTACAGATTCCCCACTCTCCACCAGCTGTAAGACTGACCTCTCTCACAAGACCCAGAAGCTTCCTGAAGGTGGGACCCTCCCCCAGTCTTCTTCCTCAGAGGTTGTCCTGTCTGTACACAGGACATGCCTCTGCTAATGATATTAATGCTCCCCACTGAAGCAGCCCTCATGGTATAACTATTGGGATATTATATCAAACAACCATGAGGAACACAATCTTATTCTGTCAATTTTCAAATTGCCACCTGCCTTGAACTTGGCACTGAATCTCCCCAAGATTACAAATTCAGTTTCATGACTTCAAAGTGTTACAAAACAAAACAAAAAAACAAGTACAGTCACCAAAGGAATTTATCTCCTTCATTCATGGTAGATAAATACTATTCTCTTTGAAGACATTTTAGGATGAGAAGCTCCATTTTGTTTCCTATTTGTACAATTAATCCCACATTCTCAGGTCATGACTTGATTTTCCAAAATGAAAATCAATTCCAGAGCCAAGAGTAATCTTGGTCCCTATCAGTCCTAACTCTTATCAACATGTTTTGGAAGGTCTCTAGGAATGGAGAAGTTATTTATGAGTCGCTTTCAACAGTTTGGCAAATACTTCCTTAGATTAACCTCACTCTCAAATGCTGACTCTTTACTTCCTCTAGTTTAGCCCTGTGTGGTTAGAGAGAAAAACGTGGTCTACCACTCCCTTTTATCTCCTACATATTGCTCAGGATACTAGCCTTATGTATGTATGTATGTATGTATGTATGTATGTATGTATGTATGTATGTATTTATTTGAGATGGAGTCTCATTCTGTCGCCTAGGCTGGAGTGAAGTGGCGCAATCTTCACTCACTGCAACCTCCACCTCCTGGGTTCAAGCAAATTCTCCTGCCTCAGCCTCCCGGGAAGCTGGGACTACAGGCTTGTGCCACCACGCCTGGCTAATTTTTTGTATTTTTAGTAGAGATGGGGTTTCACCGTGTAAGCCAGAATGGTCTCGATCTCCTGACCTCGTGATCCACCCACCTTGGCCTCCCAAAGTGCTGGGATTACAGGCGTGAGCCACCGCTCCCAGGTAGCCGGGGTTTGCCATTTATTCATTCTATCCCTTAGCCTCAAGGTGCTAATCAATCAAGATAAAAACAAAGCACTTAGGCAGCGCCTGACACATAGCAGGTACCCAACAATGTTAGTTCCCTTTCTCTCCCTTCTTTCTCGCAACACCATACATGTTCCTCGGCCTTTCTGGGCATTTTTTACTGGTTAAAGATGGTACTGAACCAAACAAACTAATCTTCTTTTGTAGCTCTAACATTCTGTGACTCTAATTCGCATATTCTCGTTTGTTCTTCTATGCACTGCCATCATTTGGATCTAAAATGAGTGGCAGAGGAATACTACTAGTCTCTAGGTTGACTTAGCATACCTAAAACCACTTGCAGGAGTTTTGAAATTCAAACAATACAAATAACTGTTTAATGTGATGCATCCATGTCATTCCTCCTTATTCTTGAATTACTCTCTTGAACTATGTAGATAACAGTGTTAAGTAAATGTCCTTACATATTGCTTAACATATTTGCCCATCTTTTCTAGTTTCCCTACAGAAAATGTCTTCATAGTATCCTAGGGGTTCTTGGCCCATCCTCCAACCCTAAAGGTAAGACTACTGTAATTAAGGGGAATTCTTTACTCAGTATTGGTGCTTTAATGGGGTCTTCCTGAAATGAACTGTGAATCTCTAAGAAAATTATCCTATAAATTTCACTAACTCAACCATAATTTTTCCTTCCATCCTGTATCCCTCTCTTCTTTATAAGCAATTATATCCAAGCTGGGCGCGGTGGCTCACTTTGGGAGGCCGAGCACTTTGGGAGGCCGAGGCGGGTGGATCACAAGGTCAGGAGTTCAAGACCAGCCTGGCCAGCATGGTGAAACCCTGTCACTACTAAAAATACAAAAAATTAGCTGGGCATGGTGGCACGCACCTGTAATCCCAGCTACTTGGGAGGCTGAGACAGGAGAATTGCTGGAACCTGGGAGGTGGAGGCTGCAGTGAGCCGAGATCACACCACTGCACTCCAAGAAGAGCAAGTCCATCTCAAAAATAAATAAATAAATAAATAAATAAATAAATAAATAAATAAAAATAAGGAATTATACCCCAAGTCTCTTTCTGCAGCCCAGCTACCAGACTCTTCTAGTTCTCCCTTCTTACCCTTATTTCCACCTCTTATATTGCTTCATTTTCTGAGACTTTTGGTCCCCTAACAGAAATTATAAATATTAACACTAGTATAAGGCCAAACTAAAAAGTTCCAGACTTTAAAAAAGGGACCAGGCTACTAAGCTTTCTTTAGGTCTTTGAATTCAGCCTGTTTTCTCCAGGTCCAAATGCATTCAAAATTGCATTAGCCTTGGTGAGGAGGGTCATCTACAAGCTGATCCTCACCAAGGGTGTCCCTCATTAGGCACTATTGTAGTTCTGAGACTGAGGAGGGAGAAGGATCCCCTCCTAGAGAGTCCATCAGATAGGCCCCTTAGGTAGAGAAAAGACATCCTCCAAGACTCAGACTTTGTTCTTTACTTAGCTCTGACTGCTATATGGTGGACTTCTTAAAGGTTTCTTCATGCTGCCTCCCTCAGGGTTGGTTTGGCCTGGATAAAATGCCCTTCATTCCTTTAGAGCTGTCAATACTATCTGTAGTTTACAAACATGCCAGAGCAAGATATCAAAAAGTCCATCCATTTACAGGTCCTAGAGAACCTGGGTCTAAGTAAATTTATTTCATGGCTATACCTTCTTATTCCACAGAAGTATGCTGTAGCTGAAGGTTGCAAATTGAGAATGGTCCACTAACAAACTACCCACTTAGAGGGTATGAAAGACAAACTCAGTATCAGTCTCTTTCTCTCAGCCTTGGAGTACTAATTTTTTGAGATAAGAGATATGAGAGAAATCCAGTGGTCAAAGTGTTTTGGCACCCCAGTGATTAATCACCAGGACATTAAAGCAACTCTTATCTGCTTTCTCTTAGATACCAGAGAGCCCTCTTCTCACCAAGCTTTACTTCCCACAGACACCATCTGCAACTGAGCTTAGAAATGTCATCAGCAAAAGCAACAATCTCAGGATATGGAAGAAGAGGATAAAAAGGTGAAGGTTGAAAGAGGGGAAGCAGGAAGACAGAAAGATGACTCCCTGCCTTTCCTGGCCAGGGTACAAAATAATCTTTTGTACCCTACATAACACAAATGAAAAGCTCCTTTCATAGCTCCTAGCAATAAGAAAGTATGGTTAGTTTACTTTCTCCTTCACTTTCCACTACAGTAGGTTGAGGATCCAGATAGACATTTGTCTTCTGAATTGACTCTCATTACCTTTCAAAACAATGAAATAGCAGTAACTCTAAATACCTGGTAGGGTTAAGCAATCAATACCGATGGTAGGCCTAAATTATTCCAGTTGAATGGTGAGTGGGGAGAAAGAGAAATAGGGAAAAGAAGTGGGTGGATAGGAGATGGAGAGACAGTTGCGTACAGTAAGGAGTACCACCAGTAATTCCTTCAGGTGTCGTACTCCCCCAGTCTTTCAACTCTGGCTTGGAGTAATCTCCTACTTGAGAGAATTCCTAATTAGGAACACTGGAGGTGTTCCTACAGATAAGAACTGTCACACCTGGACAGTAAAATTAACCAAAGTGTCCAGGAATGCTCACCTTGCCTCTCAGGACAACCAGAAGACTCAGCAGTTCCACCTCTCCCTTGGAATGGTTGAGTGCTTCCTCCCTTGAGGAATTCCCCATTCCCATTCCACTTAGCCCTTATGGATGATTAGGATATGAAAAGTCACTCCATAGTTAAAAAACAGTCAAGCTATGAGGCAATCTTTAATAACAATGGAAATCCCAAGATCAGCACCAAGAGCATTAACTGTTTACTTCTTTGAGGCATTAACCATACAGTTAAGGATGCCTATCTAGGAAAGAACAGTGCCTAAGAAATTGAGGTACTGAACAGCATGGTTTCTGGTTAGAAATGGCCTTGGGTATGACAGAAAAATCTAGGTTAGTAAGGTCCTCAGCCTTTAGGCCCAGAATTGAAAAGACACTGCTTCAATTTTCACTGCTATGAAGTGAAAACAGTATTTTCTAGTAGGTTGAAGTTTATACCCCAATCATGAACTTGCAACCAGGAACACATAATTCCAGAAATTGGAACAATCTTGAGCTCTCCATTCTCCTTATAAGATGTGACTTAGCCCACAGGAAAGGGAACACCACTTAAACTTTTGAGGATTCAAAAACAGGTTAGCAACTCTCATCATCACCAGTTTTTGAACTCAACTTCCTTCTAATTTCCCTTGCTCTGGTGTATCCCTTAACCTTCCTGTATGACTTGCTCACCCCATTTACAACTTCAGATACCTATCGCCCTTCTTTCTTTCTCCTAGTGGACTTTATCTGCCCTCTGCCCATTTGTCATAACTAGCAGGATTGCAGCACATACCACAGGGGCAAATTTATCCTGTGTTCTAAGCCATGAAAGAGAAGGGGAAGCAATTCTGTCTTCAGGTGGAGATGGGAAAGATTTTGGAAACAATAGAGATTTTAACTTTTAAACAACTTTTTGATTCACTTTCTGGATTGGCAACGCATCGGGAAATCTCAGCAAAGGTAGGTACACTAATCCCCATGCTGACTCTGCATGTAATAACATGGGAACTGAGGTAGGGTGGGTGGTGAAGTCTGGTTTAAGACTATCCTTTGGGTCTAAACAGCCTCTTACCAACTTCCCTTGATGACAGTTGAGCTCAAACCCACTTACCTCTCCTGTCAGGAGGAGTCAGGGTACATGAAGCTCAACTCTTTTGATGGTTTGGTACCATTATTTGTATAACTTTTCTACTTTAAAAAAATCACATTTCATGGTTTTTCCCAACTCATTTATTCTCTAGTTCCTAGTCTAGCGTTTTCAAGCACCTCTTCAAATCCTGATAACCTTTTGCTGGGAGGGGGAGTTAATGAGTCTATAATGATTCTGAGACAGAGAACCCCTAAGATAAAGTGGAGGAAAAACGTCCTTTATACATGATTAGATATGCTCAGGGGGTACAGATTAAGAAGTAAATGCAATGGAGCAAAAGTGGTATAGTAACAGGAAATATTTAATTTTCCAATCTCCACTTTCCATTTTTATAAACTGAAAGAAAAAAATTTAATATATTACAAAATATCTGTACATAGACAAGATACACCCAATGGGGGTCAAAAACGAGAGAGAAAGGAATCAGTGTCAGGAACCTAAATCAGGGAGAATGAGGTGGCAACTGACACTTTTCTGATGCAGCATTCTCTCTCAAAACCTGCTGGTAACCATTTTAGCACGGTAACTATATATGCATATTATATATACACACACACATACAAGTGGTTGGGTGATGTCTATGGCATAAGCTAATAGAAGTTCTACTTGCAAATTTGTGCTAACTGCCCTGCTTTAAACGTATAGATTTGATGTTGCTTTCAAATACTTATCGTTCCTATGGACAGTTGAAGAAAAAACTAAGGAAACTGGGTCAAGTATATTTGTTTTCAAAACCACAAAAATGATCACGGTCAAACCAGTTTTGCCTCCCACTCATGAACAGAATCAGATTTCTCATCTGTTCAAAATAATGTATTTAATAGACAATATCTCTCATTGTACAATAATTAAAACAAAACGAAAACCACTTTTGAATGGAATTAATTGGGTCTGTAATTTTCAAATAGTCAAGGTGAAATTCTGCCAAACCTTTACTTCCATCATGTTTATAGATAACGTAACTGAAAAATTAACAAATACCTTTTCTTCCTCCATACAGATTCCAGGATATTTAAATAAGTTTTTTTTTCTCCTCTGCTTTTAGAAATAGTCAAAACTACCAAACTTTGTTTTCATTTTAAAAGACTCCCAAAATGGGGGTGGGGGTGAGATGGGATCATACATACACATACACTCACACATACACTCACCCCCTTCCCTAGTAGGGATGAGGGAATGGAGGCTTAAGTATATTATTTAGGATATTTGGCATAATTAAAAATAAGAGGTGGGAGAGGGGAGGGAAAAACATTATTGATGACTGCTGATAACCAAAATACAATGAAATATATAGAGAATTTTATTCATATTTGATGGGAAACCAACTTTTTTTCATTGAACAGATACTTCTGAAAGTATCCCAGGCTCACGTTCTTTAATAAAAAACAGGGAGTGGGGCCCAATAACTCAAATTCAAATATTCTAAAACACAAAGGCCCATGTCTGAGGACTAAGAAGTCAACAGACAGAAGGTTCAGATGAACTTTAATGCGATTTACCAATAGCATGTCAGTAAGCCTAGTAAATCTAACTGGACACACTGGTATAAAAAGCCATCAATGCCAAAATAGCTAGAAGGCTCTCTTTCTAAATCAGTGTTTGGCCCTGGAGGCAAGGCCAGATCAAAAACCAGAGAATAATAAAGAAATACACACACCGATATCTAGCTATATCTCATTAACAGGGGAAAACAGTCTTCAAGTAAGTATCTGAAGAGGGTTCTTCTTTCATTTCTTTAAAGTTTTTTTTTTTTAAGTAATGCACCTTTCTCTTATAAGTAGATTTTATTTTTTAAAATAAGAACTTGGCATTGAAACATGAAACTTGAGTTTTGAAAACTACCCTCCAAGATGCTGAAGTATGTTTACTTTTTCTTTGTAAAAGGGGGCTTAACCTATGTTTCCTGAAGGTCTAAGTCTGTGCAGATAAATTATATGACATGTATCTGTTTTTAAAACACTCTATATGCTGGTACTCACATAGAAATAGAAGCCAGAATGAGAAGCCTCCCAAATTATCCCATCCTGACAGCCCTTCCCTTTTTCATTTCCTGTTTATGATAAGGCAAAGTTCTTGCCTGGAAGCACAATTTAACCCCTTTTACCAAAACCAAATCCAAATCTCTTTGGAGGAAAAATCCCTAAAAGAACTGGCAGGGTACACATGCTGGGATGTGGGTATGTCAATACTGTTCTTCCTCACAGTATGCTGTTTTAAAATTATTTTTTTAAAAAAGGTCAGGTATTGATGTATCTTCAGAAAAATACCCACCCTAAACTAGGTTACATTTCCATGTATCTTCAGGATTTGTTTTTCTCTTTGACAATATCACAATGCTCTGTTTGAAAGGTTTTTGTTTTTTTTTTGACATAAAAATATATGTGTAAACAATATGCTAAATGCTGTTATTAGCCCTCTAGGAATGGAGGCATCATCTCTAACCACAGCTCAGCAGCAATGTCCAAGCTGTCCACACTTACAAATCAACTTCCCCATCAGAACATGGTTTAAAAAACAAAACATTTTAGAATTGAAGAGTTACAGAGAACAATGTAAGAGTCTGAATTTCCTTTCCTTTATTTCAAAAAAAGTAAAGAATTATCCCAGGTTCTTGGGCATCTCAACGATTTTTTCCAAACAAATGCCTCAAAGAGAGAGAAACAGCGAGAGCGAGCAAGCGAGACAGAGAGAGAGAGAGAGAGAGAGAGAGAGAGAGAGAGAGAGAAAGAGAGAGAGAGAGCACACATCAGCAAAAAAGGAAAGAGACTGGGTAAAGTCTACCTACTTGCCCAAGAATGCCACGTTCTACAACCTGCTTTATGTGCAGGGAGAAGGGCGTATCTTTTGTCAAAGTGGAGTAAACTTTAAGGATGAGTAATTTATTTGGAAAAAAAGTATGTTCAAGATGCTCAATGGGGAAAAAGTGTTCACTTAAAAGCAAAATGTGAGATGGTGGAGAGGAAAGAAACATTTATTCAAATCAGCCAGGCCACTCTGTTTCCCTTATAGCAAAAGCCAAAGAGCAGCTCAAATTTTGTGAACACTATTCTCTTTAAAGGAAAAAAACCCAAAACACCTAAATTAAAATTCAAAAGAAAGAAACCACACACAATCCCCCACCCCAAAACTTTAAAAATCAAAGAGCCTCTCCTGAGCCATCTCAATACTGAAACTGTTCTTTCTCTCTTCCGATCAGTAAGTGCAGGCAATGAACTAATAAAACATTTACTTTTCAATGTAATGATCCTCTCCATATTCTCTACTTGTATCTACTAAGGTAGAGTTGAAGTAAATGTTCTGGCTATAGCCCATCCAGGGGGAACTGGTGCCAACATCATTATTTCGTAAGTCGCCTGCTAGTAGCAAGTGAGCAAGGAATACAACGGACAGCTTTGCAGTAGCCAAATGCAGATGATTACCTCGCTCTGGCAAATGATTTCATTAAAGATTCAGAGAACTGGATGGAAGGATGGATAGGAAAGGAATCTTTCAGGACACTGAAGTCTCTGGGTTAGTAAGGAACTCCTCTCCCTCTTCCCCCTCTTGGTGGGACTCTTGTAGGCCCCCGATAGAGTTTTCCATAAGCAGAAGACTGAGTTGGGCCCCCCCAGTGAAGGCCTGCTCCTGAGCTGCTGGCCCCAGTGGTTCCTGGCCCCAGCTCCCCATAGTTTTGCAATTTGGTCTCTGCATGTACCACAGAATTGCTGCTTCCCTCAGCCTTCAGGAATGGTTGCCCGACCACCGGGTGTAACGCTAAGGGGACCCTGGCAAAACGGAGGTCCTGGTCCCCTGGAAACTGCACTGACCCTGTGCCCTGGTAACTGCTGGACTCCCCAAGGTGGCTCAGAGAGCCTGAGAAGGTCCTGTTCTTCACCAGGGTCTGGACCAAGGATTCTGTCAAGGCTGGACCAGAGTTTCGTTCATCAGTGTCAATGGCACTGAACCCTGTTTCAGGCCCATCAGTGTTTCCATAAGTCCTGTTTGGACGGGGTCGGGTGGAGTACTCCATTGGTCTCAAGGCCTGGTGCTCATGTGGCAGGTGGCCAGGAGGCTCTGCTTCAGGCTGGGATAAAAGTTGCAGCAAGGCGGCTGTCACGGCTGGGTTCAACTCCTGGGGGGCGCTGGAAAGATCGCCTTCAACCAGAGGGGGTGGAGGTGGCGGCGGTGGAGGTCCGGGGGGCTCAGGGGGCCTCTTCTCTGGTGGAAGAATGTGAGGAGGACATGCTGTGGAAGGGTTACTTCTTTTAAACACCATCTTAAAAAGCACATGTGATTATAAACACAAACACACACACTGTGCAACATAAACAAATATCAATATAAGTAACCAGATATATAAAGAATAAAATCTTGGGATCAGAAAATTGCAATTATAAATAAATCAAGTGATTAAAAGTAAAACAGTTGCATCCTGGATCTAACAGCTAGTGTAAAAATATCATATGTTTCAAATGATTATCCTGATTTTGGTCTAAGATTTCCTCCATTTCCTTCCTTTAAAGAACTGTTCTAACATGCAGGCTGTTGGCAGACTCCCTGCCCCTTTTTGCTGTTAGATGGAAACATTAAAACAAAGCAGAAGGAAGGAAGATGAGAGGGAACAATATACATGCTGTGGTCACATTTCTAGGACATAATCTTGCTCTACAACAGAGACCTTGCATGGACTTGGCTAACACATTTTACAGAATGTTTGATGACATAGGTTAACCTGAAATAAAACTTAAAGAATATATAGGAGAGATAAAATAAAGTAAAAAGTTTTCATTACTGTCATGTATAAAAATACACTTGCTTCTCCAAACTTTAGTCACGTCTCCCCAAAATCATAGTCTGAAAGGATTGTAACTACCATATTATCATTCAGCTTCCTATGTTACAGTAATTTTAAAGACTAATTTCTATCATAATTTTCTATTTTGTTTTCCTAACTACTGCATTTTTTTCCATGCTATGAAAAAAAAATCACTATAGCAGTGTCATGCAGAATGAACTGTTGATAAACATCTGTTTATCTTGGAGACGGTGACAAGAACTAAATATTTAGAAATATATTAAATTCATACTATACTCTGTCTTTACAAAGATCTTTTGTCTTTCTTGAACTACTTCCACCAGACTTTCTTTTTTCCACTGCTGCCTAAATGTGCTTAAGCATGATAAACATTGTCTGATAATGAACTCCTGCCAAGGCAGGAGAGGAGAGATGTAAAATGGTATGAGTTTGAGGACAAAGAAAACCACTGAGACAGAAGTATGGTAGAACAATGCCTTTAGAAAATTGAGAGTCATCCTGCTGAAGAAAAGATTTAATGTTTTGGGATATCTTCCAAATGACCGATTTTTCTTTTCCCTATGGAAGCATATTTTAAAATATATATATAGTCATTCTTCAATTATCTAAGCTGTGATGTAAAGTCATTACTCAAAACAAGCCAAAAACAGTTTTTAGTTATAATTAGATATTTTTGTAGCATATTTACCTTAATTATATTTTGCAAAGACAATCAGTAATTAAGTTTGTATTCCCTTAGCATGCAGATGAAAGCACTCTGAAAACACTACAAAATTGTAAGGTTGTACAGTACAAAAGATGGTCAGGTGTTACATGTAACATCCAAGCAGGGTGACCAACAGTCCCAGTTTGTCTGGGACTGAGGGGGTTTTCCAGGTTGTCAATGTTCAGCTTTAAAACCGGGACAGTTCAGGAATGAATTGGTGACCCTATGTATAGTACCCACCCAAGTTATTTGTTGACTGATTGGCTGGTTGACAGGGTGGCAGGGGAAAATGAATTTAAGGACAAAAAATTAGCCATGGAAAATTTTGAACATGGAGAGTAGACATGCTGAAAAAGGAGGGCAAACTGGACTACAAGTAATGATAGATTTCAGAGCCTTTTGCTTTCAACACTCTCTATATAAGGACATCACTGTACCAGTTATTTAAAAAGTATTTCTGGACTACACATAAAATGGAACACGAGGATTTTTAATACCGAGGTCAAATAACTTAAAAATGTGTAACTGTAAAAGTGAGATAATCTAAACTTACATTCTTCCAGCTATGCCATTTTTTTGTATTCAAACTGTGCCTTTTATGTAAATAGCCTAATTATGTTTCAACAGAACTAACACTTGAGGTCAAATTCTTTCATATGTGTAAAATAAAAATTCTATTCCAAAGTAGCAAAGGCTGGGCATGGTGGCTCATGCCTGTAATCCCAGTACTTTGGGAGAACAAGGAAGGCAGATCACTTGAGGTCAGGAGTTAGAGACCAGCCTGGCCAACAAGGTGAAACCCCGTCTCTACTAAAAATACAAAAAAATTAGCCGGGCCTGGTGTCACACACCTGTAATCCCAGCTACTAGGAGGCTGAGGCAGGAGAATCGCTTGAACCTGGGAGGTAGGGTTTGCAATGAGCTGAGATCACGCCACTGCACTCCAGCCTGGGTGACAGAGCGAGACTCCATCTCAAAAACAAACAAACAAAAAAACTTATTAAAGTAAGCCTAATACTTCTTAAAGGAATTAAAAATATGAATTATAAATCATATTGTTATGATCTAAAGTATCAATGTTGTCAATCCTTAAAAGTATGGACTTTTGGCTGGGTGTGGTGGTTCACACCTGTAATCCCAGCACTTTGGGAGGCTAAGGCGGGTGGATCACCAGAGGTCGGCAGTTCAAGACCAGCCTGGCCAACACAGTGAAACCCCATCTCTACTAAAAATACAAAAAAAAATTAGCCAGGTGTGGTGGCAGGTGCCTGTAATCCCAGCTACTTGGGAGGCTGAGGCAGGAGAATTGCTTGAACCCAGGAGGCAGAGGCTGCAGTGCACCAAGATCGCGCCATTGCATTCCAGCCTGGGTGACAGAGAGAGACTCTGTCTCAAAACAAACAAAAAAAAAGTACGGACTTTCAGGATTGACAACAATAAGGATGTATTATTGAAATGTAAAAATAAATTTAAAACTTCAGGCCGGGGGTAGTGGCTCAAGCCTGTAATCCCAGCACTATGGGAGGCTGAGGCGGGCAGATCACCTGAGGCTGGGAGTTCGAGACCAGCCTGGCTAACATGGTGAAACCTCGTTTCCACTAAAAATACAAAATTAGCTGGACATGGAGGTGCATGCCTATAATCCCAGCTACTCAGGAGGCTGAGGCAGGAGAATCGCTTGAACCCAGGAGACGGAAGTTGCAGTGAGCCAAGATCATGCCATTGCACTCCAGCCTGGGCAATGGAGTAAGACTCCGCCTCCAAAAACAAACAAATAAACAAACAAAACCCTTCATTTTACTCATTTGATTTCAACTTATCACCCTTCCCAGTAAGTACAGAATAGTAAAACAGCAGCCCAATTAATAGGCTGTCACCTTCTCTGGTTTATACAGTCTGCCCTCTGGTGGAAGTGCTAATTAACAGTGAAATGGCCAAATAGAGATAGCAGGGGAGAAACAAGAACAAGTGAGCCACTGTAGAGGCATCAGCTGAATAATCCAGGGGTGACTGCAATAATTAGTTACGGCATCTCTACACTTTCCTCTGAAAAGTAAATCCAACAACTTCTGGCCATAGGCCAGGCCTTAAAACATATACTTTCTGCACCACCTCATATGAAATGTGAATGTAGGACCCTAAAGTTGAAGATTAGTATATCTCTTCAGCCCTCGAGCCTCTTCTTATTCCCCAATTCATGGGGTCTTCATGGACAGTGAGAATTTCCGAGGAGTTAAAAACATTTTTACATAAGTAAAGATTTTGCAAATACAGTGTGAATCAGAATTAAAGAACTTAAACTGCTTTTCCCTCTAATAAATTGCACGCTATGGTCATGTGAGATTAACGTATAACTTATCCCCATTTTCCTTTTTTTTCTTTATAATACACGCACTTCCTGATCTGGGGTCCATTCAATTGCTTCTATCAGAAACAGATTTAAAGGAATTGTTCTTATACACTATTATTTTTGGGAAAAGAAATGTATAGTGTTAATTATCTACTTAGAAATATTCCCAAATTATTCTTCAGGAAATTAACAATGATATTTTATTAGGGTTTTCTTGATTGTATCTTCCAGGAAAGACTGGCATTCAGCATCCACTCCACTAGAGGTAAAGAAGTATAGTCTGATAATGGTTTGTTTGGAAGTCAGATTTCCAAGTGCTAGGACTAGTTGGCCACCACACACAGTTCAAGATGTGTGGTTCAAGATGCATCACTAGCTATGGTTGTGGTTTCCTTGGTTAGAACACAGGGGCTTTACTTACCTATCTCCTAGGAGGTGGAAAAACAATCAGTATAGGAAAGGTGCTTTGGGAAGCTTTGAGACTTAAATAAAAGAAGCCAAGCAAGAAATACATTACTTGGTGCTATGTTCTCCTGTAGACTAGGTTACAGAATAACTGAAACCAAGGCCATTGATGTGGGGGAAAAAAAATGTTAAGAGATTTTTAAGAGGGTATCAACAGCACCTGAGCTCAATGAGATTCATGACCGGTCTGTTTACCTGCTGCCTCCTCCTGTGGCATTGTGGGAGTTCTTCGGGGCCCCTGTGGCCCACTGTTCTTGTCACTGTTGTTTTCCTCCAGACTGCCTGCTGGCTCTTGGGTTTTCATCAGCTGACTCAAGAGAACTGCCAATATATTCTGCATGTCAGCTGGTGTGCTTGAAGCTTCAAGGGTCGTCTGTTCTGCTGAAGGCAGGATCACTGGGGCAGAGGGTGCTTCCTTCAAAGACTCCTCTGGGGCCATGGTCTCTGAGTCCTGCTGCTGGGAAGTAGCTTCCGTCAGGGCACTGATGGATTGGTTCAGGGCTTCCAGCTGCTGCTGCATCTCTGGGTTGGAGTGGATGTTAAGCAGCTGTGCCATTTGAGGGATGCTCAGGTCGGTTTGGCTCTGCAGCAGGTTTAATAACACTGCCAATTCACTTTGATTCAGCTGTTGTGTGATGTCAGCAAGGCCTGTTGAAAGACAGTGAAGCCAATATAAGACGATGAGATAGGCCAAGGGCCCTTTGCCTTCTTCAACTGGCAACAGCAACTTACAATATCCAAAAAATGAAATTTCATTTTAAATGTCTCATTTTTTCATGCCTCAAAATGTCATGACACATTTTGTTACTCTTTATGCTTTCGCTTAAGAAATACAGGCACTAATAACTAAAACATCTCTGGATTGTGCATAAAAGTGACTTCACTTTATCTGTATTTTTCAAGTTCTGTGATTTTCAATCCTTTATTATACATCAGAATTACTAAGAGAGATTTAAAAATCTCTCCTATTCAGATGCCTCAGGACCCATCCCTAGAGATAGGCAATCGTATAGGCATATTTGTTTTTAAAGCTTCCAGGATGATTCTAATATACAGCCAGTATTAAAAGCCACTGCTATAAGTGAAGAGGGGAAAGTGAACCAGAAAAAGAGTATCTTTTGTCCCGAAGAATTGGTCATAACACAGGAGAACTACTTTGTTATAACAGTTCAATATGACATAGTTTCAGATACATTTAGATCAAAATAACAGTCTATAGAACAACATTTAGCAATTGTAATTTAACACTACTAGATTCTATGAAGGTCTTATCAAATCTAATATAAACAAGGCTCCAAATTATGTGTTTCATAAAGTCATGGGTGAACTAACCTTAAATTAAATTTGGCTTACCTAATTCACTGATTTATGCCACACATCTAATTGAGATACAGTGTTCCGTACATATTTCAGGAAAGGAAAATGATCTATTGTAGACTTTCTGGACCATATGTACGAAACTTGGTTAATCTCCTTCTCACCATAATGAGGACATTAACCTCTTTCCTAATGGTTCACTGGACCAAAAACTAAAAAACAGACACACACACAAACTCCTTACACTTGACCTTCAAAACCTGCCAAATACGCTTAGCAAAAGCACAAAGGCCCCATTCTGGCACTGACCTATTGCATCCCCAGCCCCAGACTCCACCTTGCCAGGAGCAGGCTGAGGTGGTGCTGGGCTGCTGTTCTTCACAGGCTCAGTACTTGTCCCTGAGGTAGTTTCTTTTCGAGAAGTTTTGGATGGAGGTGGCTCTTCGACTACAACACCACTTTGTCGCTGACGTCGCCGTTTCTTACTCCACAACTCATGGCAATCCTGCCAGTGGGGGAGGCTGGAAAAAGACAAAGCAAAGGGGAAATATGTAAGGGAATGCAGCAGTGAATGAATGGAGGAGCAAAGGATTAAAATGGGAAGGCAAAGACTGTGGGAAATGTAAAGAATAAGGAAAACAAAAATAACCAAAAAAGTTAGTAAAAGTAGGTAACAGCAGTGTAAAATAAATCATGGCAGATGGTAGTCTGAGGAAATAAAAGTACGAAAGTTACATAGTGAGAAAGGAGGATCTTGCTAATACTAGGTACAGACCAGCTATATAAATTCCCATATAAATACTGTCTTTCCTTGGCATAACAACAAAAAAGGAGAACAGTATTGGTCAAGTTTCAGTAGGGAATAAAGACGAGGACAGTAATGGCTGGCTTGTTAATGTATACAGAAGGTCGAGGAAAGGCGGTGACTTAAACCATGGAACCATGTATCATGATCAAAACATCTCTGTGCAAAATCAACTTATGTGTAATTTGGTTTGTGAGGACCAAAGACTAGTTCTTTCCCCTTTCTGCCCACAGAATTTCTATGACTGGATATCAACTTGCTCATCTGTGGAGTTCAGCACTACGTATAACTTAGTCCAGAATCTCTCATACAATCAGACCAAGTAGGTCAAATCTTACTATAAATCTCTCTATAATAGGAGTTCCCAAATTTCAGTAAAACCCTTATATGTTTCAAGTCATATTCAATGTATCAACATTCTAGTGTAATAAATGAATTTGGCTGGGCGCGGCAGCTCATGCCTGTAATCCCAGCACTTTGGGAGGTAGAGGCAGGCGGATCATGAGGTCAGGAGTTCGAGACTAGCCTGGCAACATGGTGAAACCTGGTCTCTGCTAAAAATACAAAAATTAGCCAAGTGTGGTGGTGTGTGCCTGTAATCCCAGCTACTAAGGAGGCTGAAGCAGGAGGATTGCTTGAACCTGGGAGGTGGAGGCTGCAGTGAGCCGAGATCACACCACTGCACTCCAGCCTGAGCAACAGAACAAGAGTCTGTCTCAAAAAAATAAATGAATTTGGACATTTCTTTGGAGCAATCAGATTTAGAATTACTACCTACTCATGAACTAACATCCTATCCATTTTTAAGACATGTAGTCTTTCTTAAGAAAATGACCTCCAAAATTTGACATTAAAGCTATAATACTGTCACTGACAAATTCAAAGATAAAATACTTTTTTTTTCTTTTTCTTTTGAGACAGAGTCTTGCTCTGTTGCCCAGGCTAGAGTGCAGTGGTGCAATCTCAGTTCACTGCAACCTCCGCCTCCCAGGTTCAAGTGATTCTCCTGCCTTAGTCTCCCTGAGTAGCTGGGACTACAGGTACACGCCACTACGCCTGGCTAATTTTTGTATTTTTTAGTAGAGACGGGGTTTCACTATGTTGGCCAAACTGGTCTCGAACTCATGACCTCAGGTGATCTGCCTGCCTCAGCCTCCCAAAGTGCTGGGATTACAGGCATGAGCCACCGTGCCAGGCCAGATAAAAGACTTTTTATGTGCTATAATGTGGGATATGAATCTCTGAAGCTCCAATACAATACAGAGGCATTCATAAGATTTTAATTAAATAGAGACATATTAAAAGATCATATTTCTTTTATGTTACTTTAATTTTTTGAGATGGAGTATCACTCTATGGTCTAGGCAGGAATGCACTGGCACAATCTCGGCTCACTGCAACCTCCACCTCCCGAGTTCAGGCGATTCTCCTCCCTCAGCCTCCTGAGTAGCCAGGACTACAAGCATACACCACCACACCTGGTTAATTTTTTGTATTTTTAGGAGAGACGGGGTTTTACCATGTTGGCCAGGCTCTCTTGAACTCCTGACCTCAGGTGATCCATCCACCTCGGCCTCCCAAAGTGCTGGGATTACAGGTGTGAGCGACCGCGCTCGACCGAAAGATCTTATTTCTTACATCAAAATTCAGTAATCTGGCTGGGTGCGGTAGCTCACGCCTATAATCACAGCACTTTGGGAGGACGAGGCAGGCGAATCACCTGAGGTCAGGAATTGGAGACAAGTCTGGTCAACATGGTGAAACCTCATCTCTACTAAAAATACAAAAATTAGCCAGCTGTGGTGCCGGGCTCCTGTAATCCAGCTACTCAGGAGGCTGAGGCACGGGAATCGCTTGAAGCCGGGAGGTGGAGGTTGCAGTGAGTTGAGATTGTGCCACTGCACTCCAGCCTGGGTGACAGAGTGAGAGACCCTGTCTCAGAAAAAAACAAAAACAACAAAAAAAACTGGCAGTGATGCAAACCATTTAAAACTGGGACTGTTGGCCGGGTTCAGTGGCTCACGCCTGTAATCCCAGCACTTTCGGAGGCCGAGGCAGGCAGATTACCTGAGGTCGGGACTTCAAGACCAGTCTCACCAATATGGTGAAACTCTGTTTCTACTAAAAATACAAAATTAGCCAGGCATGGGGGCGCATACCTGTAATCCCAGCTACTCGGGAGGCTGAGGCAGGAAACGCTTGTGGTGAGTCGAGATCACACCACTGCACTCCAGCCTGGGCAACAAGAGTGAAACTCTGTCTCAAAAAAAATAATAACAAAAAAAACCCCAAAAAACTGGGACTATCTCTGCAAGTGTGAGATATACATGGTCACCAGAGACATGCATGATTACAGCTGGAGGAATGGTTAAGAGCAAAAACCAGAGGGAGGCCAAGCATGTGTCTCCTGCCTGTAATCCCATGACTTTGGAAGGCTGAGGCGGGAGAATCACTTGAGCCCAGGAGTTTGAGACAGTCTGGACAACATTGTGAGACTCCATTTCTACAATTGGAAAAAAAAAAAAAAAGGCTGGGAGTGGTGGCTCATGCCTGTAATCCCAACACTTTGGGAGGCTGAGGCAGGCAGATCACCTGAAGTCAGGAGTTTGAGACCACCTTGGCCAACATGGTGAAACCCTGTCTCTACTAAAAATACAAAAAAATTAGTCGGGCGTGGTGGCCTGCGCCTATAATCCCAGCTACTCAGTAGGCTGGGACAGGAGAACTGCTTGAATCCAGGAGATGGAGGTTGCAGTGAGCCGAGATCACGCCACTGCACTCCAGCCTGGGCGACAGAGCGAGACTCCGTCTCGGAAAAAACAAAAAAGGCTGGGAGCAGTAGCTCACATCTGTAATCCCGGCACCTTGGGAGGCCAAGGCGGGCGGATCACCTGAGGCCAGGAGTTCAAGATCAGCCCGGCCAACGTGATGAAACCCTGTCTCTACTAAAAATACAAAAATTAGCCGGGCATGGTGGCGTAATTCCAGCTACTTGGGAGGCTGAGGCAGGAGAATTGCTTGAAACTGGGAGGCGGAGATTGCAGTGAGCCAATATCACACCACTGCACTCCAGCCTGGATGCGAAGAGTGAAACTCCGTCTCAAAACACACAAACAAACAAACAGGCCAGGCACGGTGGCTCACACCTGTGATCCCAGCACTTTGAGAGGCCAAGATGGGCAGGAGTTCAAGACCAGCCTGGCCAACATGGTGAAACCCCATCTCTACTAAAAATACAAAAAAATGGCCAGGCACTGTGGCTCATGCCTGTAATCCCAGCACTTTGGGAGGCCGAGGTGGGCAGATCACCTGAGGTCGGGAGTTCGAGACCAACCTGACCAACATGGAGAAACTCTGTCTCTACTAAAAACACAAAATTAGCTGGGCATGGTGGCACGTGCCTGTAATTTCAGCTTGGGAAGGCTGAGGCAGGTGAATCGCTTGAACCTGGGAAGCAGAGGTTGCGGCGAGCTGAGATTGCGCCATTGTACTCCAGCCTGGGGAACAAGAGCGAAACTCCATCTCAAAAAACAAAACAAAATGAAACAAAAATACAAAAAAATTAGCCGGGTGTGGTGGCAGGCACCTGTAATCCTAGCTACTTGCAAGGCTAAGGCAGGAGAATCGCTAGAACCCGGGAGGTGGAGGAGGCAGAGCAAGATTCCATCTCAAAACAACAACAACAACAACAACAACAAAAACACGCTGGACGCAGTGGCTTACGCCTGTAATCCCAGCACTTTCGGAGGCCAGGGTGGGTCACCTGAGGTCAGGAGTTCGAGACCAGCTGGGCCAGCAAGGTGTAACCCCGTCTCTACTAAAAATACAAAAATTAGCTGGGTGTGGTGGTGTGTGTCTGTAGTCCCAGCTACTCGGGAGGCTGAGGCAGGAGAATCGCTTGAACCCTGCAGAGGTTGCAGTGAGCTGAGTTGCACCACTGCATTCCAGCCTGGGCGACAGAGACTCCATCTCAAAAATAAATAAATAAATAAATAAACCAACCCACAAAAATCTAAAAGGAATACTTTCAAAGAGGCTCTACACAACAATATTCTGGGATGGAGATCCAGGGACAAAAGAAGATAGCTTGAGTCAAATTAGAACAAGTATCAAAGCTAAATCTATTACTTATATAAAGAAAAAAACAACAAAGATAAAACAAAAAAAACAAACCTCAACCATAATACTCAAAGACACCTCTTCATTTGGGTCTTACTGGGCATCTGTGGTTCTTTTATGAGTTTCTCATCGTCTAAGGCCCAGGGAAAGATTTAGGGTCACAACATGGCTACCAGCACTTACTCTGGAGGAGCCATTTTGCTGAGTTCGACATCTTTAAGGAAGTCGCTCTGTAGGGTCTGTTCAGCTGTGCACCGCTTACTAGGATCTAGTGTCAGCATGTGGTCCAATAAATCAAGTGCTGCAGAAGGAATGCTATGGAAAAGAACACAGAAAGGACAAGTTCACAATGACCCTACAGTTCTCAAATTTGTAATTTTGTTTCAAAGGGTCTCACACCTGTAATTCCAGCACTTTGGGAGGCCAAGGTAGGACTGCGTGAGGCCAGAAGTTTGAGATCAACCTGGGCAACATACTGAAACCTCATGTCTACAAATATATATATATTTTTAATTAGCTGGGTGCAATGCTGTGCACCCTGTAGTCTCAGCTATTTGGGAGGCTGACATTGGAAAATCACTTGAGCCTAGGAATTTGAGGCTGCAATGAGTTCTTACTGCACAACTGCATTGCAGCCTGGGCAACAGAGCAAGAGCCCATCTCTTTTTAAAAAAAAAAAAAAAAAGGATGTGCAATGGTGGCTCATGCCTACAGTCCCACACAGCACTTTGGGAGGCTGAAGCGGGTGGATCGTTTGAGGCCAGGAGTTCAGGACCAGCCTGGCCAACATAGTGAAACCCCATTAGCCAGGCATGGTGATGCACGCCTGTAATTCTAGCTCCTTGGAGGGCTGAGAATCGCTTGGACCCAGGAGGCGGAGGTTGCAGTGAGCCAAGATCACACTGCTGCACTCCTCCAGCCTAGGTGACAGAGTGAGACGGTCTCAAAAAAAAAAAAAAAAAAAAAAAAAAAGTCTTTGAATTTCCATGTAAAACCAAAGAAAGCAAGCTGGAGGTTGGCTAACACAAGCAAGCAGATTTGCTCCCACACAGGATTTAAGAAATGCTGGGCCGGGCACAGTAGCTCATGCCTGTAATCCCAGCACTTTGTGGGGCCGAGGCGGGCAGATAATCTGAGGTCAGGAGTTCGAGACCAGCCTGGCTAACATGGTGAAACCCCGTTTCTACTAAAAATACAAAAAATTAGCTGGGTGTGGTGGCACGTGCCAGTAATCCTTGCTACTCAGGAGGCTAAGGCAGGAGAATCACTTAAACCCAGGAGGCGGAGGTTGCAGTGAGCCGAGATGATGCCACTGCACTCTGGCTTGGGCAACAAGAGCGAAACCCCATCTCAAAAACAAACAAACGAGAAATGCTGTGCTATAACACAAGTAAAAAATATGGCCAATTCTGGCTAGGTGTGGTGGGCTTACACCTATAATCCCAGCTCTTTGGGAGGCTGAGGTGGGCAGATCACTTGAGGTCAGGAGTTCAAGACCAGCCTGGCCAACATGGTGAAATGCCATCTCTACTAAAAATACAAAAATTAACTGTGCATGGTGGCGGGTGCCTGTAATTCCAGCTACTTGGAAGGCTGAGGCAGGAGAATTCCTTGAACCTGGGAGACGAAGGTTGTGGTGAGCCAAGATCGCGTCACTGCACTCCAACCTGGGTGACACACACAAAAATATGGCCAGTTCTATCCATCTATTAAAGTTAAAAAAAGTAAAATAAAATAACAGAGAGGGAAAAAAGTAAGAAGAAAACAAAACCAAAACATGGCCAGGCGTGGTAGCACGAGTGATCTTCCTGCCTCAGCCTCTCAAAGTTTAAGCCCAGCAATTTGGGGGGCTGAGGCAGGAAGAGCACTTGAGCCCAGGAGCTCAAGACCAGCCTGGGCAACATTAGGAGACCCTATCTCTACACGGAAAAAAAAAAAATGCCAGGTGTGGTGGCGGGTGCCTGTGGTCCCAGCTATTCAGAAGGCTAAGGTGGGGCCGGACTCAGAGGCTCACGCCTATAATCCCAGCACTTTGGAAGGCAGAGGTGGGTGGATCACAAAGTCAGGAGTTCAAGACCAGCCTGGCCAACATGCTGAAACCCTGTCTCTACTAAAAATACAAAAATTAGCTGGGTGCAGTGGCAGAGGCCTCTAATCCCAACTACATTGGGAGGCTGAGGCAGGAGAATCACTTGAACTTGGGGGGCAGAGGTTGCAGTGAGCCAAGATCATGCCACTGCACTCCAGCCTAAGTGGCAAAGTGAGACTCTGTCTCAAAAAAAAAAAAAAAAAATGAAGGCTAAGGTGGGAGGATTGCTTGAGCCCAGCAGGTCAAGGCTGCAGTGAGCCCTAAACGTGCCACTGCACTCCAGCCTGGACAACACAGCAAGACCCTGTCTCAATTTAAAAAACAAACAAACAAAACCCATGAAGCCAACAATTCCATTCTCTTTTTCTCATGGAAAGATCAAGAAGGCTATGAGAAAATTTATATATTGTTCAAAATAAAATGGTTTTCTATTGTCTAAAGCCTTCAGAAGAGAAAATTACAAAAGGGCTATGATAAAACTCATATACTGTTCGAAACTAAAATGTTTTCCTACACTGTGTTGCCATGATAAACTGGGACAACATTAACTACCCAGACCAGGAAAAAGCCAAGTCCCAACACCAGCCAGACACAGAAACGAGATGTTCATTTTCCCCAAACTCACAAAGAGAATTCTTCTCGTAGACGCCTTCGATATTGCTTCTTCGGTTTCATGGTGTTGAAGTAGGGCAGTTTGATAACATCAGGCCACACAGCTGGACAAGGGCTACCACAAAGTCGGCTGAAAACAAAGCAAAAGCAAGAACAATGGAGTGAGTGAGTCAACATCATGAATTCCGGAGGTTTCAGAAGCAGAAATTATTACCTCCTGAGGTCTGGGGAATCTTTGGTTATTACATTACAGGGCATGCAGAAAGGAAAATATGACATTACTGCTTTAAGGGCAGAAAGGCAGAGAACAGAAAGAACTGGTTATAACAGAGGAAAGAAAAAATACTCGGATAATAATCCTAAATGATCCACATTATTTGGATTTGTGAAATGTTTTAATCCCCCCATACAGGTTTTTATTACCAGTTTTGTTCTGTTCAGTTAGTAGTAATTACAAAGGGCTAAGATGATCCTATAGTATCCCTATAGGGTAAACTGTGAGATGAGAAGAGAGTATAAGACTGAAAATTTTGAGAGATAATCAACAGTTTACCAAATAACAACAACAAAAATATCACCTTTATCACCTTTAAAAAATGTCTACATTGGCCGGGCACGGTGGCTCACGCCTGTAATCCCAGCACTTTGGGAGGCCGAGGTGGGCGGATCATGAGGTCAGGAGATCGAGACCATCCTGGCTAACATGGTGAAACCCCGTCTCTACTAAAAATACAAAAAAATGAGCCGCGTGTGGTGGTGGGCACCTGTAGTCCCAGCTACTCGGGAGGCTGAGGCAGGAGAATGGCTTGAACCTGGGAGGTGGAGCTTGCAGTGAGCCAAGATCACGCCACTGCACTCCAGCCTGGGTGACAGAGCAAGATTCCATCTCAAAAAAAAAAAAAAAAAAAAGTCTGCATTAGGCTGGTGTGGTGGCTCACGTGTGTAATCCCAGCACTTTGGGAGGTCAAGGTGGGAGGACTGTTTGAGCCCAGGAGTTCCAGCCCAGGCAACAAACATAATGAGACCCTATCTCTACAAAACAAATGAACGAAAAATAGCTGGGACTACAGGTGTAGTCCAAGCTACTCAGGAGGGTAAGGTGGGAGGATCACTTGAGTGCAGGAGTTTGAGGCTGCAGTGAACTATGATCACACCACTGCACTCCAGTCTAGGTGACAGAGCGAGACCCTGTCTAAAAAAAAAAATACAAAAAACATTAGCCTGCTATATTCTTCCCTTTAATTTTATTGAAAAAAACAAAACAAAAACAAACCCACCCAAATGCCAGCCCAATCCTGGGCTTTCCCCATATTTTCTATTATAGGTTGTATTTTATAACTATTTACATGCTATATACCTTACTAAACTCTGAATTCTTTGAAGGCGGGGACCTATTTTTTATCTCTGAATCCTAAAGTTTAATGTTAAAAGTAATCTGTTGTATAACAGGCTCAATAAATGTTTGCTGAATAAATTTAATCTCATCTGAGCTATGAATGGAAGAGCCATCCCCAAAATGGTATGCTTTTATATGAAGAGCTAATAAAAAATATGCAAAGTAAGATCTAAAAATTAGGTGAAATAAAACTTCTTTATATGTATAGCCTATGACAAAATATATGGTAAACCTGACTGAGTAAAGAGAAACTTACTTGGACATAAGAAACATAAACTCATTCAGAATGACTAGAAAGTGTTAGAAACTGGAGGATGAGAATACCTATCACACCTGGGCACTCAAGAGCACATGTACAGCTGTACCTGATCAGTTCTAGCTGAGCCAGTTCCAGATTGGCTTGAAAAATAGGCTTCTTTGTGAATAGTTCCCCAAGAATACATCTAGAAAAGGTAAAATTGAGAGGTCAGAAGAGAAATTCTTAGAGCCTATTTAAAGTGTCTCAAAAAATTTTTACATTATTGATATGTCGGATTGCAACCAAGATAAATAGCCCCAAATTTCAGTGTCTGAGTTTCCAAAGAGAAAATATTTCTTGCAGTGAAACAGACAGTATAAAGAATTTAAATTTGCCAGCAGATCAAACTTTTGCCACCTATTAAGGACACTCTATGATCAGAGAAAGGGAGTCAAGAGTCTTTTTCTATCATGCCATTGTAATTAAGGAAATAACTAAAGACAATTTTACAAGGTTGCTCAAAATTAAAGAACAATACTAACAAAAAATAAATAAACAAGGATGCTCTCTGCAGTTAGTTTCTATAAAGTTTGAATTCATTTTTGTCATTAATCTGCTCTGTAGAAGATGCACTATACTATAGCCTTCTTGGCACTGTATTTCAAATAAAATAATTTACTGTCATCAGCTAGGATCAGTTGGACTTTTTTTATTTTTATTTTTTGAGATAGAGTCTCACTCTGTCACCCAGGCTGGAGTGCAGTGGTGCTATCTCCACTCACTGCAACCTTTGCCTCCCAGGTTCAAGTGATTCTCTGCCTCAGCCTTCCAAGTAGCTGGGACTACAGGCATGCACCACCACACCCGGCTAATTTTTTTGTATTTTTAATAGAATCTAGTGAATCTAACATGAATAAATCTCAAATCATTTATGCTGATTAAAAGAGTGGGGGGAGTATATACTATATAATTCCATTTGTGTAAAATTCTAGAAATAGAAATTATAGTGACAGAATGCAGAACAGTGGTTTGCCTGGGAATGGGAGGGTACGGGTAGAGGAAAGGGATTACAAAAGGGCACAAGGAAACTGTGGTGGGTGATCATTATCTTGGCTGTGTTGATGGTTTTACTGGTGGATATGTTATGTCAAAACATATCAAAATATATGCAGTTTATTTTATACTTCAATAAAATAGGTTTAAATATTGAATGAATTTGATAAGGCTATACTAAAGTTTTCTGTACTATTCCTGTAACTTTTCCATACATTGAAATTATTTCAAAATAAAATAAAGGCTGAGCATGGCAGCTCATGTCTGTGATCCCAGCACTTTGGGAGGCCTAGGCAGGAGGATCACTTGAAGCCAGGAGTTCAAGACCAGCCTGGCAACATAGGAAGACCACATCTCAAAGATTACATGAATATCCCATACTTTTTGTTACGTGCCTGAAATTTTTCATTTTTTTAAAGTGGGGAAAGAAAAAAAAAGGTCGATGAATCTGTCTGACCTATGCTTTGAAATGAGACAAATACAAAACCAAATTTATACTTTTATTTTAAAATTCTTTAGTTTGACTTAATTTGAGAAAGCAAAACGAACCTAGCTTTTTAAGTAGCACTTTTCTGTTAGAATTTGGACCTTTAAACGAATTATGTTAAAACAACTTCAAAGACAAATTCTTACTTCCTATATTCTCTCAAACCCTATTCAGAGATGGAAAAGTGAAAATAAAATTTAGGCCAGGCTCAGTGGCTGATGCCTGTAATCCTGGCACTTGGTGAGGCCGAGGTGGGAAGATTGCTTGAGCCCAGGAGTTTGAGACCAGGCTGGGCAACGTAGTGAGATCCCAACTCTATAAAAAGAAAAAAAAAGTAAAATTTAATTCTGTTTTCAACATTAACTGCCACATCAAGTTCTAAGTGCAATGTTGTCGTCACAGCGGGTAAAATCAGAGACATTTAAAAAAGAAAAGAAGAAAAAAAAACCACTAGGTTTTCAGACTCCTGACATAATTTGCTGTACTAGTCTTTCTAGTTTCTCCTCGATTCTAATTTGCACACTGAACTGTCATACCAATTCTCTATAAAAAATCCCATAAAAATATCTTCAGAGAGACTACCATGAATCACCAAAGTAGTAAGTTCACATCAAAACTCAAACAAAATCTTAATTCAATGAGCCACTGGGCTTTGAAGAATGTCTAACTTTATGTAGTTTTAATTTCCAATTGTGTTTTTCTGTTTTCTTTTCTTTTGGTTTCCAGTCCTTTGGTGGGAAGACATCTTCATTATGTAATCAACACTTTGCTACTGCTCTGAGGTGGCAGGCTGCACAGACTGAAATAATAGTACCGAACAGAGCTATGAACTTTCCTCGTGCATCTTAATGGGGCGTTAACTTTAGAGCCTAGTTGTGACAATTTAAATGCTAATACTGTTAAAGCAAATTGTCCAGAACAAAAACACACCCAGCTTGAGTCAGTAAAATTTAACTAAAGCTTTATTTTATTTGGGTAGGCTACCACAGAAATTATGCTCTTTCTCCATCATTCTGTTGAATTTTAAAATAAAACCCCTGTAGTGCTCCTCTTAAAGACTGACATTAATAGAGGAAGGAAAAGAATGGAAAGAAGTGATTTGCTCCACTGGGAAGTATATATGTCAGAATTGTAAAGTATAAAGGTCAAGGACAGTGTGTGACTGGGCATAAATCATACAACATAAGATACAATTAACAAACATGGCCAATTTAAAACATCCATGCCCCAACACACAAACTGTAGTTTCTAAATATCATTTTCCAGTAAAAGGAACTAAGACTCCTTAGAGAAATGGATGATTCCAGGTTTGGGGCAGGAAATGAACAGGACAAGCTTGGAACCAAAAACAAGATGTTTTCTACTGTAACACTACTATGGTGTGCCAAAAGGACTCAAAATATAACCTGAATAAGCTCCCACTGGCCAAAGACTGGACAGTTTGAACAAGAATAAGGATAATAACCACAATGGATTAAAATACATGAAATAAGTTTAAATCCAAGAATTCATAATAAAACCAAAAAACAAAAACATTTTTCATTGGTCATCTTTGAAGGATACTAGGAAACTACTTCATTATTTTGAAAACCGTTATATAAAATGAAAGAATTAACTTTTATCCTACCTTTTCTATATTATTTAGACCTGAGTTCAGCCAAACAGATGGGAGGATATCTTTATATAAGTATTCCAATAAGAAATGATATAATTAGAATGTGACCATCATAAAATAACCACAAATTAATTAACAGATGTGGGCAATGGCCAAGTAACTGTTAACATCCCAAAAAAAGACAATTACGTATTATGTAAAGTGGTATGTGTGTATAAATCTGCTCATTTAGAACTGCCCTAATAAGGCCATAATAAAAAGCTGACTAGTTTGTACTGGATTGTTTTGTTTTGTTGTTTCAAAATTCTCCACAGACAACATACTCATTTACTGCTTGTACTCTCTGGGCAGAGGCTCCCACTGCTCCCCACCTTCCAACTCTGATGTACCACTTATTATATAACTTTTGTTAGAAGTACTCAAAACAAACTGTAAAGTAGTTTCAGGGTCTACTACCCTGACCCTGGGTGGGTGGTTAGGAATCAACCTTTAATCCATTTACAATTTGCTAAAAGTAAAAAAGATAAGCTGGGTATGGCAACATACGCCTGTAGTCACAGCTATTCAGGAGGCTGAGGCAGGAGGATTGCTTGAGCCCAGGAGTTCAAGGATATAGCGTGCTATGATCATACTTATGAACAGCCACTGGACTCCAGAATGGGCAACATAGAAAGACTCCATCTCAAACAACAAAAAGATAAAAAATCATGCTAAAAAATACATATATATCATCACAAGGATACAATCTGCGAAATCCAGACTATAAAAGGCTGGATAGGACAAGTGAAATAGTTTCTTCTAATGAAATTATAAGGAAACAAAATAAATCAAAATTAGGTAACACAGAAGGGGAATGTAAAATTAAAAGATTTGATGTAATCAATTGCAAGCTATGAACCTTACTTGGGTATCTTATTTGGATCTCAATTCAAACAAAGTTTAAACAAAAAAAAAGAAGAAATCTGTTTTTTAAAAAAAGGGTCTCTGACATTAAGAAATATTCAACAGATTTCCCGGAAATCTGGCCAAAAGTTTATCGCCATCCTTCTGAACTTAAGAAGAGCTCTAAAAAGCCAGTGTACAGAGAAAACAAAGTACAAGTCAACAGTATGTAAGTTACAGACAAAAGAAAAAGTTAACAGAACCTTACCCACAGCTCCAAACATCTATGGCTGGTGTGTAACGTTCCTCTCCTAGCAGTAGTTCTGGAGGTCGGTACCACAAAGTAATGACTTTGTTTGTGTAAGGGCGACTGAAATATAAAAAACAACCATGACATAAACTTACAGTGGCTTCTGATGAAAAATATTCACATAACTAAATGCAAATAGAAATAGGTGCCAAATGAAGATGAGACTGAAAAACAAATCCAGAGCAACCTAACACTCCAAAAGCAAACTGTTCAGAAGTAGGAGATGAAGAAATAACTTCCATGCCTGGCGTGGTGGCTCATGCCTGTAATACCAGCACTTTGGGAGGCCTAAAGGGGAGAATCATTTGAGGCCAGTCCAAGACCAGCCTGGTCAACACAGCAAGATCTCATTTTTTTTTTTTTTTTTTTTTTTTGAGACGGTGTCTTGCTCTGTCCCTCAGGCTGGAGTGCAGTGGCGCCATCTTGGCTCATTGCAAGCTCCGCCTCCCAGGTTCACGCCATTCTCCTGCCTCAGCCTCCCAAGTAGCTGGGACTACAGGCGCCCGCCACCACACTCCACTAATTTTTTGTATTTTTAGTAGAGACAGAGTTTCACCGTGTTAGCCAGAATGGTCTTGATCTCCTGACCTCATGATCCACCCACCTCGGTCTCCCAAAGTGCTGGGATTACGGGCGTGAGCCACCACGCCTGGCCTATTAAAAAAAAAAGAAAAAAGGCCAGGCACGGTGGCTCACGCCCGTAATCCCAGCACTTTGGGAGGCCAAGCCAGGCAGATCACCTAAGGTCGGGAGTTCGAGACCAGCGTGACCAACATGGAGAAACCCCATCTCCACTAAAAATACAAAATTAGCCGGGCATGGCAGCACATGCCTGTAATCCCAGCTAGTCAGGAGGCTGAGGCAGGGGAATCGCTTGAACCCGGGAGGCAGAGGTTTCAGTGAGCCAAGATTGTGCCATTGCACTCCAGCCTGGGCAACAAGAGCAAATCTCCAGGAAAAAAAAAGAAAAAGGAGGAGAAGAGAAGAGAAGAGAGAAAAAAATAACTTCCATTCTAATTTATTTATTCCAGCCAAGGGACGATTCAAGAATTTAGATAAAATTTGCTGCCTAAAATGTAAGTGATAACGCTTTCAGATAATTAGGGAACTCTGACAGTTGTTGCAACTTGCAGAATACTAGAACATCTAGGAATAAAAAAGATTCTTGGCCGGACGCAGTGGTGGCTCACGCCTGTAATCCCAGCACTCTGAGAAGCTGAGGCAGATGAATCACGAGGTCAGGAGTTTGAGACCAGCCTGGCCAACATGGTGAAACCCCGCCTCTACTAAAAATACAAAAAATTAGCTGGGCGTAGTGGCGGGCACCTGTAATACCAGCTACTCGGGAGGCTGAGGCAGGAGAATTTCTTGAACCCAAGAGGCGGAGGTTGCAGTGAGCCGAGATCACGCCACTGCACTCCAGCCCAGGTGACAGATTGAGACTCCGTCTTCAAAAAAAAAAAAAAAAAAAAAAGAGAGAGATTGTTGCCCAGGTGCGGTGGCTCATGTCTGTAATCCCGGCACTTTGGGAGGCTGAGGCAGGTAGACAGCTTGAGCCCAGGAGTTCAAGACTAACCTAGGCAACATAGCAAAACCCCGTCTCTACTAAAAATACAAAAATTAGCCAGGTGTGATGGCACCCACCTGTGGTTCCAGCTACTTGTGAGACTAAGGTGGGAGAATCACCTGAGCCCACAGAGGTTGAGGCTGCAGCGAGCTGAGATCAAGCCACGCACTCCAGCCTGAGCAACAGAATAAGATCCTGCCTCAAAAAAACAAAACAAAACAAACCTTATTTCCCACATGTAATTTTAATTAATGCCTTACCTCTCTTCAGAGTTATAGAGCCGAGCAAGTCCAAAATCTGCTAGTTTGATTTGCCCACTGTAAAACAAAAAACAATTATTTTCATAAGCCATAGCAGTGGCCTCCAAAATACACCTGAAAAGTCATGCGCCAAGTTAGGGGTAAAGGAATTACAAAAATAAATTTTAACTTCTGCTCTCTTTGTTCTACTCTTTTCTCTTTCTTTTTAAAAAATTTTATACAATACCCAGTTCATGATTACTTCTACTCTTAACACTCAATCCCCCTAATTAAACCTTTTTTGACTACTTCAATTATAATGCCTTACACTTAAAAAACAAAAAAAAACTATTATTACATTTTCTGAATTTGACTCCTTAGCTAAATTTATTTCATGGTAAACAACAGTACCTAGAACGTGCTAGATTAAATACTTATTGTTGGGAAAAAAAAGAAATGATTTGCTCTAGATTGAGAAAGACTTAAGAGGGCCAACAGTCTGGGCATGGTGGCTCACACCTGTAGTCCCAGAATTTTGGGAGGCCACTGCACTCCAGCCTGGGCAATAGAGCAAGACCCTATCTCTGAAAAAACAAGCAAAGAAACCCAGTTTCCTGGGCCCCATTCTTAGAGATGCTGACTCAGTAGAACATGGCTCATGAATCTGCATTTCTAACAGGCCCATACGTGATGCCAATGCAGCTGGCCTGAGAATCAGGCTTTGAGAATCACTTCAAGGAGATCCCAACCATGTTTCACTCTGCTGATTTTTTTTTTTTTTTTTTGAGACAGAGTCTCACTCTATTACCTAGGCTGGAGTGCAATGGTGTAACCCTGGCTCACTGTAGCCTTGATGATCTCCCAGGTTCAAGTGATTCTCCAGCCTCAGCCTCCCAAGTAGCTGGGACTATAGGTGTGCACCAATATGTCCAGCTAATTATTTTATTTTTTGTAGAGACAGAGTTCCCCTATGTTGCCTAGGCTGGTCTTAAATTCCTGTGCTCAAGTGATCCTCCCTCCTCAGCCTCCCAAAGGGCTGGGAGTACAGGCATGGGCCACCATGACTGGCCTCTGCTCAGTATTCTATCCTTGACAGTGATATAAAGGAATTTTTTTTTTTAAGTTCCAGGGTACATGAGGTTTGTTACGTAGGTAAATGTGTGCCATGGTGGTTTGCTGCACCTATTGACCCATCGCCTAAGTATTAAGCCCAGCAAGCATTAGCTATTTTTCCTGATGCTCTCTCTCCTCCTGCATGAAGGAATATTTTTGAAAACTGCAAGACGAGATGTTGGGAATCTATTTTAAAACTATTTATTTATTGGAGGGGGTGGGCAATGCAAAACCCAACAACTACTTATTGACTACTTTGGATTAATGATATTTATCTAAATTCATGTAACCTGTTTAGTCATATTTACAGCCTTGCTACTTCTTGGGACATGAAAAGCCAGCTCACTGTCTTATAGGAAGCTGGTGTAGGTGTCTAATAGTTCAGATCAGGCAAAAAAGTGAGATATAGATTGTGCATCCAAATCCAAAAATGTGAAATCCAAAATTTTTCAGAACCTTCTCCCCCCGCCGTCTGAAGCAAAATCTGAAACTTTTTGAGTGCCAACATGACACTCAAAGGAAATGCTCAGTGGAACATTTCAGATTTTGGATGTTCAGAACCAGTAAGTATAATGTAAATATTCCAAAATCTAAAAAAAATCTGAAATCCAAAAGAATTCTCGTCTCAAGCACAGGGGATACTCAACATGTAGTACAGAAAAGAGGCCAAGAGGTGCTCCCCAAAATATGGACATGTGACAATATTAAAACAAGGTAACTACTAGCAACAAACTTCTACATTAAATCAATGCTTATTCCTAGTGAAGTTAAAGGTACCTTATCCACTTGCCCCAAACACCATTACATTAAGTTCAATTTATAAGCAAATTGTGAGAAAAGCAACAAGAAATAGTTAACTTATATTAAGACAAAGATGATTCCTCAAATTACTTGGCATCCTTACTCTGAAAGCCTGAAATTATGTAAGATTCAAGGCACATAGTAGGACTGAAAGTCAAAATGGAAATGGATATATAGTTACAGAAATCAGTGTAGACCTGAATATCACCAGCATCTAACATATTTCCTGCCTGGCTCATACTAGGTACTAAATAAATGTTTATTAAACGAATTTAGTCTGCTACAGAACCTGCTGATAGCACTTTTTTTTTTTTAAGACTGAGCTTCAATCTTGTTGCCAAGGCTGGAGTGCGATGGCGCTATCTCGGCTCACTACAACCTCTGCCTCCCGAGTAGCTGGGATTACAGGCATGTGCCACTACGCCCGGCTAATTTTGTATTTTTAGTAGAGATGGGGTTTCTCCATGTTGGTCAGGCTGGTCTTGAACTCCCTACCTCAGGTGATCCGCCTGCCTCGGCCTCCCAAAGTGCTGGGATTACAGGCATGAGCCACCGCGCCCGGCCGCTGATAGCACTTTTACTGACTCCCACTTTTCCTTCCAACTAAACCATTAAGGTGACTCAGTATGAAGTGTGGAAGTACTTGTAACTTTTTGCAATATAAAATAGAACAGGCCGGGCGCAGTGGCTCACGCCTGTAGTCCCAACACTTTGGGAGACCGAGGCAGGCGGACCACTTAAGTCAGGAGTTTGAGACCAGCCTGGCCAACATGGTAAAACCCTGTCTCTACTAAAAATACAAAAATTAGCTGGGCGTGGCGGCAGACACCTGTAGTCCTAGCCACTTGGGAGGCTGAGGTGGGAGAATCGCTTGAACCTGGGAGGCGGAGGTTGCAGTGAGCTGAGATTGTGCCACTGCACTCCAGCCTGGGTGACACAGTGAGACTCCATCTCAAAAAATAAAATATAAAATAAGTAAATAAACAAAATAAAATACAATACAAAAGAAGTGCCATCATATTGTTTATGTCCTGTCTCAAAGGAATAAGGTGAATATAGAAATATCTGGAGAATCCTTTCTGAGACCATGGTTTAACATTTTTGCCTTTTGAGAAGAACTTCAAGTACACAGTGCCTCCACTCACTCCCAGTTCAGCCCTCTTTCACGTAATACTTCCTTCCCTTGCCTACCTGGACCCCTTGGTTAATTAACCAAACTATTGTCTTCCTCGTTGCCTTAGCTTGTGATATAGCTAATCCCTAAGTCCCTAATTCTGGATCATTAGAAAATCTGTCTTTTCTGCTCTACCTAGAGAGCTGAACACAAGTGTAAAGAATAAAAATCATATAATTGGCCAGGCGTGGTGGCTCGCGTCTGTAATCCTAGCACTTTAGGAGGCTGAGGTGGGTGGATCACTTGAGGTCAGAGGTTTGAGACCCAGCCTGGCCAACATGGTGAAACCCCGTCTCTACTAAAAATACAAAAATTAGCCAGGCGTGGTGGCATGCGCCTGTATTCCCAACTACTCGGAAGGCTGAGGCAGGAGAAGGGCTTGAACCGGGAGGCAGAGGTTGCAGTGAGCCGAGATAGCGCCACTACATTCCAGCCTGGTGACAGAGTGAGACTCCATCTCAAAAAAAAAAAAAAAAAAAAAATCATATAATCATATTGTATGGTGTCACTGCAAAATGTGTGATTTCCTCTCTCTGTTAATTCCTGAATGCTGCTGGTTAGTCCTTTTACTTGTCTGTAATCAGCAACTTCCATTCAACATGGCTGTCATTACAGACCTCTGGCATTCTCCTTAATGCTCTAATCCATCCCCTACCCTCTTACACTTACTTAGTAAATGACCTTTTTCAGTGAAAAAATTAAAGTCATTAGGTGAGAGGTCCTTAACATCCTACCTTTTACCAGTAAACTTACTTCCATCTATAATTTTACTTTCCTCTTTCCTTTTAATTACAGTCATCCCTTAGTATATCTAGCAATTGGTTCCAAGACTCCCACATATACCAAAATTCAAGCAAACTCAAGTCCTGCAGTACGCTTTATAGAACCTGCATATATGAAACACTGGTACTCCATATAAACAGGTTGCATATACTGCAAACACTGTTTTTTATTTGTTTTTGGTTGGATAAAATCTGTGTATAAGTGGACATGCCACAGTTCAAACCTGCGTTGTTCAACGGTCAATGGTACATAAAAAGCATGTCAATCTCTTTTCTTGACCAAGGATAATCAATCCCTCCATCTGTGGCCTTGATCCCATCTATTCTAGAAATATGCTCCTTTAAATTATTTTGGTTCTTTCCCAAATCTTTTTTTTTTTTTTTTTTTTGAGACGGAGTCTCGCTCTGTCACCAGGCTGGAGTGCAGTGGTGCGATCTCAGCTCACTGCAACCTCCACCTCCCGGGTTCAAGTGATTCTCCTGCCTCAACCTCCTGAGTAGCTGGGACTACAGGCACGCACCTCCACACCCAGCTAATTTTTATATTTTTAGTAGAGACGGGGTTTCACCATGTTGGCCAGGATGGTCTCGATCTCTTGACCTCGTGATCTGCCCGCCTTGGCCTCCCAAAGTGCTGGGATTACAGGTGTGAGCCACCGCGCCTGGCCTTTTTTTTTTTTTTTTTGAAACGGAGTCTTGCTCTGTTGCCAGGCTGGAGTGCAGTGGCGCGATCTCAGCTCACTGCAACCTCTGTCTCCTGGGTTCAAGTGATTCCGCTGCCTCAGCCTCCCAAGTAGCTGGGATTACAGGCATGCGCCACCATGCCCAGCTAATTTTTTGTATTTTAGTAGAGACGGGGTTTTACCATGTTGGACAAGATGATCTTGAACGCCTGACCTCATGATCCGTCCGCCTCGGCCTCCCAAAGTGCTGGGATTACAGGTGTGAGCCACTGCGCCTGGCCCCCAAATCTTCAACTGCTCCCTTTTTATAGATTTTCTTTCTCCTTAGCGTTTTTTTTTTTTTTTTTTTTGAGACAGGGTCTTGTTCTGTCACCCAGGATGGAGTGCAGTGGTGGCAATCTCTGCTCACTGCAACCTCTGTGTCCCAGGTTCAAGCAGTTCTCATGCCTTGGCCTCCCACGTGGCTGGGATTAGATGCGTGCACCACCAAGCTCAGCTAATTTTTGTACTTTTAGTAGAGACAGAATTTTGCTATGTTGGCCAGGCTGGTCTCGAACTCCTAGCATCAAGTGACCTGCCCACTTCAGCCTCCCAAAGTGTTAGGATTACACATGTGAGCCACCACGTTGGCCTCCCCTTAGCATTTAAATATATTCAAATCTCTGCCATCCTTAAAATTAAAAATTAAAGACACCCCCTACCAGTACCTTCCCATTAACTGTGCTACTCAACCCCTTACTCCACACTAATTATCACTACTGACCTTTTAATTTTCAGATTCTCTTATAATTTGCCTGCATCATCTGACATCAATCACCACTCCCTTCTTAAACCTGCCTATCTTGCATTCATATTTTCCTTATTTTCTTCCTATCTCTCTGACCATCTCTCTTGGGTTACATTTCTGACATCTTTTCTATGTTCTGTAACTACCAACTCTGTATTGGTAGTTTGGAATTCCCAAATGACCATATGCTATTAAATATCACTACCCTGGATATATAAAAGACATATTCAAAAGAGATTTGCCTGTTACTCCATCCATCCTACTCTTCCATCTTCCTTGTATTGACTAGTAGTGCCACCCATCTAGCTAGTTTTTCAAGTCAGAAACCTGTGAGTTATCTTACTTTCTCTAATTCATTATCTACCATACACTCACTCAACCAAAGTCTACAGATCTACCGAGTCCATCCCTACTAGTGGTGTCTGGGTTATTTCCAGCACTGACCATTTATTACGAAGTTCTTAGAGGGTCTCTCTGCCTCCAGTTTATCGGCATAAACTGATAATTTGGTGACCTTTCCAAAACAGAAGATTGACTGTGTCTCTCTTCTATATAAAATGATTTGGTCTCATTTGGAATCCAACTCTGCTCTTCTCTCTCTCTTGCCACCTGTTCGCTCTCTTCCTTGCCCAGCTGACGACCCTTCACCATTTTCTCCAGGCCATCTCACCCACAGGTCTGAGTAGACAGAGCTAAATGGGTAAGGGAAGAGGCTGGATGGATCAGGCTAGACCACAGGATTCCTGTATCCTGCTTAGCAACCTGAGGAGGAAATTCAATTTAGTCTGGAACCTCATCAGCTTTCTGACTCTGGAAGGTCAGGAACCAAAAGAGGCCTTACCCACCAGAGAGGACACCAAACGGAGCTGCAATTATTCCCTGCTTTGAGACATCTCCTCATGGAGGAGTAAAGGGAACAGCAGAAAGTATATTATACTATAGGCCAGAAAGTTGCAAGCTAATAGCTATTAAGTTCTTAATGCATTATTTACTATAGATGTAGAGTCACCCACTTCCAACTTTACTGGGAATTATGAGTCAGAGAAAGCAACATAAAGAAATACTCTTTTGGCCGGGCGCAGTGGCTCACGCTTGTAATACCAGGACTTTGGGAGGCCAAGTGGGGCAGATCACTTGAGGTCAGGAGTTCGAGACCAGCCTGGTCAATATGGTGAAATCCCGTCTCTACTAAAAATAGAAAAATTAGCTGGGCGTGGTGGTGGGCACCTGTAATCCCAGCTACTTGGGAGGCTGAGGCAGGAGCATCGCTTGAACCCAGGAGTTGGAGGTTGCAGTGAAATCCTGCCATTGCACTCCAGCCTGGGCGACAGAGTGAGACTCAGTCTAAGATTATTTCTTTTTTTGAGATGGAGTCTTGCTCTGTCACCTGGACTGGAGTGTAGTGGATTGATCTCGGCTCACTGTAACCTCTACCTCCTGGGTTCAAGTGATGCTGATCCCTGTCAAATACAGATAAAGTTTAAGTTCCTCAGTGGGGCATGCAAGATCCATAAGTGGGCTCTATGTAACTATCCAGCTTCATCTCTTGGCCATTATGTGCTTCCCTCTTCTTGCTCTAGAAATACTGACCTGTTTACAGTTTTCCAGACATAACATGTTATTTTCATGTTTATGTACTTTTGTGCATGCAGCTGCTTCTGCCTAGAAATTTGATCACCCACCCACTGTCAGTTTTTCAGATAAATTCTTATTCATCCCTCAAGGTTACACCTTTCCAGATACTCTCAAATTCAAAGTGAAAAAAAATTGACCTTAATAAATGTTTACTGAATTGAGTAATTTATTTATTTCTCCTGCAAAAGTTTTGAGTTCCAGTGTTCAATCGTCGCATGTGAGCCTTTTACTGCTAAAACCAGGACAGTCCCAGGTAACCATGCAAGATTGGTTATTCTACACCATAAAGAGGGGAAATGTGTCATAATCTTTCCATGTTCCTATATAGATAATGTCTGTTAGATAAAACTGAACCGGCCAGGCGTGGTGGCTCACGCCTGTAATCCCAGCACTTTGGGAGGCCGAGGTGGGCGGATCACGAGGTCAGGAGATAGAGACCATCCTGGCTAACATGGTGAAACCACGTCTCTACTAAAAATACAAAAAAATTAGCTGGGCGTGGTGGCGGGCGCCTGTAGTCCCAGCTATTCGGGAAGCTGAGGCAGGAGAATGGCACGAACCTGGGAGGCAGAGCTTGCAGTAAGGTGAGATCGCGCCACTGCACTCCAGCCTGGGCGACAGAGCAAGACTCCGTTTCAAAAAACAAACAAACAAACAAACTAGTATGCCAGGTGCGGTGGCTCATGCCTGTAATCCCAGCAGTTTGGGAGGCTGAGGTGGGTGGATCACGAGGTCAGGAGTTCAAGATCAGCCTGGCCAATATAGTGAAACCCCATCTCTACTGAAAATACAAAAATTAGCAGAGCATGGTGCCGGGCGCCTATAATCCCAGCTACTTGGGACACTGAGGCAGGAGAATCGCTTGAACCTGGGAGGTGGAGGTTGCAGTGAGACGAGATCACGCCACTGCACTCCAGCCTGGGCAAGAAGAGCGAAATTCCATCTTCAAAAAAAAAAAACAAAACAAAAAACCTAGTGTGCATAATACATCTGATATTACCAATGCAGTATAGGCAAATAAACAGAAAAGAAGAAAGCAAATGATAAAAACTTCTGATGAATTAACACCTGTTCATAACCAGATTCCTGTTTGTTTACGCTATTAAAACCTAGGAGTAAGTACTAGGCAGAAAAGGCCAATCACCAACTGCACATCAATGTTTACTCAGAAAGCTGGTAACTGAGAAAAGGCTCAAGAACAGCTAAAGGAGCAGGTATGTTTCTCCCACACTGAACGTAGGAAATATCACTAAATAGTGTGTGAATACTGCACTATTAGGTCTAATTATAATACCAATTAACCATTTGAAACTAAAAAGGTCAGAGGAGAAGAGGAAAGTGCTTAATCTTATTTGGTTACTATGTTACCTGTTATTCAGCAAAATGTTAGAACACTTAATATCCCGATGCAGGAAATTCTTTTTGTGACAGTATTCCAATCCTTCCATTAGCTGTTTCATGAACGACTTGATATGGTCCTCAGAAAAGTGCACCAAACCAGATTCTAGCAGTCCCATTAAGTCATGGTCCATATACTCAAATACAAGGTAAAAGGCACCTACATAAAGACGAAAAAAAATTAAAAGCAAGAAAAAAAAAAGAATGCTGAAATAACAATGCCTCAAGTCCTAATATAATTTTGGAGTTGACCACAGGTTCTCTAGAAAAAACCCTTGAATTTTACAGATGAAGAAACTGAAACGAAGAGTAGTTGAATAATTAGTCCTTCCTAATAATAAACAACGGAGCTAATATTTGAATTAATCTTCTGTGGCTGGGCGCAGTGGCTGATGCCTGTAACCCCAGCACTTTGGGAGGCCGAGGAGGGCGGGTCACTTGAGGTCAGGAGTTCGAGACCAACCTGTCCAACATGGTGAATGAAACCTCATCTTGACTAAAAAAAAAATACAAAAATTAGCTGGGCATGGTGGCACGTGCCTGTAATCCCAGCTACTTGGGAGGCCGAGGTGGGAGAATCACTTGAACCCAGGAGCTGGAGGCTGCAGTGAGCTGAGATGGTGCCACTGCATTCCAGCCTGGGCAACAAAGCAAGACTCCTTCTCAAAAAAAAAAAAGGAATTAATCTTTCAATTCCTAGTCTAGTACTATATGGACTACTCACCTCTTCATGGGGGCAGGTGCCCTGACCAGGTTGCATTACTAGGCTTTTTTTTAAAGACAGACTCTCACTCTGCCACCCAGACTGGAGTGCAGTGGCACTATCTTGGCTCACTGCAACCTCCGCCTCCTGGGTTCAAGCCATTCTCCTGCCTCAGCTTCCCAAGTAGCTGGGATTACAGGCATGTGCCACCACACCCGGCTAATTTTTGTATTTTGAGTAGAGACGAGATTTCACCATGTTGGTCAGGCTGGTCTCAAACTCCTGACCTCAGGTGATCCGCCTGCCTTAGCTTCCCAAAGTGTTGGGATTACAGGCGTCAGCCACCGCGCCCAGCCTTTTTCTTCTTTTTTTTTTTGAGACAGCGTCTCATTCTGTTGCCCAGGATGGAGTGCAGTGGCATGATCATGGCTCACTACAGCCTCAAACTCCTGGGCTCAAGCGAATCTTCCGCCTCAGCCTCTCATGTAGCTGGGAATACAGGCACAGGCCACCACACCCAGTTAATGTTTTTCATTTTTTGTAGAGACAGGGTCTTGCTATGGTACCCAGGCTGGTCTCTTAACTCTTTGGCTCAGGCAATCCTTCCACCCCAACATCCCAAAATGCTGAGGTCAGAGGCATAAGCCACTGTGCTCAGCCTGTCTTACTAGACTTTAATGACCTAAGTCAGTTAGCAAATTACAGAGCTTAGACCAGATCCAGCCTGCTGCTTGTTGCTGTAAATGAAGTTGTATTTGTAACACAACCATGCCCATTTGTTACATAAAATTGACGACTATTTTGTAAAGGTTTTTATACAAGTTAATGGGACTCAATACGCCAGGGACATCATAATAAATGTGTTATAAATTATTAGTGAAATTCATAGTACTGGTCAGGCATGGTGGCTCATGCCTGTAATTCCAGCACTTTGGGAGGCCAAGGCAGAAGGATTGCCTGAGGTCAGGAGTTCGAGACCAACCTGGCCAACATGGTGAAACCCCATCTCTACTAAAAAAAAATACAAAAATTAGCCAGGCATGATAGCAGGCGCCTATAATTCCAGCTACACGGGAGGCTGAGGCAGGAGAATCGCTTGAACCCAGCAGGCAGAGGTCGCAGTGAGCTGAGACTGCACCATCGCACTTCAGCCTGGGCAACAAGAGCAAAACCCCATCTTGAGAAAAAAAAAAAAAGAGGCTGGGCGCGGTAGTTCATGCCTGTAATCCCAGCACTTTGGGAGGCCAAGGCGGGCAGATCACTTGAGGTCAGGAGTTCGAGACAAGCCTGCCCAACATGGTGAAACCCTAACTCTGCTAAAAATACAAAAATTACCTGGACGTGGTGGCGTGCACCTGTAATTCCAGCTACTCAGGGAGGCTGAGGCATGACAATCGCTTGAACCCAGGAGGCGGAGGTTGCAGTGAGCCAAGACAGCGGCACTGCACTCCAGCCTGGGCAAAAAGAGCAAGACTCTGTCTCAAAAAAAAAAAAAAAAGGAAAGAAAGAAAGAAAGAAAGAAAGAAAGAAAGAAAGAAAGAAAGAAAGAAAGAAAGAAAGAAAGAAAGAAAGAAAGAAAGAAAGAAAGAAAGAAAGAAAGAAAGAAAGAAAGAAAGAAAGAAAGAAAGAAAGAAAGAAAGAAAGAAAGAAAGAAAGAAAGAAAGAAAGAAAGAAAGAAAGAAAGAAAGAAAGAAAGAAAGAAAGAAAGAAAGAAAGAAAGAAAGAAAGAAAGAAAGAAAGAAAGAAAGAAAGAAAGAAAGAAAGAAAGAAAGAAAGAAAGAAAGAAAGAAAGAAAGAAAGAAAGAAAGAAAGAAAGAAAGAAAGAAAGAAAGAGAAAATCATAGTATTAAAAATTGAGAGAAAAATGAATCAACAAATTTAGGGCTGTGTTCAGTGGCTCATGCCTGTAATCCCCACATTGTGAGGGGCTGAGGTGAGAGGATTGCCTGAGCTTTGGAAACCAGACTGGGCAAAATAGTGAGACACCATCTCCACAAAAAAATTTATAAATTAGCTAGGCATGATGGTGCTTGCCTGTATTCCTGGCTACTTGGGAGGCTGAGGCAAGAGAATCATTTGAGCCCAGGAGTTTGAGGCTACAATAAGCTGTGATTGCACCAATGTACTCTAGCCTGGGTGAGAAAGCAAGATTCTGTCTACAAAAAATTTCAAAAAGAGAAGGATGGCCGGGCGCGGCGGCTCACGCCTGTAATCCCAGCACTTTGGGAGGCCGAGGCGGGTGGATCACTTGAGGTCAGGAGTTTGAAACCAGCCTGGCCCACATGGTGAAACCCCATCTCTACTAAAAACACAAAACAGCTGGGCATTGTGGCACACACTTGTAATCCCAGCTACTTGGGAGGTTGAGGCAGGAGAACTGCTTGAACCCAGGAGGTGGAAGCTGCAGTGAGTCGAGATCACACCACTGCACTCCAGCCTGGGCAACTGAGTGAGACGCCGTCTCAAAAAAAAAACAAAATAAAACAAAACAAAAAGACCAGGCTGGGCAACATAGCAAAATCCTGTTTCTACCAAAATTTTTAAAAACCAGCCAGGAGTGGTGTCTAGTCCTAGCTACTTGGGAGGCTGAGTCAGGGGGATCCCTTGAACCCAGGAGTTCAGTTACAGTGAGCTGTGATCATGTCACTGCACTCCAGCCTCGGTGAGAGAGCAAGACTCTGTCCCAAAAAAAAAAGAAAGAAAGAGAGAAAGAGAGAGAGAAAGAGAGAGGGAGAGAAAGTAAATAAAACTGGTAACATAGAGAAGACCCAAAATATAAGGAATATAATCCAAAATGACATTCGCTGGGTGCGGTGGCCCAAGTTCGTAATCCCAGCACTTTAGGAGGCCAAGGCAAGAGGACTGCTTGAGCCCAGGAGTTAGAGACCAGCCTGTGCAACATAGAGAGATCCTGTTTCTACTAAAAATTTAAAAAATCAGCTGGATGTGGTGGTGCATGCCTGTTGCCCCAGCTAATCAGGAGGATGAGGCATGGAGGATTGCTTGAGCCTGGAGGTTGAGGATGTAATGAGCTATGACCACCGTTGTACTCCAGCCTGGGCAACACACTGAGACTGTCTCAAAAAATAAAAATTAAATTAAAATAATATATAAAATAATAATATCATACTTAACCTATCCAGATGACAATTTTTTTTTTTTTTGAGACAGAGTCTTGCTCTGTTGCCCAGGCTAAAGTGCAGTAACTCAATCTCGGCTCACTGCAATCTCTACCTCCCGGGTTCAAACAATTCTCCTGCCTCAGCCTTCCCAGTAGCCAGGATTAAAAGTGCCCAGCACCATGCCCAGCGAATTTTCGCATTTTTAGTAGAGAGGGGTTTCACCATGTTGGCCAGGCTTGGCTCAAACTCCTGACTTCAAGTGATCTGCCTGCCTTGGCCTCCCAAAATGCTGGGATTATAGGCATAAGCAACCACACCTAGCCCAGATGACAATTTTTTAAAAAGATATACTTGGCCGGGTACAGTGGCTCACACTTGTAATTCCAGCACTTTGGGAGGCCGAGGTGGGCGGATCAGCTGGGGACAGAAGTTTGAGACCAGCCCGGCCAAATGGCGAAACCCTGTCTCTGATAAAGATACAAAAATTAGCCGGCCGTGGTGGCGTGCGCCTGTTTAAGCCCAGCTACTCCAAAGGCTGAGGCAGGAGAATCACTTGAACCCAGGAGGCGGAGGTTGCAGTGAGCCAAGATTGCATCACTGCACTCGAGCCTGGGCGACAGAGTGAGACTCCTTCTCAAAATTAAAAAAAAAAAAAAAAAAAAAAAAAAAAAAGATATACTGAATGTTGGGGAGGATACACTGAGATGGACACCCACTGGACATACTAATTTTCTTAAAAGGAATCTGACATTAAATATGAAAATCCATTTGACCAAATAACTCTGTATCAAAAATGCTATACAATGAAAATAAATCATAATGCAAAGATTTATGCAGAAAGATACTCAAGGCATTGTTATTATGTTTTTTGGGATTTTTTTTTGAGACAGAGTTTTGCTCTTGTCACCCAGGCTGGAGTGCAATGGCGTGATCTCAACTCACTGCAACCTCTGCCTACCAGGTTCAAGTCATTCTCCTGCCTCAGCCTCCCAAGTAGCTGAAGATTACAGGCGCTAGCCACCATGCCCAGCTAATTATTGTATTTTTAGTAGAGATAGGGTTTCACCATCTTGGCCAGGCTGATCTCAAACTCCCGACCTCAGGTGATCAACCTGACTCGGCCTCCCAAAGTGCTGAGATTACAGGGGTGAGCCACTGCACCTGGCCTATTATTTTTTTTTTAAACTGAAAATTGGCAACTAATTGCTCAACAGGGACTGGTAAATTTGGATTCACCTATGTTTACGCATAAACATTAAAATTTGTTAATGATATGAGAAATTGCTTATGACAAGTTATACAACACGAAATAACCTTTAATCTCAGCTTTGTTAAAATAAATACAGTAGATATGGCATAAAGTACTAAAAGCAGGGCTGAGTGTGGTGGCTCACCCTTGTCATCCCTGCTCTTTGGCAGGCTGAGGTGGATGACTGCCTGAGGTCAGGAGTTCGAAACCAGCCTGGCCAACATGGTGAAACCCGGTCTCTATTAAAATTATAAAAATTAGCCGGGAGTGGTGGCACATGCCTGTAATCCCAGCTACCCGGGAGGCTGAGGCAGGAGAATTGCTTGAACCTGGGAGGTGGAGGTTGCAGTAAGCCAAGATCGAGCCAATGCACTCCAGCCTGGGTGAGAGAGTAAGACTCTGTCTCAAAAAAAAAACAAAAACAAAAAGAACTAAAAGCAAATATACCGAAATGTATTAATACTTCAGTGGTTTTCCATGGATGGTAGTATATTGGGAGGAAGTGGGAGATAAATTACTACCATCTTTTTTTTTTTTTTTTGAGGCGGAGTCTCGCTCTATTGCCCAGGCTGGAGTGCAGTGGCACGATCTTGGCTCACCGCAAGCTCCGCCTCCCAGGTTCACACCATTCTCCTGCCTCAGCCTCCTGAGTAGCTGGGACTACAGGCGCCTGCCACCATGTCCGGCTAATTTTTTTTGTATTTTTTTAGTAGAGTCAGGGTTTTGCCGTGTTAGCCAGGATGGTCTTGATCTCCTGACCTTGTGATCTGCCCACCTCGGCCTCCCAAAGTGCCAGGATTACAGGCGTGAGCCACTGCGCCTGGCCACTACCATCTTCTTTTTCTTCTTCTTCTATATTTTCAGTTTTTCCACCAAAGGCATACATGCATCATATCCATTCATTCACTTATTATTTTATAAAAAAAAAAAAAAAAAAAAAAAAAAAAAAAACACATGAGGCCAGTCATGGTAGCTCACTCCTATAATCCCAGCACTTCGAGGGGCCGAGGCGGGCGGATGACTTGAGGTCAGGAGTGTGAGACCAGCTCGACGAACATAGCGAAACCTCCTCTCCACTAAATATACAAAAATAAGCCCGGAATGATGGCGCATGCCTGAAATCCCAGCTACTTGGGGGCTGAGGCACGAGAATCACTTAAACCCGAGAGGCAGAGGCTGCAGTGAGCCGACATCACAGGACTGCAATCCAGCCTGGGCGACAGTGCGAGACTGTCTCAAAATAAATAGATAAATAAGAAAGAAAGGGCCAGGCGCGGTGGCTCATGCCTGTAATCCCAGAACTTTGGGAGGCCCAGGCGGGCGGATCACGAGGTCAGGAGATCGAGACCATCCTGGCTAACACGGTGAAACCCCGCCTCTACTAAAAAAATACAAAAAATTAGCTGGGTGTGGTGGCGGGCGCCTGTAGTCCCAGCTGCTCAGGACACTGAGGCAGGAGAATGGCGTGAACCCAGGAGGTGGAGCTTGCAGTGACCTGAAATCGCACCACTGCAGTTCAGCCTGGGCAACAGAGCAAGACTCCGTCTCAAAAAAAAAAAAAAGAAAGAAAGAAAGAAAAAAAAAAAGAAAGGCAAAGATTGGACCAGTCTACCCTGTAAAAATGTGATTCTTTGCTAGTACCTTTGTCCTTCTTGAAATCCAGTGCATCTTGTTTATCTGTGACAATTTCCTTCATGTTAACAACACTTCGGTGGATTAACTGACGAAGGATTTTGATTTCACGAATGGCTGTGATTGGGAAGCCCTCTTTCTCATTGTCTAGTCTCACCTTCTTCAGAGCCACTAGTTCTCCTGCCAAAACAAATGTAAACTGTTATTATCAATGAGCATTTTTGGCCACTATTGTGAACCAGCAATATATGCCCTTGCTCTGGAAGACAAACTTAGTGCTTACTTTAATGCTTACACGAGATACTTATACACCTTTAAAAAGTAAACTCTAGGCCAGGCGCACTGGCTCACACCTGTAATCCCAACACTTTGGGAGGCCAAGGCCTGCGGATCACCTGAGGTTAGGAATTCGAGACCAGCCTAGCCAACGTGGTGAAACCCCGTCTCTATTAAAATACAAAAATTAGCTGGGCGTGGTGGTGGATGCCTGTAATCCCAGCTACTCAGGAGGCTGAGACAGGAGAATTGCTTGAACCCGGGAGGCAGAGGTTGCGGTGAGCAGAGGTTGCAGTGAGCTGAGATCGCATCATTGCACTCCACCCTGGGTGACAGAGTGAGACTCCTTCTCAATAAAAAAACAAAAAAGGAAATTTTATATTCCCTTTCCTGGCTTTAATTTTTTTCTTAAGACTTGAATTTTTTGTTTTTGAGATGGAGTCTTGCTCTGTCACCCAGGCTGCAGGGCACTGGCGCGATCTCCGCTCATTGCAACCTCCGCCTACTAGGTTCAAGTGATTCTCCTGCCTCCGCCTCCTGAGTAGCTGGGACTACAGGCGTGTGGCACCACGCCTGGCTAATTTTTTCTATTTTTAGTAGAAACGGGGTTTCACCATGTTAGCCAGGATGGTCTCAATCTCCTGACCTCGTGATCTGCCCACCTGGCCTCCCAAAGTGCTGAAATTACAGGCATGACTCACCACACCCAGCTGGAGAGTTTTAAAAGTTATAATTATAGTATTCTTTTGGAAACCTTTGATCTACTCAATAACTTTTGGAGACAAAACTAGAACTAAAAATTTGGCCAGGCGTGGTGGCTCATGCCTGTAATCCCAGCACTTTGGGAGGCTGAGGTGGGTGGCTATTTCAGGTTAGGAGTTCAAGACCAGCCTGGAATTCAAGACTGCCTGGCCAACATGGTAAAACCCCATCTCTACTAAAAATACAGAAATTAGCTGGGTGTGGTGGTGCATGCCTGTAACCCCAGCTACTCGGGAGGCTGATGCAGAGGCATCGCTTGAACCCAGGAGGCAGAGCCTGCAGTGAGCAGAGATTGATCCACTCACTGCACTCCAGACTGGATGACAGCGCAAGACCCCGTCTCAAAAAATAAAAATAAAAAAAGGCCTGGCGCCGTGGCTCACATCTATAATCCCAGCACTTTGGGAGGCCGAGGTGGGCAGATTGCTTGAGGTCAGGAGTTCAAGACCAGCCTGGACGACATAGTGGAACCCTGTTTCTACTAAAAAAAAAAAAAAAACAAAAATTAGTCGAGTGTGGTTGCGCACGGTCTGTAATCCCAGTTACTCGGGAGGCTGAGGCAGGAGAATGGTGTGAACCCAGGAGGCGGAGCTTGCAGTGAGTTGAGACTGCACCACTGCACTCCAGCCTGGGGAGCAAGACTCCATCTCAAAAAACAAACAAACAAACAAACAAACAAAACACCTCAGAATTTACTTTTGCTAAATCCACTTAAGATATTAGTATTGCTAAATTGTTAACATTCTGACATCTAAAATTTTGTGGCAATATTTACCTGTGTCTTTGTCCTTGGCTTTATATACTTGGCCATAGGTTCCTTCTCCAATAATCCCAATAATGTCAAACTTGTCCACACAGCGTTTCCCCCAGTCGCTTTCTGTTTGTCTTCTTTCTCCATAACGAGGACAACAAATTCTAAAAAGTAAAAACAACAAAATAGTTATTTAAGAAAATGAAGGCCGGGCGCGGTGGCTCATGCCTGTAATCCCAGCACTTTGGGAGGCCGAGGCTGGCAGATCACGAGGTCAGGAGATCGAGACTATCCTGGCTAACATGGTGAAACCCCGTCTTTACTAAAAAAAATACAAAAATTAGCCAGGCGTGGTAGCGGGCGCCTGTAGTCCCAGCTACTCGGGAGGCTGAGGCAGGAGAATGGCGTGAACCTGGGAGGCAGAACTTGCAGTGAGCCAAGAATGCGCCACTGCACTCCAGCCTGGGCGACAGAGCAAGACACCCTCTCAAAAAGAAAAAAAAAAAAGAAAATGAAATTGGCCGGGCTCGGTGGCTCATGCCTGTAATCCCAGCACTTTGGGAGGCCGAGGCAGGTGGATCACGAGGTCAGGAGATAGAGACCATCCTGGCTAACACGGTGAAACCCCGTCTCTACTAAATATACAAAAAATTAGCCGGGCGTGGTGGCAGGCGCCTGTAGTCCCAGCTACTCAGGAGGCTGAGGCAGGAGAATCACTTGAACCCAGGAGGCAGAGGTGGCAGTGAGCCAAGGTCACGCCATTGCACTCCAGCCTGGGCAGCAGAGCGAGACTCCGACTCAAAAAAAAAAAAAAAGAAAAGAAAATGAAATCGAGTCAAAGAAAAAAGGATTCTTTTATGATGATTTCACTAACTCCTGTATCTTTTTTTTTTTTTTTTTTAGTACTCTACAGGCAGGCGCCACCCCGCCCAGCTAATTTTTGTATTTTCAGTAGAGATGTGGTTTCACCATGTTGGTCAAGATGGTCTCGATCTCTTGACCTCATGATCCACCCGCCTTGGCCTCCCAAAGTGCTGGGATTACAAGCGTGAGCCACCGCGCCCAGCCACTCCTGTATCTTTTATACATTTTTTACTAAAAAGTCAGAAATGAAATGATATGAAATATATAAACACACAGCCAGGCATGGTGGCAGGTGCCTCCAGCCTGGGTGACAGAGGGAGACTCTGTCTCAAAAAAAAAAAAAAAAAAATACATAAACAGTCTCTCACAGTGGCTAAGACATAGGGCTACAGCTTTAGGAAGACATACACTGAAATAATAGATTAGTTGCTTGCTTTCTGAACTCTCTCAGGTATGGCTTTAACTATAAAATGGGAAATTAATCGCTACATGCTAAGGCTGCTATGAAAATATAAGGCCGGACGCGGTGGCTCACGCCTGTAATCCCAGCACTTTGGGAGGCCAAGGCGGTGGATTACCTGAGGTCAAGAGTTCGAGACCAGCCTGGCCAACATGGTGAAACCCCATCTCTACTAAAAATACAAAAATTAGCCTGGCGTGGTGGCACGTGCCTGTAATCCCAGCTACTCGGGAGGCTGAGGCAGGAGAGTTGCTTGAACCAGGAAGCCGAGGTTGCGGTAAGCAGAGATAGCATCACTGCACCCCAGCCTGGGCAACAAAGAACGCAACTCTGTCTCAAAAATGTGTATATATAAAACTACGACAATAATACGTGCTCAATAAATGATACCTATTTTTATTATTAAGAGAGAAATGCTAACAATCAGAAGATTAGACCCATATTTATACTCAATTTATGGCATGACAATTTATATGCTTTCAGGAAGAAAAATCCCATATCTATTAATTTTTGGTTAATGTGTACACGATTGACACATCCTGAATTTAAAAAGCTTTTATTCTTCCTTAGTACTCTAAATATTATGAATAAAAAAGACATAATGAGATAAACATTCATAGTATATCTGGATTTGGGAATTTTCTGTTGTTCTAAAAACATAGCTGGGTATCTGAGGGCATAGATGAATGACCTGAGTCTCCAAGAAAGGCTTTTGTCCATTAAAATAAAATTAAAAAATACTTTGGGACCAAACTTCTACGATCTTACTGGTGTGGGTTATAGAAGAAACATGAGAGATTTAGTTCAAAAGGAAGGGAGAAAACTATCATGAAAGACAGATTCCTCCAAAAACTCACTTTGGTCTCTTTTTATATGGTTGCTGAGGTGGTGTGATTGCCTTTGGTTCTGGAGAGTCTGGGGGAGACAGATCTCCACCAGGGAGCTCTGGAGGGAGAGGAAGGTCTGTGAGTAAGTGACGTGTCCTCTGTTCCTTCTCTTTCTTCACAGGTTTTGAAGGAAGAGTTTCTTTTGGACTAAACAATAAATGAGAAGAGATGACAAAATTACAATTAAAGATACGCAAATAAAAATTTTCAAAGATCATAATGCCTGGTTACGAAAAGGTTAGAAAGATCTAATTTTTAAGGAAAAAAACCTGTACTATAACATAAAAAAAAATAATTAATCACAACTAAAGATACTTAATTTTTTTCTTTTTTTTTTGAGACAGAGTATCACTCTGTCGCCCAGGCTAGAATGCAGTGGCGTGATCTTGGCTCACTACAACCTCTGCCTCCTGGGTTCAAGTGATTCTCCTACCTCAGCTTCCCAAGTAGCTGGGATTACAGGCGTGTGCCACCATGCCAGACTAATTTTTGTATTTTTAGTAGAGATGGGGTTTCACCATGTTTGCCAGGCTGGTCTTGAACTCCTGGTCTCAAATGATCCACGTGCCTCGGCCTCCCAAAATGCTGGGATTACAGGCGTGAGCCACCATGCCTGGCTGAGATAAATTTTATAAATAGAAATCTATAGTATATTTTAAAAACAATGAAATATTTGTGATATTACTTGCAGTTCCCTTTATCAAACTCTTAATATATCGTTCCTAAGATTTTATTTGGAGTTTTATTGAGATGAAATAAAATTCACCTGGGCATGGTGGCTCACCCCTGTGATCCCAGCACTTTGGGAGGCTGAGGCAAGAGGATTGCTTGAGGCCAGGAGTTTGAGACCACCCTGGAAAACACAGTGAGACTCCATCACTACAAAAAATTAAAAAAAAAAAAAAAAAATTAGGCCAGGCACGGTGGCTCAAGCCTGTAATCCCAGCACTTTGGGAGGCTGAGGCGGGCAGATCACGAGATCAAAAGTTCGAGACCAGCCTGGCCAACATAGGGAAACCCCATCTCTACTAAAACTACAAAAAATTAGCCGGGCATGGTAGCAGCTGCCTGTAATCCCAGCTACTCAGGAGGCTGAGGCAGGAGAATTGCTTGAATCGTTCCAGTGAGCCAAGATCGTGCCACTGCACTCCAGCCCAGGCAACAGTATGAAACTCCGTCTCAAAAAAAAAAAAAAAATTAGAACAGGCACAGTACTCATGCCTGTAATCCCAGCACTTTGGGAGGCTGAGGTGGGCAGATCACTTGAGGTCAAGAGTTGAAGATCAGCCTGGCCAGCCTGGTGAAACCCTGTCTCTACTAAAAATATAGAAACTGGCCAGGCACGGTGGCTCACGCCTGTAATCTTAGCACTTTGGGAGGCCAAGGTGGGCAGACTGCCTGAACTCAGGAGTTCGAGACCAGCCTGGGCAATACAGTGAAACCCCATCTCTATTAAAATACAAAATTTAGCTGGGTGCACCTGTACTCCCAGCTACTCAGGAGGCTGAGGCAGGAGAACTGCTTGAACCCCAGGGGTGGAGGTTGCAGTGAGCTGAGATCGCGCCACTGCACTCCAGCCGGAGAGACAGAGTGAGACTCCATCTCGAAAAAAAAAAAAAAAAAATTAACTGGGTGTGGTGGTGTAATTCCAGCTACTCGAGAGGCTGAGGCAGGAGAATTGCTTGAGCCTAGGAGGAGGAGGTTGCAGTGAGCTGAGATCGCACGACTGCACTCCAGCCTGGGTGACAAGACTCTGTCTCAAAAATAATTAGCTGGACATGGTGGTATAAGTGTGTGTTTCCAGCTACTTGGGGGCAGATGGCAACCGGCAGTCCTGGGGTGGGAGCATCATTTGAGCCCAGGAAGTCAAAGCTACAGTGAGCCATCACCATGCCATTGCACTCCACCCTGGGCAACAAAGGGCAGCTCTGTCTCGAAAAATAAAAAATTTAAAAATAGAAATAAAATGCAGGAAGTAATTTTCTTAAATTCACAAAGTATCACTGCAACTCGTGGAGTTCATCGAATTTACTCTACATTTTAGCAAAGATTTAACAAACAAGAAGAGCTCAACAATTTAATACTACTCTATCGCTAAAGAGGTGCAAAAATCTTGGAAAAAAGAAATAGTATTTTAGAATGCTTTCCCTGTAAAAAATATAAATTGCCGAAGATATTTACAAAAAAATAGAAATATAGCTAAGTTGTAAGTCAAAACTAATAAAAAATATACTGAATCATTCCGTTCACTTCAAAGCAGAAGGCAAACCTGACCAGCCAAAATAGACAATCATCAAACTAAAAATCTAAAGAAAAAGGGTCCAAGCAACTATTTCAGAATTATTAAGGCACCTGGTGGCAGAAGCCTCTCCCAGTAATCAGTAAATTATAGTAGTCAGTGGGGTTTTGTAGAAAGATAGGTTTCCAGGAATAGATCAGAAAAGTCAGTTTTCAATCTTTTTTTTTTTTTGAGACAGGGACTCACTTTGTTGCCCAGGCTGGAATGCAATGACACAATCATGGCTCACTGCAGCCTCAATTTCCCGGGCTCAAGCAACACTTTCACCTTAGCCTCCTAAGAAGCTGGGACCACGGCACACACCAACACACCCAGCTAATTCTTGAAATTTTTTGTAGAGACAAGGTCTTGCCATATTGCCCAGGCTAGTCACAAAATCCTGGACCTCCCCAAGTGATGCTCTTGCCTCGCCTCCTACCACGTATGGCCCAGATACAATTTTTTGCCTATCTCAATTTATTAATAAGTGGTAGAGAAATTTTGTGCCAAGAGCCAGGTGTGGTGGCTCATGCCCGTAATACCAACACTTTGGGAGGCCAAGGCAGGCGGATCAGTTGAGCCCAGGAGTTCAAGACCAACCTGGCCAACATGGTGAAACCTCATCTCTATTAAATAAAGATACAAAAATTAGCTGGGCATGGTGGCATGTGCCTGTAGTTCCAGCTACTTGTGAGGCATGAGAATTGCTTGAACTGGGGAGGTCAAGGTTGCAGTAAGCCGAGATCGTGCCACTGCACTCCAGCCTGGGTGACAGGGCAAGACTTTATCTCAAAAAAAAAAAAAAAAAAAAAAAAAAATTGTGTCATGCACATCCTCAGAAAAAATAAGACATCTATAGTACAACAGACTAACTCATGTCTACAAATAAAATCAGGCCAGATAGGTCTTCTCTATTCCTTCACAGTATCAGATGGTTGAAAAAGATCTGAGAACCTTAACCACAGGCAATCTTCTCTATTTTTATGACAGGTAGTTATAAAGGAAAATATTGGTGCTTTGCATGAATATTTCCTAGACCACAAAGATCTATCTCTTGCAATGTATCTTTTTAAAGAATACTGTTAACCCTTGTGTGTGAATTTTCCATAAAAGAATGTCATTTACTCAAAATATAAGAACATAAATCTCAACAGCTATTGACTCCTGCCAATTTTTATCGTTTTAATCCCTTGTAAATCAGACAGAACAATACAATATAGGTTAGTTTGTACCACATCAACCAGAACTGGGATAGTCAGTGGAGTAGATAATGATCATCTGAAACTTTCTGTTGAAATACTGGGAGAGATGAACATGCAACATTATTATAATCTGCACTCAGATTTTTCCATCCTAGAAACAAAACTTATTATCAGAAAACTCTTTGAGTCACAATGTAATATAGATTCTTTTTTTTTGAGACGGAGTCTCCCTCTATTGCCCAGGTTGGAGTACAGTGGTGCAATCTTGGCTCACTGCAACCTCTGCCTCCTGGGTTCAAGTGATTCTGCTACCTCAGCCTCCCAAGTAGCTGGGACTACAGGCGTGTGCCACTACGCCCGGCTAGTTTTTTGTATTTTTAGTAGAGATGGGGTTTCACCATATTGGCCAGGCTGGACTCGAACTCCTGACCTCATGATCTGCCCACCTCAGCCTCCCAAAGTGCTGGGATTACAGACATGAGCCACCGCACCCCACCAACATAGATTTTTTAAATTATTCTAATTTTTAAGATGTTCAGCGAAAAAAAACTTGTAATTTCTCAACCACTGTCGGAATATTCTTTACAAATCTCAATTCCTCATTATTCAAAACAGATTTCTTCTTGGTTTGGCTTCACTAGAAGAACAAGAAAAATCAGGCTGAGCATGGTGACTCATGCCTGTAATCCCACTACTTTGGGAGCCAAGGCAGGAAGATTGCTTGAGCCCAGGAGTTCAAGACCAGCCTGAGCAACATAGTGAGACCTTATCTCTAAAAAAAATAAACAAAGTTAGCTGGGAGTGGTGGCATGCACTTCTGGTCCCAGCTACTATCGAGGCTGAAGCGAGAGGATCACTTGAGCCAGGGAAGGAGGCCAAGGTTGCAGTGAGCCATGATTGTGCCACTGCACTCCAGTCTAAGTGACAGAGCAAGATTCTGTTTCACAGAAAAAAAAAAAAAAAAAAAAAAGAGGCAGGGTGCAGTGGCTCATGTCTGTAATCCCAGCACTTTGGGAGGCCAAGCGGGCGGATCACCTGAAGTCAGGAGTTCAAGACCAGCCTAGCCAACATGGTGAAACCGCATCTCTACTAAAAGTACAAAAATTAGCTGGGCATGGTGGTGCACTCCCAAAATCCCAGCTACTTGGGAACCTGAGGAAGGAGAATCGCTTCAACCCAGGAGGCAGAGGTTGCAGTGAGCCAAGATCACCCCACTGCACTCCAGCCTGGGCGACAGAGCAAGACTCTGTCTCAAAAAAAAAAAAAGAAAAAGAAAAAAGAAAAATTAAGGTATTTTAATTGTGTCATCATCATTTCAAATAAATTCAGTCTATGGTTTTTTGTCTGTTTGGAGACAGGATCTTGCTGTGTCACCCAAGCTGGACTGTAGTGGTGCAATCATAGCTGACTGCAGCCTCGAGGCTCAAGTGATCTACCCACTACAACATTCCAAGCAGCTGAGACTACAGGTGCATACCACCACAGCTGCTTTTTTTTTTTTTAAGAGACAGGGGCCAGGCACAGTGGCTCATGCCTATAATCCCAGCACTTTAGGGGGCCGAGGCCGGGGATCATGAGGTCAGGAGATCAAGACCATCCTGGCAAACATTGTGAAACCCTGTCTCTACCAAAATACAAAAAAAATTAGCCAGGCGTGGTGGCACCCGCCTGTTAGTCCCAGCTACTCAGGAGGCTGAGGCAGGGGAATCACCTGAACCCGGGAGGTGGAGATTAGTGAGCTGAGATTGAGCCACTGCACTCCAGCCTGGCGACAGAGTGAGACTCTGTTTCCCAAAAAAAAAAAAAAAAAAAAAAGGGGGGGGATGCCTAAGCTCTGGTCTCAAACTCCCACCTGAAGCAATCCTCCAGCTTGGCCTCCTAAAGTGCTGGGATCACAGGCATCAGCCACCATGCCCAGCCAATCTGTGTTTCATATTTTTGTTTTCTCCAATGTTTACTTTATGAGCTCAAATAAAGTACTAATACAGATTAGGTACTCTCTTATCCACAATGCCTCAAACCAGAGTGTCTGAACTTTTTTTTTTTTTTTTTTTGAGACAGAGTCTCGCCCTGTCGCCCAGGCTGGACTGCAGTGGCGCGATCTCAGCTCACTGCAAGCTCCGCCTCCTGGGTTCACGCCATTCTCCTGCCTCAGCCTCCCGAGTAGCTGGGACCACAGGCACCCACCATCACGCCTGGCTAATTTTTTGTATTTTTAGTAGAGACGGGGTTTCACCATGTTAGCCAGGATGGTCTCGATCTCCTGACCTCGTGATCCGCCCGCCTCGGCCTCCCAAAGTTCTGGGATTACAGGCGTGAGCCACCGCACCCGGCCTGAGTGTTTCAAATTTTTAAAATTTTTAGATTTTGGATTATTTGCATTATACTGGATGAGCATATTCAATGCAAAAATCTGAATACTGAAATGCTCCAATGAGCATTTCCTTTGAGTATCATGTCAGCGCTAAAAATGTTCCTGATTTTGGAGGATTTCTAGATTTTTGGATTAGGGATATTGAACATGTATGAAAAATGTATACTGCTTCTAAAATATTACATTTTTAGCATGTTTATTTCAAGACAGAATGAGTATTTGATAGGTTATGTCCTACCAGTTCAGGATATACAATTTGAATAGAGGTCAAATCCTGTTTCAGTAAATTCCAATGTACTAAAAACCTTGAAAATTTAATGACAGCCTCAAAACTACAATGCTTAACATTATCACCTTTAGCATAGGACACTCAGTATTATAAAGGGTTGCGGACATGTGGTACATGCAAAGTGAGTCTATCATAGGGGAGCAGATACTATACATCACAGTCATTACTTGAAAAGTCACTACCAGGAAGCGCTGATGTACCCTAACTATATCAGTATTTCCTAGTTCCCCATTTATACCTATACACAAATTCACATGTGGTAATTAGGTTTCATAATACATGTGTAATTTAAAAACCTACCAAGCTCTAGGACTGCCAAACTTTTAGAATATGAATAGTATTTTGGAATCTGAACTGAATCTGTGGGTGTAATGGAAACACTTCTAATAAAAATACTGTTAATAAAAAAAGAATATAGACCAGGAATGGTGACTACGGCCTGTAGTCCCAGCTCTTTGGAATGCCGAGGTAGGCATATCACTTAAGGCCAGGAGTTTGAGACCAGCATGGCCAACATGGTGAAACCCTGTCTCTTCTAAAAATACAAAAACTTAGCCAAGTGTGGTAGCTCATGCCTGTAATCCCAGCCACTTGGGAAGTTGAGGCATGAGAATCACTTGAACCTGGAGGCAGCAGTTGCAGTGAGCCAAGATCATGCCACTGCACTCCAGCCTGGGCAACAGAGCAAGATCCTGTCTCAAACAAAAAAAAAAGAAAAAATATAAAATTTATAAATATTTACGCCAGGGGTGGTGGCTCACGCCTGTACTCTCAGCACTTTGGGAGGCCAAGGTAGGCGGATCATGAGAGTAAGAATCCGCCTCAAAAAATAAATAAATAAATAAATAAATAAATAAATAAATAAATAAATTGTAACTGTTTAAAAAACACTAAATTTTTCAATGAGATAATTTGCCCATTTTAACAGCGTAAACTACTTTAAATATAATCCTTTATCTCCTTCCCCTTGAAGTTGGTTGTTTAAAACATGATTTCAGACCAGGCACGGTGGCTCATGCCTGTAATCCTAGCACTTTAGAAGGCCAAGGAAGGTGTATTCCTTGTGTCTAGGAGTTCTACTACCCTGGACAACACAGTCAAACTCCATCTCTACAAAAAAGTACAAAAATTAGCCAGGCATGATGGCACGTGCCTGTAGTCCAAGCTACTTGAGAGGCTGAGGTGGAAAGATCGCTCCAGCCTAGCAGGTAGAGGATACTGTGAGCTGTGCACAGGCCACTGAACTCCAGCATGGGCGACAAAGGGAAAACTTGTCTCTTAAAAAAAAAAAAGAAAAGAAACAGTGATTTCACCACTATTTACAAACTTTTATCAAAAATTTAGTTGAGCCAGGGCGAGGTGGCTCACGCCTGTAATGCCAGCACTTTGGGAGGCCAAGGCGGGTGGATCACTTGAGGACAGGAGTTCGAGACCAGCCTGACCAACATGGTGAAACCCCGTCTCTACGAAAAATACAAAAATTAGCCAGGCGTGGTGGCACAAGCCTGTAACCCCAGCTATTCAGGAGACTGAGGCAGCAGAATCACTTAAATCCAGGAGGCGAAGGTTGCAGTGAGCCGAGATCATGCCACTGTACTCCAGCCTAGAGGACAGAGTGAGACTCCGTTTCAAAAAAAAAAAAAAAAAAAAATTTAGTTGAGGCAGGCATAGTGGCTCTCACCTGTAATCCCAGCACTTTGAAAGGCTGAGGCAGGTGGATTGTTTGAGGCCAGGAGTTAGATAACAGCCTAGCCAATATGGCATAACCCCTCTCTACTAAAAATACAAAGATCAGCCAAGCATGGTGGCACATGCCTGTAATCCCAGCTGCTTGGGAGGCTAAGGCACAAGAATTGTTTGAACCTGGGAGGCGTAGGTTGCAGTGAGCTGAGTTCATACCACAGCACTCCAGCCTGGGTGACAGAGAGACACTCTGCCTCAAAAAAAAAAAAAAAAAAAAATGTAGTTGATTGTTCACTTTGGCAGCACATACACTAAAACCGTAACAATACAGAAAAGATTATCATGGCCCCTGCACAAAGATGACACAAATTCGTGAAGTGTTCCCTAAAAAAAAAAGTTTAGTTAAGTACATAAAAAATGGAAACCAAGCATCCCATTCTACTAGGAAAATCCTGGTTCATTTGGAGTTTACTGAACTTATAGAGATACAGCCTTTAAAAATAATGTAGACTCCCCTGAAGTTCAGTACGCTCCAAATGAACAAGGCTATTAGAAAAACAGAGCAAGGCCAGGTGCGGTAGCTCAGGCCTGTAATCCTAGCACTCTGAGAGGCCGAGGCGGGTGGATCACCTGAGGTCAGGAGTTCAAGACCACCTTGGCCAAAATGGTGAAACCCCATCTCTATTAAAAACACAAAATTAGCAGGGTGTGGTGGCACACGCCTGTAATCCAGCTACTCAGGAGGCTGAGGCAGGAGAATTGGTTGAACCCAGGAGGTGGAGGTTGCAGTGAGTGGAGATCACAACACTGCACTCCAGCCTGGGCTAAAAAAAGCGAAACTCTGTTAAAAAAAAAAAAAAAAGGCAAGCCAGGCTCATGCCTGTAATCCCAGCACTTTGGGAGGCCGAGGCGGGCAGATCACAAGGTCAGGAGTTTGAGACCAGCCTGGCCAACCTGGTGAAACCCCATCTCTACTAAGGATACAAAAAATTAGCCAGGCATGGTGGCGCTTGCCTGTAATCCCAGCTACTTGGGAGGGTGAGGCAGGAGAATCACTTCAACCCGGGAGGCGGAGGTTGCAGTGTGCCGAGATAGTGCCATCGCAGTCCAGCCTGGGCAACAGGATGAGACTTTGTCAAAAAAAAAAAAGAAAAAAGAAAAGAGAAAGAGAGAGAGAGAGAGAGAGAGAGAGAGAGAGAGAGAGAGAGAGAGAGAGAGAGAGAGAGAGAGAGAGAGAGAGAGAGCGCGCGAGCGAGCAAGCACATAAGTGCTGGGCGCAGTGGCTCACACGTGTAATTCCAGCACTTTGGAAGACCAAGGTGGGCAGACTGCTTGAGCTCAGGAGTTCGAGACCAGCCTGTGCAACATGGCAAAACTTGGTCTCTACCAAAAATGTAAAAAAAAAAACAGCCGGGCATGGCTTGTGATTGTAGTCCCAGCTACTCAGGAGGCTGAGGCCAGGAGGTGGAGATTGCAGTGAGGCAAGATCACGCCAGTGTACCCCAGCCTGGGTGACAGTGAGATTCTGCCACAAAAAAAAAAAAAAAAGAGAAAGAAGAAAAGAAGACTTTAAAAATTCTATATGGTTAACTGAAATTTCTTTTTTTTTTTTCTTTTTTTTTTTGAGACGGAGTTTCGCTCTTGTTGCCCAGGCTGGAGTGCAATGGCGTGATCTCGGCTCACCGCAACCTCCGCCCCCCGAGTTCAAGGGATTCTCCTGCCTCAGCCTCCCAAGCAGCTGGGATTACAGGCATGGGCCACCAAACCCTGCTTATTTTGTACTTTTAGTAGAGACGGGGTTTCTCCATGTTGGCCAGGCTGGTCTCCAACTCCCGACCTCAGGTGATCCGCCGGCCTCGGCCTCCCAAAGTGCTGGGATTACAGGCGTGATCCACCACTCCCGGCTGGTTAACTGAAATTTCTAAGAAAAGTATACAGATGATCTACTTAAGGCAGAAATATATCCATTAATAGCTATGGTCATGTAGATTGTACTATGTTGGACGTGGGCTGCCTTGCTTCTTGAAATCAAGAATTATAGACCACAAATGAGAAAGGCTTTTGAAATACCATTAGCTGAATTCACTCTTGCATTTGATACCTGAGCTAGTACACTCCTATTCAAAATACATGTTTGAAAGAAAAGAAAAGTTTCGGCTGGGCGTGCTGGCTCACACCTGTAATCCCAGCACTTTGGGAGGCCAAGGCAGGTGGATCACTTGAGGTCAGAGGTTCGAGATCAGCCTGGCCAACGTGGTGAAACCCTCTCTCTACTACACATACAAAAAATTAGTTGGAATCCCAACTACTTGGGAGACTGAGGAAGGTGGATCGCTAGAACCCAGGAGGCAGAGGTTGCAGTGAGCTGAGATCGCACCATTGCACTCCAGCCTGGGCAACTAGCAAAACTCTCAAAAAAACAAAACAAAACAAAAAAAAAACTAGCTGGGCATGGTGGTACATGCCTGTAATCCTAGCTACTTGGGAGGGTGACGCAGGAGAATCACTTGGGATTCAGAGATGGAGATGGAGGTTACAGTGAGCCAAGATCACGCCACTGCACTCCAGCCTGGACGACAAAGTAAGACTCTGTCTCGGAAAAAAAAAAAAAAAGTAAAGTTTCATTCTTTTCCCAAAATGACACTAAATCCTCTAGGCTGGACACGGTGGCTCGCGCCTATATCCCAGCACTTTGGGAGGCCCAGATGAGTGGATCACATGAAGTCAGGAGATTGCAATCAGCCTGGGAAAGATGGTAAAACCCCGTCTCTACTAAAAATATAAAAATTAGCTAGGCGTGATGGCGGGGGCCTATAATCCCAGCTACTCAGGCAGCTGAGGCAGGAAAATCGCTTGAACCCAGGAAGTGGAGGTTGCAGTCAGCCGAGATCACGCCATTGCACTCCAGCCTGGGCAACAAGAGCAAAACTCTGTCTTAAAAAAAAAAAAAAAAGCCAGTGCAGTGACTCACGCCTGTAATCCCAGGACTTTGGGAGGCCAAGGTGGGTGGAGCACCTGAGGTCAGGAATTTCAGACCAACCTGGCCAACATGAGGAGACCCTGTCTCTACTAAAAATACAAAAATTAGCCAGGCATGGTGGTGAGCACCTATAGTCTCAGCTACTTGGGAGGCTGAGGCAGGAGAATTGCTTGAACCCGAGAGGCGGAGATTACAGTGAGCCGAGATCATGCCACTGCATCCTAGCCTGGGCAACAGAGCAAGACTCTGTCTCGGGGGAAAAAAACAAAAAACAAAACAAAACAAAAAAAAACAGACAAATCCTCTAATGTAAGCTTTATGTTCTTTATGTGCACACTGACTTCTTTTACAAGTCCACTGTCATTTCACACAAGCCCTGATCCTGGCTCCATTAGAAGTTTTATTTACCCATCAATTAAAATAACCAACATTACTAATTGCATTCTGTATTCCACCCACAACATACTAAAAATGATGTGTAAGTCACATTCTCAACATTATGCTGCTGCAGTCTCGAGTGAGAAGATAAAACAGAGAATATAAGTGAGCTCCTTACAAAACTTTTAGATTTTTTTTTTTTTTTTTTTTTCAGACGGAGTCTCGCTCTTGTCGCCCAGGCTCGAGTGCAGTGGCATGATCGCGGCTCACTGCAAGCTCCGCCTCCCGGGCTCATGCCATTCTCCTGCCTCAGCCTCCCGAGCTGCTGGGACTACAGGGGCCCGCCACCATGCCCGGCTAATTTTTTGTATTTTTAGTAGAGACGGGGTTTCATCGTGTTAGCCAGGATGGTCTCGATCTCCTGACCTCGTGATCTGCCCGCCTCAGCCTTCCAAAGTGCTGGGATTACAGGTGTGAGCCACCGCACCCGGCCATTAGATTTCTTTCTAAAAAGCTTTCCTATGTAAAAATTACTTTTCATGTCAAAGATAGGAGCAGCTGGTACATGGATATGGAGCAGCTGGTACATGGATATAGCAGCACACACACACATACAAAATAGAAACAGAAACACATCATGAATTTAAAATAAAAAAATAAAATTGATAATGGAAGACATCCTCATCTCATTTTCTTTGATACAACATCTCACTGTTATCCAGGCTAGAGTGCAGTGGTGCGATCATGGCTCACTGTAGCTCTGACCTTCCAGGCTCCAGTAATCATCCCACCTCAGTCTCCCAAGTAGCTCAGACCACAGGTGCATGCTATCATGCCTTTTCTTGTTTAATGGTAGAAACAGGGTCTGGCTATGTAGCCTAAAACACATGGGCTCAAACAAGCCTCTTGCCTTGGCCTCCCAAAGGGCTGGGATTATAGGAGTGAGCCACAGCACCTGGTCTATTTCCGTTTTTCTACCTTTAATAATTTATTTATATGTAGAATACTGATAATAATCATGGCCAGGGCTGGGCACGTTGGCTCATGCTTCCAATCCCAGCACTATGGGAGGCCAAGGCAGGTGGATCACCTAAGGTCAGGAGTTCGGGACCAGCCTGGATGACATGATGAAACCCTGTCTCTACTAAAAATACAAAAAAATTATCCGGATATGGTGGCATGCGCCTGTAGTCCCAGCTACTGGGGAGGCTGAGGCAGGAGAGTCATGTGAACCCCAGAGGCAGAAGTTGCAGTGAGCTGAGATTGAGCCACTGCACTCCAGCTTGAGTGACAGCAGGAATCCATCTCAAAAAAAAAAATAATGGCCAAACTCAGTGGCTCACACATGTAATGCCAGCATTTAGGGATGCCAAGGTGGAAGGATCACATGAGTTGAGGAGTTTGGGACAAACCTGGGCAACATAGCAAGACCCCGTCTCTTAAAAAAAAAAAAAAAGAGGTGGAGGAGGAGATGGCTAAAAAAAAAAAAAATCATGTTTAAAAATAATTAGATGGGCCCGGTGCAGTGGCTCATGCCTGTAATCCCAGCACTTTGGGAGGCCGAGGCAGGCAGACCCCGAAGTCAGGAGTTCAAGACCAGCCTGGTCAATGTAGTGAAACCCCGTCTCTACTAAAAATACAAAAATAGGCGGGGTGCAGTGGCTCACGCCTGTAATCCCAGCACTTTGGGAGGCCAAGGTGGGCAGATCACGAGGTCAGGAGATCGAGATCATCCTGGCTAACACGGCGAAACCCCATCTCTACTAAAAAATACAAAAAATTAGCTGGGCGTGGTGGCAGGCGCCTGTAGTCCCAGCTACTCGGGAGGCTGAGGCAGAAGAATAGCGTGGACCCAGGAGGTGGAGCTTGCAGTGAGCCAAGATCGAGCCACTGCACTCCAGCCTGGGCGACAGAGCAAGACTCTGACTCAAAAAAAAAAAAAAAATAAATAATAAATAAATAAAAATAAAAATACAAAAATTAGCTGGGCACAGTGGCTCACGTCTGTAATCCCAGCACTTTGGGAGGCCAAGGTGGGTGGATCACCTGAGGTCAGGAGTTCGAGACCAGCCTGACCAACACAGTGAAACCCCGTCTCTACTAAAAATACAAAAAAATGAGCTGGGCATGGTGGCATGCGCCTGTAGTCCCAGCTACTTGGGAGGCTGAGGCAGGAAAATCGCTTGAACCCAGGAGGTGGAGGTTGTGGTGAGCCAAGATCGCGCCACTACACTCCAGCCTGGGCAACAGGGTGAGACTCACTCCAGCCTGGGCAACAGTGAGACTCCAGACTTCATCTAAAACAAAAACAAAAATAAAAACACTACAAAAATTAGCCAGACATGGTGGCACACACCTGTAGTCCCAGCTACTCAGGAGGCTGAGGCAGGAGAATCGCTTGAACCCTGGTGGTGGAGGTTGTGGTGAGCCAAGATGGCACCACTGCACTCCAGCCTGGGCAACAGAGTGAGACTGTCTCAAAAAATAATAATAATAATTAGATTAGGGCTGGACTTGGTGGTTCACGCCTGTAATTCCAGCACGTTGGAAGCCCGAGGCAGGTGGATCATTTAAGGTCAGGAGTTTGTAACCAACATGGTGAAACCCCCATCTCTAATAAAAATACACAAATTAGCCAGGCGTGGTGGTGGGCACCCGTAATCCAAGCTACTCAGGAGGCTAAGGCAGGAGAATCGCTTGAACTTGGGAGGCGGAGGTTGCGTGAGCTGAGATTGCCCCATTGCACTCCAGCCTGGGCGACAGAGCAGAACTCTGTCTCAAAAAAAAAAAAAAAAAAAAAAAAAAAAAGGCAGGCATGGTGGCTCATGCCTGTAATCTCTGCACTTTGTGGGGCCAAGGCAGGTAGATCACCTGAGATCAGGAGTTCCTGACCAGCCTGGCCAACAGGGCGAAACCCATTGTCTACTAAAAATACAAAATTAGTTGAACATGGTGGCAGGTGCCTGCAATCCCAGCTACTTGGGAGGCTGAGGCAGGAGAATTGCTTGAACCCGGGAGGCGGATGCAGCCGAGATCACATCACTGCACTCCAGCCTGGACAACAAGGGCAAAAATTCCATCTCAAAAAATAAATAAATAAAATAATAAATAGTTGGGGCACGGGGATTCATGCCAGTAATCTCAGTACTTTGGGAGGCTGAGGCGGACAGATCATGAGATCAAGACATCGAGACCATCCAGGAGAAATATGGTGAAACCCTACCTCTACTAAAAATACAAAAATTAGCTGGGTGTGGTGGCGGGTGCCTGTGGTCCCAACTACTCGGGAGGCTGAGACAGGAGAATCGCTTGAACCCTGGGAAGTTGCAGTGAGCCAAGATCTTGCCACTGCACTCCAGCCTGGCTATGGAGAGAGAATCTATCTCAAAAAAGAAAAAAATCATCAAGATGCTTTTTGTTTCCTAAACATTTTTCTGAAGTAAAAAAAAAAAAAATCAAGATTCTTACCCACATTAATATTCTAGCCACTATGTAAACAAGTATTGAAATGAGGTTCCTATAGCTAAAGGGCCAGGGTCCCTTTGGACAATGCTCAACTATTTCCTTTTCCAACAAAAACTATAAAAATATGGCTTTTATCTTTTTATCTATGGCTTTTATCTATCTATATTTTGGACCTCAAGTTAATTTTTTCCACATAAATTTGAGATTCTGTTCCTGACATGGTGGCTCACACCTGTAATCTCAGTATTTTGGGAGGCCTAGGTGGGCGAATCACGAGGTCAGGAGTTCGAGACCAGCCTGGCCAACATGGTGAAACCCTGTCTCTACTAAAAATACAAAAAATTAGCTGGGCGTGGTGGCAGGCACCTGTAATCCTAGCCACTCGGGAGGCTAAGGTAGAAGAATCGCCTGAACCTGGGAGATGGAGTTTGCAGTGAGCCAAGATCGCCACTGCACTCCAGCCCGGACAACAGTGTGAGACACCGTCTCAAAAAAAAAAAAAAAAAATTTCAGGTTCTCTTCTCTTCTGTAATTTTCATCACGTGGCAGAATTTGTTATTACTTTTTAATTAAAATTTTATTTTTAAAGACAGGGTCTCTTTCACACAAGCTGGCGTACAGTGGCCCAATCATAGTTCACCGTAGCCTTGAACTCCTGGGCTCAAGTGATCCTCCTGCCTCAGCCTCCCAAGTAGCTAGGGCTAAAGGTACCTGCCACCACATCCAACTAATTTTTAAATGTTTTATAGAGATGGGGTCTCACTATGTTGTTGTCCAGGCTGGTTTTGAACTCCTGGCCTTAAACAGTCCTCCCACCATGGCCTCCCAAAGTACTGGGATTACATCCACAAAGCTCAGTCCATAAATACCTATTAATGTTAGAAAGAGTATATGGAATTTTTCTTTAAAATCACATTTTGGGTTGGGTGCAGTGGCTCATGCCTGTAATCCCAGCACTTTGGAAGGCCCAGGTGGGAGAATCATTTAAGGTCAGGAGTTCGAGACCAGCCTGGCCAACATGGTGAAACCCTGTCTCTACTAAAAATACAAAAATTAGCCAGGCATGGTGGCACATGCTTGTAATCTCAGCTACTCAGAGGAGCTGAGGCATGAGAATCACTTGAACCCAGGAGGCAGAGGCTGCAGTGAGCTGAGATCGCGCCATTGCACTCCAGCCTGGGCAACAGAAAGAGACTCCATCTCAAAAAAAAATAAAAATAAAAAATCAGATTTTGGCAGTCTGGTAATGCCAAAAAAAAAAAAAAAAAAAAAAGGAAACATCATATTTCTTTCTATAGTGATGGAGCCATTCCTTAAAATAGTTTTTTTCCCCCTTTCCATTTACTGTACTTGCATCTTCTCTAAAGAACAGAGGGTACGAAAAAACATACTTTCTCACCCAGAGGGCTGCAATGTATCATCATTCAAATGACCAATATTGGCCGGGAGTGGTGGTTCATGCCTGTAATCCCAACACTTTGGAAGGCCAAAGCAAGCGGATCACTTGAGTCCAGGAGCTCAAGACCAACCTGGGCAACATGATGTAACCCCATGTCTACAAAAAATAAATTAGCCGGGTGTAGTGGCATGCACCTGTAATCCCAACTAGTCAGGAAGCTGAGGTGGGAGGATCACTTGAGTCTGGGAGGCAGAAGTTGCAATAAGCCCAGATCACACCACTGCACTCCAGCCTGGGGGACAGAGCCAGATCCTGTCTCAAAATAAAATGAAATAAAATTACAATTATCACCTTGAAAGGAATGAAGGCTTGGGAATTAGGCTAGGATGCAAGATCGGTGGCACTTAATTTTGTGCTTACAATGAAAAGTTTGTTTCAATAAATGCAATTCACATCCCAAAGAGCACAATATCACAGTAGAATAAGCAAACCATAACACAAAGACTGCCATCACATGTCACTGCTAAAGCAAGTGTGTTTGGTGGTACTTGCCTAGTTAGTCCTGTCAAGATATTAAGGAAATACATATATACTGTTTTGAGACAAAGTTTCGCTCTGTCACCCAGGCTGGAGTGCAGTGGCATGACCTCGGCTCACTGCAGCCTCTGCCTCCTGAGTTCAAGCAATCCTCCCACCTCAGCCTTCTGAGTAGCTGGGATTACAGGCGCCTGCCACCACGCCTGGCTAATTTTTCTTTCTTTTTTTTTTTTTGAGACGGAGTCTGGCTCTGTTGCCCAGGCTAGAGGGCAGTGGCACGATCTCAGCTCACTGCAACCTCCACCTCCTGGGTTCAAGTAATTCTTCTGCCTCAGCCTCCCGAGTAGCTGGGACTATAGGCAACCGCCACCACGCCCAGCTAATTTTTGTATTTTTAGTAGAGACAGGGTTTCACCATATCAGGCTGGTCTTGAACTGCTGACCTCATGATTCGCCCGCCTTGGCCTCCCAAAGTGCTGGGATTAAAGGCATGAACCACCGCACCTGGCCACACCCGGCTAATTTTTGTATTTTTTTTAGTAGAGATGGGGTTCCATCGTGTTGGCCAGGCTGGTCTTGAACTCCTGGGTTCAAGTGATCTTATCTACCTCGGCTTTCCAGAGTGCTGAAATTACAGGCGTGAGCCACCAAGCCCAGCCTTAAAGAAGTATTTTTGTTAATGCCTTCTATAAAATTAGATTCATGCTTCATAATCATTTCAGTTCTCAATATACAGAGGACTCATTAAAATTAAAGCTCTTCCCATCATCCCATTGTGAATTATATTCTAATTAGCAAATACTTTACATATTATTCTTTTACTTTTTATGGAATAATTTCTTTTTTTTTAAAGCAGCCCTTTTCAAAATAATCCTAGTTTGGACCCTGGGATCAGGAGAGAAAAAACAAACCCGGCTATAAAAGACATTTTGTGAGTTATTTTGAATTCCAACTGAAAACAAAAACCAACAATAAAGACATTTTGGGGGCTACTGGGACTATTTGGTTAAATATTATGATTATTGATAGCTTTTTTTTTTTTTAAGACGGAGTCTCGCTCTATCGCCCAGACTGGAGTACAGCGGCGCGATTTCGACTTACTGCAACCTCCGCCTCCCAGGTTCACGCCATTCTCCTGCCTCAGCCTCCCAAGTAGCTGGGACTACAGGTGCCTGCCACCATGCCCAGCTAATTTTTTAAATCTTTAGTAGAGGCAGGGTTTCACCGTTGTTAGCCAGGATGGTCTCGATCTCCTGACCTTGTGATCCGCCCGCCTTGGCCTCCCAAAGTGCTGGGATTACAGGCGTGAGCCACCGCGCCTGGCCGATAGCATGTTATTTATATAACTATTGATGTTACTAAGTCAATGTTAAATTTTTCAGGGTGATGAAGATATTGTAATTATATAGAACGTTATTATTAGGAGAGACACACTGAAATATTTAGAAGTAAAGTGTCATGATATCCACAGAGCAAATACGGCAATATGCAATCTTGGCTCGCTGCAACCTCCATATCCTGGGTTCAAGCAATTCTCCTGCCTCAGCCTCTCAAGTAGCTGGGATTACAGGGGCCCACCACCACGCCCAGCTAATTTTTGTATCTTTAGTAGAGATGGGGGTTCACCATGTTGGCCAGCCTGGTCTTGAACCCCTGACCTCAGGTGATCTGCCTGCCCTAGCCTCCCAAAGTGCTGGGATTACAGGCATGAGTCACTGCATACAGCCTATTATTCTTTTAATTTTTCTATAGGTATTAATATTTTCAACAAAAATTTAAGGGAAAACTCGATTTTTTTAAAATTTTAATCAAAATTAGCATTATCAATAAACTTAGGCTAGGGATGGTGGCTCATGCCTGTAATCCCAGCACTTTGGCAGGCCCAGGTGGGAAAATCACTTGAGGTCAGGAGTTCCAGACCAGTATGGCCAACATGTTGAAACCCCATCTCTACTAAAAACACAAAAATTAGCCAGGCATGGTGGTGCATGCCTGTAGTCCCAGCTGCTGGGGAGGGTGAGGTGGGAGAATCGCTTGAACCTGTGAGGCAGATGTTGCAGTAAGCTGAGATGACGCCACTGCATTACAGCCTGGGCGACAGAGCAAGACCATGTCTCAAAATACAAAAAATACAAAATAAATAAAATAAACTTAATGATAAAATGGGTTAACCAGGCCTCAAATTCTAATTCTCTCTTCCCAAGTAATAATGTCATAATTACAGACTTTCCCACTGAAAATATCAAAGACATTTCCTGTTCATAAAACCATGAGGGTAGTGTTGACAAAGATTAAAACAGAAAATGCTTTATGTTTAGATCAAGGGGGTTTTTTCCAGTTCACTATAGGACTTACCTATCCATGTCATCATCTCCAGGTAATAAGGGTGGGAGGGGCAAAGGAGGCAACGTTGAAGTTTTCAGGTGTGGAATAGCAGCTGTTACAGATACTTGAGTCTTCACAGAAACCTGTACAGGGGGCTGAGAATTTGCCTGAGAGGACACAGCAGATGTCTTTGAGTGAGTAGAAGGGGGCAAAGTTGAAGTACTGGAAGCAGGAACCTGACTAAATGCTGGCTGAGAAGGAGGCAGAGGTGGTTGCTGTGGAAGAGCTGGTATTGGAGGCAAAGGTGGCAAAGGGGGTGTCTGAGGTGGAGGGGTAGTAGTTGGTAGAGGGGGTGGGGGAGAAGCAATTGTGGGAAGAGGTGGAGGGGTCTCCTTTTCTGATGTTTCTGTCTCCTTTGGAGTAACAATCTCCTCTTTCAGTGCTATGGGTTTAGAGTCTCTTGTTCCCTGTGCTTTCAAATCTTTAACAAGATGCTTCTCGGAGTTCTCATCCAACTTTACTTTCCCTGTATCTGAAGAATTTTTTACCTCTGTGTTTAGATGTGTTACATTCACCAGTTCAGTATCTGGGGCAGATTTTTCCAATTTTACACTTCTGGGTAACTTTTTAGACTCCAAACCTGAATCCTTAGCCTCTACTGAACTGTTCTCTTTTCTAGGCAAAAATACAGGTGAACCCTTGGACTCCTTTCCATCCATCTTTGCTGCAGCAGCAGCAGCTGCTCTTTCCTTCTTTTTCCTACTGAGTTCAGCTCCCAGACTGGAATTAAGTGGAAGCCTGACAGGTGAGATACTGGAATGACGACTGCGTGAACTGGATCTCTTCTTTTTACTATGAGAAGATGAATGTCTTGAATATGCAGGACTTCTACTTCTGGACTTCATGGATTTCCTACTGGAAAAATAAAAAGCCAGTTTTAAATGAATGGACTACAGTAGTATATGGAGGAAAACAGATCAATAAAACAAACTATGAAGAACTGTAACTTATCAATTGTAAAATAGATTAAGTGCCATCAAAAACGAGGACAGTCTGAGAAACCAGCCCAATCAAGAGGCACCCCAAGGAGACAGGACTAAATGTAAGATGGTATAATGAGTAAGATCCTGGAACAGAAAATGGACATTAGGTAGACTAAGTAAATCTAAATAAAGTATGGACTCCAGTTTATAATTATGTATCAATATTGGCTCATTAACTGTAACAACTGTACCACATTAATGTAAGATGTTAACAATAGGAGAAACTGGATGCAGGGATATATGAGACTTCTTTGCGCTATCTTCACAATTTTTCTGTAAATCTTAAACTACTCTAAAGAAATAAAGTTCATTTAAAAAATAGATTAAACTGGCTGGGCACGGTAGCTCACACCTGTAATCTCAGCACTTTGGGAGGCTGAGGCGGGCAGATCACCAGGTCAGCAGATCGAGACCATCCTGGCTAACACGGTGAAACCGCATCTCTACTAAAAAATACAAAAAATTAGCCAGGCGTGGTGGCAGGCACCTGTAGTCCCAGCTACTCAGGAGGCTGAGGCAGGAGAATGGCATGAACCTGGGAGGTGGAGCTTACAGTAAGCCACTGCACTCCAGCCTGGGCGACAGAGTGAGACTACATCTCAAAAAAAAAAAAAATAGATTAAACTAAATCCTACATGAAAACATATCTGAATCATATAACAATAAAATTATCTACTACTTATTCATCTGAAAAAAGATGGGTCACTATTTTTTTCCCACATTGGAAAAGAAACAGCCATACTCACAATGATTACTTTCAGAATTTTGAATTTAATCTTTGATAAAGTGAAAACAGGATAAGGCAGTCATGCTTGGCCAGGTGCGGTGGCTCACGCCTGTAATCCCAGCACTTTGGGAGGCCAAGATGGGTGGATCGCCTGACATTGGGAGTTCGAGACTAGCCTGACCAACATGGAGAAACCCCGTCTCTACTAAAAATACAAAATTAGCCAGGCGTTGTGGTGGGCGCCTGTAATCCCAGCTACTTGGGAGGCTGAGGCAGGAGAATCGCTTGAACCCAGGAGGCAGAGGTTACGGTGAGCCGAGATTGTGCCACTGCACTCCAGCCTGGGCAACAACAGCAAAATTCCGTCTCAAAAAAAAAAAAAAAAAAGAAGTCATACTCCATAGTAAAGGTGGGTTATATCCATCAGGAAGTTAAAAGCAACAAGCATGCTTCACCAAAACCTAAATTTGTTAGCTAGAGAGTTAAATGGCAGAGCCCAGAAAAATATGTTGTTCCTTGCATCCTCAGTTTATAATAAAGTTGTAAAGTTTAAAATAAAGTACTAAACAAATTCCCAACACATAAGGCTTAGGATTTACAAAACAAATAAAGTGGAGAAAATGATTTACCAAAATAACTTTTAGAACGTTTCAAAAACATGAGGGCTCCTAATATCTTTATTATAAAATGATTTCCAATAGACTTTTTAGAAACTCCTAAAGATATTATTGCATGTTTAATTAATTGTCTTCTTAAGAAAGGCTTTGGAAATAAAATCTGGGAATCTATGGGGCAGATCATTTTAAGTTGAAACCCAAATGTCATTAATTCTCATGACTTTTTACTAAAGCCTAACCTGCTAAGGCCTCAATGTGTGACAAAACAAAAAACCAACAAAGGCCGGGTGCTGTGGCTCACGCCTGTAATCCCAGCACTTCGGGAGGCCGAGGCAGCAGATCACGAGGTCAGGAGATCAAGACCATCCTGGCCAACATGGTAAAACCCTGTATCTACTAAAAATACAAAAATTAGCTGGGTGTGGTGGTACATGCTTGTATTCCCAGCTACTTGGGAGGCTGAGGGAGGAGAATCACTTGAACCCAGGAGGCGGAGGTTGCAGTAAGCCAAGGTTGCAGTGAGCAGAGATTGCGCCACTGCACTCCAGGCTGGCGACAGAGCGAAAATCTGTCTCAAAATAAATAAATAAATAAATAAATTAATTAATTAATTAAAATAAAAACATTAAAAGTGCCGGGCACTGTGGCTCACGCCTGTAATCCCAACACTTTCGGAGGCTGAGGCAGGCGGATTACCTGAGTTCGGGAGTTCGAGACCAGCCTGACCAATATGGAGAAACCCTGTCTCTACTAAAAATACAAAATTAGCCGGGCATGGTGATGCATGCCTGTAATCCCAGCTACTCGGGAGGCTGAAGCAGGAGAACCGCTTGAACCTGGGAGGCAGAGGTTGTGGTAAGCTGAGATTGTGCCAATGCACTCCAGCCTGGGCAACAAGAGTGAAACTCCGTCTCAAAAAAATAAATAAATAAAATAAAAATATTAAAAGCATAATTGGACAAAACAAAATTTTCCCAGTAGTCTAAAACAAATTGCTTCCATTCTAGATCATCACATCTTCCTTTATCTTTGATCAGGGAGATATGGTAAGACTGACATATAGTAAGACTGACATGAACCAAAATGTTTCAAAACAACATATATGTGTAAGGGAAACAACTTGCATAATGGCAGCGATGATTTTCTTTTACCTATACTGCTTCTTGCAAGTTTGCTTCCAAAAGTCAGTTAAAATATAAAATTATTATTGGAAGCTGGGCGCGGTGGCTCACGCCTGTAATCCCAGCATTTTGGGAGGCTGAGGCGGGTGGATCACCCTGATCAAGAGTTTGAGACCAGCCTGACCAATATGGTGAAATCCCAGCTCTACTAAAAATACAAAAAAATTAGCCGGGCATGGTGGTGTGCGCCTGTAATCCCAGCTGCTCGGGAGGCTAAGGCAGGAGAATTGCTTGAACCCGGGAGGCGGAGGTTGCAGTAAGCCAAGATCACGCCACTGCACTCCAGCCTGGGTGACAGAGAGACACTCCATCTCAAAAAAAAAAACAAAACTAAAAATATTGTTGGAATCAATAGGACTAAAAAACAACAACGCAAACATGAACATGAGAATATAAAATACTGAAAGGTACTGATATTGACCAAATATGCACTTACCCTTAAGAAAACTAACATTCCTTCTGTACATATTTGGCTGAAACAAGAGTTTTTCTCTGCTTGAAATACAGCTAAGTAACATCTCTATCCCAGGGAAAACATGTAAAACCCAAAACACTAATGCCAGCTAGCTACCAAGTACTACTGTTTTAGTCAGCATGACCAAATCTTCCTAAGGAAGTCTGTTAGAAACCCTTCAATTTCTCACAGAAGCCTACTGTTAACAGATTTGGATGGCCATATACTTGTGGTATTTTTAGTGATACAAATGCTACATTTAAGTTCCAGGTTCACTCTTCTAGAAAAAAGCGGAGGAGTAGACAACAAATAGGTAAACACAGCCAGCAATAAGCAATGTGTCTTCAAGAAATGTCTTCAAAAACAAATGTATTTCCCCCCCACTCACCGAATTAAGTTAGGTTCCACTCAACTATTAATCATTGCTAATCTAGCGGATGCAAAGACACTGCATTTCTGCCAAAGCATTTTCAGTCTTTTAAAATTAGGTTGTTTCGCCGGGCATGGTGGCTCATGCCTGTAATCCCAGCGCTTTGGGAGGCTGAGGCAGGCAGATCCTGAGGTCAAGAGATCAAGACCATCCTGGCCAACATGGTGAAACCCCGTCTCTACTAAAAATACAAAAATTAGCTGGGCATGGTGACGCGCGCCTGTAGTCCCAGCTACTTGGGAGGCTGAGGCAGGAGAATCGCTTGAACCTGGGAGGCGGAGGTTGCAGTGAGCTGAGATCGCACCACTGCACTCCAGCCTGGCGACAGAAACTCTGTCTCAAATTAAAAAAATAAAATAAAATAAAATAAAATAAAATGTTGCTTATTTCATTTTGACTGTCTCCCAAGGAAAAAAACACAAGAGAATATCATAGAAGGGATCTATATGTTCCTCTGACTCTACAAAATTTTTGTACTGTTTAGAATTTCAATCAATGAAGAAAAACATGTAATGCACACATACAAACATATAATGCTCTCTATAAGCCAACTAAAAGCGTGCATGTGTCTCTGGGAATATTATATGTTTATATTTGCATGCTACGCTACCATATTGTGTCTCCAATTTTTTCTAAACTTATTTTTACCATTACTGACTAAATTATGTGAGTAGAGATTCATCTGCTTTTTTTTTTTTTTTTTTTTTTTTTTTTTTTTTTTTTTTTCAGATAGAGTTTCACTCTTGTTGCCCAGGATGGAGTGCAATTATTGCAATCGCGGCTCACCTCAACCTCCTCCTCCTGGGTTCAAGCAATTCTCCTGCCTCAGCCTCCCAAGTAGCTGGGATTACAGGCATGTGACACCACGCCCAGCTAATTTTGTATTTTTAGTAGAGAAAGGGTTTCTCCATGTTGGTCAGGCTGGTCTCGAACTCCCGACCTCAGGTGATCCGCCTGCCTCAGCCTCCCAAAGTGCTAGGATTACAGGCGTGATCCACTGCGCCTGGCCTTTTTCTTTCTTTTTTTTTTTTTTTGAGACGCAGTCTCATTCTGTCGCCCAGGCTGGAGTGCAGTGGCGTGACTTTGGCTCACTATAACCTCTGCCTCCCAGGTTCAAGCGATTCTCCTGCCTCAGCCTCCCGAGTAGCTGGGATTATAGGTGCATGCCACCACGCCTGGCTAATTTTTGTATTTTTAGTAGGGACGGGGTTTCACCACGCTGGCCAGGCTGGTCTCAAACTCCTGACCTCAGGAGATCTGCCCGCCTTGGCCTCCCAAAGTGCTTGGGATTATAGGCATAAGCCACCACGCCCAGCCTCCTCTACTCTCTTAAGAGAACATGAGATATGCTGTTTTACCTAAGAATCCAAAAGGAATCACTAGAAAGAAGCACTTCTTACTGAAACTCCTTTTAGTGTTTTAGTCTTAGCACACTCTTCTCTATTCCCATACCCTAAAGTTAACAATTTTTACAGCCTTAATGAACTACTCTATCAAGAAACAAATATCCTAAGAATACTTTTTAGACTTCCTTAAAACACTAAGCAGCATGGCTGTGCGCATTGGCTCACGCCTGTAATCCCAGCACTTTAGGAGGCCGAGGCTGGCGGATCACCTGAGGTCAGGAGTTGGAGACCAACCTGGCCAACATGGTAAAGCCCTGTCTCTACTAAAAAAACACAAAAATTAGCCAGATGTGATGGTGGGCGCTTGTAATTCCAGCTACTCTCAGGAGGCTGAGGCAGGAGAATAGCTTGAACCCGAGAGGCAGAGGTTGCAGTGAACCGAGATCGCTCCACTGCACTCCAGCCTGGGCAACAAAACAAGACTCTGTCTCAAAAAAAAACAAAAAACAAAGCAGCTTTACAAATGCTACACTTAAGACTTAGGCATTTTACTGTATATAAATTTTACTCCTCACCCCTCCAAAAAAAAAAAAAGGGTAATCCAGCTAATGGTAAACATGTTAAAGTGTTTAGAATGAAGTATACTGATGTCTACAACTTACTTTGAAATAAATGAAAATAAAAGATAGATTAATGGACAGGTAGATAGATTACAAAATACATGGCTTTTTTTTTTTTTTTTTTAAGACTGAGTCTTACTCTGTCTCTGTCACCTAGGCTGGAGTGCAATGGCACGATCTCAGCTCACTGCAACCTCTGCCTCCCGGGCTCAACTGATTCTCCTGCCTCAGCCTTCCGAGTAGCTGGGACTACAGGCGCACGCCACCACACCCAACTAATTTTTTATATTTTTATAGAGACAGCATTTCACCACATTGGCCACGCTGGTCTCAAACTCCCTACCTCGTGATCCGCCCACCTCGGCCTCCCAAAGTGCTGAGATTACAGGTGTGAGCCACTCCTGGCCCAATTTTTTTTTTTTTTGAGACAGGGTCTCACTCTGTTGCTCAGGCTGGAGTGCAGTGGTGTGATCACAGCTCACTGCAGCCTTGACTTCCTAGGCTCAAGCAATCCTCCCACCTCAGCCTCCCAGGCAGTGGGGACTACAGATGTGCACCACCGCGACCAGCTAATTTTTTTTTTTTTCCTGTAGAGAACGGGGCCTCACTATGTTGCCCAGCCTGGATACAGCAAATATTTATTGTAGAATCTTGCTGTTACATATATGGGTGTTCACTACAACCTTTCTGTGCTGGAAAATTTTTTATAATAAAATGGAGGAGGAAACATTAAGAACTCCAGCCCTTGACAGCTAGGAACACTCTGCAGCTTGATGTACTCACACCATTTATGAATTGTAACTTTAAGTCAGCAAAAATTACACTGAAATACAAAAGCCATGCATGAGCCAGGCGTGGTGGCTCATGCCTGTAATCCCAGCACTTTGGGAGGCAGGAGGATTGCTTGAGCTCAGGAGTTCAAGACCATCCTGGGCAACAGGGCAAAACCCAGTCTCTACAAAAAAAAAAAAGAAAAAGAAAAAAAAAATTAGCCAGGCATGGTGGCATGAACCTGTAATCCCAGCTACTCAGGAGGCTGAGGTGGACGGATTGCTTGAGCCTGGGAAGTCAAGGCTGCAGTGAGCCAAGATGATGCCACTGCACTCCAGCCTAGGCAACAGGGCAAGATCTTGTCTTTCAAAAAAAAAAAAAGTCATGCATGAATTTTTTTCAAATTAGCACAATTTCTCTACCAGTGTTCAACATCCTCACTCATAATTTACTGAGTGATATTATGTACAAGGCACTGTGCTATGCACTTCAAATTGACTAATTTAATCATCACAACCCTTAAAAGTAGGTATTTATTATTCCCATTTTACACCTGAAGCAACTCAGGCAAGGAGAAATTAACTCATTTGCTAAAGGTCACAAAGCAACATTAGGATTCCACAAAGGTCTAACTAAAGCCCACATTCTGTTTTTGTGAACAGAAGTGAGGCCACAAAGGAGATACATCTCATTACCTAGGAACAAGAACACAGTTTTCCAAATAATTCACTCTAACAACAAAATTTCAAACTAGCATGCCTTTCTCGCAAAAATATAAAGAAGGCATTATTACTATGTGTTTTAGAGAAAGATTTTGAAAATTGTCAGCGGTCACAAGGTAGGTCAGTGATGATGCTGTAAAGAAAACCAAATTGTCCTTGGAACCAATTTCTGCTAGGTTATACCATTAAAAGGGTAACAGACTAATCAGCTGAATTTCCACTAAAACATCAGTTAAAAGACAGGAATCTTTTGTAAATAATTAAAACAGTGCCAAGTAGGAAATGAATAAATGTACAGGTTTGGGGATTCAGTGGACAACACAAATAGGATAAACTAGGCAAGTAACTTCCATACCAATTTCTTAAGTCTTCAACCAGGTCCCATAGAGTCTAAAGCACAAATACCAATGTGATTTTTAAAAATATAAAACTAAGCAACAGAAATAGCTAGACATGCTCTGGGAACTAGTATCAACTCCATCCACTCACTAAGCAGAAGCCTTTGACGTTTCTCACTCAGAAGCTTACAACTGAAGACCCCACCACTGGAAGTACCTACCTTTGGCGGTTTGAGGCCTATGTACTCTTCACTTCTCGAATTCTGGGTTAAGGGGAGACAGATTCACACACTGGAATGACTAGCCAACAGCAAAGTGTTCTAGTCAATGATGAACACTGCGGGCTTCCAGACAATGTTAACACGCTGAATGCCAATTCCTCGCAACCCACCCTAAATGAGGAAGGACTGTTAGACAAATAGCTCACCTGGGGAGTGGACTCCGACTCAGAGACCGCTTGCTCAGGAAAGGGCTGCTGGACCGCCTTCGACCATAGGGACTGGGCGATCGCCCGCTGTAAGAGCCACTTCTTTCGTAGCTGGACGACCGTCTCCTGCTATAGGGACTGACAGATCTCTGTCGCCTACTGTAGGGGCTCGGTGACCGGGTGCTGGACTGGTAGGCCGAAGGCTCCTTGTAAGGGGGACTGACCGACTGCCTTCTCGAGGTACTTCCAGGACTTTTCTTGTAGGAGTCATAATTGCTCGAGGTATGAGATCGTGAGGGACTAAGGTCATAATCTTGGCCATAAGAAGCTCCCGAGGGGCTATCATCTTGTTTGGAGCTGTCAGACCACTTCCTGTGGGGGCTCCTGGATCTCCGTTTTGGGCTGTCCACTGTTTTGTAACTTTTGGGTGTTTCCCTTTTTCGATGACTTTTACTCCGGTCTTTGTGCCCAGACTTCAGCTCCCGTTCTTTCCTGGTCTTCTCCTTGTGGAGCTTGGATGACCTGGATTCCTTGCTGCTGCTTTTGGCTACCTGCGCCTTCCCATAGTCATCAGTCTCCTCATTCGAACGCTTTGAACTTCCCGATATCCGGTCCTTCATCGATCCCGACTTGCTGGAGACTTCTTGGCTTTTTTCTTTTTCGGTCTGTTTAGCTTTTAGTAAGTCCCGGGAACGCCTGTGCTGGTGGTGACGATGTTTGTGCAGGCGGTCGCTCCGATCTGATCCACGACGTTCGTCGTTCTCCCTTCGGTCTAGTTTGAAGGCCATGTCATCGGAGAAGGTGTCGGAATCAGAGCTGATATCATCATACTCCACCAAAGGTTTGATAACTGTGCCCAGGGATGCTGCTTCGGGGGTCACCAACCCCATGTCTTTGGAGTGTTTGGACTTATGCCGCTTGTGCTTCGATACCAAGCGGTGACGCTCTCTGCTGTTAGAGCTGCCGCCTCCCGATGACGGCTGCAAAGTTCCAGAAGCTCCTCCACTCCCGTCCTTCTTGCCCCCATGTCTCTCTGAATTGGGCATTCCCTTTCCCCTGACCTGAAGAAGGGAAAAAAGTTCCCCAGCACTCCAAAAAGCAACCCCCACCCACCCCCCCAACCCCAACTCCACGCCCACCAAAGCGCCCCGGGAAGGGGGTGGGGAGGGCAGGGACGGTAGCCCAGGCTCCTCCTCCCTCCCGACGCCTCAGCACCCTTCTACATGAGGTGGGGGGTGAAGGAGCGAGGGAAGAAATGAGAGTTCCTCGGCAGTGGAGTTGCGAGACAACGGGGAGCTGCTCAAGTCTGTTTCCTCTTCTCCCTCCGCCGAGCCAGTCCTCAGGCCCGGGCGCCGGGGAGGTCCAGGAAGTGAGAAGCCGACGGCCCGGGGCTGTGGAGCCGACTCCAGCTCTGGGGCCCTGCGAGGACTACGCGGGCCCTTCCCCTACCCGGTAGCCCGGTTCAGGACGGCTTCCTGTCGCCGGGGTGCCGCGGCCTAGGTGCCTCACGCCCCCTTTGTCCCTCGCTCCTGAGGTAGCCCCCTTTCTTGCCTCCGTTTCACCTCCACACCACACACACTCTCTCCCTCACACAGACCCAGTCACACACTAGATTAAACCGAAACGGCACTTGGGGAAGGGGGGAGGGGCAATCCCAGAAATCGTCGCGAGAGTCCAGTAGCCTCTCGCGATGTTTCGTGCTTCGCTTTCACCTCATTCCCCTGCTTATCAAACAACGCGAGATCAGGTCCCAAACTAGAAACGCGTTTCACCTGAGTCTCGCGATGAGCTCCCGGAGCTCCCCGTTTGAGCAAAGCTTTATTGAAACGGAACAAACCGAGTTTTTTTTTTTTAACCAAAACTTTATCGGTAACTGATTAAACAAACACTCCCAGGCTCCGTGACAAAATAATTTCAACATCCTTTTTAACAAATCTTTTAACTACCAGGATGACTTTTTTTTGTTTGTTTTTTGTTTTCCTTTGAGACGGAGTCTCGCTCTGTAGCCCATCCTGGAGTGTTAGTGGCGCGATCTCGGCTCACTGCAACCTCCACCTCCTGGGTTCAAGCGATTCTCCTGCCTCAGCCTCCCGAGTAGCTGGGATTACAGGCGCCCGCCACCACGCCCGGCTAACTTTTTTGTTTTTAGTAGAGACAGGGTTTCACCATGTTGGCCAGGCTGGTCTCGACCTCCTGACCTCAAGTGATCCTCCCGCCTCGGCCTCCCAAAGTGCTAGGATTACAGGCGTGAACCGCCGCGCCGGGCCATTTTTTTGTTTGTTTGAGACAAGTTCTCTCTCTTTTGCCCAGACTGGAGTGCAGTGGCACGATCTCGGCTCACTGCAGCCTCCACCTCCTGGGCTCAAGCAATCCTCCCACCTCATCCTGCCGAGTACTTGGAACTATAGAGTCGCGCCACCACGCCGTGCTAATTTGTTTCTATTATTCGTAGTGATGGGGTTTCGCCATGTTGCCCAGGCTAGTCTCGAACTCCTAGACTCAAGCAATCCGCGATCCTTGGTCTTGAACTCCTAGAATGAAGCAATCTGCCCGTCTGGTCCTCCCAAAGTGGCGGGATTACAGGCTTGAGCCACCGCGCCCGGTTGAGATTATTTTTTACAGAGCAAAAGACAAATGTCGGGACATTTCAACCCAAGTCCCTGAGTGTTTTAACAGTGCTTCCCACATATAGGGTGTGTGCTACCTGCCAAGAATTTTACATACATTATCTCTAATTTTCACAATTATCCTGCAAAACACGAGATTTTCATCCCTGTTTTATAGAAAAGGAATCCCAGCCTCAGGGAAGTTGAATAATTTGGTCCAACAAGTGCCACAGTCAACATTCAAATTCATGTCTTTCTGAGACTAAAACACAAGCTCTTCCATCCTATGGTGTTGTCTCCTTACCAATCTTTGCTTCAAATCTCAGAACCTAAAAGCTCATCCCATCTTGAGATCCTCCCATGGCCGTTATTGGATAATTTAGCCTTTCATCCTCATACAAAAGATTATAATATGAACAAGAAAAGCATAGTATTAATTAACAAGAAAATAACACTATCTTACACTGGCCCCTCATTTATTACTTTTTAAAAAACTTTCGCCTACCTTAAGTCATTCCATCTTCACAACAGTCCTCTGAAATAGGTTGTATAAGTGAGAAAACTAAGGCATGGAGAAATGAAGGGGCTTGTCCAAAACGGAGAAGTTCAGCTGGTAAATTCAGGACCAGAAAACATTCTGAATTAAGGTAGTCTCAATTCTCAAAAATCACTCTCTGTAAATGTTCTTGTTCCTTTTGCTCACAGGGCGATCCAAAACATTTTTTTTTTTTAACCTAATTTTGTGTGTGTGTGTGAAGGGTCTCGCTCTGTCGCCCAGGCTGGAGTGCAGTGGCACAATCATAACTCACTGTAGCCTTCCCCTCATGGGCTCAGGTGATCCTCCCATCTCAGCCTCCTGAGTAGCTGAGACTACAGCCACAGGCCACCAGCCCAGCTAATTTTTATTTTTATTTTTTTGTAGAGATGGAGGGCTGGCTATGTTGCCGAGTCTGACCTCAGATGCCTGGGCTCAAGCATTCCATCCACTTTGGCCCCCAAAGTGTTAGGATTACAGGCGTGAGCCACCACGCCCGCCGTCTCTAAATGATTGAGTCCATAAATATTGGTTCTAAAATAAAAAGATCAGGCCAGGCACAGTGGCTCACTCCTGTAATCCCAGCACTTTGGGAGGCCAAGGTGGGCAGATCACAAGGTCAAGAGATGGAGACGATCCTGGCCAACATGGGGAAACCCCGTCTCTACTAAAAACACAAAAATTAGCTGGGCTTGGTGGCACACACCTGCAGTCCCAGCTACTCGTGAGGCTGAGGCAGAGGTTGAACCCTGGAGGCAGAGGTTGCAGCGAGCCGAGATCGCGCCACTGCACTCCAGCCTGGCAACAGAGCAAGACTCCGTCTCAAAATAAATAAGTAAATAATAAAAAAATTTAAAAAATAAAAAGACCAAGTTTTCCACGACAACTTTTTGATCTTCTATGGAAGTAAAATTAATGCTATCAAGAAAAAAGAAGTGGCTGGGAGCAGTGGCTCATGCCTGTAATCCCAGCACTTTGGGAGGCCAAGAGGGGAGGATCATTTGAGGTCAGGAGTAAGACCAGCCTGGCCAATGCAGTGAAACCCTGTTTCTACTAAAAATACAAAAATAGGCCGGGCGCAGTGGCTCACTCCTGTAACCCCAGCACTTTGGGAGCCGAGGCGGGCAGATCAGGAGGTCAGGAGATCGAGACCATCCTGGCTAACACGGTGAAACCCCGTCTCTACTAAAAATACAAAAAAATTAGCTGGGCGTGGTGGCGGGTGCCTGTAGTCGCAGCTACTCAGGAGGCTGAAGCAGGAGAATGGTGTGAACCCGGGAGGCAGAGATTGCAGTGAGGGGAGATCACGCTACTGGGAGGCAGAGATTGCAGTGAGGGGAGATCACGCTACTGCACTCCAGCCTGGGCAACAGAGCAAGACTCTGCCTCAAAAAAAAAAAAAATTAGAGGCCAAGCACTGTGGCTCATGCCTGTAATCCCAGCACTTTGGGAGGCCGAAGTGGGAGGACCACTTGAGGTCAGCAGTTCAAGACCAGCCTGGCCAACACAGTGAAATCCTATCTCTACTAAAAATACAAAAATTAGTCAGGCGTGGTGGTGATCGCCTGTAATCACAGATATTCAGGAGGTTGAGACAGGAGAATCGCTTGAACCCAGAACGCAGAAGTTGCAGTGAGCCAAGATCGTGCCACTGCGCTCCAGCCTGGGTGACAGAGCAAGACTCTGTTTCAAAAACAAACAAACAAACAACAAAAAAATATATATATATTTATATATACACACACACAAAAATTAGCCAGGCATGGTGGCATATGCCTGTAATTCCAGCTACTCAGGAGGCTGAGGCATGAGAATCACTAGAACCTGGGAGGCAGAGGTTGCAGTGAGCTAAGATTGCACCACTGCATTCCAACCTGGGCAACAGAGTGAGAATCCATCTAAAAAAAAAAAAAAGTGGCTAACAAAAAGAAAAAAGGGCTGAGTGTGGTGGCTGACATCTGTAAAACCAACAATTTGGAAGGCCAACATGGAAGGAATTCGTGAGCCCAGAAATTGGAGACCAGCCTGGGCAACATGTTGAGACATCTGTCTCTACAAAAAAATACAAGAAATGACAGGCCGAGCAAGGTGGCTCATGCCTGTAATCCCAGCAATTTGGGAGGCCGAGGCAGGCAAATTGCCTGAGTTCAGGAGTTTGAGACCAGCCTGGGCAACACGGTAAAACCCCATCTCTACTAAAATACAAAAGAAATTAGCCGCCGGGCTTGGTGGCTCACGCCTGTAATCCCAGCACTTTGGGAGGCTGAGGCGGGCGGATCACCTGAGGTCGGGAGTTCGAGACCAGCCCGACCAACATGGAGAAACCCCGTCTCTATTAAAAATACTAAAAAATTAGCTGGGCATGGTGGCCCATGCTTGTAATCCCAGCTACTCGGGAGGCTGAGGCAGGAGAATCGCTTGAACGCAGGAGGCGGAGGTTGCAGTGAGCCGAGATTGGGCCATCGCACTCCAGCCTGTGCAACAAAAGAGAAACTCTGTCTCAAAAAAAAAAAAAAAAATTAGCCAGGCGTAGTGGTGTGGGCCTGTATTCTCAGCTATTCGGGAGGCTGAGGCAGGAGAATTGCTTGAACCCAGGAGGCAGAGCTTGCAGTGAGCCAAGATCACGCCACTGCACTCCAGCCTGGGCGACAGAGCGAGACTCCGTCCCTACCAAAAACAAACAAACAAAAACAAGAAATTAACCAGGCATGGTGTTGCTTGCCTATAGTCCCAGCTACTATGAGGCTGAGATGGGAGGATCACTTGAGCCCAGGAGGTCAAGGCTGCAATGAGCCATGATCATGCCACTGCACTCCAGCCTGGGTAACAGAACAAGAACCTGCCTCAAAAAAGAAAAGAAAAAAGAAAAACACGGGCCAGGCATGGAGGCTCACGCCTGTAATCCCAGTACTTTGGGAGGCCGAGGCAAGCAGATCACCTGAGGTCAGGAGTTCAAGACCAGCCTGACCAACAAGAAGAAACCCCGTCTCTACTAAAAATACAAAAATTAGCCCAGCGTGGTGGCACATGCCTGTAATCTCAGCTACTAGGGAGGCTGAGGCAGGAGAATTGCTTGAACCCGGGAGGTGGAGGTTGCGGTGAGATGAGATGGTGCCATTGCACTCAGCCTGGGCAACAAGAGTGAAACTGTCTCCAAAAAAAAAAAAAAAAAAGAAAAGAAAAGAAAAACACAAGTACTGGAACTCAGTTGTGAACACTCCTTATTCACCGCTATAGGAGGATAGGACACCCTGGATATATTTTCTTGAGACAAGGTCTTGCTGTGCTGCCCAGGCTGGAGTACAGTGTTGCCAGGACAACCTGGATTTATTTTCTTGAGACAAGGTCTTGCTCTGTTGCCCAGGCTGGAGTACAGTGGTATGACCATGACACACTGCAGTCTTTTTTTTTTTTTTTTTGAGATGAAGTCTCGCTCTTGTCCCCCAGGCTGGAGTGCAATGGCACGATCTCGGCTCAGTGCAAGCTCCACCTCCTGGGTTCAAGTGATTCTCCTGCCTCAGCCTCCTGAGTAGCTGGGATTACAGGCGCCTGCCACCATGCCCGGCTCATTTTTGTATTTTTAGTAGAGATGGGGTTTCGCCATGTGGCTAGGCTGGTCTCGAACTCCTGACCTCAGGTGATCCACCCACCTTGGCCTCCCAAAGGGCTGGGATTACAGGTGTGAACCACTGTGTCCGGCTGACACACTGCCATCTTCACTTCCTGAGCTCAAGCAATCCTCCAGCCTCAGCCTCTCCTGGCTGGGATTACAGGTGTAAGCCACAGAGCCTGGCTAATTTTTTTTTTATTTTTTGTAAAGACGGGGTCTTGCTATGTTGCCCAGGCTGCTCTTGAAGTCCTCGGCTCAAGGGATCCTCCCACCTGGACTCCCAAGATGCTCGGAATACAGGCATGGGCCACTGTGTCTGGCCTTGAATGTTTTACATGATGACAGATGGCATGAGACTTCCTGGGCTGATTAAATGTAGTGACCAGTCAGCCATAGTAAGTGTTGGCATGGGTTTGTTGTCATGAGTTCAATAAAATTCACCCTGATTTTTCTGTCTTTTAAATGAGATCAGGTTTTTATTTTTAATTTCTTTTTTTGAGATGGAGTCTTGCTCCGTTGCCAGGCTGGAGTGCGGTGGCACTATCTTGGCTCACTGCAACCTCTGCCTCTCTGATTCAAGCGATCCTCCTGCCTCAGCCTTCTTAGTAGCTGGGATTACAGGCACACGCCACCATGCCTGGCTAATTTTTGTATGTTTAGTAGAGACGGGGTTTCACCATGTTGATCAGGCTGGTCTTGAACTCCTGACCTCATGATCCACCCGCCTTGGCCTCCCAAAGGGCTGGGATTACAGGTGTGAGCCACCATGCCTGGCCTTTTTTTTGGGATGGAGTCTCCCTCTGTTGCCTAGGCTGGAGTGCAATGGCTTCATCTCGGCTCACTGCAACCTCCGCCTCCCAGGTTCAAGCAATTCTCTGCCTCAGCCTTCTCAGTAGCTGGGATTACAGGCGCCTGCCACCATGTTCAGATGATTTTTTTTTAATTTTTAATAGAGACGTGGTTTCACCATCTTGGCCAGGCTGGTCTTGAACTCCTGACCTTGTGATCACCCCCCGCCTTGGCCTCACAAAGTGCTGGGATTACAGGTGCAAGCCACTGTGCCTGGCTGAGATCAAGTTTTTAATTCACGATGTACCCACAGTAGAATGGAAAAGTGAAGACGACAGAAGGCATCGGTGATGTGTCAAAATCTGGAAGAATTAAATTGATTATCCAGATTAAACACCAGCAGAAACTTTTTTTCTTTTTTTGAGACGGAGTCTCACTCTGTCACCTAGGTTGGAGTGCAGTGGTGCGATCTCGTCTCGCTGCAAGCTTCGCCTCGATCTCGGCTCACTGCAAGCTCCGCCTCCCGGATTCACACCATTCTCCTATCTCAGCCTCCCAAATGGCTGGGATTACGGGTGCCTGCCACCATGCCCGGCTAATTTTTTGTATTTGTAGTAGAGACCGGGTTTCACTGTGTTGGCCAGGATGGTCTTGATCTCCTGACCTCGTGATCTGCTCGCCCCGGCCTCCCAAAGTGTTTGTATTACAGGCGTGAGCCACTGCACCTGGCTGAACCTTTCAAAATTATCTGTTACTGCCTCTTGAAGCCAATTAGAGACCAGTAACTAATGAAAGAATGAAGCTTTATCCCTGAAACTTTGAACTTATAATATCTTGAATTTCTATAGCACTTTAAAATTTTTCACGGAACTCTTTTAATCCCGTCAATAAATTTCAATTGAATAAATAAACTAATGAAATTATGTTATTTTTATTACTATTTTTATTTTTTTTTTTGAGACTAAGTCTCCCTCTGTCGCCCAGGCTGGAGTGCAGTGGCACGATTACAGGCATGAGCCACCACACCGCACCAGGCCTATTATTATTATTATGCTTATTGAGAACAGTTTCAATCTGTGGCCTAGGCTGGAGTGCACTGGCAGGATCTTGGCTCACTGCAACCTCCACCTCCCAGGTTCAAGCAATTCTCCTGCCTCAGCCTCCCAAATAGCTGGGATTACAGGCATGCGCCACCATGCCCGGCTAATTTTTTTGTATTATTTTGTATTTTGTATTATTAGTAGAGACAGACTTTGGCCATGTTGGCTAGGCTGTTCTCGAACTCCTGACCTTAAGTGATCCACCCACCTCAGCCTCCCAAAGGGCTGGGATTATAGGCGTGAGCCACTTATTATCGACATCTAATATAGGTTAAACTGACACTGAGAAGGAGTTAGATTGGACCATGTTGACACTTAAGTGTAGAAAGTGCCTGGAGCCGGGACACCTCACTTCTACATACTAAACCAGTACTTTGTATTGAACTACCCTTCCTTCCTCCCTCCCTCCCTTCCTTCCTTCTTTTCCTTTCTTTCTCTCTCTCTCTTTCTTTTAGATAATCTCCCTAACATGGTATTCCTCTTTTTGGTGAATAAAATTCTGCAGCAGAAAATCTCAGGCTGTATCTAAATTTTAAAATACAATATCTACTGTAAACTGCAGGTATTGATCCAATCTGTGCTTTTGTAAAATAAGGGTTGCTTCATTATACAGAAAAACTTTGAACTCAGAAATTCCAGGACTGCTCCATTTGCTTTATTTGCATAACCTTCAAGGGCAGAGAGTCAGGGCAACTCTGTGAACCCCAAGTGATCAGTCAGGTGATGGCAATACTTAGCCTGCAAATCTACTAAAACAAGTCAGAAAGTTTCCATTTAGGCTGTACACAAGAAGAAATATTTAACTAAAGTTTCAATAGCTCTTTTTCCCCAACAAACCAATTTGTTAGTTTAGATTTTAGGTTTAGAGTCCTCTGGGCCGGGCACAGTGGCTCATGCCTGTAATCGTAACACTTTGGGAGGCCAACGTGGGTGGATTGCCTGAGCTCAAGTTCGAGACCAGCCTGGGCAACATAGTGAAACTCTGTCTCTACTAAAATACAAAAAAATTAGCTGGGTGGTGTGGCATACACCTGTAGTCCCAGCTACTTGGGAGGCTGAGGCAGAAGAATTGCTTGAACCCAGGAGGCGGGGGTTGCAGTGAGCCGAGATTGTGCCACTGCACTCCAGCCTTGGCGACAGAGCGAGACACTGTCTCAAAAAAAAAAAAAAAAAAAAAAAAAAAAAAAGAGTCCTTTGGCGCCTCCTTCAAAGCTTAGTCACTTACAATTTGCCCATTGTACCCATTTTCCTATGTATACTGTTCCTATATGTACCTTGAATACTTTTCTTGTTTAATGACATGGCTTTCTTTTTTTTTTTCAGACTCCGTCTTGCTCTTATTGCCCAGACTGGAGTGCGATGACACGATCTTGGCTCACTGCAACCTCCACTTCCCGGATTGAAGCGATTCTCCTGCCTCAGCCTCCCCAGTAGCTGGGATTACAGGCATGTGTCACCACACCCGGCTAATTTTTTGTATTTTTAGTAGAAATGGGGTTTCACCATTTTGGCCAGGCTGGTCTCGACCTCCTGATCTCAAGTACCTGCCTCAGCCTCCCAAAGGACATTGCTCTCTTATCTTCTAGAGTAGAACTTTTCCAATGGTGTCTCTCATCTGCATTTTCAGATGACAAATGATAACTTCTCATTCCATTCTGTAACCAGAAGTTAGTAAAGTTTATTTATAAGCTTTATAAAGTTAAAAATTTCCTAGCAACACTTAGTACAGACTTTTTTTTTTATTTGTATAGAGTTTCCATGATAAAGTGTAGTTGGGTATCTGGCATTGGTACTTAGGGCATAATAATTAATGAAAAAATTTTGAGCCCCTATGATTATAGTGACCAATCATATTTTCGGAACTCTAAATAAGATTAGCCTATCAAGCGCTAGGGTTGTGTTTTCATGTTTGTTTATTTGTCTGAGACAGAGTCTTGCTCTGCCACCCAGGCTGGAGTGCAGTAGCATGATCTCGGCTCACTGCAACCTCTGCCTCCCAGGTTCAAGCGCTTCTCCTGCTTCAGCCTCCTGAGTAGCTCCGCGACCAGCCGTGTTTTCATGTTTGTATTAGCAGCTCCAAATATACACATATTAGGACTCCACAGATGCTTACTAAGTGAAGAACACTTAGTTTGAGGATAGTAAAGGATACAGTTTTTTCTTTTTGAGACAGTCTCACTCTGTCACCCAGGTTGGAGTGCAGTGACGCGATCTCTGCTCACTGCAACTTTCGCTTCACGGGTTCCAGAGATTCTCCTGCTTCAGCCTCCCGAGTAGCTGGGATTACAGGAGCGCACCACCACACCTGGCTAATTTTTGTATTTTTCGTAGAGACGGAGTTTTACCATGTTAGCCAGGCTGGTCTCAAACTCCTGACCTGATGATCCACCTACCTTGGCCTCCCAAAGTGCTGGGATTACAGGCATGAGCCACTGCGCCTAGCCAGAAATAGTTTTGAAACTAAAAAAATGAGAAAAGGGGAATTAACTGTGCTATAGGCTCGCTTTGAACGTCATGTTACAATGCGCCACTATCTTTCTTAGGATGTAATTATTGCATCTAGTATCTCAGGTTAAACTTATCTTTCATAAGACACTCCTGATACCAATAGCCTTTGAAAATCTAGTCATGGCCGGGTGTGGTGGCTCATGCCTGTAATCCCAGCACTTTGGGAGGCCGAGGCGGGCGGACAGCGAGGTCAGGAGTTCGAGACCAGCCTGGCCAACACGGCGAAACCCCGTCTCTACTAAAAATAGCTGGGCGTGGTGGCGGGTGCCTGTAATCCCAGCTACTCGGGAGGCTGAGGCAGGAGAATCGCTTGAACCCGGGAGGCGGAGGTTGCAGTGAGCCGACATCGTGCCATTGCACTCCAGCCTGGGCGACAAGAGCAAGACTCCATCTCAAAAAAAAAAAAAAAAAAATTAAAAAAAAAAGAAAAGCTAGTCTTTCAGTACAGGGATCTGGAGATTTTAATTTGCGAGCTGTTTAACTGCTAAAATAAAAAAAAAATGGCGGTTTCCGCAGGGGAGCCGAAAGCTACCGGCCGGCAGGTTTAATATCCAGCGGCGCGAGGCCTGAGACAGCTCAGATCAAAGGGAAGACTGCGCTGAAAGAAATCTCGCGAGGCCGACGCATTGACCAATATTCGCGAGATTTCGATGCCCTGTCCTCTTCCTCTCTCTGGCAGGACCACGGTTTATCTCGCGAATTTTGGGAAGTTCCGTTGGGGAAGATGGCGGCGGCCTCGAGCACCCTTCTCTTCTTGCCGCCGGGGACTTCAGATTGATCCTTCCCGGGAAGAGTAGGGACTGCTGGTGCCCTGCGTCCCGGGATCCCGAGCCAACTTGTTTCCTCCGTTAGTGGTGGGGAAGGGCTTATCCTTTTGTGGCGGATCTAGCTTCTCCTCGCCTTCAGGATGAAAGCTCAGGGGGAAACCGAGGGTAAGTGACTGTAGGGGAAAGGAGGGGGCGGGACACAACTGGGGGAGCCAGTTTGTGAGAGGAGGTTCTTGCAGATGTCCCATGGGGGCCACTTTAGGGGCATAGAGTCCAGGAGAGGGAATGTGTATTAGTTTTAGATTGTCACTATACCCTCCTTGGTGATTATAGAGCTTCGACTTTAGGGCGATGGGGACTCTCAACTTCTGTGAAGATTTCATGCTCGACTAGGGCACTTTTGGCCTAAAGTGGTGGGAGACGGGGCAAATGAATACAAAATCAGCTTACATCTCGTTCCAGAAGAGACGCCTGAATAAATTTAGGGCTGTGTGTAAACGTACTGGAGACTATTTTGGCATCAATGAAATGATTAGGTCCTTATATTTATTAGCAGCCAGCAGTTCTCTACAATGTCAAGTGTTCAGATCCTGTGCCATTGTGTATTTTTAAAGTGCGCTGAATTTCGTTCTTTTATTGACCGAACTACGAACTGCAGAAAAACAACTTTTCTGTGGAACTTTACTAAGATTTTCTAAAGTTCCACACTCCGGCTAAGATGCTGCCTTAGCATTTTGGGCATAGTTCTGTTGATACAGTGAACTGTGTTATTGTTTATCTTCTCCAGTTTCCTCTGAGCTTTGCAGATTAGAGTCCTTGCCTGATTATTTTTGTATAGTTTCTGGCACGTAATAGTCGCTCAAAAAGTGTTGGAGCATCGAAGTACAGATATTTATCAGCAGGTTTCTCAAGAAAAACAAAGAGTGTGTTTTGGAGCAGAGGTCGAAAGGTGAGGCCGGGAGCAGTGACTCACACCTGTAATCCCAGCGCTTTGGGAGGCTGCGGCTGGAGGATCCCTGGAGCCCAGGAGTTCGCGACCAGCCTGGGCAACATACTGAGGCCCTGTCTCTACAAAAAAAATAAAAAAATTGCCGGGCACTGTGGCTCACGCGTGTAATCCCAGCACTTTGGGAGGTTGAGGCGGGTGGATCACCTGAGGTTGGGAGATCGAGACCAGCCTGACCAACATGGAGAAAACCCGTCTCTACTAGAAATACAAAATTAGCCGGGCGTGGTGGTGAATGCCTGTAATCCCAGCTACCTGGGAGGCTGAGGTGGGAGGATTGCTTCAACCCAGGAGGTGGAGGTTGTGGTGAGCCAAGACTGCGCCATTGCATTCCTACCTGGGCTACAAGAGCGAAACTTCGTCTCAAAAAAAAAAAAAAAAAAAAAAGGCCGGGTGTGGTGGCTCACTCCTGTAATCCCAGCACTTTGGGAGGCTGAGGTGGGCGGATCACCTGAGGTTAGGAGTTCAAGACCAGACTGGCTAACATGGTGAAACCCTTTCTCTACTAAAAATACAAAATTAGCCAGGCACAGTGGCATGCCTGCAATCCCAGCTACTTGGTAGGCTGAGGCAGGAGAATCACCCAAACCCGGGAGGTGGAGGTTGCAGTGAGCCAAGATAGTGCCACTGGACTCCAGTCTGGGCAACAAGAGCAAAACTCCGTCTCAAAAAAAAAAAAAAAGAAAAAAAATTGAAAATAAATAAAATAAAAAATTAGCTCCAGGTAGTGGCTCAAGGCTGTAATCCCAGCACCTTGGGAGGCCGAAGCGGGCGAATCACTTGAGCCCACAAGTTGGAGACCAGCCTAGACAACCTGGCAAAAGCCTGTCTCTACAACAGATACAAAAATTAGCTAGGCATGGTGGCACAAGCCAGTAGTCCCAGCTACTTGGGAGGCTGAGGTGGGAGGATTACCTGAATCCTGTAGGTCAAGGCTCCAGTGAGCCAGAATCATGCCACTGCACTGTAACCTGGGCGACAGAGCGAGACCCTGTTTCAAGGGAAAATTAGCTATAGTCTCAGCTACTCTGAAGGCTGAGCTGGGAGGATCACTTGATCCTGGAGCATGGGAGGTTGAGGCTGCAATAGGCCTTGATTGTGCCAGTGCACTCAAGCTGGGGCTACAGAGTGATACTCTGTCTTAAAAAAAAAAAAGAAAAGAAAGATGTACTCCTTGGGTGCAAGGAGACAACAAGTGTAAAAATGGAAACTTCATGAAGTAGGAGTTTTTGTCTAGTTTGTTCATTGCTGTCTTTTTAGCATTTTCATTTATTTATTTATTTATTTGAGACAGAGTTTTGCTCTTGTTGCCCAGGTTGGAGTGCAGTGGCGCAATCTGGGCTCACTGCAACCTCCGCCTCCTGGGTTCAAGTGATTCTCCTGCCTCAGCCTTCCGAGTAGCTGGGATTACAGGCATGTACCACCAAGCCCGGCTAATTTTGTATTTTTAGTAGAGATGGGGTTTCTCCGTGTTGGTCAGGCTGGTCTCGAATTCCCAACCTCAGGTGATCCACCCGCCTTGGCCTCCCAAAGTGCTGGGATTACAGGCGTGAGCCACTCCGCCCAGCCAGCATTTTCATTTATTTTTTTTCTTTTTTTTAAATTTTCCTCTCTAGCCCAGTTCAATAACTTTTTTTTTTTTTTTTTTGACACAATGTCTCCCTCTGTTGCCTAGGATGGAGTAAGTGGTGTGATCAAGGCTCATCACTGAAGCTTCGACCTCCCAGGCTGAGGTGATCCTTCTGCCTCAGCCTCCAGAGTAGCTGGGGACTGACTACAGGCACATGCCAGGAGGCTTGGCTAATTTTTTTCTTTCTTTTTTTTTTTGAGACAGTGTTTCGCTCTGTTGCCCATGCTGGAGTGCAATAGTGTGATCTCGGCTCACTGCAACCTCTGCCTCCTGGATTCAAGCAATTCTCCTCCCTTAGCCTCCCAAGTAGCTGGGATTACAGGCATGCACCACCACATCTGGCTAATTTTGTATTTTCGGTAGAGACAGGGTTTGACACTCCAGCCTGGTCATCAAGAGTGAAACTTAGTCTTTAAAAAAAAAAAAAAAAAGGTGGATAGATAACAGTCCAGTGGTATGGTATTCCTTACATCAGACCCATAACTTGTGTGTCATCTTGCCATTAAAAATGTCTTCTTTGGATGTTTTGAAGTAAAATGATTTTGGAAAATATTTTAACTGAATTCTTACTGTGATGAAGTGTGGGAATTTATTTTGCAAGGAAAACTGTGGATGGTCTTGATAGAACAGTTACTGATAACGTTTTCTGATTTAAATCATAGAGTCAGAAAAGCTGAGTAAGATGAGTTCTCTCCTGGAACGGCTCCATGCAAAATTTAACCAAAATAGACCCTGGAGTGAAACCATTAAGCTTGTGCGTCAAGTCATGGTAAGGATTGTGGTGAAGTGGGTAAAGTGTTTTGCTTAGATAATTATTCTTAATACGCTAAGCTCCCCATGTAGATGTGTTCATACTATCTTCATAAAACATCTGAATACATGGTGGTTTCAACTTTAGGAGTCTATTGTATCTATACTACAGGTTGAATATCCCTTATATGAAATGCTTGGGACCGGAAGTGTTTTAGATTTTGGATTGTTTTGGATTTTGGAATATTTGCAAATATATAATGAGATATCTTGGGGATGGGACCCAAGTCTAAACACATAATTTATTTATGTTTCATAAACACCTTATAGATATAGCCTGAAGGTAATTTTATACAACATATTTAATAATATATTTAATACTTTTGTGTGTGAAACTAAGTTTTTTTTTGTTTTTTTTTTTTATTGAGACGGAGTTTCACTCTTGTTGCCCAGGCTGGGTTGTAATAGCCCGATCTCGGCTCACTGCAACCTCTGCCTCCCAGGTTCAAGTGATTCTTCTGCCTCAGCCTCCCGAATAGCTGGGATTACAGGCATGCGCCACCACGCCCAGCTAATTTTTATATTATTTGTAGAGACGGGGTTTCTCCATGTTGGTCAGGCTGGTCTTGACCTCCAGACCTCAGGTGATCCACCTGCCTTCGCCTCCCAAAGTGCTGGGATTACAGGCGTGAGCCACCGCGTCCAGCCGTTTTGACTGCATTTTGACTATGACCCTGTTATGTGAGGTCAGGTGTGAAATCCTTGGTGGCATCATTGGGAATGCTAAAAAGGTTTTGGATTTGGGAGCATTTCAGATTTTTGATTTTCAGATTAGGTATGCCCAGCCTGTACTAGTAGAATTTTTGATTCATTCTTTTTTTTGAGACCAGGTCTTATCATCCAGGCTCAAGTGCAGTGGCGCGATCATGGCTCACTGCAGCTTCAACTTCCCAGGCTCAGGTGGTTCTCCCACCTCAGCCTCCTAGTATCTGGAACAACAGGTGCATGTAACCATGTCCAGCTAGTTTTTTTTTTTTTTTCTTTGAGATGGAGTCTTGCTCTGTGGCCAGGCTGGAGTGCAATGGTGCGATCTCGGCTCACTGCAACCTCTGCCTCTTAGGTTCAAGAGATTCCCCTGCGTCAGCCTCCCGAGTAGCCGGGACTACAGGCACACGCCACCACGCCTGGCTAATTTTTTGTATTTTAGTAGAGATGGGGTTTCACCATGTTGGTCAGGATGGTCTCCATCTCCTGACCTCGTGATCTGCCTCCCAAAGTGCTGGGATTACAGGCGTGAGCCACTGTGCCCGGCTGCCCAGCTAGTTTTTTATATTTTTTGTAGAAATCGTTTTTTTTTTTTTTTTTTTGAGATGGAGTGTCGCTTTGTCACCCAGGCTGGAGTGCAGTGGTGCGATCTCGGCTCACTGCAAGCTTTGCCTCCCGGGTTCATGCCGTTCTCCTGCCTCAGCCTCCCGAGTAGCTGGGACTACAGGCCCCTGCCACTATTCCCGGCTAACTTTTTGTATTTTTAGTAGAGACGGGGTTTCACCGTGTTAGCCAGGATGGTCTCGATCTCCTGACCTCGTGATCCACCCGTCTCGGCCTCTCAAAGTGCTGGGATTACAGGCGTAGCCACTGCGCTTAGCCAGAAATAGGTTTTTACTCTGTGGCTCAGGCTGGTCTCAAACTTGTGGGCTCAAGTGATCCACCCACTTTGGCCTCCCAAAGTGTTAGGATTACAGTGTGAGCCACCGTGCCTGGCGGATTCATTTTTTTTTTTTTTTTTTAAAGATGGAATCTCTGTCTGTCACCTAGGCTGGAGTGCAGTGGTGGGATCTTGGCTCACTGCATCCTCCGCCTCCTGGGTTCAAGCGATTCTCCTGCCCCAGCCTCCTGAGTAGCTGGTATTACAGGCATCCGCCACCATGCCCAGTTAATTTTTGTATTTTTAGTAGAGATGGGGTTTCACCATGTTAGCCAGGCTGGTCTTGAACTCCTGACCTTGTGATCCACCTGCCTCAGCCTCCCAAAGTGCTGTGATTACGGGTGTGAGCCCCTGTGCCTGGCCCAGGTTGTCATTTTTATTCCTTAAGGCAACCAAATTCTAGCTTGAAATATGTTCTGTAAATGATACTGTCATTAGAGAGACATTGTGAGATAGAAGGATTCCAGGTGGCTAATAAGGCCCTCTCTTTGGGTACCACTCTCTTGGTTTGGTCACCATGACTTTGCTTGTCTACTTTTCAGTTTTGCAGATTCAGAAACCTAATTTTATTGGTACATCAAGATTTTATAGAGTTTTCATGGCTGGGCGTGGTGGTTCACATCTGTAATCCCAGCACTTTGGGAGGCTGAGGCGGGTCGATCACCTGAGGTCAGGAGTTCGAGACCAGGCTGACCAACAAGGTAAAACCCTGTCTCTACTAAAAAGACAAAATTAGCTGGGCATAGTGGCAGGCGCCTGTAGTCCCAGCTACTCGGGAGGCTGAGACAGCAGAACCGCTTGAACCCGGGAGGTGGAGGTTGCAGTGAGCCAAGATCATGCTACTGCACTCCAGTCTGGGCATCGGAGCGAGACTCCATCTCAAAAAAAAAAAAAGAGTTTTCAACAACTGACATACTGTATGCTTATTTATTAATTTATGACAAAACATTTAGTTTTCCAGTTTTCATAATACTGGTATTCATTGACCAGAGCACCTCTTCTCCTGTCAAGAATCAAGAGATTTCAGATTATTAATAAATTACTTTGTTTTGTAAGGGAGAATTAGAGCAGTGAGATAGATTTATTTGCAACATGGAAAAGCCTGGAAAACTATCCTTATACCAGAAAACTGTTCACGTTTTTAGGGACTGGAATGTTTTTCAGAGAGAAACTTCTTCACTGGATAGGGTTAGGAAAACTAGGCTAAGTTTTTTTTTGTTTGTTTGTTTGTTTTGTTTTGTTTGAGATGGAGTCTCACTCTGTCACCAAGGTTGGAGTGCAATGGTGTGGTCTTGGCTCACTGCAACCTCTGCATCCCCGGGTCAAGCGATTCTCCTGCCTCAGCCTCCTGAGTAGCTGGGACTACAGGCGCGTACCACCACACCTGGCTAATTTTTGTATTTTTAGTAGAGATGGGGTTTCACTATGTTGGCCAGGCTGGTCTCGAACTCCTGACCTCATGATCTGCTCGCCTTGGCCTCCCAAAGTGCTGGGATTACAGGCGTGAGCCACTGCAACCGGCCTCAAACTAGGCTAAGTTTTTGTTCTTTGGAAGTCCCTTTTCTGGACTACATGTTCTGTTTCTTTTCTTTTTCTTTTTTTTTTTGAGACAGAGTCTCTCTCTGTCGCCAGGCTGGAGTGCAGTGGTGTGATCTCGGCTCACTGCAACCTCCGCCTCCTGGGTTCAAGTGATTCTCCTGCCTCAGCCTGCTGAGTAGCTGGGACTATAGGCGTGCACCACCACGCCCAGATAATTTTTGTATTTTTAGTAGAGACGGGGTTTCACCATTTTGGCCAGGATGGTCTCAGTCTCTTGACCTCGTGATCCACCCGCCTTGACCTCCCAAAGTGCTGGGATTACAGGTGTGAGCCACCGCACCCAGCCTATATGTTCTGTTTTTTAGAGTCAATCTCATTTTCTTAAAATTTGGTTGTGTTTCTCAGATTACATGCAAATCACCTTGTTAAATTTGTACACTACCAAATCTCCTGAGCCATCTTATTTAACTGTTTATATCTTAGCATGTGGTCACTTCCACAGGCGGCAGATCTCATGTATTACATTTTGATTCTTCCTAATATTTCTCTAAAGGTTTTTTTGTTTTAGATGTGGAAATACAACGTTTTCTTTTTTGTTTTTGACTAAATAGAAACAGGATCTCTCTATCTTGCCTTGGCTGGTCTCGAACTCCTGGACTCAAGTGATTATTCAGCTTTGGCCTCTCAGTGTGCTAGAATTACAGGCATGAGCCACGTGCCTGGCTGAGGAATACCTTTTTCTACACTCATATATATGGATTTTGCATGGATGGACAGAGTAACACTTGTAGACCAGTGTTACTCTATATAGTCTACAAAATCTATAGACTATATTGAGTCTATAGACTGTCCTGCAATATTACTACTAGGATAATGTGTATGTTTACCTAAAACACTGTTGGCCTGGTTAATTTTCACCTCAAATGTTTTCCCACTTGACACAGGAGAAGAGGGTTGTGATGAGTTCTGGAGGGCATCAACATTTGGTCAGCTGTTTGGAGACATTGCAGAAGGCTCTCAAAGGTTTGTGAACACTTTTGAAATATGCTGATTTCACAAAACCCCCAGTTCAAGAAGGACCATTTTATACTTAAACTAGAAGTAAAAAATTGAGGTAGGTCAACTTTATGTATTAGATATTGCTCTTGCATTCATTTATGGAGTTGGAATGATCTTTTTGCTAAAGTTTGAAACATTTATTTTTGATCCTGTTTTGGAGGCTGATAGAGATTTAAAAGATAAATGATGAAGGGTAATATAAGATACCTGGGGAGGCTGGGTGCGGTGGCTCGCTCCTGTAATCCCAGCACTTTGGGAGGCTGAGGTGGGCGGATCACAAGGTCAGGAGTTTGAGACCAGCCTGGCCAACATGGTGAAACCCTGTCTCTACTAAAAATACAAAAATTAGCTGGACGTGGTGGCGGGCACCTATAATCCCAGCTTCTCGGGAGGCTGAGGCAGGAGAACAGTGTGACCTGGGGAGGCGGAGGTTGCAGTGAGCCAAAATCACGCCATTACACTCCAGCCTGGGCAACAGGGCAAGACTTGTCTCAAAAAAAAAAAAAAAAAAAAAAAAGATACCTGGGAAAAGTTTTTTTTCCCTTCACATTTATTTCTGATTAATCTCGATAAGAAGATGGACTTTTTTTTTTTTTTTTTTTTTTTTTGAGATGGAGTTTCACTCTTGTTGCTCTGGCTGGAGTGCAGTGGTGGAATCTCGGCTCACCACAACCTCTGCCTCCTGGGTTCAAGCGATTCTCCTGCCTCAGCCTCCCAAGTAGCTGGGATTACAGGCATGTGCCACCATGCCCGGGTAATTTTATATTTTTAGTAGAGACAGGGTTTTCCATGTTGGTCAGGCTGGTCTCGATCTCTTGACCTCAGGTGATCTGCCCACCTTGGCCTCCCAAAGTTCTGGGATCACAGGCGCGAGCCACAGCAACTCGCGAAGTTTTTTTTTTTTTTTTTTTTTTTCCGAGACGGTGTCTCACTCTGTCACCCAGGCTGGAGTGCAGTGGCACAATCTTGGCTCACTGCAACCTCCACCTCCTGGGTTCAAGCGATTCTCCTGGCTCAGCCTCCCAAGCAGCTGGGACTACAGGCGCGTCCCACCACGCCTGGCTAATGTTTTGTATTTTTAGTAGAGATGGGGTTTCACCGTGTTAGCCAGGATAGTATAGATCTCCTGACCTCGTGATCCACCCGCCTCGGCCTCCCAAATTGCTGGGATTACAGGCGTGAGCTACCATGCCTGTCCAGAAGATGGACATTTTAACTCTAAAAAGATTTTTACGGTGTTTATGGAGCAAATTTCCAGGAAAGCAAATGTAAAATATAAGTCATGAGCTTGATTATTCATGCTTATAATGACTAATTCTATTTTTGGGGAATAATGAAAGTAAAAACAGATTTTACTGTGATCCACCAGAAATGAACCTAATTCAGCTGAGGGTTTTTTTTTTTTTTTCTGGAGACAGTGTCTCACTCTGTCGTCCAGGCTGGAGTGCAGTGGCACGATCTCTGCTCACTGCAACCTCCGTTTCCCGGATTCAAGTGATTGTTCTGCCTCAGCCTCCTGAGTAACTGGGATTACAGGCGCCCATTACCATGCTCAGCTAATTTTTGGATTTTTAGTAGAGATGGGGTTTCACCATGTTGGCCAGGGTGGTCTTGGACTCCTGACCTCAGGTGATCTGCCTGCCTTGGCCTCCCAAAGTGTTGGGATTACAGGCGTGAGCCACTTTGCCCAGTCTCAGCTGAGTATTATCTTCTTTACCTTTTTTTGTTTTCTTTTTCTTTGAGACAGAGTGTCGCTGTGTCACCCAGGCTGGAGTGCAGTGGCACGATCTCTGCTCACTGCAACCACTGCGCCCCCACCGGGTTCAAGAGATTCTCTTGCCTCAGCCTCCCGAGAGGGTGGGATTATAGGCGCGCACCACCACACCTGGCTAATTTTTGTATTTTTATTAGAGACAGGGTTTCACCACGTTGGTCAGGCTGGTCTTGAACCCCTGACCTTGTGATCCGCATGCCTCGGTCTCCGAAAGTGTTAGGATTACAGGCGTCAGCCACCGCACGAGGCCTTTTTTTCTGTTTTAATTGTGGTAAAATATAGGTAACAAAATTTACCATTTTCTTTGTTTCTAAGTGTATAGTTCAGTAGCGTTAAGTACATTCATATTATTGTATAATCATCACCACTGTCCATCTGTAAAACTTCACTCATCTTCCCAAGCTTACATTCTGTAATGTCCCATTCCCGCCTTCCCCCAGTCCCTGGCAGCCACCATTCTGCTTCCTGTCTTTATGAATTTGACTACTCTGTATACCTGATATAAGTGGAATCATATATTTGTCCTTTTGTGACTGGCTTATTTCACTAAACGTAATGTCTTCAAGGTTCATCTATTTTGAAGCATTTATTAGAATTTCTTTCTTTTTTAAGGTTGAAAAATACTCCTCTTTATGTATATACATTTCATTTATCCATTCATCTGCTAGTGGACACTTGGATTGTTTTAACCTTTTGACTGTTGTGATTAATGGTGTTGTTAATGTTGAGTTTTTTTTAATGTTAGTTTTAATGTTAATCTTCCTTATTCTATCATTAGCAGATAAATGTGTCTTAAGTTAAAGGCAGTTTGTCCCACATAAGGAGTAATGAAAACAGGAGAGGAGAAAGGTTCGGTAATTTTTCAAATAGATCTTTTTTTTTTGACCTTTAGTACTGCATAGGCCACAGCTAACCCTAATCAGTGAACTTTATGTAAATTACAAGCATTTGAACTACTGAATATGTTTACGGTTTTGGAAGGATGAATCTTTCTGTCTTAAAAGAATATCATTTAAGTCATTTGGAGCATTCTTTGTGACTCCTTTTTTCATCCTTTTATAGTAACATCTTTACCAGCAATGACTGATCGTTTGGAGTCCATAGCAAGACAGAATGGGTAAGTAGTCTTTCTGTAGGCAGAAATGTTTAACTTAGTGTTAACTTTGGGTGGCTTTATTTATGTGTCTTCTATTAATTTTTGTTTTGATTTGTTCCTGCTAGACTGGGCTCTCATCTCAGTGCCAGTGGCACTGAATGTTACATCACGTCAGATATGTTCTATGTGGAAGTGCAGTTAGATCCTGCAGGACAGCTTTGTGATGTAAAAGTGGCTCACCATGGGGAGAATCCTGTGGTATGTGTTGTTGATATTTCACTGGAATCTGTGGGGTTTACTTAGGGACATTAATTTTAAAATTAATTGTTGGGGTTTAAATAGCTTGGGTTTAGGTTTTTCCATGAGCCACTGTAGAGATGATGTGATGGGCTACAAAATCAACAGCTATAGAATGGGATTTAGAAAATATGGGTCCCATCTCTGACATCATCCAAAGGCTTTAACAAGTGGAAACACCATAGGAACCCTTTTCCCTTTCCTTCCTTCCTTCCTTCCTTTCTTTCTTTTCTTTCTTTTTTCTTTCTTTCTTTCTTGCTTGCTTGCTTGCTTTCTTTTTCTTTTCTTTCTTTTCTTTCTTTCTCTTTCTCTCTTTCTTTCTTTCTTTCCTTCCTTCCTTCCTTCCTTCCTTCCTTCCTTCTTTCTTTCTTTCTTTCTTTCCTTCTTTCCTTCTTTTTCTTTTTTTTTTTCCCTGGGACAGAGTCTCGTTCTGTCGCCTGGAGTGCAGTGGCATGATCTTGGCTCACTGTAATCTCTGCCTCCTGGATTCAAGCAATTCTCCTGCCTCAGCCTCCCAAGTAGCTGGGATTACAGGTGTGTGCCACCATGCCTGGCTAATTTTTGTATTTTTAGTAGAGACGGGGTTTCCCTATGTTGGCCAGGCTGGTCTCCAGCTCCTGACCTCAAGTGATCCACCTGCCTCAGCCTCCCAAAGTGTTGGGATTACAGGCATAAGCCACTGCACCGGCAGGAACCCTTTTCATTTCATATCAACAAACATGAGCCACGATTGAACAATAGGTGCTGGGGATACAGAAATAAATGACTCAGGGTTACTACCTTCAAAGAGATTATAATCAAGAACAGATGATCTGAAAAATTATGTAATAGAGATGAATGTAAAATCTGTGTAACCAGATAATTTGATATGAATTCCATGTATGGCATTAGAGTTCCTAATGTTTTAAACAAGCTACTGAAAGTAGATTCTTTTAAAAACTATTTCATATGCTTTGACTTTAAATTTCTCACCCTAATCCTGTGGTTCACCAAGTAGGAAGAAGATGCTTTTTAATATTTTAATATGAGGACCATCTGTAGTTTTAATGGTTTTGTTGTAAAACATGTGCTATAGAAAAAGAGAAAGGCTTTTGATATCTTCAAAGTTGCTAAAGTAGTTTTAATGTTTTAACATAATTTTCTTTGATTTCAGAGCTGTCCGGAGCTTGTACAGCAGCTAAGGTGAGCAAATACGATTTATATTCCTTGATATTGACAGACAGTGCTGTTCTTTACAGCTGGCTTTTAAGACTGGTCAGAAGTTATTCTCCTCAGGAACAAGTTTATTTTCTTGGGCAAAGATTTTTAAGAGTCTATACTTAATCACGTCCTGAATTGACATAGCATAGCTTTTCACCCTACTCTATCCCAGGGTTTTTTTGTTTTCGTTTTTGTTTTGAGATGGAGTCTTGCTCTATTGCCCAGGCTGGAGTGCAGTGGCGCGATCTCAGCTCACTGCAACCTCTGCCTCCTGGGTTCAAGCGATTTTCCTGCCTCAGCCTCCAGAGCGGCTGGGACTGCATGTGTGTGCCACCATGCCCAGCTAATTTTTGTATTTTTAATAGAGACTAGGTGGCTGGGTGCGGTGGCTCACGCCTGTAATCCCAGCACTTTGGGAGGCTGAGGCAGGTGGATCCATGAGGTCAGGAGTTCAAGACCAGACTGGCCAAGATGGTGAAACCCCATCTCTATTAAAAATATAAAATTTAGGCTGACACCTGTAATCCCAGGACTTTGGGAGGCTGAGGCGGGTGGATCATGAGGTCAGGAGATCAAGACCATCCTGGCTAACACGGTGAAACCCCATCTCTACTAAAAAAAGAAAAAATACAAAAAATTAACTGGGTGTGGTGGCAGGCATCTGTGGTTCCAGCTACTAGGGAGGCTGAGGCAGGAGAATGGCGTGAACCTGGGAGCGGAGCTTGCAGTAAGCTGAGATCTCGCCACTGCACTCCAGCCTGGGCGACAGAGCAAGACGCCGTCTCAAAAAAAAAAAAAAAAAAAAAAAATTAGCCAGGCATGGTGGTGGGTACCTGTAATCCCAGCTACTCGGGAGGCTGAGGCAGAAAATTGCTTGAACCCAGGAGGCGGAGGTTGTAGTGTGCTGAGATCGTGCCACTGCACTCCAGCCTGGGTGACAGAGCAAGACTCCATCTCAGAAAAAAAAAAAAAATAGAGACGAGGTTTCGCCATGTGGGCCAGGCTGATCTTGAACTCCTGACCTCACATCTCCCAAAGTGCTGGGATTACAGTTGTGAGCCACCATGCTGGACCCTTTTCTTTTCTTTTCTGTTTTTTTTTGAGACGGAGTTTTGTTCTTGTTACCTAGTCTGGAGTATAATGGTGCGGTCTCGGCTCACTGAGCACCTGGCCCCTTTTCTGTTTTTTTATTTTTATTTTTATTTTTTTGGTGAGACGGAGATTTACTTTTGTTGCCCAGGCTGGAGTGCAATGGTGTGATCTTGGCTCACCGCATCCTCTGCCTCCTGGGTTCAAGTGATTCTCCTGCCTCAGCCTCCCGAGTAGCTGGGATTACAGGCATGTGCTACCACGCCCTGCTAATTTTGTATTTTCAGTAGAGACGGGGTTTCACCGTGTTGCCCAGGCTGATCTCAAACTCCTGACCTCAGGTGATCCTCCTGCCTTGGCCTCCCAAAGTGCTGGGATTATAGGCATGAGCCACTGTGCCCGGCCCCTGTTTTTTTAAGTTTTAATTTTTTTTTTCTTATTTTGATTCAGATTCCCAACAGAAAGATATCCCAGGGTCTCTTAAACTTGGTACTAATGACAATTTGGATTGGAAAATTCTTTGCTCCCGGGTGGCCTGGTGCATTCTATTATGTTTAATAGCATCCCTGGCCTCTTCATTAGTTGCTAGTAGTATCTCCTTAGTTGTTACAACCATGTCCCCTGGGGCACAAAATCACCCCTGGTTGGGAATTGGTGATCTAGGTTTAGGAATTTCATATAGCTGGGGGCGGTGGCTCATGCCTATAATCCCAACAATTTGGGAGGTCGAAGTGAGCAGATCACTTGAGGCCAAGAGTTCAAGACCAGCCTAGCCAGCCTGGCGAAACCCTGTCTCTACAAAAAATACAAAAATTGCTGAATGTGAGGCCAGGCGCGATGGCTCATGCCTGTAATCCCAGCACTTTGGGAAGCCGAGGCAGGCGGATCACCTGAAGTCAGGAGTTCGAGACCAGCCTGACCAACACGGAGAAACCCCGTCTCTACTAAAAATACAAAATTAGCCGTGCGTGGTGGCACATGCTTGTAATCTCAGCTACTTGGGAGGCTGAGGCAAGAGAATCGCTTGAACCCGGGAGGCAGAGGTTGTGGTGAGCCAAGATCATGCCATTACAGTCCAGCCTGGGCAACAAGAACAAAACTCTGTCTCAAAAAAAAAAAAAAAGTAGCTGAGCATAGTGGCTCACACGTGTAATCCCAGCTACTCAGGAGGCTGAGGCACAAGATGGCTTGAGCCTGGGAGGTGGAGGTTGCAGTGAGCTGGGATCACATCACTGCATTCCAGCCTGGGTGACGGAGTGAGACTGTCTCAAAAAAAAAAATAATAAAGAATTATGTGTGGAACAAAATAAATAGAAGGTAATCATTGAATCAGTGAAGGCTTGATAATTGAGTATGATACCATGAAAATAACTTTTTCGCTTTGATTTTGGGAAAAATTGTTTCATTTAGAAGGTACATGTGTGTTACAGTAAAAGTGCTAGGCTTGAAGACAGTCGCTTTTAGCAGATAGTGGATTTTTTCACTTTTCTTTTAATTGAGTGGAAATTTCTGTACTTAAATTTAAACTCAGAGTTAAGACTTTTGGGGAATTTAAGGAAGTTATTACATACACTTTGTTTTGAGCATTGCGAAGTTCTCAGGCACCACATGAGGATGTCTTAGAGTGTTCACATTGAGGAAATAAGTTGTGTATGTGTGTGTGCAAAAGCTTTTTTTTTTTTTTTTTTCTTTTTTTTGAGTTGGAGTCTTGCTCTGTCGCCCAGGCTGGAGTGCAGTGGTGTGCTCTCTGCTCACTGCAAGCTCCGCCTCCTGGGTTCATGCCATTCTCCTGCCTCAGCCTCCCGAGTAGCTGGGACTACAGGCACCTGCCACCATGCCCGGATAATTTTTGTATTTTTAGTAGAGACGAGGTTTCATCGTGTTAGCCAGGATGGTTTCGATCTCCTGACCTCGTGATCTGCCCGCCTCGGCCTCCCAAAGTGCTGGGATTACAGGTGTGAGCCACCGCACCCGGCCTTTTTTTTCGAGATGGTGTGTCACTCTGTTGCTCAGGCTGGAGTACAGTGGCGCAATCTCGGCTCACTGCAACCTCCCCCTCCCGGGTTCAAGCGATTTT